>NC_000008.11:67802265-68427265 GCF_000001405.40 Homo sapiens
GGAGACATGGAATGCTGTGCCAGGTTTGAGAGAATGAAGATCAGAAGTTCAATATGGGGTATATTGAGATTGAGATGCCTAGTAGCCAAGTGGAGATGCCTATAACACAGTCATATATACGAGTCTGGAGTTAGGAAGAGGAGTCTGGTGAGAAATTTAAATGTGGGAACTGTCAGCATACAGATGGCATTGAACACCATAAGCTGGATAGAATCTCCAAGGGAACAAATGCAGAGAAGAAAAGAAGACTAAAGATTGAGTCCTGGGTGATTGCAACATTAAAAGTCAAAGGAAAAGACTAGGAAACAGCAAAGGAGACTGATGAGAAGCAACCAATGATGTTGAAAAGAAAGGAAGAGAATGTAATGTCCTGGAAGACAAGTGAAAAAAGGTGTTTCAAAAATGAGAGTAATCAACTGTGTGAAATGCTGCTAATAGGTTACATGAGATGAAAAGCAGTGGCCAATGGAAAAAGAAGTTTTGTTGTTATTTTTTATTCTTCTGAGATGGAGTCTCACTCTGTCTTCTAGACTGGCGTATAGTGGTGCAATCTCAGCTCACTACAGCCTCCATCTCCCAGGTTGAAGCGATTCTCCTGCCTCAGCCTCCCAAGTAGCATGCATCACCACGCCCAGCTAATTTTTGTACTTTTATGGGGTTTCACTGTGTTGGCCAGGCTGGTCTCGAACTTCTGACCTTAAATGATCCATCTGCCTTGGCCTCCTCAAGTGCTGGGATTATAGGCATGAGCCACAGCCCCCGGCTGGAAAAAGAAACTTTAATGGAAACTTGGGAGGCAAAAGCCTGATTGAAATGGATTCAAAGGGAACAGGCATTGGAAGCAACAGGTATTGATAATTCTTCAACAAAGTTTTGCTGCAAACAGGGACAGAACTGTAGTGTGCAGCTGATGGGAGAAGGTAAGTCAAGAGAAAAATTATTTTTTATGCTTGGAAAAATTATATGTTTGTTTTCTCATGAGATGATCTAGGAGGGAGTAAAAAAAATTATGGGAGAGTTATTGAAATAATTTCCTTGGATAGACCAGAGAGAGTGAAATCTGGTAATTAAATGAAGGAGTTGCCTGAAGATAAGGACATGAGATGAGTGTGGACTGCATCAATGAGCTCCCTCATCCTCTGGCTTCCTGCTGGGTTCGGCTTCTGGAAGGTGCCAGTGGAGATCAGAAAGAGGCCTCAGCTTCCCCCAGTGGTATTTTTTAGTATTTTTTTGTAGAAATAGGGTTTTACCATGTTGGTCAGGCTGGTCTTGAACTCCTGACTCCAGGTGATCCACCCGCCTTGGTCTCCCAAAGTGCTGGGATTACAGGCATGACCCACCGTGCCTGGCCCGTCCACTTTTTTCTATAGCATTTATTGCCCTCTACCATATAATAGAATTCATTTACTTTTACATGAATTGTACTCACAAGAATTTAGCTTCCCAAGAACATAAATCTTTGTCATCTTTGTTCATTAATGTATTCCACACACCTAGAACAGTGCCTGGCCTCTAGTTGGTGCTATATAAATATTTGCTAATGATTGAATCTCAGTCTTTTTGGATTAGAATCTCTGCAAAGAATGAGATAGATTTGATCCCCTTGGCTCCCTCCTTTAGCAGAGAGTAGCATTTCTCTACTGAAAGCCATGGTTCTTACTAGGTGGCCTTTTTAATACCTCTCTCTGCCCTGTCCCTACAGATCTAGTTCCATGCTCTCCTTTGTTATTTTGTTCCTTTGTTCACCACCATCCCTTGTAACCACCCTAGATCTTGACCATTCCTTTGTAAATAATTCCTTTATTAAACTCAACTGCCCAGTTTGAGTTTGGCCATTTGGTTCACGCAGACCCCTGACACAATCAGGGGTGCCTTAGTTATTTTGGGATATTATCACAAGATACCATAGACTGGGTGGCTTAAACAAGAAACATTTATTTCTCCCAGTTCTAAAGCCTGGAAGTCAGAGATCAGCGTGCCCACATGGTCAGGTTCTGGTAAGAACCCTCTTCCTGGTTAGAGGTGTCTACCTTCTTACCATGTTCTCCCGTGGTGGAGAGAGTGAGCTAGCTCTCTGTTCTCTTTTTATAAGGGTACTAATCCCATCCTGAAGACTCTACCTTCATGACCTCAGCTAAACCCCCTAAAATCCCACCTCCGAATACTATCACATTGGGGATTAGGGTTTCAACATACAAATTTAGGGAGAACCCATTTGGTCTATAGCAAGAGGGTATTCTTACCTCTGCATGAAGACCTCATTCCTTATTTAAATTGGGAAATGGAATTGCAGTGATTCCAGGAGCAGATAAAGACGTGTTTACAGTGCACACTATTCAGATGACTCATCCTACTGGCTGGTGATCTTTCACCGTGGGTACTATTTGAATGTGAGTGGCTTGAACCACTGGTTAACTTCCCAAGAACATAAATCTTTGTCATCTTTGTTCATTTATATATATATATGTAATATATATGATTCTTCTGATTCTTCTCTCACTGTGCCATCTGAGTATGTACTGGGACACCATCCTTTATCAGACAGATGCTGGATCAGTCCCTGAATCTACTGAGTCAGAACCTATGAGGACGAGGCTCAGTTTAACCAGCCCCCTAGATGATTCTGACCCACATCCAGGCTTGACACGTGGGGCTACTCTTGAATTCCCAGACCTTTTCAGTGGCCATATTTGGAATCCAATTTTCAATATTGAAACTATATTCTTCTTTTAAATTCCAATTAGGATTCCAAATTAATGCAAAAATGAAAAGGAAAACACCAAGAGTTTTTTTCTTACAGCAATAGAAAACTTTTTTCTCATGTAAAACGCTGGAAAGGTAAAGTGGTGCCATAAAAGTAAGATAGTCTGAACATTTTGTGGGGACCTGGAGGGTAGTGATTTTTTCCATTCTAGGGAAGTAAGGCATATTTCACTCTTCACAGTTTGAGGAAAGCTATTGTGACTGAGGTGTACATTTCTTAGTTCAGAAATACAAGACTGTCAGAGTAGGCTTTAGGTTCACATGGTCAGTCATACTCTTGATTATGGAGGAGAATCTAAAGACAAGAAGTGAAGAAAACAAGGTCTTAAAAGAAGTTAGCCATCTGAGCAAATTTTGTGAATATTTGTAAAATATAGATGTTATTGATCTCAGATGTAACTGCATACTACAGAACAATTACACTACATGTCAAGTTATTAATATAATGCTCACTTGATAAAACTTTATAATGTTATTTTAATTTATTTTTCGAGACAGAGTCTTGCTCTGTTGCCCAGGCTGGAGTGTAGTGGCATGATCTTGGCTCACTGCAACCTCTGCCTACCAGGTTCAAGTGAATCTCCTGCCTGAACCTCCCAAGTAGCTGGGATTACAGGTGTATGCCACCATGCCCGGCTAATTTTTGTATTTTTAGTAGAGACAGGGTTTCACCATGTTGGCCAGGCTGGTCTTGAACTCCTGACCTCAGGTGATCTGCCTGCCTTGGCCTCCCAAAGTGCTGAGATTACAGGCATGAGCCACTGTGCCCAGCCTATAATGTCATTTTAAATTTACAAATCTGATTCCATGTTCTCCAGTATGTATAACCAGGAAGCGACAGAGGCTTTCATTTGGGGGTGGAGACTGAGCCACACAGCCTGCAGAAGGCCTAGAAGGAACTGACACAAATATAAGCTGGTATTCTGGAGGTGGGTTTGGCAATGCAAATAGCGGTGAGGGAGCCGAGGATGTGCCTTAAACAGTCAGCACCCTTGGGGGATGCATCAGAGTGTTGGAGGGGTGCTTCTTTATGAGGCTCTAGGCTGTATCCATGGACACTTTTCTCCCACCATCAGTCTCTCCAGTTATATTTTAATGCAAGATTCTGAGTGGCCAAGGCATTCCAATCACACCCATTGGGCTTCAGGATGGCAGAACAGCAGCCCTAATTCGGGATTTCCCGGTAGTAGTGCTTGGTTTGTCTCCATAGATGAAGCCACTTACAGAGATGAGGAATGAATAACTCTTTCAACAAAAGAACTCAGCTGTAAAAGGAGGATATATGAATATATGATAGGGATAATGGACTCACATGTGTTGCTTTAATATTATGCTGATTTATTAAACCATAACAACTTCCTCTTGAAACATAATATAAATAATATATTATTTCTTTAAAATGTCTATATTCCCTTACCAGAGAGTAAGTCTCTTTAGAGGAGGGTCTGTCTGATTCATTTTTGTTTCCTCCAGAGCATTTGCATATAGAATGTATTCAATAAATAAATGTTTGGTGGTGATTAGATTAATGATAGTATTAAAACCTGATGAATTGGTAAATTATTTGAATTGAGGGGCTGGGAAAAAAGTTTTCTGGTTAAAAATGATCATGATGATAAATACTAAACATTTTTTGAGGGGGAGCATTCTTGATAATTTTGAGTATCTGGTAGAACACAAATAATGTGTTTATAAAATGTCAGAATGAATCCAAAGGAGAACCCTCAGGAGTCATTTTGTTCAAGAGGTAAGGGGTAGACAAAGTCATAAACCTGAATGAATTTTAGAGGGAAAGAAAGAAAGGGGTGAAGAAAGAAAAAATCAGACAGACTTAAGAGATAAGAATTATAGGGTGAATCTGGAATGCTGGAAAGAAAAGTTATTGTTATGTGCAAAAGTATGATCCTTTGATTAGGTAAAATATCAGAGACACAAATCAGGTTAAATTGATTTTTTATTGTAATTACATTTAAAATTTTAGAATTCATCAGTAGGTATGAACAAACATATACATACATATATATAATTTATATTATAAGTTTATTATTTATACTATACATTATAAAAATAACTGAGAGATAAACTTTCGTTTATCCTTAATGCTAAAATAATTCATTTACCTTGGAGAGATCAGAACTCTGTCCATTTCCCCTACATAAAAACTAGAGAGTACTATTGCTTTCTCTTTCTCGGGCTTACTCTGGTCTCATAGAATATGCATTTTCATTTTTTTTCAACAGAATATCCGTGGATAGCTAAAATTTCTGCTTCCTTTGTCAACATTTGTATTTCCCCAGTGGACATTTCTGCAAAATTTATTTTCATTTCTTTGTTACCAGAGAAACTCTGTTGGTCAAGTTCAATAGCATCCTCAGCATAATTTCAGAAGGAAATTACAGGGAGCAATTGAAGTCCATCACTTTCTTGGAGGGGAAATATTAACACCCTCACCTCTTGCTCCCAATATTAGGTGGTAGGCAGGAGTGAGTTACTCATTTTCTGAAGGAGCAGTAACTCTTTGGACCCCTCGAGTCACTTGGTAAATAAACTCTAGCACTGCCCCGAAGAGTGCCTCAGAGATTTCAAGGAATAAATGCTTTAAAGGTAGGAAAATGCTAAGAAACACCATCATATAAGTGAGTTATTTCCAATTTTATTTTAAATACAGCCATATATTATTACATACAGCCACACATTATTAAATAATGTATTAATACATTATTATTAAATACAGCCATATATATGTATATATGTGTGTGTGTATATATATACATATATATGTAAGTATGTAGCTGCTATACCCTCCTGAAGCAATGAATGTAGCTGCTATACCCTCCAGAAGCAATGATACCCTCCAGAGGTGATAACAGATACAAGTAACAACCACACTCTCTGGTTTTGACAACCAAAAATGTCTCCTGACATTTTCAAAGTCTCCCTAGAGGGCAAAATTGTCCCCATTGAAGACCACTGGGTTAGATAGAAACTTACATCTCACACATGGAGAGTCCAGGCTGGCATGGTCGCTCTGCTGTGCACTGGGAGCCCAGGTTCCTCCTCGCTTTGCAAATTGTACAAGCTGCCCTCATCACCTGGATGCCTACATCTCACTTAAGAGTCTCAGTTCTAGGAGGGCACAGACAATGGTGTACTGGTAAACAGACTCTGTTAAAAAAAAAAAAAAAAAAAACCAACACAATCAGGAACATTTTTTAAAAGCCCAGATTTGTAGTGTTTGCAGATTCTTATGTTTTAAATACTCCTGCCATGGCTGATGTGAAACTACCAACAGTTTAACAACTGGCTTACTAAATTTCTGAATATTTACCATTTGTCCCTTGTAAGACAGTATTAGTGGGCTGCAGTATATCAACAGAGAAAGGGAAGGAAAAGATACAACCTTTTGTTGAAGGACAAAATGACATTTCACTTTTCTTCAGCCCCACTGGCCAAAACTTAGTCCCATGTTCACCTTAGCTGCAGGGGAGGCTGAAATGCAGTGTTTATTCTAAACAACCATGTATCCAGCCACAATACCAGGGGAATTTATCACCAAGAGAAAGAGAGAGAGAATATCTAGTGCTTGAAAATTATCAGTCTCTGCCACAATTTTATTTAAAAAATAACCAGAAAAATGAGAGTGAATTTTATCTGAGAGGATCTTAGAAATCTCAGCATCGAGAAGGTAATAAATAAAGAGAGATAAGTCACAGACTTCCTGCGACAGTCAAGAATTCCCCATGCAGATGACACCCCAGGAGATGCCGGGTGATTGTTCTTACAATTTCTTCAGTTGAAGGTAAATGTGGCACTAGCCATTTATTCTTTTAGCTCACGTTGTTTGAAGTGCATCGCCTATGTACTTCACCCTTTGGACTCACTAGAAAACAAAGAGAATTTTGGAATTAGAAGAGGCTTAATAATGTTAATGATAATAATTATAATAGATAACACTTGTAATACTATGTGCCATTCACTGTCTAAACACTTCACATATTTTCATGCTCCTTTAATCTTCACCACAACCCTGTGCAGTAGGTACTATTATTATCCTTATTTATTTATTTTTGAGACAAGTTCTCACTCTGTCACCCAGGCTGGAGTGCAGTGGCACGATCACAGCTCACTGCAGTCTTGACCTCCCAGGCTCAAGTGATCTTCCCACCTCAGCCTCCCAAGAAGCTGGGACTATAGGAGCACACCACCACTATCCTTATTTTTAGATGAGGAAATTGAGGCACAGATAGGTTAAGTTATTTACTCAAGGACACACAGCAAGTAAGAAGTGGGGCCAGGATTCTTAGAGATTGTCTTTTCCAATCCTCTCTGTGCATTCATCCTCATTTCCCTGTATATCTCCCCATGTATGAAGGAGTTGAAAGAGTAAAAATGACACATCCCAGCTTCTTTTGCGGCTGCAGTTCTAGGTGGACGCTGGCTTCAAATCCTCTCCATGGATGTGAAGTTTTGGTGGCGGCGGGGTTCACAGTAGAAGCAGGGATTTCCTGACGACATCTAAGGTTGATGTGGCCTTAAAACCCAAAATCCAGTGGCAGCAATTTCAGAGCTTTCAGACTTTTGTAAGAATGATAATATGTAAGAATGATAAAATTTCTGTATTAATCCTATTTTACTTTAAATTCCTAGCGTGGCACAAGACTTTACAGGTAACAAAATTGAGGCTGAAACGAGAGAAACACAGATGTTCCCAGGTCATAAAAACCTAGGCCTAGAGTTACACTGTCTCAGCCTGGTAAGGGTTTCAATGGTATAGCGGAAAGTTGGTTTTGAGTTTTCAACTTAGGGTTGTCAGCTAATGGTTCTGGCAGGAGAACAGGCTTTAAAATTTTTCCTGATTTGTAAGACGGAAAATAGCATTTTCCTTTTAGGATTGCTGTGAAGATGGATTGAGAGATTTGGGTTGATGCTAATGGCAGATCCAAAATAATTGCCACTGAAGCAAGATTAAAGTTGATTTCTTTGTAATGCAAAAGTCCTAATGAGAAGTTCAGGCTTGGTATGGTGGGTGTACCTTCCTCAGAGTCCAGGCTCCTATCTTATTGCATGACAGTTTTAAACATTCAGCTTCCACATGGGACCTACGATGAGTATTTCCAAATCCAAGTCAGTGGGAACTGGATGAGGGGAAGTGAGTGGTGTGGCTTTTCCTTTAAGGACCAGACCTAGAGTTGTACACCTCGTTTCCATTCATGCTGCCATGTCTAGAAGTTAGCCAGGTTCCCATACTTTTGTTGCAAGTGCAGTCTTAAAAACATAACCTTCTGCTGGGCAGTTATGACCTCTGTTAAAAATACTTATTATTTTGTTAATACTATATAAGAAGGATATCATGAATATTAGAAATAACTAAAGTCTCTGCCACAGATACGATGACAAAGCACTTGGTCGATGAACAATGCTGATACGCATTACTACTGACATCCTCCATCTTATTGGCTTAGGGTCTATTATCTCCTACACACAATATTATTTTGGATTTTGATTGAAAAGTAAAATATTTGGGGATCGTGTTACTTGAAAATTTTAGGAAGTAATATCTGTCTCTGAATCAAGCTTCGATGTGAAATAGATCCTGAACCAAATCCCTAGAGAAAGTACCTTTGTATTTATAAAAGGATTTTTGTTCCTATATTGCCTTGTAGAAAAACAGTAATAAATAATGACATTTAGAAACCTTATCAGGGTATCGCACACACTCCAAGCTCTATGGCATTTCAAGTGGTATGTTTACTTTTGCAGAACATTCGAGCCCTTAATGCTGCTGGCGGCTATAACATTTTTCTAATTATTCTTTACAAGCAATGAATTGCACAGTTAGCAATTTACCTGATGGGTAGAACATGGTTAATATGGTGAGTGGCCTGTTTACTTATCTAAGAAGACCTTTTAAAATCTCATAATGTTCACTTTAATAGGTAAGAAGAGGTAAATTATAGGGTTTGAAATGAGTTGGCCCTTGGAAAAATTGTGTAGTGAGCAAGCTGTTCTTTAACATTTTTCCACATTCTTTTTAGGTTTTATTCTTCCTTCTCTTGCCAGTGGCCAGCACCATTAAGTTTCTGCTCCTTTGAATGCATCTCAACTCTGTCTTGTTGGCAGAGAGTGAGTACCTATTATTATTATCACTTTGTTTATGAAGAAACCCCTTATGCCAAAGAAATAGAACCTAAATTCCTGGGACGGGGGTACCAGAAAGATTTGGAAGAAGATACTTTTCTTTGTACCCATAAATTCCTACCATGTTGGCAGCTGATTCCTCATACACAAAGGTGGGCATTGGCTAGATTCGTTGGAAAAGAAGCATTTCCATTTTTGGCAAAATCAGCACATGGTTATGAGAATAAGGAAGGAGGCAAGGGTTACTTGGCCTTGAGACTATTAAAATTACTGAGACTATTAGAATGTTTTGTGAAGTTTGGAGTGGGCTTTGAGTTATAATTATTAATACTGTTATTCTTGATGAGTACAGATAGAAGAATAGCCATACTTCTCTGAGAATTTTTATTTACATAATTGATTACACCACATTGGAACTGTTTGAGGTCGCTCTGCCTAGAGAAATGGTGCATGTCACAAAAGGAGATGTTTAAATACCTTCCCTCCTTCCCACGTGGCTTAGCTTTTTTAAAGTGGGCTTGGGCTGACTTCTTTTGTTCCAACACTTGAAGCGATATCTGAAAAACTGAGAGTTGACAGCAGATAACATTTTTGGGGAATTTTGGAATCCCTCAGCTGCATCTTTGACCATACAAGTCATTTTTATTTTTTTCTTTAAATTTTATGTATTCTATTTAAAAATGCATTTTATTTATCTTTTAACTAAACTTTTATTTTAAGTTCAGGGTACACGAGCAGGTTTGTTATGTAGGCAAACTTGTGTCATGCGGGTTTGTTGTACAGATTATTTTGTCACCCAGCTTTTAAGCTTAGTAGCCATTATTTTTCCTGATCCTCTCCCTCTTCCCACTTTTCACCATCTGATAGGCCCCCATGTGTGTTGTTCCCCTGTAGTCTATGTGTTCTCATCATTTAGCTTCCAGTTATAAGTGAGAACACGTGGTATTTGGTTTTCTGTTCCTGCATTTGCTAAGTTTGCTAAGGAAAATGGCCTCTAGCTTCATCCATGTTCCTGCAAAGGACATGATTCATTCTTTTTTGTGGCTGCATAGTATTCCATGGTATATATGTGTCATATTTTCTGTATCCACTCTATAATTGATGGGCATTTAGGTTGATTCCATGTCTTTGCTATTGTGAATAGTGCTGCAATGAACATATGCACACATGTATTTTTATGACAGAAAGAGCTATTCCTTTGGGTATACAGCAGGTAATGAGATTGCTGAATTGAATGGTATTTCTGTCTTTAGGTCTTTGAGGAATCACCACACTGTCTTTCCCAATGGTTAAACTAATTTACACTGGAAATTGAGAGTGTTGCTAAGTACTAAAAATCATAAAATATTTTCTTGATAAAAAATTATATATAGATATGTCTTGTTATCTTGTGGCTCCAGCAGTTCAACTTTTCTCCCAGGGAAGGTAGTGATAGAGAAGATGTGTTAGTAAAATAAAAGCTCAGCCAGGCGCCATGGCTCATGCCTATAATTCTAACACTTTGAGAGGCCAAGGTGGGTGGATTGCTTGACTCCAGGAATTCAAGACCAGCCTAGGCAATATGGTGAAACTCTTCTCTAATAACAACACAATAAAATTAGCTGGGTGTGGTGACACATGCCTGTAGTCCCAGCTGCTTGGGAGGCTGAAGTGGGAGGATTGCTTGAGATTGAGAGGTCAAGGCTGCAGTGAGCTGTGATTGCACCACTGTACTACAGCCTAGTGAGAACACATCTTGGAAAAAAAAAGAAAATAAAAGCTCAAGACATTTTCAAATTGTGCAAAAGTTGGAAAAATGTGGCTGTAAGGGAAAAATCACCTAACAGTGGAGCTTGAAGCTTTCTTACATTCAACTGGCCATCAAATTTGGCTTTGTAACTTGCAACACTGAAAAAGAAGCTAAAATTAGTAGTTCACATTTTAAAATGAACAAACAAGGATGCCCACACTTGCCACTTTAATTCAACACAGTACTGGAAGTCATATTGAGAGCAATTAGGCAAGAGGAAGAAATAAAAAGCATCCAAATTGAAAACAAAGAAGTTAAATTGTCCTTATTTGCAGATGACATAATCTTATATAGGGAAACCCCTAAAACATCCACCAAAAAACTGTTAAAACTAATAAACAAATTTATTAAATTTGCAGGATATAAAATAAACATACCAGATATTCATAAATGTGACAAATGAACAGCAGGATTATGAATTATCAAAGGAAAAAATATTTGCTAAGGTGAAAATATCTGATATTTGAGGAAGTTTTTATTTTTATAAACAAAATCTGATGTCCAAAGGCCCTTGTTTCTTACAATAAACCATGAGCCTGAGTTAACCAGAAATTTATGAACACCCATTTCCTGACTTTTTGCTTTAATTTAGGTTTTTCTCCACTCTGTTTCTAGCACAAAAGTCTGCCTGCTGTGTTGCAGAAATAAATTTATGTTGTCCTGTGCCATAAGGTGATATATTTAATATTTTTATTCTTTGGTTTTGAAAATTATATTGTTAAGTTTCTAAAAACATTTTATTAAACAACTAGACATTTTGTTATTTAAAAAAACATAGAAAACCCCATGGTGTTTCTATCCAAGAAGGAAATCAAGAAAACAATCCCATTTACAACAGCTACAAAAAAGTAAGATACTTAGGAATAAGTTTCCCTCTGAAAGTGAAAGACCTGTACACTGAAAATTATAAAACATGGATGAAAGAAACTGAAGAACACAAATAAATGGTAAGAAACCCCATAATTATGGATTGCAAGAAGTAATATTATTAAAATGTCCATGCTACCCAAAGTGACCTACAGATTCAATCCCTATCAAAATTCCAATGACATTTTTTTCATAGAAATAGAAAAAAACTATCCTAAAATTTATATGAAATCACAAAAGACCCCAAATAGCCAAAACAATCTTGTGCAAAAAGAACTAAGCTGGAGGCATCATATTACCTGACTTCACAGTATACTACAAAATCATGGTAATCAAAATAACATGGTACTGGCATAAAAACAGACACAAAGACCAATAGAATAGAATAGAGAACCCTGAAATGAATTCACAAACTTACGGTCAATTGATTTTTAACAGAAGTGCCAAGAACACATAATGGAGAAAGACATTTTCTTTAATAAACGGTGTTGGGAAAGCTGGATATCAACATGCAGAAGAATGAAATTAGATCCCCTGTCTCTCAAGATACACAAAAGTCAATTCAAAGTGAATAAAAGACTTAAATGTAAGAGCTGAAACTATAAAACTACCAGAAGAAAACATAGAAAGAAAAATCCATTACATTGGTCTGGGCAATGATTTTTTTGTATGTGACCTCAAAAGCATAGGCAACAAAAGCCAAAAAAAAAAAAGACAAATGTGATTACGTCAAATGAAAAGCTCTGCACAGTAGAGGAAACTATAAGAAATGGGAGAAAATATTTGCAAACCATATGTCGGGCAAGGTGTTAATATTCAAAATACATAAGGAATACAAATAATAGTGAGATAACAAATAACTTGATTAAAAATGGGTAAAGGACCCGAATAGACACATCTCAACAGAAGTAAACATGGCCAACAGGTATATATAAAAAAGCTAAATATCACTAATCATCAGGGAAATGTAAATTAAAACAAGATATCACCTCACACCTGCTAGATGGCTACTGTCAAAAAGATGAAACCTAACAAGTGTTGACAAAGATGTGGAGAAAAGGGAAGACTGGCACATTTTGGTGGGAATGTAAATTAGTACAGCCATTATGGAAAGGAGTAGAGGGGCTCCTCAGAAAATTAAAAATAGAACCATCTTATGATCCAGCAATCCCACTAGTAGGTATGTATCCAAAGGAAATGAAATCAGTATGTCAAAGATACATCTGCATTCCCCTGTTCACTGCAGCATTAATCACGATAGTTAAGATATAAAGTCGGCCGGGCGCGGTGGCTCGTGCCTGTAATCCCAGCACTTTGGGAGGCTGAGGCGGGCGGATCACGAGGTCAGGAGATCGAGACCATCCTGGCTAACACGGTGAAACCCCGTCTCTACTAAAAATGCAAAAAATTAGCCGGGCGTGGTGGCGGGCGCCTGTAGTCCCAGCTGCTCGGGAGGCTGAGGCAGGAGAATGGCGTGAACCCGGGAGGCGGAGCTTGCAGTGAGCCGAGATCGTGCCACTGCACTCCAGCCTGGGCGACAGAGCGAGACTCCGTCTCAAAAAAAAAAAAAACAAAAAACAAAAAACAAAAAAACAAAGATATAAAGTCAATCTAAGTATCCATCAAGGGATGAATGGATAAAGAAAATGTGGTATGTATACACAATGGAGTACTATTCAGCCTTAATAAAGAAGGGAATACTGTCATTTGCGATAACATGGATGAACATAGAGGATTATGTTAAGTAAAACAAGCCAGTCACAGAAAGACAAATACTGCATGATCTTACTTATATGTGAAATCTAAAAATGTTGAACTCAGAAGTAGAGAGTAGAGTGGTGATTACCAGGAGCTGGTGCAGGGAGTGGAGCGGGGTGGGGATTGGGGAGATATTGGACAAAGAACACAAAATTGCAATTAGGGAGGATTAAGTTCCAGAGTTCTGTTGTACAATATAGTGACTGTAGTTAACGGATTGCATTCTTGAAAATTGCTAAGTGAATAGATTTTGTGCTTTCACCACAAAAAATAAGTGTGTGAAGTAATGCATGTGTTAATTAGCTTGATTTAGCTTACCATAGTGTATACGTATTTTAAAACATCATATTGTACATGATAAATAGACACAATTTTTGTTAATTAAAATAAATAAGTGAATAAATGAATACATAATTTATAAATAAGCCAAAAAAGATAAAATTCACATTTGTAGCCAGATGCCTGGATGAGAAATCAGTTCCTAAAAATCAACCAATGAACCAAATGAACACAGAGAAAAGTTGATGACTAGAAGCTCTGGCAAACTCTGATTTCAAACCTGCTGACAAGCAGTTTCTGTCTAGTAAAAGAGAAAAACTTGAATTTGGACTGTGCTTTTTTGTGTGGACAAAAATAAATAGACTCTTTGGTTACACAAATATAAATAATCCACCCTACTATTCTTAGGGAAAATTGTAAAGTGGCTTGAATGCCGATGTTTTAGAGTAAAAACCTAGAAGTTCTCTTTGTAATATGAATTCCTTTTGTTTTGGCCAGACTGCCATTCTTGCAGACTTTACTTTTTTGGGAAATATTGTTCTTTATTGCACACATGTAGTCTGGATGCAGGGTGTCTACCTGCAAAATTTGGCTTGTTTTCATGGAACTGTGTGTGTAGCAGTCATCCCGTGGAGGTGAGGCTGAATGCAGGCAGGAGCTTTATGTCATGCTAGAGGAAATATGCTGAGAATCTCCTGCATAGACTTCACCTGGGATTATCTTCCAGATTATGCCCCATAATAAGAATTATCCAACCCAAAATGTCAACAGTGCCGAGGTTGAGAAACTCTGCTACAGATGAAGAAATTTAGCCTTAGATAAGCTATGTAGTGTCCAAGTTCCCAAAGCCATAAAGTGGCTGAGCAGCACTCTGCATCCAGGGGTGTCTGGATGGAGAGCCTTCCTCATCCAGTCTGTAAAACAGGCCCTCAGTGCACCTAGGTCATGATAACATAACCAGGCATAGCCTCTTTTTTCCTATAAATTGAGCACTCTTGTTGAGTTTTACCCCCACTAAAATGGAGTTCAACTGTGGTGGAGATCACAAAGAGCTCGGCTTTTCTTTTTCAATACAACTTCATCTAAGCGTTGAAATTGGGCTCATTTTCACTTTATTTTTGGCCCAAGATTGGGGTGTTTTTAATAAATGATTTTCTGAGTAGCTCCGTCTAATATAGAACTAGTGCATTGTATTCTAGAATATCTTCAGTCATTGTGGAAGTACCAGCGTATTATCCTAAGTGTCTATCATTGTCACTTGTCACTTTTTCTATCAACTCTTTCTCTCACTAATTTTTATTCTAGAGATTTCCTTTGGCCCATGAATAATGCTTTTAAGTTTCTAAAATAACCTGGGAGGGGATGGGATATACTTGAGAAGGCAAGATTCAGATTTGATTGTATAATAAATTGGAAGAGTTAGAGACATGAGCAGAAACAAATAGGTATGCAGGATGATACTCTAAAGTGAAAGAAAAATTAAGCAAATACGAGTAGCAACTGCTTCTATTAATGATGTGTGGTTGTATTTCGGATTAGAAATTCACTTTTGCAAAATTGTTCATCTGCAAAACAATTTGATGTGATTCATACAAACACTTTAGAGAATTTATATATGTGGAAAGGGATTTAATGTATGTATCTGAAGACATTTCACTGGATATATTGTCTTCTTGACCTTGCATTTCTCATCATCTCTTACTTGGATTATTCCCAATAGCCTCTTAACTGGCTTCTTTGCCAGTAATGAAATAAATGTCCCTGGCAGTTTTTTTTTTTTTTTTTTTCCACATTACTATCAGGGTATGCTTTCTATAATTTAAATCTGACCATGCCATTATCCTGCTTAAGATTCTTCAACTGTTTCTATTGCTTTCCAAAGTGGCTGTGAAAACACCTAAGACCCTTCACGTCTGGCCCCTGCCCACCCTGGAAGCTCCCCCTCCCTCTATAGGCTACCCAGGCTCAGGCCAAATGAAAGAATTTGCAGTTTTCCTCACAAGCCAGACTTTTTAGTGCCTAGTTGCACCTGCATTCGAGAAAGCCTCATTGTAGCTTGTGTACTCAGCAGACTCACTTATCTTTTTTTTCTCCATCTTTAAAAATTAAAAAAATTTTAATTGACACATTATAATTGTACATATTTATGGGGTACGATGTGATGTCTCGATGTAGTCTATGCTGTATAATGATCAATTCAGGGTAGTTAGCTTACCCACCGCCTCATACATTTATTATTTGTTTGTGTTGAGAACATTCAAAAGTGTCCAACAACACATGAATGGATAAAGAAAATGTGGACTATATACACAATGGAATGTTTTTCATTCATCTGTTAAGACACAAGTAATGTTGCTTCTCTGAAGCTTCCCCACTTTCAGTTACATGCTCCTTCTATGTTCTCACAGTGACCTCTGTGTGCCTTTCCTGCAACACTTACCTACACTGTAATGATCTATATACTCATCTGACTTTCCCACTAAATGTGGGACTCCCACTTAGCAGGACTTTATTATGTTCATGTCCGAATTCATCACATATTATATACTTTCTGGTATGCTCAAGGAATATTTTTAGAGCAAGAGAATGAATAAGTGAAAACATGTTGAATACATAAAAATTACACTAAAGTCAAATTTAATTCATCACTTTCTAGAGCTCCTCTTGATTAACTTAGTCTTTTTTGTTAAAGCAGTCTGTAAAGGAGATTTATCTAAAAGTTTGGTTGTGATATATTTAAAATGTAATTGAAATTTTATAATTTCAATTATGTAAAATTATATATTATAATAAAATTGTGTATTTTTATAATTATAATTTTATTATAAATTAAACAGATAATTTCCCATGTTCATTTTTGTGAGTGTGAAGGAACAAATATGAACAATTCCACATGTTCATTTTTGCGAGCGTGGAGGGAATATTTTAGAAGTGCATTCAAAATAAACAGTGTGACTCGAAGTACTATAGGACTTCAAAATTTCATTAGCCAGTTAGCACATTTTCATTTTCTAATAATCTGATGCTGAATTACTGCTAGGACAATATTTTAAAATCCCACTTCTAAAAATGTCTTCTACTACCTGGGAAAAGGCTAGTTTCCACTGAATGATTTAATACTTTATGTGTACATTTAAGAGGACTAAATTGAACTTAACTTCAGTCATGCTTATTTTAAAGGAAAAAAAAAAAAACTTTCTTCCGGAAACGTCTTTCTGGTCATTTTTTTTTTTTACCTAATTAGTTACCTAGAAGAGTTCTGTTGTTTGGTTAGTATTTATCATAAATACTTGCCCTGAAAAAAATCACATGCACTAAATTTCCAATTCCTTATGTAATGTTTTTTGTACAATGTCCATCAGAGAAAAATGGAAAAGATATTTGAGGAGGACCAGCCCTAGACTGAGGTACTATTTTACTTTATTTTTTTTGAGACAAGGTCTCACCCAGGCTGGAGTGCAGTGGCACGATCACAGTTCACCACAGCCTCAGTCTCCTGGGCTCAGGTGGTCCTACCACCTCAGCCTCCCAAGTAGCTGGAACTACAGTCACGTGCCACTATGCTCGGCTAATTTTTGTATTTTTTGTAGAGATGGAGTTTTGCTGTGTTGCCCAGGCTGGTCTAGAACTCCTGGAGTCAAGTGATCCTTTCATGTCGGCCTCCCAAACTGATGGGATTACCAGAGGTGAGCCACTGTGTTCAGCCAAGAGGTATTACTTTAAAACAACAGAAAATGTTGTGGTGTTCAAATACTAAAATGTAAGTGTTAAGAAACCAGGTAGACAACAAAAGACAGGAAAAAATTCAACAAACCAAATTCTGAGTAGAGCAGGTCAGAATCATGGTGTGTCAGACGTCATCTTGCTGTTCACAGAAACTTACACATCCACGGCTTACCAGAAATAGGAACATCTAAGTTTTGCTCTAAACTTTACCATTGATCTGTGATTGTCATTTATCAAATGAGAAGAAATAGTTGTTGTTTGCTTACCTAGGAGTGTCAAGGCAGCACTTAAAGAAGCTATTTGAGCTTCTTCTAATAAGAAAGGCAGTAGAGGTACAAAATTATTTCTCTCTTACACAGTGAATTTAGTTAGAAGTAGTAGTAAGCTCCAGGCTGGGTGCAGTGGCTCAGGCCTGTAATCCTAGCGCTTTGGGCAGCCAAGGTGGGAAGATCACTTGAGGTCAGGAGTTTGAGACCAGCCTGGGAGACATGGCGAAACCTCATCTCTACCAAAAATACAAAAATTAGCCAGGCATGGTGGCACGCTGCCTGTAATCCCAGCTACTGGGGAGGCTGAGGCAAGAGAATTGCTTGAACCCAGGAGGTGGAGGTTGCAGTGAGCTGAGATCTCCTCACTGTACTCCAGCCTGGGGGATGCAGCAAGACTCCATCTCAAAAAAAAAAAAAAAAATTTTGGCAGGTATGGTGGCATGCACCTGTAATCCCAGCTACTTGGGGGGCTGAGGTGGGATCGCTTGAACCTGGGAGGCAGAGGTTGCAGTGAGCAGAGACTGCCACTGCACTATAGCCTGGGTGACAGAGTGAGACCACGTCTAAAAAAAAAAAGAAAAAATAGTAGTAGGCTCTGGATCCACTAATGAGAGGGGTGCAAAAACAAGCAAGCAAACAAACAAACAGAAACACACTATGGCAAGCTAGTGAGGGAGTCAAGCTCTGGGGGAAATTAACAAGGTACTTTACCTTGACATGAGGGAATTTATTTTATTTTATTTTTTATTTTGATAGATTTAGAGGGTACAAGTGCTGATTTCTTACATGCATATGTTGCATCGTGGTGAAGTCTGGGCTTTTAGTGCACCCATCACCTGAACAGTGAACATTGCACCCAGTAGGCAATTTTTCATATCTCACCTCCCTCCCACTTTTTGGAGTCTCCAATGTCTATTATTCCACTCAACATCCAGTCATTTAAATGCAAAACTGTTCTCGAGAAAAAGGTTTGAAGATTATTGTTTGGTATTTGCAAGAGGATTTTTAAAGTTTTTGTCAAAGATTAAATATCACACCTAAAAGATAGCTTAGGTAAAGGTTATTTAAAATAATTTTCAGAGGTTATGTCTGACAGGAGTCCACTGGAGGGCAGTATATCGTAAGAATTATGGCTGGTTGCCTGAAATATTGATTTGTTTCAGATCATAAGCTGAATATCACATGACAGCTTAATTTTTAAAAGTGACATACAGTTCTACTGTCTGTTTTAAAGTTTAAAAAGACTTCCCACATTTAGTGTCTGGATAAGTCTATGTGTTTCCATTTGCTGTGAGGCATGATGGAGCTGATTATATGTTGAAAGTGTTTCTGTCTTACTGACAAATCAAAAAGTGTGAATTCAAGTTTCTGCACTTGGTTGAACAGTGATGCACTTCAGTCTGGCTAGACTTTAATTTATACTCTATTTCCCTAAGGAAAGAAACCAAGTTTCCGGAGATAGCTGTCGTTAATTGAAGTTAGATCACACGGCCTCACATTCCTTAACCGCAGAGCATTGAATGCAATGTTCTGGATCACATCAGCTGCCGGTGTAGCCCTATCACACGTACCTAATAAAATGTATTTGATTTGATGTCTGACTATTAATGAACATCTGTGAGATACAACTTGGAATTCAACTTGTTTATTTAACTATGGAAAGAAATTCTACCTTTGATTAAAAACAATCTTTTTTTTTCTTATGATAATGGTTGCCTCCTCCCTCAAAGTTTCTTCCTTCATCTATCCATCCATCCATCCATCCATCCATCCATCCATCCATCCATCCATCTATTCATGCATTTATCCATTAATTTGTTCAATATTTATTATTGGTCAATGATGTATGCATTGTGCAAGCTCTGGGGTTAAAAAGTGAGTGTGAAATTTCAGTTTAGAGATATGGAATAAGAAATAAACTCTCTTCAGAATATCAGGACTTGATGAGCCTAAGGTGTTTTTCAAATAATAACAATGGGGCACTTGTTATGAACTTCATAACAACACTGTGTTGTAGTCTCCACCACCACCACCACCACCCCCATCATTCCCATTTATAGGTGAGTGGATTAAGACAAAAAGGTCATGTCCCTTGCCCATGGTTACACAGTATGAAGAGTAGAGCCAGAGTTTGAGACTCACTCCAGACCTCATGCTCCAGAATACTAACCAAGCTCTTGAAGAGCAGTGGTTTCAAGTGAAGCAAATGTTAGTTGAGAAAACAAATAATTTAAGGATGACTTTGTTTTTCTGAAAGATAAAATGTACTAGACAATTAAGGAAATGCTTTATTCAGGCTACTGCACCAGGGAGAATGTTCAGTAATGAACACCTCACAGAAGAGAGAAAGAACTTTGAATTTTATAAAACAAGGGAGTCATTGAGGAAAGGAGGAAGTAGGTCCTATCTCTAACCCTGCAAACACAGGATGGTCCTCTGCTATTAGTTGGCCATTTCTTAGAACATAAAAAAGTCACAAAAGGGTGGAAGAATTTCTCGAACCTGTTGCTACTTTCCAGAAGTACAGGGTTCACATAAAGTTAAACACTGTCAGTGCCCACTTTTGTTCAAAACAATGAATGTCATTCCTCCCTCAACAACTCAGTAGCAATCACAAACCTCCTGACTGGGACAAAGCAAGATCTAGGAAATAGTCTCCTGAGGACTCTTATCGGTGTCGTTTCTGTAAAATCGGATGAACTCTGTTTGGCAGTGGTGCAGTCAGTCTTCAGAGTGCTAGAGATCAGGCATCTTTAAACAGAGATGCTTGAAGTGAGAAAGAAAAATATTAATGCAAAAATTGATTAAAATAAAGAGCCAGGAGTTAAACTCTGAGAGTAACTAAGCCAGTAGATTCCAAAAAATTGTTGGAGGAAAATCTTTTGGATATGCAGGACTGCTCCTGGAGTTTCTTGAAGCTCTGGAGTAGGAGGTCAGTGCTCTTGGCGATGTTGTTTGTGGTCATGGTGTCTCTCTTGGAAGCAGGTGCATCACCCAAGTACTTTACCACACTTTAGTGGCTCATACAGACTCTCCCTTGGTGTCCAGGGAGAAATCCAGCCCATGCATGGTCAGCTGCAGTAGTAACTCCTTTGAGGTTTATATCAAGTCTTCAGGCTTCAGCTGGTGGGTCTTCTTCAGATTCTGGGGAAAACGGCCAGCTGCCAGGCAATTGAGTCCCAACAGGGATCTGGGCAGTTATTTAGGCCGACTACATAGACAACAAGAATACCTTTTATCCCCTCTTCCTAGAGTGGGCCAATAAGCCAAGAAAATTTTGCCATTTTTACAGAGACAAGACCAAATTCTATTTTTGTACCAGTATAATATTTGATTTAAAATATCCTTGAGAAAACCTTATAAGTAAATTTATTGTGATAGGCAGGGTGATGCCCCTCCCCCTACCCCCAATGACATCCGTATTTTAATCCCTGGAACCTATAAACATGTTATGTTACACAGCGTGGAAGAATTAAGATTGCTCATGGAATTAAGGTTGTCAACCATCTGATCTTAAAGTAACAAAATTGTCCTGTATTATTTAGTGGACCCAGTGTAATCACAATGGTCATCTAAATGTGGAATGTTGGGGTGGGGGGGAACAGAAGAATCAGTGTCAGAGTGATGCAACATGAGAAAGACTTGACTGATCATTGCTGGCTTTGAAGATGGAAGGAGTCCATAAACCAAGAAATTCAGGCAATCTCTGCAATCCTGAAAACGTTAGGAAATGAATTCTCTTCTAAAGCCTCCAGGAATGCAGACTGATGATACCTTGATTTTAGCCAAGTGAGGTTCACTTTGGACTTGTGACCTCCAGAATCATAAGATAGTAAATTTGGGTTATTTTCAGCTACTAAATTTTTGGTAATTTGCTTCAGGAGCAATTGGAAACTAATGAACCCATCAAACTTCAGTCAGCTTTAATCATGACAAAAAAAAATCCCTTCCCACAAATCTTTCACAACTTTTTATATTCACTCAGGTTTTACCCTACATTTTGTCCCCCTCATTCTGGAACAACCAGTCATTTTACTTTATCGGGGGAGCCCATCCCCGATAATTCTTTGTGGGTTCTTTTCTATTTTCCCTAAGAGTCGGCTGGTCTGAGAAATAAAGGGAAAGAGTACAAAAGAGAGAAATTTTAAAGCTGGGTGTCCAGGACAGACATCACATGTCAGCAGGTTCCATGATGCCCCCTGAGCCATAAAACCAGCAAGTTTTTATTAGCAATTTTCAAAGGGGAGGGAGTGCATGAATAAGGTGTGGGTCACAGAGATCACATGCTTCATGGGCAACAAAAGATCACAAGGCAGAAGGTCAGGGTGAAACTAGAATCACTAATGAACTTCCATGTGCACGCATTGTCAGGGTTCAAGAGCAGATAACTGGTCTGACTAGAATTCGCCAGGCTGGAATTTCCTAATCCTAGCAAGCTTTGGGGCGCTGCAGGAGACTAGGGCGTGTTTCATCCCTATCTACATCTGCATAAAGGCAGACAATCCCAGGGCAGCCATTTTAGAGGCCCCACCGTTGGAATGCATTCTTTTCCTAGGGCTGTTAATTATTAATATTCCTTACTGGGGAAAGAATTCAGTGATATTTCTCTTACCCATTTTCCATAATAAGAGAAATATGGCTCTGTCCTGCCCAGCCCACAGGCAGCCAGACTTTAAGGTTATCTCCCTTGTTCCCTGAAAATTGCTGTTATCCTGTCCTTAAGGTGCCCAGATTTGATATTGTTCAAACACACATGCTCTACAAAAAATTTGTGCAGTTAACGCAATCATCACGGGGTCCTGAGGCAACATACATCCTCAGCTTAGGAAGATGACGGGATTAAGAGATTAAAGTAAGGACAGGCATAGGAAATCACAAGAGTGAGGAGAGAGAGACCCTCTCATATTGTTTTATACTCAGTACCTGTTTTAAGAAGAAACAACAAGGAAGTGAAATCAAAGACAGGCAGCCCGGTGCCAGGCCCAAAACCAGACCTGGGCCTGCCTGGCCTAAACATAGTAGTTAAAAATCAACTCATGACTTAGAAACCGATGTTATTCATAGATTCCAGACATTGTATAGAAGAGCATTGTGAAACTCCCTGCCGTGTTCTGTTTCTCTCTGACCACCGGTGCATGCAGCCCCTGTCACGTACCCCTTGCTTGCTCAATCAATCACAACCCTTTCATGTGAAATCTTTAGTGTTGTGAGCCCTTAAAAGGGACAGAAATTGTGTAGTCGGGAGCTCGGATTTTAAGGCAGTAGCTTGCCGATGCTCCCAGCTGAATAAAGCCCTTCCTTCTACAACTCGGGGTCTGAGAGGTTTTGTCTGCAGCTCGTCCTGCTACAAGAGTATTGATTGGGGAAGTGATAAATGTCCATGAAATCTTCACAGTTTATGTTCAGAGATTGCAGTAAAGACAGGCATAAGAAATTATAAAAGTATTAATTTGGGGAACTAATAAATGTCCATGAAATCTTCACAATTTATGTTCCTCTGCCATGGCTTCAGCTGGTCCCTCTGTTCGGGGTCCCTGACTTACCACAACATTACTTGAGGACAGAACTACGCTCATTTCCTTAACACAAATACATCTCTTACACTACAACTTCTCAAAGTAGCAAAAATGAACCTTCTCTTTAACAGATCCAAATACATACCCTTTATGTATCACAAAAATAAGAGACAAAAATACATAAATTTAAACTGTGCTTGATAACTAACATTTCAGCATTTTTTCTTACTTAAAAATGACCTAGGCATCCAGTGAATATTGATTAACTCAATGTAGTATCAGTGCAAAATTTAGTTACCTAAACATCTTGGAAATCATCTTCAAGTTGACATACTACAAAATATAAGTGCTATTTGTAATAAAGAGACTGCCTACATTACTATTTGACTGCTGACAGCTTTTATTTTATTTATTTTTTTTTTCTGCCCCCAGGCTGGAGTGCAGTGGCATGACCTCGGCTCACTGTAACCTCTGCCTCCTGGGTTCCAGCAATTCTCCTGCCTCAGTCTCCTGAGTAGCTGGGATTACAGGCACCCGCCACCACACCCGGCTAATTTTTGAATTTGTAGTAGAGATGGCGTTTCACCATGTTGGCCAGGCTGGTCTTGAACTCCTGACCTCAAGTGATCCACCCACCTTGGCTGCCCAAAGTGCTGCTGGGATTACAGGGATGAGCCACTGCACCTGGCCAGCTGACAGCTTTCAAGCCTCACCTCTCCATCTTTTTCTGTCCCACATGTGAGCAAACTGAAGAGAAAGCTTGTGTTCTTCCTTCCTTGGTGCTGATGGGAAGTTCAAGCCCAGCAAGTCCCTGCTTGCAGGTGGGAAACATCGCTCCATGCCCACCCCCTAACCACCATCAAAACCTCAAACCAGTCTCCTTTCCTTGCCTTCTGCCAAGTCAGTTTAGGCCTATTTGGAAGGGCTTCCCTCTTTGTTGTCTCCAGAAAGCCTCCTTATATGAGTAATAAAACTTCTGATACCTTCTTAGTGTTCGTGTGACATCATCAGTCTGCAATCTGAACCACATTTTGGGTGGGTGTCCGTTCTCTCTTTGCAGTGTGTCCACAACACTGTTGAAATACAATCTGTCAAAACAGTGATTCTGTTTACATTTTTTAATCCTAAACATTCAGTAGAAATAATGCTACATTATTCAATCAGTAAACTGTATGTTTAGGAAAAACATACCTATGTAGACGAAGGTCTACATGTATATTATCCTTCAACCTGGCCTATTGGATAATATATACCTGTTTTTAATTAAATCAAAACAATTAAGGTAGTCTTGTTTGCCAAAGATTTATGTAAATTATATGAACTTGAATTCTTAAAAAGTTCCTGAGTTCATTTTTATAAGATACTTCTTTTATTTTTTATAGAGAGATGGGGTCTCACTCTGTTGCCCAGGCTGGTCTTGAACTCCTGGGCTCAAGCAATCCCCCATCTCAGCCTCCTGAGTAGCTGGAATTTCAGATGAGTGCCACCATACCCGGTTCTTTTTTATTTATATTGAAAATATTTGAGGGTGAATTTTCTTAATTTATGGTAATTTTAGGAATGTCCCATTAATAAGTGTTTTTTTTTAATCTTTAAGTCAATTAGAATAGGGCTCTTTTAAGAGATTTTATAATCTAATTTATTACCATCAGAGGAAGAAAATATTACATACTTGTATGATGAGATGCAACAGCCTTACTGAATGACAGACATATAAACATGCAGACAGACACAAATAGAAAGTTTGTAGCTTTATTTTTAAAATTTTAGCCATCTGTCAAGTATAAACACAAAAGTACACATCTTACTTGTCCATATCTGTTGAGCTGTTTTTTCCCACTGGGTACAAATTCTTAATTTATTTGAGCTCTAACAGACAAAAAGATAAACAGAAAAAGTTAACATACCAGATTCCCTGTTGCCTTTCAACCAAGAGAAACAGGATCCCTATAAATGATTAATACATTTATAGAAATCACCAAATGATCACAACGATGAAACCAAAAGAAGCTGGCACCAGATTTAAAATGAATACTCAAGAGGAGTTAAATTGAATTATTGTAATGCTACAGATGGACAAGAGTCCAGAAGACAGGACCAAGAGCTTAACTCACTTTGGGGTCCCTGGATCACCACTCAGGAACAGAGCACACAGGGCTCTGAAAAACCTTATTTCTTGGTAGGAGCAGACAGAGATCTGAAGGTGAGGACCAGCCCTATCTCAGTCATGGCACCAAACTGTGAAAGAGAAAATGCACTAGACAATTTAAAGAATGATTTTATTCAGGCTATTGCAACAGGGAAAACATTTATTAATGATGACTGTTTCAAAGAAGAGAAAGAAAACTTGGGGTTTTACGAAATGGAATCATTGAGGAAGAGTGGAGTGGAGGTTAAGTCTAATCTGGAAATATATGAGGACATGGTGGCTCTTTGGAGTTGGCTGATTAGCTGCTTAGTCATTTTACTGTTTCTAATAACATAAAAGGATCACAAAGGGTGGAGGGTTTCTCAACTGTCTCAATTATTTTCCATAAAGAGAGGGATCAGGTGAAGTTCAACACTGCCTGTGATTTTATAATAAGCTCTTGGCTTTATCACTTCCTTGACCATGAAAACCTCATTCACACAAGCAGATCATAGTATCCCTGGGAGGGCTTTTTATGTCCTGTAACATCAGGTACTATATGGACATTTTCGTAGTCTTTAAAACAATTTTAAATGCGCTGCATGCCTTTATGTATTTAAATTTTTAAAAAGAAAACCTCATTTGCTGCTTACAAACATTTTTAGAGACGGTATGAAAAGTAAATTACTAACCAGAAAACCAGACTTTAACTTATTTTCCCACTGACCATTTAAGGTAGGGAATTTAAGTGATTTTAAGGACAAGTAGACACGTTCTAGAAATGTCTGCCATGATTAAGGGAAGATCACTGGCCAGGACACCTGGGTATCTCTTACAATGGGCAATTTTAGTCTTTTCTGAAGTGGAGCTTTGAGGATGCAGGGGCAGATGCAGGCTTTGTTTGGCACCTGTGAGAACACCAGGGACCCAGGGAAATTAGATATGAATAACAGTTTGAAAAATGCTCAATGAGTTAGACTGCTCCAGGGTGGCACTGCCATTTCAGTCTGCAGAGTACAAGAGTAGCTAGGCAAGCTGATAGAAACCATAGAATCCTGGCCAGAGCTGTGTTTCTGCTGCACCATAACAACTCAAGAAGGAGTTCTCTATTAGTAGGAGTTTTGGGAACGTTCGATGTATATTTCAAAGAAAAGAATATTCTACAATTATTGGATTAAGGTTCTGTGTACATCTATTGGGTTATGCTTGTTAATCATGATGTTCAATGGTGATTTTTACCTTTTGAAAAATCTGGTTCTATCCATTAGGAAAGATTTGTCAATACGTTTCCTTCTGTGATGGTGAATTTGCCTGTTTTCTCCTGTCATTTTCTGCTTATAGTTTTGAGGTTGTGCTACTAAGTGCAAATAAATAAATTTAGAATTGTTTCATCCTTCCAGTGAGCTGAGACTTTTGTCATAAAGAGTAAAAGCATTTTTTGCCTTAATTTCTATTTTGTATGATGTTAGTTTGGTATACTCAAATTTTGTTTTGGCTGGCATTTGACTTTTATAGTTACTTCCATCTTTTTATTTTTTAAACCCTTTTTGGGGAAACTTATGTATCTCTTCCTCTTTGCATGTAGCTGAATTCTGACCCCCTTATGAATATTTGTGCCATTTAACTGAAGATTTCAAGTATTTCCATTAACCTACTTCAATTTATTGAAAATACTAATATATATGTATTTATCTCTACCATTTTATTTTGTGATTTTTATTTTATTTTGGTATTTCTGTTTCTTTTTTCCCTTTATTGCCTGCCCGTTTTTCAATTGATTGGGAGCTATTTCCTTCCTTCCACTTGCTCTTAAACTTCTATAATAGGCATACTTAATATAGAAAGTTAAAAATTGAAAATTAAAATTAAAATGCCATTTTAATCACTTTTATCATTCTGGGTCCAACAAGGAAAAAAGAAATCACTTTTAATCTTTTAGTAGAAGAAATTTAATATAGGGAATTGGTTACAGAAGTGATGGTAATGCTAAGCTGTAGGGAGGATGGCAATGCAGCACTGAGCACCAGCAAGAAGTTGCTTATGTATCAGGGTTGGAAGGCAACGGGAAGAGTAGTGCAAATGATATAAATATTATATCTGCTTGCTAGGTTTCCAATTCCTAGGAACCTATCAGGTTTGTGCAAAAGTAATTGCAGTCTTGAGGTCAGGAGATCGAGAACATCCTGGCGAACACGGTGAAACTCCGTGTCTACTAAAAATACAAAAAAATTAGCCAGGCATGGTGGTGGGCACCTGTAGTCCCAGCTACTCGGGAGGCTGAGGCAGGAGAATGGCGTGAACCCAGGAGGTGGAGCTTGCAGTGAGCCGAGATCATGCCACTGCACTCCAGCCTGGGTGACAGCGAGACTCCATCTCAAAAACAAAAAACAAAAAACGAAAAACAAAAAACAAAAGTAATTGCAATTTTGGCCATTAAAAGTAATAGCCAAAACCGCAATTACTTTTGCACCAACCTAATACCTTTAATATTTTCCATTTCTTTACTCTCTGTGTTTTCTGCATTCTGTGTAGTTTTGTCCAACATCTTCAAATGTACTCATTCTTATCTTAGGTATGCTGTTTAACCGTTCCAAATCGTTCTAAAATTTAAATTGTTATGTTATTTATTTCTAAAACAACTCTTTGGTTCTTTAAAAAATTCTGCCAGTTCATTTTTTATAATGTCTTGCTCCTGTTTTATAGATATATATGATATATATCATAATTATTTTGTGTTTTATATTCTGCACCTGGAAATTATAGTGTCTTATATTTCTGAGTGTCTGATTCTGTTCCTGGTTGTTTTTTCTGTCCCTCACGTCTAGCGATTTATTTTCTTGTGTATTTTATTATTATTTTTATTGTGAACTTATATTTGTTGGAAATGTTTCTGAGAATTCTTTAAATCTGGGCACGAACATGTAGGAACGGTCAGGGAGTGTTTATTTTTACTCCTACCAGTACCTGGGGGCATTATAAACTTGCAAACACTTTAAGCTATAATTTTTGGTTTGTAGTTTTTAGTGCCATGAAAATACTGTAAATCAGGTTCTACACCCACAGGAGATCTGGCTGGTAATCAAGAACACTCAGGAAAGATTTTTCTTTTAACCTCTACCTCGAAGCAAGGCCAAGACAGAAAACTTTCTTGCCAACTGCTTTTGTGGAAAGGTTATTATTTTCCTAGTTTGCCCTGTTTCTGAGAGAATGTTTCTCCAAGATCCTGACATTAAGTGGGATGAACTTTGATCCAGCTCCCTTCTCTACAAAGGCCCAAGGCTTTGTCCCTGGACTCCCTGTGCACTGACACTCCAGGCTTCAAGGTGGGGGCGATGCCAGAGCATCCCGCAGATTTAGGGTTCACTTGCTCCCCTCCTCACATGCTTCCGCTTTGCTCCTCTTCTCTGGGTTTTCCCCCAACACTTTCTCACAGGCATAGTCAATCTTTCAAAAGGGGGTGTGTGTGTGTGTGTGTGTGTGTGTGTGTGTGTGTGTGTGTGTATATGTATGTATATATACACATATATGTATATACATATATAATAATTATATATGTACATATATAATAATTATATATGTACATATATAATAATTATATATGTACATATATATAATTATTATATATATGTACATATATAATTATTATATATATGTATATATACATATATATATAATTTTTAGAAGTTACATTAGGGGGCCGGGCGCAGTGGCTCACGCCTGTAATCCCAGCACTTTGGGAGGCCGAGGCAGGCGGATCACGAGGTCAGGAGATCGAGAGCATCCTGGCTAACACAGTGAAACCCCATCTC
Organism: Homo sapiens; assembly: GCF_000001405.40. NCBI lineage: Eukaryota > Metazoa > Chordata > Mammalia > Primates > Hominidae > Homo > Homo sapiens. The sequence continues at coordinate 67,831,308 of NC_000008.11, forward strand.
TACTAAAAATACGAAAATTTAGCTGGGCGTGGTGGCAGGTGCCTGTAGTCCCAGCTGCTCGGGAGGCGGGGGCAGGAGAATGGCGTGAACCTGGGAGGCAGAGCTTGCAGTGAGCCGAGATCGCGCCACTGCACGCCAGCTTGGGCGACAGAGCGAGACTCTGTCTCAAAAAAAAAAAAAAAAAAAGAGTTACATTAGGGGAGGGTATACATTCCATTCATAAAATAAAGATGTTGCAATAGCAAATAAATAAGGGTAGCAATTTCCAAGTTATATTTTGTAATATGATAGAAATATTATTCAAATAGTATTTCTTTGCATCTGCTAATATTTTTCTCTATTTCCTATAGGTCAGACTCTCTGCCAAGCACTTTGCGTAGTTATCTAATTCAATCATTGTATCCATTCCATGAAGTAGATATTATTATTATCATCCCCCTTTTATATCTTAGAAAAATGAAGCTCAGAAATATTAACATACTACAAATCATATAATTAATGTGTTAGAGGTATATTTGAAATCAAGTTTCTCTGAATATAAAACCCACATTCTTAACCACTCTAGTATAAAATTGAGTACAAATAGAATGAGTGGGTGGCTCTAGACTCAATAAAGTAATCTTCTTAAAGTCTTCATCATCATGAGCTACTACTTTTTTAATCTTTGATTTTATTTCTAGGGATATGGTGATAAGACTTTGCTGTTGAAATTCTAAATACTCTTTATTATTATTTTGAAAACTCTATTTATATCAAAGTCTTTGCTGGAGTTTGGTAAGCTCCCATCAACTTTATCTCTAAATCTGTTCTTTAAGCCTTTTTGAAAACTTACCTTTAAAGTATGCTCTCTGACAGGTGAACAGGTCTGCAAGACAAGAGAGCTGACAAATCAGACAGAATTTTAGATGGCATTAGAAACCCATGCTTGATTTCCTTCCTTTTGCATATTTTTGAAAGCATGATGATGACAGTGAGAAGTCTTTTCTCTGTGAATGTGAATCCAAGTTAATGCATGAAACATTGCCGATCAAAAAGAAGACATCAACTAAGGAGAATGTGAACCAGATTCGAGAGAAAGAAAATCATCCTTAATCTGAGCTTAGATACCCTGCAGCAAACTTTTTACATGTGATCATTAATGAGAAATCTATAAAACAAGAGAAGGCCAGCTTCAGGAAGAAAGGAGAAAATAAAGAACTGAATAGTTAGAGACTTCATATAGGGATATAAAAAATGAAAACATGAACTAGAGAATGAACAATATTAGTGATCAATCACTATAATAGGCACAATGCAACAGGGAGAGTCAAAAGTCCCACAGGAGCACCTGAGGAGGAGGGATCAGTCTCTCCAGTTCTTTTTTTAGAATGAATGCAAGACAGTTCAGTAATGAAATGAATGTTGGTCATTATCAAATGTTAAAATTCCTTCCCTTTCTGGGTGTGTTAAGAAAAATAGCATTCATCTTCTAGGATCTTTCTGTTTTCACAGCTAGTGCTGAAATGTGGAAGTGATTCCAGGTGAAATCCTTAAAGTTTACTTCAAAAAGTAGAATGCCATTACCATGAATGATCTTTGAGAAATAGCCTTCTCTTTCACCTAATAAAGATGTTAAAAGTGGACTATTATTGCTACGGTTATAAAATAAATGTGCAGAAGTAGTATAGAAATAGGAGAGGCAGCGTAGTGTTTCCTGGTATGTAAATCCTGAGGCTGATTCAGTCCAGGTGACTGTATCTGAAATGGTCAAGGATGGAGGATGGATATTATTAGTGTAGTGAGATAAGCAGATTTTCAGATGTTCTCTGTCTGCTGAAGGATCAGAAAATGAGAAGATTAGCAGATTGATTTCCTTTTATCTACTTATGGATCTATCATTATATTAAGCCTTTATTGTTCTAGGATGGTGGTTTTGAATGGTTGTAACATGCATAGGGTAAATTTGCTGGAATGCAAAACATTTCACTGGCACCCTCTGGACTGACTAGGGCAAATGACCACAGTTCCTACCCAGGGTGCAAACCTTCATGCTTTTTAACCCTTGCCATAAGCAATTCAGTCTCACCCTATACCATGTATGTGGAGTTCATGGTGCTGTCCATGCTCTAATAAGAGCATTAACCAAGCTTGTCTAATTGAATATCCACATTGACCTCTCCTCCCTTCACATATTCCATTGAAATGATTATAAGGAAATTTAAAGCAGAATTAATTCATGATACCCCTGAGATGAGAGGAGAGAACAGTGGAGATCAGAGATTGCAACCAGTTTCCTGAAGATGGAAAACCAAATGGACAATACTGAAAGATAAATTAAAGCAGGAGCCAAATTCCAAAAGAATCATCATCAAAGTGTCTACAGTGGAAGCAGAAGCTGGCGACATGATCATAGGAAGACTACAGACTAAGAGTGATGAGAATAGAGAATAAGAATTGGTAGGCGATTAACTCAGGAGTTATCTAGAAAGTGTTTCTAGACTGGTTTTGAGCTTGGGCTCTCACCCCCACCCCTCACCATCATCTCCTCAATGAATTATGGTGATTATTTCTAGGATAAAACTGGAGCAATGGCCTCTAAAATAGATCAGCTAATATACATGAGGAATCCTAGGGTTCAGAGTGTGGGTATGGCACCCCGCTAAAGAAAACTCTCTTTGTTAGAGTTGGTAGGGATAGGAGTTGGGGTACCCATTGTGTACCCTAAAGCAGGCCTTGCCGGTTGATGGGTGGCACCATGTGCACAGAAACTACAGCCAGCCTTTCCATTCAGATGAGGGACTTAGCAGGGAATTGAGATTCTATGTATTCATAGGACATCCATGCCATATACCCGTATCAGCAACTCAGTCCTTTATCCATGAACGAGAATGGACAATCAACAACCCTCCTTTTTCAAGGGCAAAACAGGTACAAAAGGAAAAGATAATTGACCCTGGAGAAAACAGGATTAATTAAAGAATCAGAAGGGAAATTAAAACATATGTTAGTAATATCTTCTGAGAGACTTGGAGAGATATTGATCCATAAAATAAGAATAGGTTGCTATAAAAAAGAATTTAAAAAATAAATTTTGAAATTTAAAAACGCAACTAGCAATCTAGAGGTTAAGTGTGCCCACCCGATTTTGAATTTTCCCATACCTTTCCTAGATGACATAAAATCAACAATGAAAGTAAATAAAATCACACAAGACTCATACTTTCAGCATTTCAAGGTGACAGAGAATATTATGGTTGTCAAATTGCATGTCAGTGGATAACCAAAAAAATTCCAGTAAATATTGAGAATTCCTTGCATTCTAAATGTAGGAGATTGTTTGAATAAGCACAATGGAGTACTATGCAGCTGTAACAAAGAACAGGATGCTTATGTGACATTAAATTTATCTCCCCACATGTGGCTTATTAGTTGCCAGAGAGAAACAGTGATTATACAGTGAAGTACCCATATGTCTCCACTTTTGATTACTTTTGATCAAAAGTAACTACCATTGAAGGGCAAATGAGCACTGAGTGCTTTGTCAGTTTGCTGGGGCTGCTGTAACAAAGTACCACAAACTGGGTGACGTAAGCAACAGAAATGTACTGTCTCACAGTTCTGGAGGCAGGAAGTCCAAGATCAAAGTGTGGGCAAGCTTGGTTCCTTTGGAGGGCTGTTGGGGAAGGATCCGTATCCCAGGCTTTTCTCCTTGACTTATACATACATGTATACCTGCACACAGAGACCGTGTGCCCAGACATGCAAATGATAAAGCAAATGGGACAAAATGTTAACAATTGGTGAAGCTGGGTAAAGGATATGCAGGTGTTTTTTATACTGTTCTCACAAACTTTTCAGTTAAGTTTGAAATTATTTCTTAAAAGAAAGATAAGAAAGACACAAATTACCACAAAGAACCATCAGAAAAAGTCTAGATGGCCAAGCGATAGAAAATGAAAGAGAAAAGATGAGAAAGAGGTTGAGTCTAAATAATCCATTTAATTAGTTCCAGAAAAAGAAGAGAATAGTCAAAGGAATTATAGAAGCATGCATTCAGCCGGGCGCAGTGGCTCATGCCTGTAATCCCAGCACTTTGAGAGACCAAGGCGGGCGGATCATGAGGTCAGGAGATCGAGACCATCCTGGCTAACATGGTGAAACCCCGTCTCTACTAAAAATACAAAAAATTAGCCAGGCGTGGTGGTGGGCGCCTGTAGTCCCAGCTACTTGGGAGGCTGAGGCAGGAGAATGGCGTGAACCCGGGAGACAGAGCTTGCAGTGAGCCGAGATCGCACCACTGCACTCCAGCCTGGGTGACAGAGTGAAACTCCGTCTCAAAAAAAAAAAAAAAAAAAAAAAGCATGCATTCCCAGAGATGAAGACCCACATGCAGGTGGAAAGGACCCATTGAACATCAAGAAGAATGAATAATATAAGTAATTATTATTATTTTGAAAGAGCCACGTTCAACTCCACCCTTGTGAAATTCCAGCACATGAAACGTAAAATGAACATATGAAAGGTTTTGGAGCAAAAGGCGGGTGATTTATAAAGGACTAAGAATCATATCAGCATCAAACTTGTCATCATTACCACTAGATTCTATAGAAAATGGAGCGATATCTTCAAAGTGAGACCTGCTGGAAAGAACCAGTGACACTAAAAACATGTAGTAGTGCCATGCAAATGCCAAGAGGAAATTATTTTAATACTTTTGTTTCTAACCAAATCACCAGTCAAAGGTGAGGGCAAAATGAAACAGTTTTGTATTTGTAATAATTCAGAATTTAGTGCTGACACACGTACTCTTAGAAAAGTGCCAGAAGATATTTACCAGAAAAATGAAAAATGTATGTATAAAAAAAGAGAAGGGATCTGAGTTACTGGATGTAACCCAGAAGTACAACAAAAAGAAACCTAGGATGACAGCTACTGTGCAGCAAGCCTGGAAATCACTGGTCCAAATTAAAATGGAAAGTTTTAATGAATGTCTTCAAGAAGACAACTAATTATACATGACAACAATTGTACAATTAAAAAACTGGGCAATCCTGGTGATAAGGAGAAATAATATGATACCAATGACACCATATATTACTACCAATAATTGTAATAACATAATAATGTCAAGGATGAAGTTTCTCGAGCCTCTTACTTGGAGAATCCTTTCCTCCCCTCCCCTCCCCTCCTTTTTTCTCTCTTCTCCCCTCCTCTCCTCTCCTCCCCTCTCTTCTCTTCTTTTCCTTCCCTCCCTTCTTTCCTCCCTACCTCCATTCCTTCCTTCCTCCCTTCCTCCTCTCCTCCCTTCCTCCCCTTTTGCCTTCCTTCCTCCCTCCCTTCCTTCCTTCCTGTTTTATTTTTGCTTGCTATGTTATAGACCAAGGGAAAAAGAGAAGTTTCTTTTTAGGTATCCATTGGGAAAATGATATTTTCTTCACAAATTACTCTCTAGACAGTTGTCACATCTGATTCTTTTCAGTGTGCCTAGGAGCCCCAATCTGTCTTGAACAAACTATCCTTTATCTTAACTACTCTTTCAAATACTTCAAAAAACACCCTCGTATCTCTTTAGCTTTGTACTCCTTTCTCTCTCCATGGAAGAGACCACTGGCTCTGGAGCCTGTGGCCAATTTTGTCCTTAGTCTTCAATATTCAAGTGCTTCTGCTCTACGTCAACCTCACTCTGACTTTGTGTCTCAATTTTCATAGTTGGGGGTTAACACCCAGCTCTCTGTTTGTCCTCTCATTCCAGCAGCCTCATGACCCATTCCTCTTGCTGGAGCCCCTGCATCAAATACCTGTCTAATGTGCTGGTCACCTGGAACAGGTCACGCCTCATCCTTGTCAATTCTCACTCCTTGGAAGGTGAAACGTCAGATGTGCATAATGCTGTCTGTTGCCTGGATCTCTACAGATTGTTGGCTCACATTCACCCTTTGGGTCGTCTAATTTTGATAATATTCTTTTACTTCTTTAGGCCAGCCTGATGTCAGCTCCTGGCCTAGCTTTCCATCTGTTGATTGTCATTACCTTGTCTGGAATCCATCTACCTAAATAAACTTATTACCATTTTGGAAAGTGGGTCTGGCCACCAAGTAGGTATTTCTAGCTCCAGACCTTGACTTTTCTGTTCTGTCCAATCTATTGAAAGGTGTTCAAGCTCTCGACCTCGTTCCCCATCCCCATACCTGAATCCAGGCTTCCCCATGGTGATGCCATTGTTTTGTGCCACTCAGTTGCGACTCTTGCCCTGATTCACTTGGTAGGAAGAAGAGGCTCAAACCTTTGTCTACACTGGTGCTTCCAGACCATGTATCTCTTCACCATTTTGCTTTACATCTGCACTTGCAAATGCTAAATCCTTTATCTGGCCCTTGTCCCCTCAAGCCTGATCTATTGCAGTTCACTCCAACTGTTTTGTCTGCCTTGTTTTTTCCACTCTCTTCACACACCTATTCGCCTATGATACTCTGTCAAAGTTATCTCTCTAAAAGAAAACAGAAACAAAAACAAACATCTTTTCTGCTAAGAACTCCCTCTCCTGCTCAAAGTCCCCAGTGGTTTTCTATTTCTTGGAAGGAATCATGATCCTTGTCCTGAAGTCATGGCTGCCTCCTGGTTTTGATGTGCCCATTGATGTTGACTTAGCTGTCCTTTTGCAAAATGTGCGTAGGAATGTCATTCCATCAAGGCAAGCCTTTGAGAAGATGACACATAAAAGTTGTTTGGAGACTTTTGAGCATCTCATTTGTCACATAAATATTTAGTAATAGCAATAGTAAACATAACCCTGTTCCCAAGGAGAAATAATTGAGAACTGACCCTGACTGCAGTATCTGGAGGATGACAGATCTTGTTGTTCTTTGATCACAGAACTTTGTCATACGTATACATCTAGCACATATCACTGTAGTATGGTGTGAGTGCTACATGTCATGGGTTATAAGATCACAAAATTCAATGAAAGGAAGGAAGTATAGGAAAAGTAATGAGATCGTCTAAGTAATAAATGCAGTGTGACAGTCATGGCATTGAAGATGAAATCAAATATGCATGGTTAATAGCATTGGTGGAAACTTCCTCTTCTGCTAGATGTTTTATTCTTAATAAATCTTAACCAGATGCATGTATGTTTGCTACATTGCCATTTTAATGTGAAACTGACTTTTCTAACCAACTCTTTTCCTGCAATACTTAGTATCAGTTGCTACCATCCCTGACCAGCATGATATCATATGGAAGTTGTTTTTGACTGAGGAAAATTTTCAATGTATCAGTCATGTAAAATGAATACAGATAACTCATCATGCTTATTCTGTCATTCGATTCTGGCCTGTCTGTAACCCTACTTTAGTTTTCATTATACTTACCCCTTGAATGAATTAAGAAAAACTTGTTAAAATTACTCGTGAACAGTTTGCTCCGATGCTATAAGCAAAGTATTTGATAGATTAGTAGCTCTGACTCTCAGATGCAAAATTCATGAACTTGAATTCTTTTTCCAACTTTTTTTTCCCTAGGTCTTTCACATGTTCCTGACCTTGATTTTAAATTTTAACTTAGCTCTACTGAATCTATGATATTTGGACTATGTGCTAATTGTCAAATTAAAGGTACTTTCTTCTCACATAATGATGCCTTTTGTACATTATAAAGTAAAAGGAGAAGACTATACATCCATTTTTAAATGCTCTAATTTCTTTCTAACATTCTTAAATTGATATGCCATTGTTGTACATTTTTGGTGGGCACATAACTGCTCTAATTTCTTACACACATACATATAACAACATGTCAATGGTTGTTATCCTCCAGTGATGGTGGTATGGTAGCAGACATTTGTGGTTTGGCTCCCATCCCCATTCTTTCTCCTTCAGGCTTTAGCCCCCAGTCTCACTAATGGTATCAAGGTCTCCACTACTTGTAGCCCTTGTGGTCTGGGAAGTGGGTTCCACCCCTGGTTCCCCCAGTCTGTTGGCACACTGAGCTAGGGGAGGACTCAGGGCCAGGCCCTGAACCAACACATCTCATTGCCAAAGCTTTGGTTTCAGCCATCAAGGCTGCAGAGCCTTTCCCATGGGATGTGGAGTTGGAGGTAAGACAGTACTGGCATTTTTGCAGTACAGTCACACTGCAGTCTCTGTCGGGGAGAAAAGATTTCTTTCCTCACCCATTAGTAGGTTCATGGATGAGGCACCTATATAAAAGATTAACAAGAGAAAAGCATAGAAATTTATTTAATAAAAGCTTTATGAGAGCCTTTAGAAATTAAGACTCAAAGAGTTAGGAAAACCTGTGTATTTTTATGCTTAGGTTGAATGAAGAGGTGCACAGTGGTGAAAAGTATGAGTGGACCAAGGAAATGTGATCTAATGGTAATAAACTGAGGGGACTTAGCAAGGCCTGCTTACTCAGATTCTTCTCTGTGTCCTTATGTCTTCAGAGATGAGGATGTGTCTTTCCTCCAGGTATAGGGAGGGCACCCCTAGAATGGGGGTCTTATGATCTGCTTCACAGGAGAAGAACAAGGGGAAGATGAGAGAAACCTTTCTGCTTCTGCTGTTTTCTCAAATGCCAATGTGCCATATTTTGGGTTAATGTGTCCTGAGCCCAGCCACCCTGAAGAGACAGTCTGACTGGGAATGGAATGAGCCTCATGGACAGCAGAGTCAGAGGAGGCAAGATAGAAATCTGGAGCTGGTGACACCATTTGACCTCAGATCAAGTGGCACCTGAAATTAGTTCAAACCCTGCTCTTTTCAGTTTTAGGAGCCAAGAGATTCCCTTTATGCTAAAGCAATTTGAATTGGGTTTTACGGCTGCCTACAGTAGAAAGAGAGTCTTAACCATTTACAAATCATGGATGATTATGTCCTTAGTATTTTACTATATTTTTCATTTTTTTCTATGATGAATATAATGGCCACAAAAAAAAATCCCATCCCCACCCCCCAATAAATGTTGCAAAATTGTTTTCAGTTCTCCAGGATGGTACTGATGAATTATTTTCCTTATTTTGGGTGTTGAGAAATTTTGTTTTTTTCTTTATGTTGCATCTGAATATTTACTTTTAGTTTGCAGGTAAATAATTTATTCTCTTAAAGAAACAATTTATTCCTAAATCTTGTTCAAGCTGTTTTGGTAGTGGACAATACCCAGGATGAGTTTAGAATAATCCTCTTACTTTATTTTAAGCTAACTTAGATTTAAGAAAGACTAAATTTTCTTTGTCTAGGTCAATATTTACCATTCTATATAGATTTCCATCCTAGGTGAAGAGAACTTTGACACATGTTTTTCTTCTGGGACAACTTTCTTTCAATTAGTTGGTACATATTTTATTAATACAAGGCCATAAGTTTAATATGGCCCCCACAGAATAATTTTGATTAACAAATATTTGCTGAGAAACAGTCTGGGTTCTTAAACTTCTCAGTTTAAAAATTGCTGAATTCAGGGAAGTCGAAGCATGAAGGTAGGGTGCAGGTGGGAGATAGGTATCACATTTAATTGAGAGAAGCCAGAAGGTTGGCATGGAAATCTGGAAAAAATAAGTTATAGATGTTCCAGGAGTTTGTTTCAGGCACTAAGTATACATGAATAAGAAACACCATCCCCACCCTCAGAGACTATGTAGCTATTTAGGGAGTGGTGACATTTTCTGTAACCCTAGATAGCTCACTCATGTTAAAACCTATGTGCCAGTTAGGGCTCTTGGTGGAAAGCAGGAAAAACTGACTTTGATAAAGAAAAGTTAACCTTTGGAAGGATCTGGCATGACTTACTAAACAAAAGCTTTGCTGAAGAGCCAGGCCGGAAAGGGCAGGAAGCAGGGATGCTCTGGGTATCCAGTAGCAGCGACTCATCTATTATTTCAGTAAGTCACCTCCACAGTTTTTCAAATCCTTTTGTCTCTCTACTAAAAATGTGAAGTCCTAGGAAATAAAAAGCCTTGGCCAGTGTCTTAGTCTGTTCCTGTGGCTATAACAAAATACCTTAGACTGGGTAGTTCATAAATAATAGAAACTTCTTGCTCACAGTTCTAGAGGCTGGGAAGTCCAAGATCAAGGCACCAGCACATTTAGTGTCTGGTGAGGGGTGCTCTCTGCTTCATACATGGTGCTTCTTACTGCACTCCTGCATGGCAGGAGGGGCACAGCTCTTTTATGAAGTCACTAATTCTATATATGAGGCCTGTACCCTCATGACTTGATCAGCTTCTAAAGGCCCCCCACCTCTTAATACTATCACATTGGTGATTAAGTTTCAACATATAAATTTGGGGGCAGGGACACAAATATTTAGAATATAACAGGCTGAGAAGGGCAAAGTATCTTGTCTTGACAGACTCATCAACTCTGCTTCACCAGAAGAATAGAGGAGTTGATGTTAGACAACCCAACATGATAATGTGTACTGTATTCAGTTAGGATTTAGCAGTGGGTATAAAACTTGGTCATTAAAACACCCCCACCCATCACATAGATAATTCATTTACTTATTTTCAAATATGACTTACCAAACTTCAGAATGTCACAGAAATAACTTTCCATCATTATGAAAAAGTAAAATTCACAAAAACATTTGTGGTATAATATATTAAAGAAATCATCTCTTCATGTCTGTCAGATACTTGGTCAAATACAAATTGTATGGCTCCATTAATGAATGAAATAAATACAAAAATTGTAAGTGGGACTTAATTAGCATTCTGTGAAGTGCCTATGAAAATTAGACTAGGAAAATGATAGTGGTATTTGGAAGCCATTTTCAATTTCAAGAAATGGATTGAATCATGTTTGAATGGAGAAGGTGAAAAAATGGCTCTAAAAGATCTGCTCAGCAGAGAATGTAGAAGGTAAATTTTATTTTTAATGCTATTCAAACAGAGAAGAAACAGGTTAACATTTAAATGAATAACATTAAAAAATAAGATATAATTTTTATACTCAAAATTCTTATAATATTGTCAAAATATATCTTAATATTCTCCTAGTGGTATATTTATTCTTTTGAAATGATATCATGCAGAACTTTGTAAATAAAGAGTTATTTCAGGGAGTTTATTTATTTATTGATTTATTTTTAGAGAGTGTCTCTCTCTCTCTGTCACCCAGGCTGGAGTGTAGTGGCGCAATAATGACTCACTGCAGCCTTGACCACCTGGGCTTAAGTGATCCTCCTGCCTCAGCCTCCCAAGTAGCTGGGAATACAGGCACACGCTGCCTTGCCTGACTTTTCTCTTTTGATAGAGACGGGGTTTCGCCATGTTGCCCAGGCTGATCTTGAACTCCTGAGCTCGAGTAGTCTACCTTCCTCAGTCTCCCAAAGTGTTGGGATTAGAGGCATCGGTTTTCTCTTCCATTTTAAAAGGCATGCAATAGTAATGCTCACCTTCAACTAATTTTCAGCTCATGTAAGTTTTTTTTCTCAGGTTCTGTTTGTTGTGGCCTGATGCTAACAATGTTTTCTTAAAGGTCTAAAGGAAATATTTTCTTCTGACATAATCTGTGCACTGCAGAAGGTCTTTTCTTTTGCATTTTGGTAACTGGCCTAAAAGGTTTTACATTTTATCAAAAATAATTCCTATGCCATTGTTATTAAGCTTGGATTGCTTAGAAAAAACAGAGATTAAAAGAGATTTTATTTTGCCTGTAATCCCAGCTACTTGGGAGGCTGAGGTAGGAGAATCACTTGAACCCGGGAAGCGGAGGTTGCAATGAGCCGAGATCCCACCATTGCACTCCAGCCTGGACAGAAAGAGTGAAGCTCCATCTCAAAAAAACACAAAGCAACAACAACAACAAAAACAAATTTTTTTTTAAACTAAGGTTTTTACATCCATGTATCTTCCTGTAAAGTCCTTGTGACATTGAGTTACAGGGCTTTGACTCCTATATCTAAAAAGGACACCAAGTCCTGCTACATCTTAAACACTGACAGTAATTAAAGCCTCATCTTCAGGCCTGGTAGAAGATGCCAATCAAAATAAACTGCATTCCTGAGACACAGGGCCAGAAATTAAAGCTATTCAACTCCTCAGGCCTAGGGACTATTGTGCATGTGAGATTGTAAGGGCAGATTTTTAAAGATAAAATAAGTTCAGTTTCTTTATAAATTAACCATTAATGTCAAAGGCATACTGATGCAAGACAAGCGTATGGGCCCCTGTGTTAGATTAACAAGGTGTCTCGAAGCATTTACTGACTCCTTAATAAAGGTTATGAAAGTTATATCTTATGATCAAGATTAAAATTTTATAAATTGTTTATACAATTCTGGAAAAAAATTTAATTGGCTTTATACTGTTTTTATTAGGGCTTATTGTTTGGAAAATTAAGTCTGTCTGCTCAAAGAATGAGGGTTTTCATCTTTTTTTGAAATCCTTGAGTTATCAATTTGGTTAAGCGAATGGCTTATTTTACAATGACCGGTGATCCTATTTTGTGATATCAAGTATTATAAACCTTTGATATTTGACAAATGTTCCAAAATCAAGTTATAAATTATGTCTTTTCCTGACCTAATTAATCCTTTCAGATATTATTAACAGGTTCCCTACAGTCCAAAGATGACATATTTGTCTTATTTGGTATAAAAGTTATACAGGAATCACTGTCAAACATGAAATGGTGTTTGGTTTCCTTTGGGCTGTATTTAGATACACATGTTATTTGGTATGTTTTCTAAAATTATGGTAAACTATAATTCTGATATGACTTAGTGTACATTATCAGTAATAATTATAATTGTTGTGTTAAATTATTGTGTGCCACAGAGGTAACCAATTTCCTTGTCAATTGTGTCTTTGACTATGGCTGCCCTAAAACTTTTTGTCATCCACAGAGAATTGTTGTCTTGTTTTGGTCCTCTTTAGAAGATGATCTTCTATATGGCTATAAAACCCTAACAGGTGCTCTTGAATGCAGGTTTCTGATAACTCTGGAGATTGTGATGTCAGAATAGAGGAAAAAAGTTTCAGGATTCATGGAGAGCTGAAATGTTCATGAATATGAGAACAGGAATTAGCTGCATGGACTGAACTAATAGAAGACTGAAGTGATCTCTTTGACTTTTTGCTTAAAATGTTGCTGATCCTTTATTTTGTTTTTCAGAGTCAAGGAAACTTTTCTTTTGAGCTATTGACAGCTTTTTAACAATTAAGTATGCTCCTGTGAACAAAATTTGGAGCATATTTGTTTCTCTCTACCTGATTTCTCCAGAATTTGGAAATTATTTGTGAATATTGTTAATTTATGGCAATATAGTTATTTGCATAAGTGCAATAAGAATCTGTTTTCATTTGTAACAAGACACAGTTGGAGAAACTTGTTATTTTACCAAGGCTTTGACTGGAATAGTGTGCTTTCCTTTAAGGAATCAAACCTGACTTACAGAGCCAATAAAAGCCTCTGTAGGAAAACTGGCCTTATACCTTGTCTACACAGTCTCTGTACAGGGTTCCTGACCTGTAATAAGCAAAGAATATCACTTCCTGACAGGCGCAGGAACCCCAAGTAATCTTGAGGAGAAGAATTCACCAAACTCCTTGGTATTTGATGGTAACAAATCCATGGCTGGGCTTGGCTTTAAAAAGGAGTCTTATCTGAGCTTCCTTCTATGGAACAAAGTTCCAACAAAGCCAATTTATAAAGCCTATGTGAAAAATAATTATTCTTGCTGCACTTTATACAAATAATCTGGCCAAGTATAATAAAGCAAATTAGTCTATCATGATGTGTCATTAGTAAAAATGGGAAACTGGAGTTATGTTTCAAAACCTACAGTACACCTATTGTTAGATTCTAGTTTTGCCTAATGTTTTTCAGTTTTTATTATTTTCTATGGTTTGCACTGAATTCTAATTTTTCCTGGCTACAGGTCGTCAAAATAGTGTTTTCACTTTTTTTCTTGTTCCTTTTCCTTTTTTTCCCCTGCAAACTGAATCTAGACAACTTAAACTTCAGAAGAAAATGACAGCAACCTATTTACATACATGAGCCACTTTCGAACCTGCCTACTGTTGTATGGCTTTCAGAGTAATGTGGCCTATATTGATTTTCCAGGATTATTCTTTTGTTTGTTGTTGTTTTTCTCCCTTTCTTCCCCTGTTTTCTTTTCATAGGACACAAGACTTCTCAACTTGCTAAAAATTAGCTTTCCTAGTAACTCAGGACCTACCCATCTAGGAATAAATCATCTTAGCCATAAGGGATCAGATGAAACCTGAGACCAGAGACTCATTTTCTTCTAAAATGCTTTCTCCAAAAAAATTTTTAAGAAGAAAAGGGGGGAAATGTGAAAGGAAAATCTAGGGGCCCCAAAATCACTAAGCTAAAGAGAAAAGTCAAGCTGGGAACTGCTTAGGGCAAACCTGCCGCCCATTCTACTCAAAGTCATCCCTTTGCTCACTGAGCTGAGTATCTGATTTCCTTTTTTGGAAATGCTAATCAAAAACTCAAAAGATGCAACTGTTTGTCTCTCACTTACCTGTCACCTGGAAGCCCTCTCCCTGCTTGAGTTGTCCTGCCTTTCCAGGAACCAATGTACATATTACATATATTGATTGATGTCTCATGTCTCCTTAAAATGTATAAAACCAAATTGTGCTCTGACCACCTTGGGCACATGTCATCAGGACCTCCTGAAGGGTGTGTGAAGGGTGCGTGTCCTCAACTTTGGCAGAATAAACTTTCTAAATTAACTGAGACCTGTCTCAGATATTCGGGGTTCACAAGATGTTTTGAAATTTAATGCAGTTTATTTTTTGTGTGTGGTTTAAAATTTTTATTACTTGTTTAAAAAGATCCTTTCCAATATCAAGGTCATGCAGACATTCTTTGACATTTTCTCCCAATTGCTTTACATTTTTAGTTTTTTAGATGGCAGTGTCTTTGTCCTTACAACTTCCTCTAACATTTGCAACTGTATCTCTTCCTGGCTGACTCTTTCTTTCCCATCAGCTTTCTGTTCAAATGTTACTTCCTTATCTGGCCTCTCAATAAAAAAAAAAATAGTCCCCATACAACACCAGTTACTCTCTCAAATTATGCTGTTTTATTTTCTTCTCTACACAATTACTCTCTGCAATGATTCTGTTCATTTTTCTTGTTCATTTGTTTACTTTTTTATTTTATGTTTCCTCTACACCAGGTGTAAGTGCTTAAGAACAAAGGTCTTTGTCTTGTTCACTATAGCATCCCCAACATCTAGAATGGAACTATTGCTAACAGGGTTGTCAGGGAGCAGATGCTGGAGGGAGTTTCTGTGTGGGTTGCTCAGTAGATCACGCCCTTTGGTTCAACACCAGTGGAAGGGAAGAGGCAGAAGCAAGATCAAGCCAAGTCAGGAGTGGAGCTGCAGTGCTGGCCCCAGTGCCTTAGCTCTTGACATAAAATAACACGGCAGCATCATCCTGCATGAGTGATCAGAACTTTCCCACCCACCTACATAAGACATTGAGGATGCCTGACCTGGGCAGGGTGGCTCTACAGCTGAGGCCACCCCTGCAGGGGCTGACAGCTGGAGGCAACAAGTCCTCTCCTGTAGGGGCATCTTGGCAATCCAGCTCTGTGTCTATCACAGGTGTCTGGCACATAATCAGCATGTAATAAATTTTTCTTAAATGAATGTTTTTCTGAGCAGAAGGTAAAATTTCTGAGGAACAGTATTTAAAACATTTTAATGTGAGTACTGCAGGAACTGACTCTAGAAATTTTGGTTACAAGCCACATTCTTAGCACCCTTTTGCTCTTCTGTGCTTACCCCACAAAGGTCACTGTTTATATTTTTTCTTGTTATTTATTTTTTTCAACTTTAGTGCTTCCTAGGAAAAATCTATGATTTTGCTGTTGTTGTGGCTCTTTTTAATTTCTGCTTTCAATACTTAGTCATTTCTCAATGCATGAGTATTTGTTGTCCTATAGTGCCTTTATAATTTCATTTTTTTTTTTTTTTTGAGATGGAGTCTTGCTCTGTCACCCGGGCTGGAGTGCAGTGGCGCTATCTCGGCTCACTGCAAGCTCCGCCTCCTGGGTTCACACCATTCTCCTGCTTCAGCCTCCCAAGTAGCTGGGACTACAGGTGCCCGCCATCACGCCTGGCTAATTTTTTGTATTTTTAGAAGAGACGGGGTTTCTACTAAAAGAAACCATCCGTGTTAGCCAGGATGGTCTCGATCTCCTGACCTCGTGATCTGCCTGCCTCGGCCTCCCAAAGTGCTGAGATTACAGGGGTGAGCCACCACGCCCAGCCCTATAATTTCATTTTGGCTTTAACTCTTTCACTTATGATAAATTAATCTTGTACAGTATGAAGAAGAACCTATACTTTTTTCTTAAATTGTCTTAAATGAGTAATCATTTTGATGTATGCTTTTTTTTTTTTTTTTGACAAAGTCTTGCTCTGTCTCCCAGGCTGGGTGCAGTGGCATGATCTTGGCTTACTGCAAAGTCAGCCTACCAGGTTCAAACAGTCCTCATGCCTCAAACTCCTGAGTAGCTGGGATTACAGGTGTGCACCACTGTGCCTGGCTAATTTTTGTATTTTTAGTAGAGACGGGATTTCGCCATGTTGGCAAGGCTGGTCTTGATCTCCTGGCCTCAAGCAGTCCACCCACCTTGGCTTCCCAAAGTGGTGGGATTATAGACATGAGCCACTGCACCCAGCCTATGATGTGCACTCTTAATTTTTTTTGCACATTTGATGAGCTCCAGAAAGAACTGAAGAAAAAAAAATTCTGGGAAATAACTTATTTGGGTTACCTAAGGATGACAGTTTACAGAGATGATTGCATCTATTATTATGCTGTTAAGATATTAAGAAAGTTGTGTGGCAGCTCCTCTGACTTGTATTTTTCTATATAAAGGAGAAATGGTTAACTCTGTATTGTTGCCCTTTCCTTCTAATTAATTATTTCAGTATCTAACTCATGCTCAGTGCAAATATTCAAGGAAATCCAAATGTTTTAAAGCCCAGTTGGTTTGCATGAGTTAGAACTAACTTTCTGTTATTTATTTAGTTTTCCATTTTGGTTTGTAGTGTGAAGTCCCAAGAATGAACACTTTAATATAAGCTTTCCTGTCTTGAGTTTGGTTTGATTAGAAATGTCACTGAAAATTGAACTGTGTGGGAGTAGAGAAAAATATCTCTCAGAGGGCAAAAATAGCAATAACCAAAGAACATAAAAATAAGACTATAGAAAATCATCTAAGCTTTTGAACATCCCTCTAGGTATAGTATGGGTTTGGCACAGCAGGATATTTTGATTTTGAGTTGGTTTCTTATTCTGATGTCTTAAGAGGGGATTATCATTTCAGTGAACTTCCATTGTAGCTTTGTGTGCTAGTGAGAGTTTTCTATCATATTACAGAAAAAAGAAAATGAATTTCAATTCTGGATCCAGCAGGAGGAAAAATATTGGCATTGATTTTCACTTTTCCAATGAATGTGAAGACTGTTTAGACATCTGCAAATAGGGTAGATAAAGACTTTGATGATGGGAAGGGAGATAAATATTTACCTTTTAAATATATTTATATACATACTATATATTTTAGTTTTTAAAATCTATTTTTGTGGGAATTTTATATTTTATAAAGGTTTACTATGTTAAAAGTTTGGAATTTCTGGGGAAAAAAACTAAAGTATAAAATACTCATTTTTTTTAAACAAAGAAACAGAAGATTCTAAAATGTAACTTTGGAGTCATCCTGAAGTGGCAACCAGAGAAGAATTAAGGGCACTGCGGTGGAACACCATCCCTTTCTTTGATGTGCAAAAAAGGCCAGGCCTTAACATAGATCCATGGGTGAAAATCCAAAACCCTGCAAGATTCCTGCTCAGTGCCACGTTTTTGGGAAAAAAATTGATAGAATGTGAACATGGAATAGGTAGTATCTGGGAAGAGAAAGAGTGCAAGACAGAATCTGATGATTTCATAGAGTGCATGCTTCAGCAGAAAACAATGGGACTTGTGAGAGCCATCAAGAAGTTGCGGGATAAGCTAATAATGGAAGGGAAGTACACCCTTCCACCTCACTGCTTGGGTAAGGGGGATCCTAGGCCCTGAGCAGAGCCACTGCTGATGTCTGGAGGCTAAATTTCATGTTCTCTATTCTCCACTGGAAAGACTGTTTAATGAAAACTTATTTGTCAAAGTGTGTAAAAGTAAAGGTTTGCTTCATTCTAAAATAAATAAAACAATAAATACATAAATGAAATATAACTTTGGATTTCATGACTCTTTTTCTGTAGCAAAAAGCATTACATGGTGTATTAGTAAGGGTTCTCCAGAGAGGCAGACCAATAGGATAGATAGATAGATGGATGGATAGATAGATAGATAGACAGATAGATAGATAGATAGATAGATAGATAGATAGATAGATAGATAGATAGATGGATAGACAGACAGATATACATAGATATAGATAGATGAGAGGAGATTCATTAGGGGAATTGGCTCACATGATTATGGAGGCTAAGAAGTCCCATGATAGTCTTCCTGCAAGTTGGAAAACCAGGAAAGCCCTCAGTATTGCTCAGTCCAAGTTCCAAGGCCTCAGAACCAGAGAAGCCAATGATGTAACTTTCAGTTTGAGACTGAAGGCCAGATAGCTCAGGAGACTGCTGGCGAGCGTCCGTTGTCCAGATGCCCAAGAACCTAGAGTTCTGGTGTCCAAGGCTAGGAAAAGAAGGGCATCCAGTTTCAGAAGAGAGAGAGAGCTAAAACACATCCTTCATCCACCTTTTTATTTTATCCAGGCTCACAGCTGATTAGATGATGCCCGCCCACATTAAGGAAGGATCATCCCCACTCAGTCCAACAATTCACATGCCAATCTTCTCTGCAAACACTCTCACAGATACACAAATAAATAATGCTCTACCAGCTATTTAGATATCTAGCCGAGTTGACACCTAGAACTAACCATCTCCTCTGGAAACACTCTCACAGATACACAAAGAAATAATGCTTTACCAGCTACTTAGGTATGCAGCCAAATTGACACCTAGAACTAACCATCACACACGGTATTAAAGAAAGGACCCGTATATGCATAAATTCTGATTAATAATATTCTTTGAGAGCTGCTATCATGTACATGGACAATTGTCTTTTATTTGTTTGTTTATTGTGGCAAAATATGTGTAACATAACATTTACCATTTTAACCACTTTTAAGAGGTTCAGTGGAAGTAAGTACATTCATATTGTGTAACCATCACCACTATCCACCCATCTCCAGTACTTTTTCGTCATCCAAAACTGAAATGTTGTACTCATTAAGCAATAACCATCCCCTTTCCCCCTAGCCCCTGGTAACCACTATTCCACTTTCCATCTCTACGAATTTGGCTATTCTAGGTACCCCCTATAAGTAGAAACATACAATATTTGTCATTTTGTGACTGGCTTAATGAGCATAATGTCTTTAAGGGTCATCCATGTTGCAGAATGTTTTCGCATTGAATAGTCTTGGCTCCCCTGTCAAAAATCATTTGACCATATATGTGAGGCTTATTTCCAGGTTCTCTATTCTATTCCATTGGTCTATATGTCTATCTTTATGCCAGTATGACACTATTTTGATTACTGTAGATTTGTAATACATTTTGAAATTAGGAATTATGTCCTCTCTATTTTTTTCCAACAACATTTTGTAGTTTTCAATGCAGAAGTCTTTTACCTCCTTAATTAACTTTATTCCTAAGTATTTTATTTTTATGATGCTATTTTAAGTAGAATAATTTCTTAATTTCCTTTTTGGATTATTCGTTGTTAGTATATAAAAATGCAAATAATGTTTTCATGTTAATTTTGTAACTTGTAACATGGCTGAATTTGTTTTTTATTTCTAATAGTTTTTTGTGAGACCTTTAGCATTTTCTATACATATATAAGGTCATGTTATCTGGGCACACATAATTTTACTTCTTCCTTTCCAATTTGGATCCTTTTATTTCTTTTTCTTGCTTAGTTGCTCTGGCTAGGACTTCCAGCACTGTGTTAAACAGAATACCATTTCCATGTTATAAACATCAGAGATAAGTGTGGCCAAAGTAATCAGGAGGCTGCAGAAGACTTTAAAAAATACTACTAAGTGTTATGTGGAATAGGTTTGCAACATTGATGAGACTGGCTTTTTTTCAAGGACTCTGGCAAAGTAGCCTATAAAACACACATGGCATTTCAATTAATGAAGATGTAACCAGAGGCTTATAGGAATCTAATGCTGCATGGCCTCTAGGAGCAATAGTTCAGTATTTCATAACCTAGTGCTCATGACAAGTTTATAAGACGTAACTACCATGAATAATGAGAATTGACTGTGTTTCCTGAAGTACAGGTTTTAGCTCCAAGGACCTATTTGTAGTTGCCTGAAAATGCTTTTCCTGAGATGCTTTCTCCTCTTCATCTTTCAAGTCTCAGCCCCAGTCATCCCCAGGCAATTTCTCTGTGCCCCCACCATGAGGGTGACTGAGATAGTCATCATCTATGCTTGTTAACACACCATGCATGTACCCCTATTTCAGCATTTATCACACTAATGTATTGATTTTTCTGCATTTCCACTAGTCTCTAAGCTGCTTGAGGACAAAGCCCATTACACACACATACACAATTTGGTGAGTGGCAAATATCAACATTCCAAGATATTTCTTCTATCGCCCTTTTACTTTATTTTTAAAATTAACATACAGTAGCATGCCATATATAACTGATTCTATATTTCTATGTTTTGGTAACTTCGCACAGTGTCTGGCCCACAGAGAGGTTCAGTAAATATTTGAAACAAAGCATGAAGGTTAAGAATATTTATTTGTTCTACCCAATTAAAGTTCCTTGGGTCATACATTTTTAATAAAAACATAAAATAATTTTAAACTAACATACTAAATTAATCATTCTAAACAACTTCTCTACCCCTTTTTCTTTGTAGTTTGAACTAAATAAAATTTTGCTGAGCAAAAAATAAACTTCAGCTTGGTCCAAATAGACTAATTAGGAATTCATACTGTGCCATCTGAATTAATGAGTTTTTTACTGTACTCAGTGTAATTCTAGAATATTAAAGCCAGAGGAGATCCCAACTTATACAAGTGTTAATTAGGCTCTTCAAGGTTAACTAAAGAGATAGGAGGGGAAAAGAACAGGAATACCCCTTATCAGGCCTTCTAGGGCCTTAAAAGAAGGTCATTCAAGGACAGCCCTGGGTCCAGCATTCTGACAGCAGCTCTGTGATTGAACAACTCCTAGCTGTCTCCTTATGGGTAGACATTGACTACTTCTGGAACTGAGGCTGCTGTTATGGAAAATGGGTTACTCCAGCCTCTGCTTGTTCATGGCTTGTCTTGACTCATTACTTCTGCCATTATTCTGTCTGCCTGCTTATTCTCTGCCCAGACTGCTGATGGTTTCTCTAGGTCTTGATTTCAAACCTTTACAAAGATAGGCTCTGAAGTTTCCAGTTAATCTCCTTCCTGCCAGGCAGAGATCTGACACTAGTCCACCTGCTAAGATGGTGACCCCCTTACAAATTAGCTGTCCTTGAAGCAAGCACCTGCTCCTTGGGCCAGGATGGTGAGAAGACATGGTCCACCTTCTTAGAAGGCCTGTGTGGGTGGAATGCACTCAAGTCACACCACTGGGCACTCCTCCCTGATTCAAGAAGCAGAAAGTGAAGTCTGAAAAGTTAGGTGGACCATTCCAAGGAGTTTTCCTTTTAAAGCCCACTCTGATCTAGGTCTCTGAAGCACATCATCACCCCAATATTGAGAAACCTGGTCTCTGGTTTGTTCCTTTTGACCCACTACAAATGTTTTGGTTAAATCTTTAAAGGCTGCATTAATAAATACATCCAGACCCAAGAGAGGGTTCTCAGATCTTATGCAAGAAAGAATTCGGGGTGAATCTAAAAGTGAAAGCAAGTTTATAAAGAAAGTAAAGAAACAAAGGAATTACTACTCCATAGGCAGAGTAGCAGCATGGGCTGCTGGACTGAGTACACTCATTTCTACTCAGGAACTGAGGGTTCCTCTCCTTTTTAGACCATATAGGGTAACTTCCCCATGTTACTATGGTATTTATAAGCTGTCATGGTGCTGGTGGGAGTGTCTTTTAGCATGCTAATGCATTATAATTAACATATAATGAGCAGTGAAGATGATCAGGTGTCACTTTTGTGGCCATCTTGGTTTTGGTGGGTTTTGGCTAGCTTCTTTACAGCATCCTGTTATATCAGCAGGGTCTTTATGACCTGTAGCTTGTGATACCAGTCCTGCCAACCTCCCATCTCATCCTGTAACTAAAAACGTCTAACCTCCTGGGAATGTGACCCAACAGGTCTCAGACTTATTTTAGCCCCCTATTCAAGATAGAATCGCTCTGGTTCAAATGCCTCTGACTATACTGCCCTTGTGTCTTTTACCCAAATTATTTATGATTAAAAAATAAGGATGTCTGATATCATTGGAACATGAATAAGTAGGCCCACAGCAGATAATTTTCATTTGTTTTCCTTAATCTAAACAGATGAGTTGCTGTTTTATAAACAAATATGTAACATTGCAAGAGAAACTGGCATGAAGCTTACCAGAATCTACAGTTACTTAGAAGCTATTAGTATTACTTTGTTTTAGAAGTTTGACATAAGGGAATATGGAAAATAGAAATTTATTCAATTGATATTTATCAAGAACCAACTATGTGCGAGACACTGCACTAAGCCCTGGAAATATAGCAGTGAACAAGGGAGATGTAGTCTCTGCTTTCATGGCACATAAATAGTATGTACTCTATTGTCTTGGGTTTCCCATGTTTTTAGGATGATGAAGAGTAGGGCAAGGGGTAGACTCAGGGGTTAAAACTAAGTCCTAGAATCCTGCCTCAAAGTTTTCTAAATGAAGTATAAATGAAATACTTTTTGCAACCAAATAAGTAATTTGAACATTACAAATGGCAATTTGGTTGGATGTGGTGGCTCATTCCTGTAAATCCCAGTGTTTGAGGAGGCCAAGGTGGGGGGGATCAGTTGAGGCCAGGAGTTTGAGAACAGCCTAGGCAACATAGGGAGATTCCATCTCTACAAAAAAATAAAAAATATAAAATAGCCGCATGTGGTGCTGTGTGCCTGTAGTCCCAGCTACTCAGGAGGCTGAGGTAGGAGCATCGCTTGAGCTCAGGAGGTCAAGGCTTCAGTGAGCTGTGACTGTGCCCCTGCACTCCAGCCTGGGTGATAGAGTGAGACCCTGTCTCAAACAAACAAACAAACAAAAAGGCAATTTAACTCCAACTTCATGCAAGCTGTGAGTCAGAATAATGCCATAAGGATTTTTTAAAATAATTAATGGCCTTGTTGCCCTTTGGGATTTCTTCCTTTTCCTCCTCCCCACACTGTCATTTCCCCAGACTAAAAAGATTTTAAAAACCAGCAAATAACTAGCAGTCCACATCTTGATTATTAGGTTGATTTCAAGCTTTCATAAACCCCATGGTGTACGATGAAACCTCAGGCCCTATAGTCCTGAGTAGTTACCAGTTTCCATCACAAAAGACTCATTATTGCCTCAGCCTGCATCCTTCCCAATTATTCAGCCCCAGGTTAGCATGAAAGGACCTGCCCTTCTTCCGGCTTTGACTAGTTTTTCTTGCAGCGGATTCATTTCTGCTCACAAAACAGTTTTTTTGTAACCTATTAAAACACCCAAAATACAGGCCCGTGAATGGACACTCCATCCTGTTGTTACTTGGCACCAGGGAGGGTGTGCTTCAAGCAGTGGAGCCTCAGCAGGAGATCTCTGGAAAGCATGGCAAATATCTCTCCACATCTACTGCTCATCCCTTAAAACTGGTGATGGCTTAGATTCCTGTGGGGAGACTCCATTACCCAGGGCATCAAGTGAGCATCAGGGACAACAGATAAAGACCATGTTAATCTTGAAACCAAAAGGATACTACGCCCAAAAGTCAAACCTCGGCCCCCACCTGAATAGTTTCTATTCATGTAATATCACCTTATTTAAAATGGGAGATGCAGTAGAAGGATGGTTACCAGAGGCTGGGAAGGGTAGTGGAGGGTTCAGGGGGAGGTAAGGATGGTTAATGGATACCAAAAGAACAGAAAGAATGAATAAGACCTACTATTTGATAGCACAATAGGGTGACAATAGTCAATAATAACTTAATTGTATATTGTTAAATAACTTAAACAATGTAATTGGGTTGTTTATAACTCAAAGTACACATGTTTCAGGGAATGGGTGCCCCATTCCACATGATGTACTTATTTCACATTGCATGTCTGTATCAAAACATCTCATGTACCCCATAAATATGTAAACCTACTATGTACCCACAAAAATTTTAAAAAATAATAAAATATATTAAAATAAATTAGTTAATAAATACAATGGGAGATGGAATATCCTTTGAGCTATCATCCAACTCTGCTTCTGTATTCTGACAAAATGTGTATATTCTGCTGCCTCAACCAAATTATCCCCCCATCCTTGGCCCTACAACCATTTTTTCCACAGAATTAGTCAACACACACACACACACACACACACACACACACACACACACACCCTAACTGTTCCCAATTTAGATGGTATTATAATCTCCAACAGTGAATGTGGGTGCCCTGTGATATTGGGCAGTTTCACCAGGAGGAAGCCACTTCTGACCTTTTCTCCTGGAAAATGAACCAACAGTCAGATTCACCTAGAAGCCACCCTTATGTTCCATTGTCTGATGGATAGTTCAACCTTAGACATTGATTGACTCACAGTGTTGTTGAGTCCAAAGCTCGTATTGCTCACTGCATGAGGGCTCTCATAAGTCGACAGATAAGGTGTTAAGGAAAGGAGGGCATCTTTATTTCAGGGAGCCAGCAAACCAAGAAGATGGCAAACTGATGTCCTAAAGAACCATCTTAAGTGGATAGATTTTTAGGCTTCTTTTAAGTTAGGGGAAGGAAAAACAGAGAGGGGTTAAGGTCCATAGGTGACTGGTGACCACACCCATCTGGGCATCAGCAAGGATCTGAGGAGGTGGCAGAACTTTGTCTATGGTTAACTGTTTGTCAGATCCGCTTTGTTCCTATAAATCTTTAAGACAGCATAGTTGTTTGTGTGCATACTTCCTTATCTCCTGGGGGTTAGTTTTGGGAAGCAACTATTATCATCCTTGTTTTAAAGTTAAACTGTAAACTGAATTCCTCCCTTGGCCTATGTGCAGGAATGAGCAAAGACAGCTTGTAAGGTTAGAAGCAAGATGGAGTCAGCTATATTAGATTTATCTCACTGTTAAAACAGGTATAGTGAAGTGTCTGAACAACTTCAGGCATGCTTTGGTTATTGAATTCAGCCTCAGAATCACACATTTATTATGAAATGAAATGAAAACCTTTGTCATACTATTAATTTGTAAGACTGAAATAGATTTTCTAAAGGCATATTTACTCTCATTGTGGCAATCTGTCCTTATATTTAAAAATAATAATGTCAATTATCATCAAAGTCTGATAACTGATTCTACAGTGTACTGATATGTAAAATAAATCAATGAGCAACTTAAAGCCCTTTTCCAGTAGTTATTTCACGTAAACTAGGTGAATGGGAGCTTATAGGTTTCTGGTGAATCTGTGGCTCTTGATGTGGATACATCAAGAAATTTACATGTCCCTTTCTCTGACTTTTCTTCTTGCAATTTTGGGCATAAGAATATATAATTTGGTTATAAAAATAAAGGGCTCACATTCAGAATATGTAAAGAACTTCTATAAATCAATAAGAAAAAGATATCTACAGAAAATAGGAGAAGATCTGAACAGGTAATTTACAAAAGAAGATCTCCAAATGGTTTTCAACTTCATTAATAATCATGCCGATGCAAATTAAAATCACAATAAGATACCACCATACATGGAACAGAATAGCTAAAACTTAAAAGTCTGACAAACCAAGTGTTGGTGAAGGTAAAGAGCAATGAGACCTGTCATTTGCTGTAGAAGGGAGTGTATTGTGCTTGGTATTGTACATTAGATCTAAAAATTAGCATATGCTAGGACCCAGATATTTAACTCTTGGTGTAACTGAAATGCATATATATGTACAGCAAAAGACATACAAGAATGTGTGAAGCATTGTTATTTTTCATAGAAAAAAAACCGTGAAGAAATCTATATGAGACTTCTGGTTTCCAGCTTGGAAATCATCATTCCCATCCTTACGACAAGAAAAATGATGGACAAACTGAAAGCCAACATCTTTTCTTGGATCTGTCAGAGAATTGAGGTCACAAGGCAAACCACTGCCCCCAAAATCAGAGAGATGGGTGAGTACGGAGAATCATAGTTTTCTGGGAATACAAGCCCAGGAGCAAAAGCCACTACTGGAGCTGGTACTAGGGTATAAAAGCTTAACTTGTAATCAATAAATTGCTAGAGCTCAGTGTGCCCATGCTTGAGAGTTGGAAATTCAGGGAGGTGGGTATGCCTAGTCTTTGGGGACCCCATACTTTCATGAGTTTTATCACCAAGAGTCCCATCAAATGCTCAGGGTGAAGATCAAAGGAAAACTCCCTCTTGCTTCCTGCAAGGAATAAAGAAAAGTAACCATTCTGAAATACATCCAGTGTTGGATTTAATAAAAATGTACCCTCAAGGAAAACTACTTTAGCAGAGCCTAACCACCTTGGGTTTTACCAGAACCTAACAGAAAGAGAAAGGAAGAGAAAACATCCAACTCCAGTCCCTTCTAGCCTTCCTGTCTCACCTAAGCCTTGTTGTAAGAGTAGAGCATGATTGTAAAGCACTTGTGCAGGTCACAGGGGCACAGGCTCCATAAAAGACTGAAACCTAATCATAGGACGACATGCTTTCCCTCCCCTCACACTCTTCTACCACATCAATAGGGCTTCTGTATAATAGCAGATTAAACTAAAAGAACTGCAAGCGTCAGTCCTTATTTAAGAAGTCTCAAGAAAGAACCCAAAGACAACAGAGGAGGAAAAAATAAGGACACCAAAGAAAATGTTGGTCTTTAGCATCCACGGCTATGACAAAGAATCAACACAGTTTAACTCCTAGCCGAAGAAGCACAAAACCTCAGTATGTCGTGGACAGTTTTCAACAAAAATATCAAAGGCAAAAACACAGCTAGACGAGACAGAGAAATCAGAATCAGACTCAGACATAGCTGCAATTTTGGATTTATCATGCTAAGAATTTGAAATAGCTGTGATTAATATACTAAGGACTTGAAAGGAAAAAGTGCACAACATGCAAAAGCAGATAAGTAATGTAAACAGAGAGATGGAAACTCTTAGAAAGCACCAAAAGGAAATGATAGAAATCAGAAACAGTGTAACAGAAATGAAGAATGCCTTTAATGAGTTCATGACTAGACAAAACACGGCTGAGGAAAGAATTAGTGAGCTCAAAGATATGTCAACAGGAACTTCCCAAATTGAAAAGCAAAGAGAAAAAAGAATGAAAGAGACAGAATAGAATATCCAGGAAATGTGGGACAATTTTAAAAGGTATAACATATTCATAATGACAATATTAAAAACAGAAGAGAGAAAGAAACAGAAGAATTATTTGAAGTAACAATGGCTGACAATGTTCTAGAATTAATGACAGACAAAAAATCACAGGCCCAGGAATCCAAAAGAACGTTAAACAGGGCAATACTAAAATCCTCTACACCTAGTCATAGTCGAAGTACAGAAAATCAAAGAAAAAGAGAAAATCTTGAAAGAAACAAGAGGGAGGAAAAAATGCTTCACCTATACAGGGACAAAGATAAGAATTAAATCAGACTTTTTTCTGAAACAATGCAGACAAGCAAGAAAAAAAAATCCACCAACCTAGAATTCTGTATCCAGCAAAATTATGCTTCAAAATGAAGGAGATATAAAAACTTTCCTAGACAAAGAAATATTAGGGAAATTTGTCACCCATCAATCTGTCTCACAAATAAAAAAGGTTAAAAAAAGTTCTTCAGAGAGGGAGGAATGTGATACAGGCCAGAAATTTGGATTTACATAAAGAATGAGTGTTAGAGGAAGAATAACTGAAAGGCTTCTCTGTTCCCTCCCTGAAGTACTAGCACCATTCCCTGAAATTAGACCACCCTGTTCATGTCATTGAATACAAACGCCTACTCATTTTCTTTCTTTATTCTTTTTTTCTCATTTTTTCTTTTTCACATTTTTCTTTTCTTTTGTTTTCTCACTTTTTTCTTTGTTCTTTGTTTTCATTTTCTTCTTTTGTTAGTTGTTAGTATTGTTAGCAGTAAGTTCACCATGCTGCAGGGCCTCTTGGCCATCTCGGCTCAGGAGGAGACCCATATTGGCCATGACCAGCTCCTCAAGATAGCAAGAATATCTTTATCAAGGTGAAGATGGCCTGGCACTTCAAAAGTGGGGCTGTGCAGATCATCAACACAAGTCAGTGGAATGCATCTCTGCTCTGAGACTGTTCCACAAAGTCTAGAAGGGCCAATGCTGGATGGAGACAGCTGTGGAAAAGAGCTGTGTGGGAAGTCCATCAACTGTGTGTGCGTGGCATGCCCGGCCAAGAGGATCCCGGGAGTGGAGGATGACGGTGTGCAAACTGCTGTGGCATTCCCTCCATGGGTTCAAAGTATTTGTCATCCCCATGGCATTCAAAAGCATTGTGTCCAAAATAACTGTGGGTTTAAGTTTCAAAGAGTGCCAGGATCCACCTGGGAGACAAGAGGAGAGGCTTGCTAGAAGGTGCAGGCTGACCCCTCCACTCCAGCCTGGGTGAAACTTAAAGAGAATAGACTATTTCCTGAGGCATTTCTCCCACACCCTGATCCTCTCTGTCTTTTATTCTGTGTTTGTTGGGGAGGGAGGTGGTTCTATAGAAATAAACACAATAAAAATTTTAATGGGGAAGTATTTAATATCTTATTTTCTGAGTTGTTTTTAACGATGGATTCTGGGAGGTAATTATTGATTTCAATGGCTCTTATTTATGTTTGTCATAGGGAACATAAGCTTGTCACTTCCTTCAGCTGGTTTTATAACAATGACATTAACACCAATAAATAACATTAGCAGCTACTACTGGCCAAAGTCTTTCTATATCATTCTTCTTATTTTTAGCCACACAAAGCCACTTAACAGATTTGAAAATGAATAGTGAGGGAGGTTAAGGAGCTTGTTGAAAATCACTGAACTGGTGAATGGCAGAGCTTATGTTGTGAGCTTGTGCTCTCAACCTCAGTGCTATCAGACCTCCCTTGGTTCAGGTCTATGGGCCCCTAGAGTCCTGTTTTTGTTTTGTTTTGTTTGGGCATCCTTTTGAGGTTGGTTTACTGTGACTCTTAAATGGATAATTCAAAGTCATGAGAGAGAGGACACAACCAACTGCTTTGTATAGCACTTTTCCTTGGTCCTTGTGAATTAATTTGTGTGCTGTCTCCTAAGTCCTCCTCTGCATAATCAGGTCATAGTTCTGAAGTACAAATTCTATCTCAAAAACATGAAAGAAAAATGATGCTGTCCAGAGTGCTGAAAATGCTACTGGTGAATGGAACCTTGTATATTAATACTATATAGCCTGGGCTTTGGTGTCTCCAGGTCTTTGGCACACACCTTGACCCCTCTGGTATTA
This sequence comes from Homo sapiens, assembly GCF_000001405.40. Classification (NCBI taxonomy): domain Eukaryota; kingdom Metazoa; phylum Chordata; class Mammalia; order Primates; family Hominidae; genus Homo; species Homo sapiens. The sequence goes on from NC_000008.11 coordinate 67,860,941, forward strand.
CAGCTTTAGAAGGAGCCCAATTTAAATACAAACCAGAGGATGGTGGCTAGCAAAGGGGCCTCCTCACTCCTCTCCTACCTCGTGTCAAAAATTCTTAAGAGCTAAATAGCAAATGTAGAGCAATGTCTTTAGAATGAGGATCTCTTGTTCATCCCTACCCACTAACCTGGAAGATTTCCTTTCCTTATTCCAATCCTTTTCTATTAATGAACAAACTAATTTACTCAAATAGTCAGTATTTTGACTCTTGAGATGTTAGGAGCTGTATGAGTATATAATATGAATAATAAATGTTTGTCAAACAAATATATTTACTGGCAGCCACTATCTGCTTGCAGGGTGCTAGAGCCAGAAAGATGGGTAAACTATAATACTTGTCTTCAAGGAGCAAATATACTAGTTGGAGATTTATTCACAAGTATTTTTTGAGCACCTTTAAGTGCCTAGCACCAAGCCAATGACAAAGATGTATTTCTTTAATTTGATGAATAGTGGTGATATGTATATAGGAGGGGCACTTAATCCAGCCTGGAGAGGAGGGAGGTTAGGTTGATGGAAAGTAGACAGAAGGTGAGACTTCCTAAAGAAAGTGATGATTGAATGGTCTTAATGGATGAGTGGAAGTTGGCTTGCCAACAAAGGATAAGAGTGAGGCAGAACTTTAGAGACCTGGCACTGAGAAAGACAGTAGAATATACCTTTCAGGAGTACATTTCAGCAATTAACAAAGAGCTGTGTATGTGACAAAAACAGCATTCCTTTCATCTGGAAAGTAGGGCAGAAGAAATATGTTCTGGGCTGTTGGCAGCCAACAGAGGCAGAAAGCAATGTTTGCCAGAACATGCTCTGTAGAACTCAAGATGCTTGGGATATTAATTAGTGCAGCTTGATAAATAGATCCCAAGGTCAAATTAATACAGAAAATACATATGTCCATTGTTAATCTTAAGAAGGCACGAAGTCCACAGTTTTCTGGAAGGTTTGAGCAGGTTTTCACCTGGGTATCTTGAGAAACTAGTGCTCAGAAATGCCATGTCAGCACTTATGTAGCATGGATGCTATCTGGTTGGTCTAATAGGTCCACCTCTCCCTGAAGATATGCTGATTCTTCCCAGAGATCAACGCAAGCCAGAGGCAGGCTGGAAAGAGGCAGTTGCAGATGTGTTGATGGGGAGATGCAAAAATGGAGAGTGAACGAAGTTTTCTAGTTAACCTTTAACTGAAGCCACTGCTCATCTGTTCTGTGCTGGGAATTGTAAGCCCTCCAGCTCTCCAAAGTATCAGCTTCATGCTGTAGCTAAAAAAGCATGTGCCCTTTTCTTCTCTGATTTCTTTGTATTCTTTTAACCTCTTAAGGCAGTACAATGACTCACATGGATATTAAAGGTAACAGCTATTTTTTATTGCTGGGCTATTGATTAGGAGAAAGCAGGAATTCTTGATTGAGATAGAAGAGGTTGGTTGGAAAAGAATTTGATCTATTTTGGTCCCTTGACACTTGAGAGAATTGTGCCTACTAAGAATTTTGGCTTTTAGAGTTAAAAGAAGGCAGCTAAAGTTTTAAAGTGAAAGCTACGTAAGTGTCGTCTCTCATTTATATTACAAATGCCAGGATTATCAGTGCTGGTCATTCAGGGAGGAACTGACTTACTCATGGACATCAAAAGGAAAGAAAGTAATAGATTTCTCCTGATTTTATACAGCTTCTGCCCTTGAGTCACTGTACAAAGTGGCAATTGCCCCAGTTGTTATCCTGATGTCAGTCTATATCTCCCAAGTGTTAAAAGCTATTTGATTTGTAGTTTTTATGATGCTCATAGACATTTAAAATCCTATATGTAGAAGAGTCTTCACAGATCATGTAGGATAGTGAATTCAGTTTTAGCGTGTTCTTGTGTTGTCTGTAAAAGTTACCTTTAAGGTACATCTACCAGGATGTACTCGGATGCACGAAGAGGGAAAAAAACTGTCGAGAAGAGAGATGGGGGTTGGCATGTGGAATGTGTTGAAGACAGTAGTTCTTATATTTATTTTTCTCTCCAAGCAGCATTGACCATGGCCTCTGTGCCTTGTAGGAGAGGAGGTTAGGCCAGAGCAGGGATGATGGGGTGAGAGTATTCAGATAGGGAAATGAATAGACAGCAAAATGTACTAAGATTTGTTGTGTCTGCTTCACCTCCATTTGGCTATGTACCTGCCTTGTTTAGCTTATATCATGTTTTCATCCATATAGTAACATATCATATAAATTGCTTAGCTTTTTTTTTTTTTTTTTTTTTTTTTTTTAGAGACAGAGTTTTGCTCTTGTCACCCAGGCTGGAGTGCAATGGCGTGATCTCGGCTCACTGCAACCTCTGCCTCCTGGGTTCAAGTGATTCTCCTGCCTCAGCCTCCCAAGTAGCTGGGATTACAGGTGCATGCCACCACGCCTGGCTAATTTTTGTATTTTTTATTGTTTTTAGTAGAGACGGGGTTTCACCGTGTTGGCCAGGGTGGTCTTGAACTTATCCACCCACCTTGGCCTCCCAAAGTGCTGGGATTACAGGCGTGAGCCACCGTGCCCAGCCCATAAACTGCTTAACTTTTGAAAGGCTATGTTGTCTCTAAAATCAAATCTGATTGGATGTTGGAACCTCAGCTATCGTGCTTTCCTCCCTCACTCTCTAAATCCCTCACACACGTTCACTTATCCTTAGAAAGTGAGGTTGCATTTACCTGGAGTCATTAGTAAAGATTAATTAAACACCTGCTCAGCTGCTTAAACATGTGTGTTATGATACTCCAAAAACAAAGCTATTCAAAATTTATGGTGTGAAGGAGGGTAAATGTCTTACATTATTTTTTATTAACTCTTAAGGTTGAAGGATTGCAGTTTTTGTGTCTCCCATATGGGAGGTAGAAAAACATTCTGAGACATTCATTCGTTTTTAAAGTATCATTCAGAAGAGAAGAAAATGGAGACTTCTGTTTACTTGAGTGAATGATTATTTACACTTTTATTTCTGGCTTGCAATTTGAGAGTTTAGGGGAATTATGCCTTTATTTTAGATATGAATCTCGGAAAATAAGTGCAGTAGGTTAACAAGGCAGGAACATCTTACAATATTACTTCCTTTTCCCTTCTTCATTAGTTCCAGAATGAGTTAATGGCTTATCCTTTAGACTTTCTCCTTTACATTTTTTCCCATCTCTTTGCAGATAATGTCACAAAGTCCTGGTGACACCCTCTTTGATAATCAGAGCTGTTCACAACTCACTTTAGAGCACTCACTCCTGAGCTGCTGGGTCACACCTCCCTGTGCCGGGATCAGCCTGTATGTCAGGTCCTCCAAGCTGCAGTATGTTCGGGGCTTCTGTCCTCTCAGACAGTCCCCAGACATAGGGGCTGAGATATTTTTTGGGGGGACGGGAATCTGAAGCTCTTTCCAGGGTCAGACTGCTTAGTGAGGTCGCTGAAGAGTTCTGAAAGGTTCCTTGATTGAAAATTTCATGGCATGAAATTTCTTATGTCCTTTAAAGTTGAAGTACACCTTTTTGGCGTGGACTTTCTTCTCGAATATGTTTAGCACAGTGCCTGGCACATAAGAGTGCTCAATAAATAGTTTTTTTCCTCTGTTCCAGTAAAAGAGTTGTAAATAAAAGAATTAGAGTGAAATTTTAGAAGACAGAAAAAGTACTATGTACGGCTGAGGTTACAGATGTTTTGTGGATGAGGCTGATTTGAGCCAAGAATGCATCCGTTCTACAGATGCTGACGCTATAGCCTACCGACTGTACTTCAGGTACTCCTATGGAATGAGAATATAATGGTGACCACACGCACAAAGGTTTGCAACCTGGTGAGGTAAACAAACATTCATCAAATAATTGTAGAAATGTAAACTTACATGGGAACAACCAAAATATCCAAAAGGAAAATGGTGAAATAAATCATATTAATTTTCATTTAATATTTTGTAGCCATCAAAATTATTTCAAAGAATTGTTAATTACAATAACATAATTTAAAAAATAAGATATAAAAGTAGAGAATATAATTTCTATTTTATAAAACAAATAATGCTTACCTAGGTGTAGGAAAAGTGATTATATACCACATTAAACAGTGGTTCTTGCTGGTGATGAGATTAGAAAGCATACAGCATGTTCTGTTAAGAGTAGTGTTTTTGCCAGGAGGTAAGTGTATTTGTTTGCATTTCCAGTTAAATCCGTTACGTGCTTTAAATGAGGAACTAAAGTTTTCACATTGATTCTGTCTCTCTCTTTGGGCTGTTTCATTTTTGTTTTAATCAGGTGGGGAGTAAGGAGAAGGCTCCTGTTGAGTGGGACAAGGAGGGTTCTGGTGAAAACTTCATAGTACGGCTCTGAGAGATGTGAGTTATGGGTACTAATTTGCTTTAAGTGTCTGCCCAAGCAGGATTAATCTTTCTCTGCTGTTTATTTTTTATTTTTTGCCTGGCATTTTGTGTCTAAAGGGAAAGTTTCAGAAATGCTTCCAGGGATGATAATGGGAGTTTGATTCCTGGGCATCTGATTAAACTCCTATATTATTAATCAAAGTCTGGAGTGTTCTGGATTAGTTCTACTATTTCAGAGTGATACCTACCATCTTCTATAATCTCAATCCAAAATGGCTTGTTTGAAAGCTTTTCCCTTGGAAGCCACTGATGTGTTATTACTTTTATCAGCTAAAAATAAATTCTGTTTCTAGAGTTTGCTTGTTTATGTAAGTAGCTGAAGGTTTTCAAGCTGGAAATTAACTTTATTATAGAAGTGCTGATGATATAGTCATATAAATAGAATAGGATGTATAAAATGTGAACATTCTAGAAGATTTTCCTCTGATCTGCAAAATTCTGTGTCTGATAATTTTTTTCTTTTTCTATGTTCTATACTTATTTCAAAGACTCACTGGGTCATTTAAAGTGAGGCAGTTGGACTGAAGATAGTGTTGCATACAAACTGTCTTTCATGTCATCTTGGACTTACCCTACTTTGCATGATAGAGATGCCAAGGGCTGGCCTTATGAAGATGAGGCTATTTTCACATTATGATTTGAGAGATGCTGAAAACACCTGTTACTGCTTTCCTTATACCCAAATTTATACACTTAGAGACTTATGCTTTTAAGTCTTGGAGACTATTCATAATGAGTTCCTATTAAGATATGAACATCTAGGATGGAAAGCAGCTACCACCTGGAATCTTACCAGGGTTTTCTGCCAGTCAACTGAGAAGGCAGAGTACAATGACCCAGTGGAAGAAGGGTTAATTACTGCTGGGCCTTAGGGAAGAGCTGGGAGGAAGCTGGCTGCACCAAGGACTTTCCACAGCTGACTCTCCTTCTGCAATGACAGCAGCTCCTATTGTACAGGGCTGTAAAATTATTCAGAAAAGAGCAGGGATAATGCATACATTATGCCTGCTTTGAAATTGGTTGACACTTTACTTCTGGGATTTTTTTTCCTCTTTACTAACTAGCATATACTCTATTCCACCTTTCTCTTCCCTTACCTGCTGATCACTACTCTTTTTAGGAATAATTGAGGGGAAGAAATGTTGCCTGATTTCCCCGTTGATACGTAGCATAGCAGTTCCTTTTGGATATCTCATCTCCTTGTAAGATGGCAGGCCTGGTGGATGCTTTTTAAATGTTTTCCTTTCCTCAGTCGAGCGGAAGAGAAATTGCTGTTATGCTAGATGCCGGAGCACTTGAAGCAAATCTGTTTCCAGGTTGAATATCAAAGCTAAGGAAATTTCCAGAGTAATATGTTTTTAATTTTTTGCTCCCTGATGCTAAGTACACCTAGCGGGTTTGCTGAGTACTGCACCTTCTCTGCCATCCAGCTGCTGGCAGGGACTAGAATAGTTCCAACTGCTTGGCCTGCCTACTGTGTGCAGGGCTGGTTTTGGCTGTGCCAGGCTCCAAGCTTTAAGACTACAAAGGATACCACAGTTGCTGAAGGGCAGGAGCTCCTCTTATAGCTTATTATAGGGTGCAGCACTGCTACAACTCAGGCAAGAGCTTCCTGAAAAGTAAGTATCAGGGAGAACTATTTTGCGTCCATTTTCAAGATAGCCACGAAAAAATTGTCCACTTGTTTAGAAAGGTGCCATGATTTGTGCTTTGAGATACAATTTTTTAAATGGTTACTTTTCTTTAATTATTAAACACTGTAAGCAAGGATAAAACACAAATCAACCAATATTTGCAATACATGTGATGGACAAGTTAGTAAGAAAACAAGCAACATCCTAGTAGTAAAACGTCAAGAATAGGCAGTTTACAAAAAGAAGTACAAATGTCTAATATATTTTTATTAGATTAAAGATTTTATTAATCTTTTATTATTAAAGATTCTAAATATCACTAATATTTAAAAAAATTAATTGGGATGCCATCAGGCTGAGGGGACCTCCAGCACCCCGGGTTCCTATGTAAGCAAACTGAACCCAACTCAGTAAATGGTCATATCCTAGGCCAATCAGAAATTACCAACTAACCCCTAACTAGGGACTTTACTAAATAAGGCCACTGCTCCTCTTCAATCAATCAAATATTTTCTTTACCTTGCTTCTGCATTCACCCCAAAAAAGCCTCTCCGGCCCCCACCCTTTCATTGGAACCCTGAACCACTTGCAGTGTTGTGTTGCCTGATTCATGAATTGTTGTTTGCTCTAATAAACTTTAACATTTTCACATGCTTTCGTTTCTGTTTTAACACAACAAAGAAAGAAATGGCCATAAAAGCATACATGTTTAAGCATGAAATTAACAAAGATTTTTTAAAAACTCACAATACCCAGTGTCAGTGAGGAAATGAGAGAAGTGTCTTCTTAATACTTCTCATATACCAATAGGAGTATTCATAAGGATACGATTTTTTTTTTTTTTTTTTAGAAGGACTCTCGCTCTGTCGCCCAGGCTGGAGTGCAGTGGCGCGATCTCGGCTCACTGCAGGCTCCGCCTCCCGGGTTCACGCCATTCTCCTGCCTCAGCCTCCCGAGTAGCTGGGACTACAGGCGCCCGCCACCACGCCCAGCTAATTTTTTGTATTTTTTAGTAAAGACGGGGTTTCACCATGTTAGCCAGGATGGTCTCGATCTCCTGACCTCATGATCCACCCGCCTCGGCCTCCCAAAGTGCTGGGATTACAGGTGTGAGCCATCACGCCCGGCCAAGGATAAGATTTTTAAAGGCTACTTGGCAATGTATTAGGACAAGTTATACATTGATATTTTTTGACATAATTTCCGACCTCCTAACTCATCTTAATATAAATGAACAAACAAAGGGGAATGATCTGAGATTATCAAGTACAGTATTATTTTCATGTGACTCTCAGTGGAGAGCTTACTCTGCCTCCCATTTCTTCTGATGTGTAGCTCACTAGATTCAGGGCTTAGTCCCAAAGTAAGCCCAACTTACTGTGCCAGTAACTGAAAAGACATTTTATTTATTCCTGACAGAATGATCATACATATTCTGAAGCTGGTGCACCTCCCTCCTCCAATTTTTTGAAAGAGCCACTTTTCATTTCCTGCAACCCAATTTAAATCGTTAGCATCTTGCACACGGCAGTTGTGATAATGGTCTCCAGATGAAGCCTCACCCAAATGGCAGCTTTTCCCAGGGCTCAACATGGCTGTAGGTCCTTATCTAGGACAGGTTGGGTTTCTCCCTCTCTGACTGGCACCAGGGGCTAGAGGTTGGATGGGTGTTGGGCTGCTGAGGAAACAGCCAGACTCCTGTTTTTTCTCCCTACCCTGCCATTGTTGCCAGAGCTTCCATTCCCTTTAGAAACATGTAACTGAGCATATTGGCCACATGGGAGACCCCACGCGTGTGCCCTCATAGCAGCAGTGCTTTGATCTGTAATGATTAATGGTGTCTCCACGTGCAAATGTCATTAAATGGTCAGAGCAGTGAATGTGGGCATCACATAGTTGTGTTGTGGACTTTTTTCAAGAGGCAGCATTTGGAATTAGAAACCTACTTACATACACTTTGCACTAATTTACATATAAACCTCAAACAACTCACTCCAAGTGCTCTTCTCTGAATTAAGCTAATTAATGTGGCTAACCACGGTTGTAGTGAAACCCGGTATTAAGGACATTACACACATGAAATACTAAACAGATTTACAAAAACATAATCATGATAATGGCGAATGAGTTCAGGCCAAATGCAGGTGGCATTAGCTGCTCCATAGCTCTGATTCCTCATGTTGGAGTGATAATCTCAATTAACAAACTCTCCCAAACTGTGCCTGTTTAATAGTCAGTTGAGTTCAAAACAAGGAAAAGAAACTATTGACTGTCTTTCATTTAATAGCCACTGTGTTAATGGTGCCATAGTTATTATTTCACATTTATTTTATTATCTAATGAGAAATCAATGTAGTGAAGTTGGTTAATGAAAAGAAGAAACACACAGAGAAGGTCACGTTGCAGATCACGTTAAGAGCGGCTCTTAGGGTTTTCAGGGTACAACATGCATAACTGATGCTAGAGCTTTGAATTTCCCCCCAGTGGGAAATTTACCCTCTTCAGAGATCAGTGAGTAGAAGGAATATGTTCTCAGGCAATAAAATAATTATTAAAATTCATGCTAGTCTTTTTGGGTCACCTGAAAATACTGATCTTAATAGGTCTTAAAATAACTAAATGATTAGCTTTTGTTTTTGTTGCAGTTAAATTACATACCCATTTATACTAGAGTCCAGTACAGGTTAGCGTTCATAAGTTCCTCTTTCCCTGGAAACTGTGGGAGAATAAATTGGGAAGAGAAAAATATTTTAATTTTAGCAGGTATATTAGTCTCCTTGGGCTGCCATAACAAAATACCAGAGGCTGGGTGGCTTAAAGAATAGAAATGTATTTCTCACAGTTCTGGAGGCTGAAAGTTCCAGATCAATGTACCGCAGAGTAGGTTCCTGGTGAGCTGATGGCTGCCTTCTCACTATGTCTTCATGTGGCCTTTGCTCAGTGAATGGGAGGGGGACGGGGCGCAAGCAAGAGGTCCCTGATATCTCTTCTAATAAAGATACCAATCCTGTGGGATTGAGCACTAACCTTATGACCTCATTTAACTTTAATTACTCCCTTTGAAGCTCCATCTTTAAATACATCAACCCTGGGGGTTGGGGTTTCAACGTATGAATTTTGGGGAGACACAGACTTTCAGTCCATAACAGCAGAAACTGCTCAGTCTCCCTCCCTCTCAGCCATCCAGTCCAGTGTGGGCACAGCTATTTGAGGACTGTTTAGGAAATAATAGTGTGGTCTTGCAGAGCAGTTCTGCTGCCCCATGAGTTTGGAGCATGAATGATATATTTGAAGTGTGTACTTCTGGTGTGTGGGGAGTGGTGGTGAAGGACAGAGGTCAGGAGCAAGGAAGTCACGCTGAAGTAACATGTGGGATGTTTCCAGTGAGATAAAGCATGGATTATTTGACAAACTAAAAAAGTAGTTCAGTTGGGGAGAGGTATATGTGGTGATGTGAAAGTGCTGCAGAATGAAGCTGGACAGGAAAAATGGGTGATATAAAGGAAGAAGCATCCCTCTCTTTTTCAAAAATAATCAGGGGCCTTGAATCAGCCTCTTCATTGGCAATACCATGCCAAGAAAGATTAACAGCTTGAAATCAGGAGACCCAAGTTTTAACTGAGCTCTGTTCCCAAGAGTTCCCATATGACAGTTTGCATTCTCTGCCTCCATTTCTTAGTCATACCTATGGCATATACTAAGTCTACCTTTTTCTTTTAAAAGACAGGGTGTCACTTTGTCACCTAGGCTGGAGTGCAGTGACCCGATCGTAGTTCATTGCTGCCTGATCTCCTGGGCTCAAGTGATCCATCTGCCTCAGCCTCCTGGGTAGCTAGGACTATAGGCATGCACCACCAAGCCTGGCTAATTAAAAAAAAATTTTTTTTTTTAGAGATGCGGTCTTGCTATGTTGTCCAGGCTCATCTCAAACACCTGGTCTCAAGCAATCCTCCTGCCTCAGCCTCCCAAAGCACTGGTGTGAGCCACTCCACCTGGCTGGCTTTCACAATATTACGGAATCCTTTTGTAGTAAGAACAACTTCTGAATCATTGCCCTGGTGTCTTTTGCTATTGTAGTCTTAGGGTCTAGAACCGTCTGCTGTGAACCTGTCAATAATGGGGAAGTTTACTTATTGCAAATGAGTTCAGTTCTGTGGTAAAGAATTCTTTTTTTTCTCCCACTAATCCTCCAAGGGCATGACCTAATAAATCTTTACCAGCCAAATTTTACTGTGAAGGGCAGCCATGGTAAAATTCACCACTCTTGGCCTTAGGCAGAGAGAGAGAGCCCTAGCTAAGAAGTCAAAGTGAGGGAAAGTCTCTAGTGCTGCTCTCCAGACTCCAAGGTCAGAACATACCTTTCCAAAATGGTCCCGTTCTATGTTGTGGGAAAGTTCTGTGGTAATAGAGTGCTGTGTTTCCATTACATGACAGCCTGATCTCTTTATTTGGCCTAATCTGAATTTCCAAATCCAATACTCTGATGAACGTTGTCTGTATATAAAATGTATGGCTGTTAACAACCCATAAATAAGTTGATAGAAGGTAATTTTTTACACTTTAGGGTACATTACCTAGGGCAATATTAATTTTTTATTTTTAAAATTAAAAAAATTGTGGGTACATAGTAGGTGTATGTATTTACGGGGTAGATGAGATGTTTTGATACAGGCATGAGATATAAAATAAGCACATCATGGAGAATGGGGTATCTATCCCCTCAAGCATTTATCCTTTAAGTTACAAACAATCCAATTATACTCTTTAAATTATTTAAAAGTGTATAATTAAGTTACTATAGTCACCCTGTTGTGCTATCAAACACTTTTATAGAGTTACTATAGCATATTGATTTTTAAAATAAGTAATGTGCCCTATCTTAGCTCAATTTCTGCCAACATCAGAGTGATAGTTCAAAATTATGAATATGAGTGAAGTCTAGAATGAACTCACTAGTGTCTCTGATTGACTCTGCCCGTTGCCCTGCCATGGTTGGGGTGCCATTATATCCTCTGCTCTACTAAATCTTACTCACCCACTAGGTTCTCAATTTTTTACTTCTGTGATTTCCCCTTCTTTGTACATCTTTTGGGCCTACTTGATTAGGCACTCTCTTGTCCCACTGAATTCTTTTTCAGTTAATCCTGAATTAGGTTTTAGGTCCCATGAGGGAAGGAGATGTAGCTCATGCTGTATCTGTACTGGCACCACCATTTGGCTCATTTTTATGTGTCCAAATAAGAGGCTGTTTCTCCTACTGTCTCCCAGGTTCAAGCAATTCTCCTGCTAATTTCTGTATTTTTGAGTTTTACCTTGTTGGCTGGGCTGGTCATGAACTCCTGATCTCAAGTAATTCGCCTGCCTTGGCTTCCCAAAGTGCTGGGATTATAGGCAAGAGGCACTGCGTCTGGCCAACAAATTTAAACAAATAGTAAGCATACAAAATATGCTCTCAGATCTCAATGAAATTGAAGTAGATAAAAAAAAAACAGAAAGAGAGCTGGAAAATCTTCAGATACTTGATATTAAACATCACAGTCATAAATAACACATGGATCAAAGAAGTATCAAGAGGAATTAAAAATTATCTTTAACTAGATGAAAATGAAAGTACATAGCACTGAAAGCATATATTAGAAAAGAAAAAATCTAAAATCAATAATCTAGCCTTCTACCTCAAGAAACTAGAGAAAGAAGAGCAAGTTAAAATCAAAATAAACAGAAGAAAAGAAATAATAAAAATTAGAGCAGTCATCAGTAAAATTGAAAATAGGAAATTAAAAATCAAGGAAAGAAAAGTTGACTCTTTGAAAATATTAATAAAATTGATAAACTTCTAATCAGGATAATTAAAAAAAGAGAAAAGACACAAATACCGAGGTCAGAAATGAAAGAGAAACTATTACTGCTAATCCTATGGATGTTAAAAGGATAAAAAAAATGGATACCTATCTGAAATCGATCAATTATTAGAACAACATAACCTACCAAAACTCACATAAGAAGAAATAGATAACCTGAATAGACCCGTATCTATGAAAGAAATCAAATTAATACCCTTCCCAAATAAAAAACACAAGCCCCACTTGGGTTCATTGGTGAATTTTACTGGACATTTCAGGAAGAAATTATCTGAATTCTCAACAATCTCTGCCAGAAAACAAAAGCTAAGAGTAAACACTTTCTAACTCATTCAATGAGGGGAGCATTACACCAGTACCAAAATTAGGCAGAGATGATACCATAAAAAATTACAGACCAATGCCTTTCATGAACATAGATACAAAAATCGTCAACAAAATATTATTACAGCAAAGTAAATCCAACAATGTATAAAAAGACTTATACCCTATGACCAGTTGGGATTTATCTCAGGCCTACAAGGCTGGATCATTATTCAAAAATCAATTAATGTAATCCATAACATCAACAGGCTGAAGAAAATCACACAATCACATCAATAGATGCAAAAAAAGCATTTGACGAAATCCAACTCTGATTTATGATAAAAAAAAAAGCTTTCATCAAACTAGAAATAAAAGGAAAATTTCCTCAATTTAATAAAGAACATCTACAAAAAGTCTTCAGCTAACATCACACTTAATGGTGGGAAAATAGGTACTTAGAGAATACGTAAATAGTCATGTACAGAATGTTGGCAGAAATATGCATGTTAAGGGTGATTCTAATGAGGTCTCACATGGAACTCATTAATCAATGAAGAACATATTATTGGATAATGGAGAAAAGATGACTCTTGTTATAAAGTGACAAACATTTCGTTAAATTGTCTTCATGTTCTAGTGTTTTGAGGAAAGTAGAATTTTTTAGTGATGAAATCAGATATTTAGCTAAGGAAATTTATAAGAAGGTGTTGCAAGAGTGGCTTGGTTTCTCCTGACTACTTATAGTAAAATGTGAGAAAAGATAAATGAATTGAAGACAAAATTGCTAAAGCAAAGGAAGCAGAACTTAAAAATTACACACATTTTCACCATGTTCATATTGCAAAAAAAAAAAAAAAAAATTAGAAAATGTGTTTGGGGCCAGGTGCTGTGGCTCATGCCTGTATTCCCAGCATTTTGGGAGGCCAAGGGAGGCAGATCACCTGAAGTCAGGAGTTCAAGGCCAGCTTGGCCAACATGGTGAAACCCTGTCTCTACTAAAAATACAAAAATTAGCTGGGTGTGGTGGCAGATGCCTGTAATCCCAGCTACTTGGGAGGCAGAGGCTAGAGAATTGCTTGAACCCAGGAGGTGGAGGTTGTAGTGAGCTGAGATTGTGCCATTGCACTCCAGCCTGGGCAACAAGAGTGAAACTCCATCTCGAAAAAATAAAAATAAAAAAATAAAAGAAAGTGTGTTTGGAAGGGAACACCAAGATGATCAATCATTTGATACAATTAGCATATCCGTGAACCATGAACTTAATCAGCCATTTCAACAGAAGTCAGAAATAGAGATGGAAGTATGCCAGCACAAAGACTGTCAGCTGGGACTAAAGGAAAGAGAAAAATGGGATGGAATGAAGGAAGGATGTGAATGTGAACTACCCTTAAAGGACAGATAAGAAGAACCCTGACAACTTGAGTAAAGTTTCAGGATTCAAAATTAATGCACAAAAATCAGTTGCATTTTTATATACCAACAACCCTCAAGCTAACAATGAAATCAAGAACTCAACCCCATTTACAATCGTCACACACACAAATAAAAAACCCTAGTTAAATACATTTAACTAAGAAGGTGAAATAGCTCTACAAGGAGAACTACAAAATATTGATGTAGACGACACAAATGAATGGAAAAACATACCATGCTCATGGATAGGAAGAATTAATATAATTAAAATGACTATACTTCCCAAAGCAATCTACAACTTCAAAGAAAATTCTATCAAATTACCAACATCATTTTCCACAGAATTAGAAAAACCATTCTAAAATTTACATGGAACAAAAAGAGAGCCAGGACAGACAGAGCAATCCTAAGCACAAACAACAAAGCCAGAGGTGTCACATTACCCAACTACAAACTAAGAGTCAGAACGGACAGAGCAATCCTAAGCACAAAAAACGAAGCCAAAGGCATCACATTACCCAACTTCAAACTACACTTCAAGGCTATAGTAACCCAAATAGCATGGTACAAAAACAGACACATAGATCAATGGAACAGAGTAGAGAACTCAGAAATAAAACCACAGCCCTACAACCAACTGATCTTCAACAAAATGAAAAGAAATAAACAGTGGGGGAAAGGACACCATATTCAATGAATGGTGCTGGGAAAACTGGCTAGCTATACACAGAAGAATGAAACTGTACCCCTTACTTTCACCATATAAAAAATTAACTCAATATGGATTGAAGGCTTAACTGTAAGACCAGAAATTATAAAAATCCTAGAAGAAAACCTGGGAGAAATCTCCAGACATTGGCCTAGATAAAAAATTTGTGATTAACACCTCAAAAGCAATAGTAACAAAACAAAAAATAGACAAATGAGACTTAATTAAACTAAAGTGTTTCTGCATAGCAAAAAGAACAACCAAGAAGGGTAAACAGACAACCTACAGAATAGGAGAGAATATATGCAAACTATGCATCTGACAAATGACTAATACCCAGAATCTATAAGAAACTTAAATAAATCAACAGGAAATAAAACCAAATAACCCCATTAAAAAATGGGCAAAGGACATGAACAGACACTTATTAAAACAAGACATACAAGCAGCCAACAAATATTAAAAAAATGCTCAAAATCACTAATCATCAGAGAAATGCAAATTAAAACCACGTTGAGATACCATCTCACACTAGTCAGAATGGCTTTTATTAAAAAGTCAAAAACAACAGATGGTAGCAAGGCTGCACAGAAAAAGGAACACTTATATACTGTTGGTGGGAATGTAAATTAGTTCAACCACTGTGGAAAACTGTTTGGGGATTTTTCAAAGAACTAAAAATAGAACTGCCATTCAATCCAGCAATCCCACTACTGGGTATCTACCCAAAGGAAAAGAAATAATTTTATCAAAAGACATTGGCACTCATGTGTTTATTGCAGCACTATTCACAATAGCGAAGTCATGGAATCAATCCAGGTGCCCATCCATGGTGGACTGGATAAAGAAAATGAGTTAGGTATACACTGTAAACTAAAAAGTATCTGAGACAGGTCTCGATCAAGTTAGAGGTTTATTTAGCCAAAGTTAAGGACATACCCCACCCCCCCAAAAAAGGAGCACAAAACGAAAAGACAAGTCTGTGGTCCATGCCTTTTTCCAAAGATGATTTGAGAGCTTTAGTATTTCAAGAGGAAAATCAGGGTAGAGAGGAAAGAGGAGGGTAGATTCACATTACTGAATCTACATGTTGTGAGAGAAAAGAAGGTAGGGGGGTAGTCAATTATGTATTCATCTCCTGCTCAGTAGATTGGCACTTTACATAAGGTAAAGTGAACATATCTGTATCTGGCCTTTTACCTGTAGGTATCTGCCTAGGTATAAGCAGGTATCTGGCCTTTAATAAAATGCATCTGGCCTTTTATCTGCAATTATCTGCTTAGGAACAAAAGGAAAGGCAGTCTCTTGCATGATTCAGCTTTCAGCTTAATTTTTTTCTGTAGGCATAGTAAATTGGGGTCCTGAGACTTTATTTTCTTTTCATTACACCATGGAATACTATGCAGCAACAAAAAAGTATGAAATCATGTCCTCTGCAGCAACATGAATGCAGCTGGAAGCCATTATGCTAAGCAAACTAACACAGAAACAGAAAACCGAACACTGCATGTTCTCACTTATAAGTGGGAGCTAAACATTAGGTATACATGGTCATAAAAACAGGAACAACAGACACTGGGGAATACAAGAAGGAGGAAGGATGGAGGAGGACATAGGTTGAAAGAAACTATCAGGTACTATGCTCACAACATAGGTGATGGATACATTCATACTCCAAACCTCAACATACCTATGTTTATTACATAGGTAATAAAATTCTAAAATAAAAGTTGAAAAAAGTTATATAAAGAAAGGAAGAGATAATATCATTCACAGCAACACAAATGAAGCTGGAGGCCATTATTCTAAATGAAATGACTCAGAAACTGAAAATCAAATACTGCATGTTCTTACTTATAAGTGGGAGCTAAACAATGATTACATATGGTAATAAAGACAGAAATAATGGACACTGGAGCCTCCAAAAAGGGGGAAGGATGGGAGAATGGCAAGTGTTGAAAAACTACCTATTGGGTATTATTTTCACTATTTGGGTAATGCGTTCATTAGAAGTCCAAATCCCAGCATTCTGCAATATACCTATGTAACAAACTTGCATATGTACTCCTTGAATCTATAGTTTTTTTAAAAAAAGAACCCCCAAGGTGATTCAGGGGTCAATAGGGCTGCCACTCCCACCACAAGTCCAGAATGCATGGATCTATGGAAAAAGGCTGTATCCACCTTGGTTTCCAAGAGTGGGACCACGACCTAAGAGAGTCATGAGGGCACCTGACAGAGCCATGGGGTGTGACTGCGGTCCCAGTGGGTCTCTGGGGGCAGGATCATTGTCCTAGTAGGCTTGGAGGATAGAGTATTGAGCCAAAGAGAATTGTTCTTGAGTTCTAAGATCTTATGGGATTTGCCTTGGTAGGTTTTGGATTTGTTTGGGACCTGTCACTACTTCCTTCTTTCATATTTTTCCCTTTTGAAATGAGAATGAGAATGGAATGTTTGTTCTATGCCTGTCTCATCACTGTATTTGGGAGGCACATGGTTGGTTTCACAGGTCCACAGCTGGAGAGGAATTTTGCAACAGGATGAATGTAGCTCGAGTATCACAAATCTCTGATTTAGATGATATTTACAATCGACTTTGCAATTTAGAGTTGATGTTGAAATGAATTAAGACTTCTGGGGTTGTTGGGATGGAAAGAATGTATTAAAAAAAGAATATTTTAAAAGTGAGAAAGTCATGAATTTTGGGGGGCTAGAGGTGGAATGTTACAGACTGAATGTTTGTGTCCTTCAAAAGTTCGTATGTTGAAGTCTGAACCCCACTGTGATGGTTTTAGGAGGTGAGGAGCCTTTGGCGGGGGTTCTTAGGTCATGAGGATGGAGCCGTCATGGATAGAGATTAGTGCCATTACAAGAAGAGACACAAGAGTATGCATTTTTTTTCTCTCTCTCTGCTATCTGCCAAAAGAAGACAGTTAACTGCAAACCAGGAAGCAGGCTCTCACTAGGCACTAGCTCTGCTGACTCCTTGATCTTGGACTTCCCAGTATCCAGAACTGTTAGAAATAAATGCTTGTTGACGTAGTATGCTTATTATAGCAGTCCAAACTGACAAGACAGACCAGGATCCAAAATGTACAAAGAACTGTTAAAATGAAACAATAAGAAAATTGGGCAGGGGCCGGTGCCTCACACCTGTAATCCCAACACTTTGGGAGACTGAGGTGGGCAGATCACCTGAAGTCAGGAGTTTGAGACCAGCCTGGTCAACATGGTGAAACCCCGTCTCTACTAAAAATACAAAAATTAGCCAGGTGTGGTGGCACATGCCTGTAATCTCAGCTACTTGGGAGGCTGAGGCAGGAGAATCGCTTGAACCTGGGAGGCAGAGGTTGCAGTGAGCCGAGATCATGCCACTACACTCCAGCCTGGGTAGTAGAGTGAGATTCCATCTCCAAAAAAAAAAAAAGAAGAAGAAAGTTGAAAACCCAATTATAAAATGAAAAAAAGTTCAGAACTAATACCTCACCAAAGACATGTGGATGACAAATTAATATATGAAAATGCTCAAGGTCGTATATCACTAGGGAATTGCAAATTAAAACAACAATGAGATATCACCACATGCTTATAAAAATGGGTAAAATCCAAAGCACTGACAACAATAAATATTGGCAAGTATGTGGAACAACAGGAACTCTCATGTATTGCTGATGGGAATACAAAAATAGTATACCCACTTGGAGGACAGTTTGGCAGTTTCTTACAAAAGCAACTATATTCTCATCCTATGATCCAGCAGCTGTACTCCTCAGTATTTACCCAAACCTGGACAAGCTACATAGTATATAATTTTAACTATTTGATATTTTGTAAAAGACAAAACTATGGAGATGGTAAAAATATCAGTGGTTGCCAGAAGTTCAGAGTGGGGAAAAGAAAGACGAATAGTGGAGCACAGAGGACATTTAAGGCAGTGGAACTATTTTGTATGATACTGCAATGGTGGATACACGTCATTGCACATTTTTCAAAGTTCGTAGAATGTACAACGCAAGGAGTGAACTCTAATGTAAAGTATGGGTTTTGGTTAATAATAATGCATTGACATTTGTTAATGAGCTGTAACAAATCTACCGTACTTTGCAAGATGTTAATGACAGTGAACCCATAGGAGGAATGAGGAGAAGAAGCATATGGGAACCATTTGTACTTTCCACTCATTTTTTCTATACATCTAAAACTGCTCTAAAAGTAGCCTATTAATTTAAAGCATCCAAATGATGATTATCAAGAGTAGAATGAATAAATAAGGTGTAGTATGTTTATATAATAGAATACTGTGCAGCAATTAAAATGATCAAACAATATCTACATTAGTGTCATTGATGACTATCACAAACATAGTGTGTAAATAAAGCCAGGTGCAAAAGTATACTTACTATATAATTCCAATTATGTAAAATCCAGAAATCAGATGAAACAGGTTCTGGTGTCCTGTTGGACACAACAATGGTGGCGTAGCTTGATGAACTAACACTCCTACAGATAATGGTGATAAAATGTGGACAAATAATATGTCTGTATCTATAGTCATATCTATGTATCTATGCAGAGAGCTGTATCTGTATATATTATATATATGAAATTCTATCTTACATATATATGAAATGATATATTACATATATAATTTTATATAATTATATATTACATATATAGTTATATATAATTATATATTATGATTCTGTTATTATATGTTAAATATAATTTTTATATATAATATATAATTGCTTTTTGATCTCCAAAAAACAGATAAAATTGTGAAGGAGTCTAAACTTGAGTGATGAGAATTATAACAGAAAATATTTACAAATTTGAATTTTTGCTTCAAAATACTTCACAATCTATATGTGGTCCAGGCAGGCAGAAAACCAGAGTCTTACTTGTTGTGTCAGAGGATTTTTGGGTCATGCTGGGGGTTTAGGGGAGATATTTTGGAGGGGAGGGAACCACAAAGGGGTGAATCCCAAAATACGTATGTTAAGTTGCCTGCAAATGATTGGTGAATCTTTGAGCTACATATATGCAAGGCAGAACCCAGGGGCCAAACGTAAAAACAATCATTGGACTCTGAATGAACCGAATGAAAATTTCAGTTGTGCTCACTGTAGGAAAGATAGAGATTGGGGTTTGAGTCCAGCCAAGTTAATTCATTGTTAGAAAAAGATCAACCCTATTCAAAAAAATACAACAGAATCCAGTCTCTGTAGCTGTCATTCATAGGGTCTAGCACACACTTAAAAAAAATCAGGAGATGTATGAAGCTACAGGAAAATGTAATCCATACACAAGACAGTAAGTAGGCAGTAGAAACTAATCTCAAAATGTCCCAAGATGTTGTAATTAGCTTACAAGGCTTTGAAAGCAGCTGTTATAAATATGTTCATGAGGGTCAAGAAAAATGCCTTCAGAATAAATGAACAAAGTCAGTAGAGAAATGGAAAGGATAAAAAGAACCAAATAGACAAAGAGTTTCAGACTGGCAAGATAAAAGGAGTTCTGAAGATTGGTTACACAATATAGGTGA
Organism: Homo sapiens; assembly: GCF_000001405.40. Taxonomy (NCBI): domain Eukaryota; kingdom Metazoa; phylum Chordata; class Mammalia; order Primates; family Hominidae; genus Homo; species Homo sapiens. The sequence goes on from NC_000008.11 coordinate 67,880,827, forward strand.
CAGTATACGGGACAGTGTGGAGTCACATTGTAGGGGAGAGTGTGGGAGACAGTGTAGGGGACCATATGTGTGAGTCATATGTGGAGGACAGGTTGGGGAAAAATTTAGGGGACAAGATGGGTAATAGTGTGGGATCAATGTGGGGGAGAGTCTAGTGCTTACTACCCTCCCTAGAATTTCCAACACTATGCTTAATGGAAGTGACAAAAGCAGGCAGCTTTGTTTTGTTCCTGCACACCATGGCTCTAATGTGAGTTTATTCCAGAGATAAGGGTAGGATCCTTTTCATCTTTACTGCCACCACACAGAATCAAGGGCAACAGTTTAGTTTGAAGTTGGAGTGTCTGGGTTCTAATCAGAGCTGAATAACCGCATCACATCTTAGCTGTGTGACCTTGGACAAGTTAATTGCATTCACTTGTCTCGGCTTCCTTAGCTTTAAAATGAAAATAATAATAATAGTACTTACCTCAAAGAGTTCTGATGTCTCAAAGAATTTAACGTAGGTGAAGTATTCAGAACAGTGCATTGCACAAAATCAGCACCACAGAAGTATTTGTTACTGTTAGAACACATATGCAGCCAGTGTTTTCTAGTTATTTTTTAAACTAATAAATATTTCAAGCCAAAATAGAATGCAGATGATTTCCCCACCTTTGTTATCAAATTCATGGGAATCATTCTAACAGTTGAAAATTTTAGGTCTAGTGAAAGATTAATACTTTATCATTAGTTATATGTGGGGAAATGTTTTGGAAGACATGAAATTGTCACCCCTCAAATTGTAAGGTTGATATGTTGGGTAGACCCTCTGTCTAGTGTCCTGGGAGCTAAATCATTGTCTTGTTCATTACAGATCTCCATTTTATTTGATTTAATATATATTGTTTCATATATAACAAATATTTATTGCATGTAGGTTACCGGCATTGTGCAGACCTCTGACGGGTGGGCATTATAAGCCTCAGCGTGAGGTGAATAAAGTAAATATTGTTTCTTCTCTCATGGAGTATATGTATCAACTATACATGTTACTTATTTATCTGTATGTCTGTTTTGCAGAAGTTTCTGGGACACCTTAACTTTAAGTATTTGCTTTTCCCAAAGGGAAGGAGATAATAAACTTTTAAATTCCAAAAAAACCGCATACTTCCAGTGATTCTATCAATGTAATAATAAAATGTATGTAAAGTAAAAACATAGATAATTACATATAATAAAATATTGATAAATTTTGACCCTGTATTTAGGCTGAGGAAACCAAGGAATGTTTGATTTGCCCTAAGAAGAAGCCTAGCTTTGAGGAAATTCTGTTTTGGTGACTTTTTCCTCTTCAGACATGCATGGGTGTGTGATAGACGTTACTGCTGTGCACTCCTTTTTGGTCCCCGTTCCCCTGCTGGGGCACACTCTGGGGGACGGTGATGTCTTGACTGCTTGAAGTTAGATGTGTCCATGTGACTAGCTCTGGTGAGAAAACTTTCCAACTCAAGGTTTTACCAAATGCCTGAAGGACACCCACCAGCTCTGCTCTTCCCCTGCTGGGCAAATGCAGAAATCCCTTCATGCTGAGAGCAAAGCTTCTTCAGTCTGGGTCCCAGAGTAACTACTGAGCAGAGACTCACCCTCCATCCCTCCACCCTAGCTACTACTACCCCACACCCACATCAGACATGAACATAAGTGAAGAATAAACCCTTACTGCTTCAGCCACTAAGATTTGGGACATTTTTGGTGACCACTGCCAACCTAGCCTATCCTGAATGGCACAGTGAGCAACTCCAGCTCCTGACTGGCGCTGACTTTCCAAAAGAGCAAAGGAACCTTCCAAATATCTAATGCCTCTACTATGACAGATCTCCATGCTGCTGCCACTTTCAATGGACACTGAAACTCTTTTAGAACAGAAAGGCAACATTGTAGGGCAGATTATATGAAATGCCTGGAGAATGAATTCCTTCTGTGATTTCTAAAGACTGTTTGTATTTAGTGCCAAATATTTGGATGACAAATGAAAAATTCAATCAAACATCTATGTGTTCTCACATAAATTCTGGTTTGATATCAGACAAAACATCTGGTTTATTGCTGAGACTGGAAACTGACCACTGGGCATTTAGCTTTGTCCACAAATAGGCCTAAAGTCAAGGATACAGTCTGAGTTTGGACATAGAAATACTCTGTTTGGTGAAGGGAACCAGAGATAGACTTACACAGAAGCAAACTAGATATTTTGTTAAATGTTTTATAGCTCCAGAAATGGGAGAAGATTCTTCTTGTCCCAAAAGACAGCCCTTAAAAAAATCCACTGGTTTTTGTTTGTTTGGGTTTTTTTGGTGTGTGTGTGTGTGTTTGTGTGTGTTTTAACCTGGGAAGGACAGCTTTTATTTTATTTTAAATTTTTTATTTCCATAGGTTATTGAGGAAAAGCTGGTGTTTGGTTCCATGAGTAAGTTCTTCAGTGGTGATTTGTGAGATTTTGGTGCACCCAATACCTGAGCATGTACATTGAACCCAAATTGTAATCTTTTATCCATCACCCCCTTCCCACCTTTTTCTCGTGAGTCCCCAAAGTCCGTTGTATTATTCTTATGCCTTTGCATCCTCATAGCTTAGCTCCCACTTGTGAGTGAGAACATACAATGTTTGGTTTTCTATTCTTGAGTTACTTAACTTAGAATAATATTCTCCAATCTCATCCAGGTTGCTGCAAATGCCATCCATTCATTCCTAAAAAATCTACTGTTAGTAATAGACCCCTTTGTATTTTGAAAACAAAATTTCTCTTTTAAAGTACAAATATGGCTGAGAGGTGTCACAATATTTTATCATTAGATACTTGAAAATCCCTGAAGAAGAAGGTGTTTAGGTAAGCTGGGGCAGGTTGTAAACTAGGAACCGAGATAATTTGGGAAAATATGAGGAAGGAAGAGGCAATTTCAGAGAATGGAAAAAAACTGCTCAAATTAAGTAACAGAGATCTCCCAAAGCTCTTTTCTTTTATATGGAGATGAAAGTTTATTTTTTCTCCTCCTAAAATGGGATTTTAATTTAAAAAGTTACAAATGGATTCTAGAATTACACACACACACACACATACACACACGCACAGAACCTTTTTCATAATCAAAGACACTGTATGTAAACTATGAATAAGAAAGTTGATCGACACTACTTTTGAAAAAAACCTTGACTTTTATATGTTTTACTTGGGCCACTTTTCCACGCTAAATAATACTTCAGGGCTAGCCAATAACTTCTACTTTTTAATGCTCTTTTTCCAGGAATTGATAAATTTAGAGAGTCAGTGTCTGTAATGATGGCTCCATTTCTCTTCTCTAAAGCAGGGAGCCCGGGCCTGCTTCACAACTGCCCGTTAGTCTTGTGTCTGCCTGAGGTCATCTGCTTTTGTTCTGGGAAATGTTGCTGCTTCATTGCTGTTGGCCACACAATAGGATCACAAAATACTTCAAGGTCATGTACAGTGTCCTCTGGAACCAAGTGGAGGAAACTCGGTTTCCTTCTAGAATCAGTGAAGCTTCTGGTACAAAAGGTCACTATTGGCTACAACCTCTTGTGTGGCTCTGGAGCTCATGGAGGAAAATAGGCCAAGCAGACAAGGGTGTGGAGCAGGACTTGGCCCCATGCTGATGAATAATCATGACTTACATGTCACAGATTTTTATCTAATGGAAGCATAAAGGATTTTAAATCCCCATACTCCCATCAACCACTATGCAGCTAATTGAAGCTTAAAATGCTGGGCATTGTTCCTACTGTTTCTATTGTGGCCTAGGAGGGACATTCAATAGAAAACATGTAGAAATTTCTGGGTGGAGATAACATTTCAATTCACTTGATTATAATCAGATTCCTGCATCTAACATTCCTTCCTTAAATCACTGACAATGAATGATAGTTTTACATTATGTTTCGCAATGCAGTTCATCCAGTCTCATCATTGTTAATAAGTATTAAAACTCCCAAAGACCTGTTCCCTCTCTTTCTACCCCAGTGTTTTGTTTTTATAAGCAAACCACTGCTGCCTGTTGAGGTAAGCTAATAATAAATATTTTACTATAGGCAGTAATCTTTTCTTCGTTTTTGTAATGTGAACCCAAAAGTATCTGAGGCAGGACTCAATCAATTTAGAAAGTTTATTTTGCCAAGGTTAAAGATGCACCTGTGACACAGCCTCAGGAGGTCCTGATGACATGTGCCCAAGGCGGTAGGGGTACAGCTTGCTTTTATACATTTTAGGGAGACACAAGTCATTAATCAATACATGTAAGATGTACATTGGTTTGACCTGGAAAGGTAGGACAACTCAAAGCATGAGGAGGTAGGGGTGGGTGTTCCAGGTCCTGGATAGATTTTAAAATTTTCTGATTGGTAATTGGTTGAAGGAATTATTATCAATAGAAAGGAATGTCTGAGTTATGATAAGGGGTTGTGGAGATCAAGGTTTTATTATGCAGATGAAGCCTCCAGGTAGTAGGCTTCAGAGAGAACAGATTGTAAATGTTTATCAGACTTAAGGTCTGTGTTGTTAATGCTAGTCCAGTTTTTCCTGAATTCCAAAAGGGAGGAGAGTTTAATGAGGCATGTCTGACCCCTACTTCCTATCATGGCTTGAATTAGTTTTTCAGATTAACTTTGGAGTGCCCTGGCCAAAAGGAGCGGTCCATTCAGATGGTTGAGGGGCTTAGAATTTTATTTTTGGTTTATATTCATGAAAAAAAAATCCATTTCCCCTATGTCATGAATGTCCTGTTATTTCTGATTTCCAAACTTCAGTGGTGCTGTCACTGGTATTGACCATTTGACTTTCTGCCTGTGTTGGAGGAGGCAGCCTTCCTTGGGCTTCTTGAGTTCCTACATGTCTTGCTGGGTGAGCCAAGACTGCAAGGCCCTGATACTCAGGCCATTTCTCACACTTGTTTATGCAGCTGGTTACCTGCAAGATGAGGTAATGTATCCGCCTTCAACAAAGATCAGGCTAACTTTCTGCTTGTTGGAAAAGCAGTGGGCTCCCCAAACTCCACTGCTGCTTGCTGTGCTGTAAATCACAAAATCCTTCATTTCTGACCCAGGATCTTGTATCTTCTGCTACACTTCTGGGAAAGCATTACAGGTTCATTCTATAGCTTATAAGTGAAATAAATAAACTCTAGACTTGGTAGACTATACTATCTGGAATTCTTTAATATACATGCATTTTCCCCCTAAATAGATAAGCCTCTTGAGATAAAGAGTCTGAGACCTCTTTGCATTCTCATTGGTAAACATATCATAAATATTCAGTAAATGTTCATGGGTCACAATGACAAGATCAATTTATACCATGATAGAGTTAAATTTTGATATCAAGACAACAAAGAAATCATTGCCGCAACTTGCAATGCCGTAATAGAATGCCATGTGTTGCTCACTTCTTACTCTTCTTAACTCGTAAAGTGGATGCTACCATTTTAAGGAGAGGTTTCTCTGTAGGAGACAGATGTAAAGAATTAGACTCTAATAAAGATATGCTAAGAATATTGCATACATGGCTACTCCACCCTTCTGTTCCCATCCCAGTGACAAATAGCTTCAGGCAGAACAATCATTTGCCATGAAGAAGAAAAGCTCACTTCAGAGAAAATTAAAAGAAATGAACAGAGCTGCTTCTTCTCTATATTAGTACAACAGCAAATCTTTCTCTCCCCCTTTACCATTTTCTGAGAAGGGAGTGGCAACTTTCTGTGAACTAAAAACCATCCAGTGGCTGTTAAAGGAGCCCAGTAGGAGCAAAGATTCTCTGAGTAATAAATTACTTTATCTTTTTGAGGTCGAAAACACTCATTTCTCTATCGAGTAAATATATGAACTAATTTTCTTATTTAAACAGACAAATTTACAATACTAAAATATGCAACAACATACCTGTGTTATACTGACATTTCCAGGGAGCCGACTCACTGGTGTGGCCATTGTGGGAACTTGCCTGTCAGAGCAGGGAGCATAATTGACCAAGAGATCTTCTACCTGGCTCTGAAATCCATCACCACATTTGCACCACAGCCACACTTCCCATGTGCTGCTCTCCATCAGTGAATGAGTATGACAAAAAAATCCCAAATTCCTGGGACATGTGGGACTCCTCTGATGGGTGACTTTGGTCGAAGACTCCCCAGTAGCCTTGTGGAACTTTCCTGGCAAGCACACATACGTCTAAGATGCTTCTAGACTTCTTGATTTGTCACTTGGGGGAAGGTCTGTGTTTTATGGATATGTAGGTCCCTTCCCTTTCAAAGAAACCAATTAGTGCCTAGATCATGTTACATACTCAATGTGTGTTCATTGAGCTGAATGTCAACTGCTTTCTCCATTGCTGATTATTCAATGGGGAGCTCAAGTGAGAGTCCACCAGTGGTGATTGCTTTAGCTCTTTTGCCTTTTCTTGACTGCCAACAAATATTATAATACTATGTAATTTTCTGTACAAGTACTTTTTTAAAAGACAAACAATAATGATTTAAGATTAGTCAACTGAGTCTTTGAACTTAGAAGTATAACTGCAGGCTCTGAGCACAGAAACAGATAACACCTATGAGTTTTCCCTTGAGTTCCATCCAAAGGGAATACTGAACTCCACATTCCATCCTCCTTCTCAATATGTTGCAGCATTTTCTACATTATCTTAGCATCTTTCCCCTCATACTCAACTTACTAGGATCCATTGGGATGATTTGTGTTTCTGTGTTAGAAAATTACCTTTTCCTCCCCTGGGATTCACATCAGTTGCCCCTGTCTTCACAAGCCTTCTGCTAAAGGCATGAGACTGTTGGAGATTTAATGCCTAGACTCCTTTGAAGTGAGAGCAGAGACCAGGTCTTGTCCTTTCATGCTGACATCTACAAAGCTATTACGGGAAAAGAAAGACTTACAGCTGCTGCCAAATTCTGTTAGCCTCCAGCCCTTCTCTCTTGCCTGCATCTGTGTTTTAAATTGCACTGGAGATACACAAGCAGACTAGAGAATTTATCTGCATGCAACAGTGTCTCAAATGATCATTTTAAAGCTTCCTAAAAGCAGCATATAAAATATTGGTGTTCTTTTAAAACATCTTGATACAACTTCCTATAAACAAATTCAACTGTATTTAGTTGCTAGTTTCTATAGAATTATTTAAATTGGCAAACCCTCCAAATTCTGGTAGAGTGGTGAATTTTGGTGAGAAACTTTTGGCCATAAGGTGAGGCAAGGCTGAACATAGGCCTCACTGTGTCTTCTTTATTCCTGCAAAATATATTACCTCTTCGTTGGATATATATAATTGTACTAGATATAATTGACTATGTTTTGACCTTAATTTTAAAGTCATGGCAAGAGAAACTCTCTAGTCTTAGGGCAATTTACAATGTTTCATATGAGAAATTTGGCAGCTCCTCAAGCACTGGGAGTAAAAACACTCAGCAAATATTTCTGAGGTTCCTCTCTGGCTCATTTGTCTCTGTATGCCTATAGATATGGTGCCTTATGGGGCCATCTCCACCAGCATTTTTCATCATGAGGATGCAGAGAATGGTCAGTGAGGTTTACAGCCTCCATGTGTAGCCAGGTAAAAAGCATAACAGTCGCCCATCTGCTTTCAGATCGCCTAAATATGGGATTCTATCTCTTCCTCTTGCTGTGAATCCGTCTGGGAGGTAAGCATAGATTTTTCTCTAGAGTCTGTCTTATCTAAACTCTCCTCTCTAATTCCCTTCCTTTATTCAGCTGGAAGCATTTTATGAAGTATGGAGAAGCAGTGTGTTGTAGATGACAGGAAATACAAGTTTTACCTGATTGAAACTTCCATGTTTTTTCTCCTTTTACATAGGAATCTAGTATTCTGCATTAAAACATGAAAAGAAATATTAATTTTGTTCTCTATTTCTTTTTTATTATTCCAATTCAGAGAAAACATCCATACTCCATTGAATGGAGATAAATTTGTATGTGTTTGGGGATTCTTGCAATATTCCACATGTCAGCATGCCACCTACATCAAGACATGATCTTCAAAAATAAATAGGTAATTCATAACATATACAAAAATTAACTCAAAACGGCTGAATGTGCCTGATGGCTCATTCCTATAATCTCAGCCCTTTGGGAAGCTGAGGTGGAAGGATCACTTGAGGCCTGGAGTTTGAGACCAGCCTGGACAATATAGCAAGACTCCATCTCTAAAAAAATTTTTCTTCTAAAAATTAGTCAGCTATGGTGTTGTTTGCCTGTAGTCCTAGCTACTCAGAACACTGAGGCAGCAGGATCACTTTGAGGTTGCAGTGAGTTGTGATTGTGCCACTGCACTCCAGCCTGGATGAGAGTGAAACCCTGTCTATTAAAAAATAATAACTCATTATTATCAACTTACATGAAGTTAACAAACAATGGACCAACAATGGAAATATAACAGCTAAAACCAGAAACTCTTAGAAGAAAACATAGGAGTAAATAAATCTTCATGACCTTAGATTTTGACTATGGATTTTTAGATCTGACATTAACAGCATAAGCAACAAAACAAAAAATAGATAAATTAAAAACTTTTGTGCATCAAAAATCATTATAAAAAAAGTGAAACTATAACCTACAGAATGGGAGAAAATGTTTTCAAATTATTTATCTTATAAGGGTTTAATATCTAGAATATTTAAAAAACTCCCAAAACTCAACGATGGGATGACAACCCAGTTAAAAATGGGTAAAGGACTTGAATAGGTATTTCTTGAAAGAATATATACAAATGGGCAATAAGTGCAGAAAAAGACCCTCAACATCACTAATTATTAGAAAAACGTAAAATCAAAACCACCATGAGATGCCAATTCACACCTACTAGGATGGCTATAACTTTAAAGAAATGGAAAATTATAAGTGTTGACAAGCATGTGAAACAATTGAACCCTATGTTGCTAATGAGAATGTAAAATGGCATAGCTTTTGTGGAAAAGATGATTTCTCAAAAAGCTAAACATAGAATTGACATTAAGACCCACACATTTCACTCCTAGGTATGTACCCAAAAGAATTAAAGACAAGAACTCAGATACTTATATGCCCAATGTTTATTGCAACATGATTCACAATAGTCAAGAGGTGAGAAACAACCCAAATGACTATAAGCAGATAAATAAACCAAATTTTGTACATATGTAAAATGGAATATTATTCAGCCATAAAAAGGAATGAAGTTCTGATATATGCTACAACACAGATGAACCTTAAAAATATTATGCAAAGTGAAATAAGGCAGATACAAAAGGACAACTATTGCATGGTTCCACTTACATGAAATATCTAGAATAGGCAAGTTCTTTGAGGCAGAAAGTACATTAGAGGTTATCATGAGCTGGTATGAGTGAAAAATTGGGAGTTATTACTTAATGGTTACAGAATCTCTGTTTGGAGTAAAGAAAATGTTTTGGAAATACAGTAGATAGTGGTGATGGTTGCACAACATCATGGATGTAATTAACACCAGTGAATTGTACACTTGAAAATGGGCAAAATGGCAGTAAGTACTAGATAAATAGGTGACTTCATTCACCTATACCAAGTAGACTAGCAGGATTTGAAAAGTGGGTTTGAGTTTTAGTTTAAGCCTAGCAGAAATGAGTATTCATTCCCAGAAAAATAATTTGAGAGTGATTTTTTTTTTATGAGACAGGGTCTCATTCTGTCGCCCAGGCTGGAGTGCAGTGGTGCAATCTCAGCTTATTGCAACCTCCGCCTCCCAGGCTCAAGCCATCCTCCCATCTCAGCCACTGAAGTAGCTAGGACTACAGGCACGCACCACCATGCCCAGCAAATTTTTGTATTTTTTGTAGAGATGGTGTTTTGCCATGTTGCCTAGGCTGGTCTTGAACTCCTGACCTCAAGTGATCTGCCCACATCGGCCTCCCAAAGTACTGGGATTACAGGCATGAGCCACTACACTTAGTAAGAGTGATCGTAATAGGCAAAATGGAAACATCAGCACTTTATAAGAACCAGGAGAGGAAAGAAGTATTTTATTCTTTGTTTAGTAGGTTTCTGTTCTTAGAAGAGACTTCTTTGAACTAGGCATAGAAGGTTCACTTGAGCCCTGTTGATATGGACACCATATCTGGTTGATACGCACACCAGAGGGTACTTGGGATGATGGAAGGTTTCTATTAACTTCATGTAAGTTATTCTATAGGAAAAGTTTTAAATCCCTTTACAAATGTTTATATACGCTTTTATTAGATTCTAAATCTTATTGTCTTTGTTAACAAGTCAATATTCATAAAATATAATAGCCCTCATGGAGGCAAAAATCTTAGATCAATTTTTCTTCCTTTTCTTTCTGTATAAAATCGGTGACAGGATCTACTTCTACTTTCAAATAACTACTTTGTGTTTGGATGACCATTCAGATTAGGACTAAAACTTCATAAATCTATAATACCTTTCCTCAGGGAAATTTGAAATCCTTGGATTTGTTTCAATTTGTCTTGTAATCATAACCTTGGGGGAGGATAAGGAAGGTAATGGAAGTGGGAGAAGTAGTAAGAAATAGCCAATAGCTAAGGTTTTTCTCAGCCTATATGGCAATTGATCAGACATTCAAAAATCTCTGGGACTGTGCTTCTTGGTGCTAACAAATCCTTATTTGCCATTTGCAATAACATTCTTGCTGGAAAAAAGAAATTATAAGTTCAGGTCTGAGTGATCACATAAAGGCCTCATAAATATAAAGTGGTACATTAGAGATAAAAGTGTATGCACAGAAACACATATAGGCACATCACAATGCTGGGTAGTCTCACAGGCCTGTCCTCCTGCCATGGTCTTGGAAAGGGGCATGACGAGGGTCTGAAGGAAAGAAAGGAAGAGAGACCTGCCAGGTAGGATAAAGTACTGATGATGTGAGAAATTGGGTGAGCATATACAAAGGAAGGTGACTTTGATTAGTGTTAGGAGGAAAACAGCTAGGGTGATGGAGTAAACACACCTGATAGCAATAATTTAAGCATGCCCTGAGAATAACGCTGTATGGCAGATGCACCTGAATGTGTGTTCTGAGCTAGGGAATCTGGGAGTGACCAGCCTAGAGATTTGTTTCTTGTCTATGATGAGCATCTTAGCCCCCAGCTTGTCCCATGGAACTCAGGCTGTATAGCAGATGGGTCAAATGTGTTTTGGGTCAAATGAAAGTTGCCAGGTGGAGGTCATTCAGAGGAGGATGGTAAGTGAAAATGCCATGTATACTGTATGCAGGTGTGGTTTTCCTGCCCAGCTTGCTACCACTGGGCATGAGGGTATCTTGTCCAGCTCACTGCCACTGGAATCTCTCCTCTGTACATAAGTTCCCAGTGAAACCCCACGTTTTGTTTGCTGGCTCTGAGTCTCTTCTTCTGTCTCTTGAACCTGGTGCCTTCTCCATTGGGATTAATAGGAGTTCGGCAAAACAGGTGAGCATAAAAGAAGGACAGGTAAAGAAAGACAAATGAGTACAAAAAAGTAGGGGCTCCTTGAAGATTGACATGGAATGGGTGGGAGTGGGCGCAGGTGCCCTTCTCACATGATCTCAAGTGGCCAGAGCATGGTGGTGTGCTGGGTTATGAGGGTCTTTTGCTCTTCAAGGCTGTTTCTTTGCTCTGACTTCATAAGATAATGACCCTCCTCACCCTCCAAAATCTATAGGTATTCATGTTATGTTGCTCTAGTTTCTGCTTCAAAATTGCTGAAAACCAATGTGAGGTCTCCACTCTAGTCTAAGAAATCTAAAACACCTCAATACATGGGGATAAATAGCCTACAGAGCAAGTCAAAAATTTTGAAGACATTTTGACTGTTGCAACCAAAACAACTTCCTCATTACAGGCAACTGACTGGCTAAACTATTGATTTAAATGATCTTCTAATAAGATTATTAGAAGAATAGTGTTTTATGCTCTAACAAGATGTCTTAGAAAAAAACAAATCTAAAAGAATGGTGTTTTATTCTTGATTCATCCATTCATTGATTTGAGTACATGGCTTATAATATGCTACAACTTACTTTACCTAATGAGTGCTTAGTGACTTTTCAACAAAAAGTATCTTGAAAAGTTATACTACTTTTCAGACGATGACTTTATTTTTTCCAGGATAAAGAGATTTTCACCCTGAAGCAAAATGAATATATATGCTATAAGTGGTATTTCAACATTATAATTTCAGGCAATGACACATTTAAAATTCACTCAGAACAACAGTTTAGTCAGTGAATAGCATATGAAACAAATTTACATTGCACACCATGATGGATGCACCCAAAATGTTTTCCTTTGTGTACATGAGACAAGCAAACAGGATGGGAAGGCAGCTTCTACAGCATGTTGTTTGTGTGGGCTACTTTGAAGTATTTTAAAGCATTCTCATGGTTAGTTAGACTTTAGTTTGCACTAAAGATATGTTTCTGTGCTGTAACTAATTGTAGGTGTAGATTTGAATGCAAGGCAACCATGAGCCTGGAAAATGCTGAAAAATTGGTGAAGGGAATGATACGTAAGTAAGAATACATCCTCCAAAGAATATCTTTCTGACACCCCTCCTTCATCACCATACCACCCACTGTAAGTCTTTTATCTTCTTTGGCAAACGTATAGTCTATTTTCACACTGCTAATAAAGACAGACCCAAGATTGGGTAATTTATAAAGGAGAGAGGTTTAATTGACTCACAGTTCCACATGGCTGGGGAGGCCTCACAAGCATGGCAGAAGGCAAAGGAGGAGCAAAGTCACGTCTTACATGGTGGCAGGGAAGAGAGCTTGGGCAGGGGAACTCCTCATTTACAAAACCATCAGATCTTGTGAGACTTATTCACTACCACAGGAACAGTATGAGGGAAATTGCCCCCATGATTCAATTATCTCCACCTGCCCCCGCCCTTGACAAGTGGGGATTATTACAATTCAAGATAAGATTTGGGTGGGGACACAGCCAAACCATATCAGCAAATAACCTTCACCACATTTTAAATACAATGTGTATTTATTTACTTTAAAATATTTATTAATTGCAAGCCTTTGTTTTTATTGTCCAGTTCATATATTTTTCTAAGAAAATTGTCTGGAGGGGGTGGAGCCAAGATGGCCGAATAGGAATAGCACCAGTCTACAGCTCCCAGCATGAGCGATGCAGAAGATGGGTGATTTCTGCATTTCCAACTGAGGTACTGGGTTCATCTCACTGGGGAGTGCCGGACAGTGGGTGCAGGACAGTGGGTGCAGCGCACCGTGCATGAGCCGAAGCAGGGTGAGGCATCACCTCACCCAGGAAGTGCAAGGGGTCAGGAAATTCCCTTTCCTAGTCAAAGAAAGGGGTGACAGACGGTGCCTGGAAAACTGGGTCACTCCCACCCTAATACTGCGCTCTTCCAATGGGCTTAACAAACGGCACACCAGGAGATTATATCCTGCACCTGGCTTGGAGGGTCCTACGCCCACGGAGCCTCGCTCATTGCTAGCACAGCAGTCTGAGATCAAACTGCAAGGTGGCAGTGAGGCTAGGGGAGGGGCGCCAGACATTGCTCAGGCTTGAGTAGGTAAACAAAGTGGCCGGGAAGCTCGAACTGGGTGGAGCCCACCACAGCTCAAGGAGGCCTGCCTGCCTCTGTAGGCTCCACCTCTGGCGGCAGGGCACAGACAAACAAAAGACAGCAATAACCTCTGCAGATTTAACTGTCCCTCTCTGACAGCTTTGAAGAGAGTAGTGGTTCTCCCAGCATGCAGCTTGAGATCTGAGAATGGGCAGACTGCCTCCTCAAGTGGGTTCCTGACTCCCGAGTAGCCTAACTGGGAGGCACCCCCCAGTAGGGATGGAGTGACACCTCGCATGGCTGGGTACTCCTCTGAGACAAAACTTCCAGAGGAACGACCTGGAAGCAGCATCTGCGGTTCACCAATATCCGCTGTTCTACAGCCACTGCTGCTGATGCCCAGGCAAACAGGGCCTGGAATGGACCTCCAGTAAACTCCAACAGACCTGCAGCTGAGGGTCCTGACTGTTAGAAGGAAAACTAACAAACAGAAAGGACATCCACACCAAAAACCCATCTGTACGTCACCATCATAAAAGACCAAAGGTAGATAAAACCACAAAGATGGGGAGAAACCAGAGCAGAAAAACCGGAATCTCTAAAAATCAGAGCGCCTCTCCTCCTCCAAAGGAATGCAGCTCCTCACCAGCAATGGAACAAAGCTGGACGGAGAATGACTTTGATGAGTTGAGAGAGGAAGGCTTCAGAAGATCAAACTACTCTGAGCTAAAGGAGGAAGTTTGAACCAATGGCAAAGAAGTTAAAAACATTGAAAAAAAATTAGATGAATGGATAACTAGAATAACCAATGCAGAGAAGTCTTTAAAGGACCTGATGGAGCTGAAAACCATGGCACGAGAGCTACGTGATGAATGGACAAACCTCAGTAACTGAAGTGATCAACTGGAAGAAAGGGTATCAGCGATGGAAGACGAAATGAATGAAATGAAGCGGGAAGAGAAGTTTAGAGAAAAAAGAATAAAAAGAAACAAACAAAGCCTCCAAGAAATATGGGACTATGTGAAAAGACCAAATCTATGTCTGATTGGTGTACCTGAAAGTGACAGGGAGAATGGAACCAAGTTGGAAAACACTCTGCAGGATATTATGCAGGAGAACTTCCCCAATCTACCAAGGCAGGCCAACATTCAAATTCAGGAAATACAGAGAATGCCACAAACATACGCCTCGAGAAGAGCAACTCCAAGACACATAATTGTCAGATTCACCAAAGTTGAAATGAAGGAAAAAATGTTAACGGCAGCCAGAGAGAAAGGTCGGGTTACCCACAAAGGGAAGCCCATCAGACTAACAGCTGATCTCTCGGCAGAAACTCTACAAGCCAGAAGAGAGTGGGGGCCAATATTCAACATTCTTAAAGAAAGGAATTTTCAACCCAGAATTTCATATCCAGCCAAACTAAGCTTCATAAGTGAAGGAGAAATGAAATCCTTTACAGACAAGCAAATGCTGAGAGATTTTGTCACCACCAGGCCTGCCCTAAAAGAGCTCCTGAAGGAAGCACTAAACATGGAAAGGAACAACCAGTACCAGCCACTGCAAAAACATACCAAATTGTAAAGACCATTGAGGCTAGGAAGAAACTGCATCAACTAATGGGCAAAACAACCAGCTAACATCATAATGACAGGATCAAATTCACACATAACAATACTAACCTTAAATGTAAATGGGGCCGGGTGCGGTGGCTCACGCCTGTAATCCCAGCACTTTGGGAGGCCGAGGCGGGTGGATCATGAGGTCAGGAGATCGAGACCATCCTGGCTAACAAGGTGAAACCCCGTCTGTACTAAAAAAAAAATACAAAAAATTAGCCGGGCGCGGTGGCGGGCGCCTGTAGTCCCAGCTACTCGGGAGGCTGAGGCAGGAGAATGGCGTGAACCCGGGAAGCGGAGCTTGCAGTGAGCCGAGGTTGCGCCACTGCAGTCCGCAGTCCGGCCTGGGCGACAGAGCGAGACTCTGTCTCAAAAAAAAAAAAAAAAAAATGTAAATGGGCTAAATGCTCCAATTAAAAGGCACAGACTGACAAATTGGATAAAGAGTCAAGACCCATCAGTGTGCTGTATTCAGGAAACCCATCTCACGTGCAAAGACACACATAGGCTCAAAATAAAGGGATGGAGGAAGATCTGCCAAGCAAATGGAAAACAAAAAAGGCCAGGGGTTGCAATCCCAGTCTCTGATAAAACAGACTTTAAACCAACAAAGATCAAAAGAGACAAAGAAGGCCATTACATAATGGTAAAGGGATCAATTCAACAAGAAGAGCTAACTATCCTAAATATATATGCCCCAATACAGGAGCACCCAGATTCATAAAGCAAGTCCTTAGAGACCTACAAAGAGACTTAGACTCCCACACAATAATAATGGGAGACTTTAACACCCCACTGTCAACATTAGACAGATCAACAAGACAGAAAGTTAACAAGGATATCCAGGAATTGAACTCAGCTCTGCACCAAGCGGACCTAATAGACATCTACAGAACTCTCCATCCCAAATCAACAGAATATACATTCTTTTCAGCACCACACCGCACCTATTCCAAAATTGACCACATAGTTGGAAGTAAAGCACTCCTCAGCAAATGTAAAAGAACAGAAATTATAAGAAACTGTCTCTTAGACCACAGTGCAATCAAACTAGAACTCAGGATTAAGAAACTCACTCAAAACTGCTCAACTACATGGAAACTGAACAACCTGCTCCTGAATGACTACTGGGTACATAACAAAATGAAGGCAGAAATAAAGATGTTCTTTGAAGCCAGTAAGAACAAATACACAACATACCAGAATCTCTGGGACACATTCAAAGCAGTGTGTAGAGGGAAATTTATAGCACTAAATGCCCACAAGAGAAAGCAGGAAAGATCTAAAATTAGCACCCTAACATCAAAATTAAAAGAACTAGAGAAGCAAGAGTAAACACATTCAAAAGCTAGCAGAAGGCAAGAAATAACTAAGATCAGAGCAGAACTGAAGGAGATAGAGACACAAAAAACCCTTCAAAAAATCAATGAATCCAGGAGATGGTTTTTTGAAAAGATCAACAAAATTGGTAGACTGCTAGCAAGACTAATAAAGAAGAAAAGAGAGAAGAATCAAATAGACACAATAAAAAATTACAAAGGGGATATCACCACCGATCCCACAGAAATACAAACTACCATCAGAGAATACTATAAACACCTCTACGCCAATAAGCTAGAGAATCTAGAAGAAATGTATAAATTCCTCGACACATGCACTCTCCCAAGACTAAACCAGGAAGAAGTTGAATCTCTGAATAGACCAATAACAGGCTCTGAAATTGAGGCAATAATTAATAGCTTACCAATCAAAAAACATCCAGGACCAGATGGATTCACAGCCGAATTCTACCAGAGGTACAAGGAGGAGCTGGTACCATTCCTTCTGAAACCATTCCAATCAACAGAAAAAGAGGGAATCCTCCCTAACTCATTTTATGAGGCCAGCATCATCCTGATACCAAAGCCTGGCAGAGACACAACAAAAAAAGAGAATTTTAGACCAATATCCTTGATGAACATTGATGCAAAAATCCTCAATAAAATACTGGCAAGCCAAATCCAGCAACACATCAAAAAGCTTATCCACCATGATCAAGTGGGCTTCATCCCTGGGATGCAAGGCTTGTTCAACATACGCAAATCAATAAATGTAATTCAGCATATAAACAGAACCAAAGACAAAAACCACATGATTATCTCAATAGATGCAGAAAAGGCCTTTGACAAAATTCAACAACCCTTCATGCTAAAAACTCTCAATAAATTAGGTATTGACGGGACGTATCTCAAAATAACAAGAGCTATCTATGACAAACCCACAGCCAATATCACACTGAATGGACAAAAACTGGAAGCATTCCCTTTGAAAACTGGCACAAGACAGGGATGCCCTCTCTCACCACTCCTATTCAACACAGTGTTGGAAGTTCTGGCCAGGACAATCAGTCAGGAAAAGGAAATAAAGGGCATTCAATTAGGACAAGAGGAAGTCAAATTGTCCCTGTTTGCAGATGACATGATTGTATATCTAGAAAACCCCATCGTCTCAGCCCAAAATCTCCTTAAGCTGATAAGCAACTTCGGCAAGTCTCAGGATACAAAATCAATGTACAAAAATCACGAGCATTCTTATACACCAACAACAGACAAACAGAGAGCCAAATCATGAGTGAACTCCCATTCACAATTGCTTCAAAGAGAATAAAATACCTAGGAATCCAACTTATGAAACATGTGAAGGACCTCTTCAAGGAGAACTACAAACCATTGCTCAATGAAGTAAAAGAGGATACAAACAAATGGAAGAACATTCCATGCTCATGGGTAGGAAGAATCAATATCGTGAAAATGGCCATACTGCCCAAGGTAATTTATAGATTCAATGCCATCCCCATCAAGCTACCAGTGACTTTCTTCACAGAATTGGAAAAAACTACTTTCAAGTTCATATGGAACCAAAAAAGAGCCCGCATTGCCAAGTCAATCCTAAACCAAAAGAACAATGCTGGAGGCATCACTCTATCTGACTTCAAACTATACTACAAGGCTACAGTAACAAAACAGCATGGTACTGGTACCAAAACAGAGATATAGATCAATGGAACAGAACAGAGCCCTCAGAAATAACGCCACATATCTACAACTATCTGATCTTTGACAAACCTGAGAAAAACAAGCAGTGGGGAAAGGATTCCCTATTTAATAAATGGTGCTGAGAAAACTGGCTAACCATATGTATAAAGCTGAAAGTGGATCCCTTCCTTACACCTTATACAAAAATTAATTCAAGATGAATTAAAGACTTAAATGTTAAACCTAAAAGCATAAAAACCCTAGAAGAAAACCTAGGCAATACCATTCAGGACATAGGCATGGGCAAGGACTTCATGTCTAAAACACCAAAAGCAATGGCAACAAAAGCGAAAATTGACAAATGGGATCTAATTAAACTAAAGAGCTTCTGCACAGCAAAAGAAACCACTAACAGAGTGAACAGGCAACCTACAGAATGGGAGAAAATTTTTGCAATCTACTCATCTGACAAAGGGCTAATATCCAGAAGCTACAACGAACTCAAACAAATTTACAAGAAAAAAACAAACAACCCCATCAACAAGTGGGCAAAGGATATGAACAGACATTTCTCAAAAGAAGACATTTATGCAGCCAAAAAACACATGAAAAAATGCTCATCATCAGTGGCCATCAGAGAAATGCAAATCAAAACCACAATGAGATACCATCTCACACCAGTTGGAATGGTGATCATTAAAAAGTCAGGAAACAACAGATGCTGGAGAGGATGTGGAGAAATAGGAACACTTTTACACTGTTGGTGGGACTGTAAACTAGTTCAACCATTGTGGAAGTCGGTGTGGTGATTCTTCAGGGATCTAGAACTAGAAATACCATTTGACCCAGCCATCCCATTACTGGGTATATACCGAAAGGATTATAAATCATGCTGCTATAAAGACACATGCACACGTATGTTTATTGCGGCACTATTCACAATAGCAAAGACTTGGAACCAAGCCAAATGTCCAACAACGATAGACTGGATTAAGAAAATGTGGCACATATACACCATGGAATACTATGCAGCCATAAAAAATGATGAGTTCATTGTCCTTTGTAGGGACATGGATGAAGCTGGAAACCATCATTCTCAGTAAACTATTGCAAGGATAAAAAAACAAACACCGCATGTTCTCACTCATAGGTGGGAATTGAACAATGAGAACACATGGACACAGGGAGGGGAACATCACACACCGGGGCCTGTTGTGGGGTCGGGGGAGGAGAGAGGGATAGCATTAGGAGATATACCTAATGTTAAATGACGAGTTAATGGGTGCAGCACACCAACATGGCACATGTATACATATGTAACTAACCTGCACGTTGTGCACATGTACCCTAAAACTTAAAGTATAATAATAATAATAATAATAATAAAAGAAAAAAAAAGAAAATTGTCTGGATATCTTGGGCTCTGATGACAAGCATCATAATTTTTCCCATTAAATTTAATGGAAATTTTTTCCCATGTAATGGCTCTTCACTTAGTGGCAGCATTTCACAAATGAATTAAAGTTATTAAGGAAAGGAATATATTGGTAGAATAAAAGGAATAAGTGAGGTATAGCCCCAGCCTTGAAGGAGTTTGCAATCCTTTAGAGAAGATGAAAAGATTTGTGCATAAGAGCGTGCAGGATATGAAACTCAGGTTTACTGTAAAGAAATAGGATTTATTTTTTAAAATAAGCATATCTGAAATTATACACCCAAATTGGTATTGTCTTTTTAAAGGGGTCCCCTGGAAAGTACTCATTGTCATTTTTCAAAAGTTGTTTAATTAAAAAATGAGTTTTTAGGATAAAGTAATGGGAAAGGTATCACTGAGAAGCACTGGGATGTAAAATGCCCTAAAAGTATGTGACTGGTTTCTGAAAAGCGGTGATCATCCATAAGGAACCCTTTCCATCATCTACTTAATAGGGAACATCCTCCATTCAACATTTTCTACGTGAGACAATCACAAGGATAAGAATAGCTGATACAAGGGGAGCACTTGATTAGTAACATCCCAGTTCAGAGAGTTAGGTCAAGCTCTGATCCCAGAGTGTGGGATATGTCTGCAATGAGAAACAGCCAACCACAAAAGGAAGCGAATTTTAATAATAGGGGAAAGGCCATCAGATAGGATTCATTCTGGAAAATATTCCTCTTCCTGCTTAAAGCTGTCAGGGTGGTGGGAGTGAGAAGTAGTCTAATACTTTGCTATGCAGCAAAAACAAGCATTTGGGGAAGACATTTGTGAGCATTCTAGGACGTTCAAAAGAAGTTTAGATGGTAAGAGAAGTAAGGCTTATCCACTCCATGTCTTTGACAAGGGCCTGCAATCAATCATAAGCATTGGCATCAGTAAATGGCCACTCAATAGGGACCAGGTTAAGGTTCAAAATAAGTGAGATTGAGGCTAATGCAGAACCCAGACATAAAGAAGAGGCTCCAGAAAGGCCCTCTACTCTGCTTCTGGCTAAACCTTTCAGCTTGCCCTGTGATGGCAGATTGGTGGTTAACATCACTGCCATGTATAGAAGTACTCATAGATTACTTGCATTTTATATATATATATATTTATATATAATATATATAATTTATATATAATAAAAATATATATTATAGCTAATAAAATTATATATAAATATATAATTTATTCCACAATGTGAGTTACCTTCTAGTCAACCAATTCATTTTTGTTCCAAGTTAAAAGAAACATCTGCATATTTTGTTAAGGGGAGTTTCTAGAACTGAATGGACATTATGAATGGACTTTGTGTTTCTGAACCTAATGAACATTGTATATTCTTACATCCTGATATGCCAAGAAGCAGATATAATGTTGGTGCTCTTTTAGAGTGAACAAGCCCAGTCAGTAAACATTCTTGCATTAGCCACTCTTATTACACCACAGACTGTACGTGGTTAGTGCTTAAAAGCCCCCTGCCCTCCACCTCCAAAAAGATTTATAGAGGTGTCCTTAGCACTAGACTGGCATACTCTATTTCAACTGTATCCTCATTCTTGAATTAATCACAGTAGGGAACTGAGACTTTAAAAGTACTTACAAGATGGGGTCATTCTCAGTGTGTGTGTCTCCTGATGTATTCTTTGTGATTCTGCCTGCCCCAGGAGGCTGATCCGGAAGGAGTGTGTTACCCAGGCTCATCTGCCCTCAGCTTTTAGTTGGGTTTGATAAATGCAGTGCAAGCGATTGGACAACAGGAGGAGGAAGAGGCCAGAGTATTTATTCCTGCTGCTCCCTTCCTGGTTTGGCAGTGTGCACATTCCTTTACCTGCGGCCTCAGGTCTTGTCGGGTTGTCAGGTGTGCTTCTCATCCAGTGTTACAGCTCTTACCAGGCTCCAGGACAGTTCCTTCCCTTGCTCCTTCTGGCCTAGGAATGGTAAGAGGTCTTCCCGCTTTGACCCAGCATCCTCTCTGTTGGTTCCTTAACCTATGCAATTAGTCCCTTCATCAAACCCTCTTCAAGTCCCCCGTTGGAATGAACTGTAGGTTTCTTGCTGAAACACATATCTCCCATAGATTATTTTCTCATTCATTATTTTATTTATTAATTTTCACAACACCCCTGTGAAAGAGCTATCATTCTAGAGGTCACAAAACAGGACCATACTTACTAAAAAATTGTAGCTCAGATTTATTTTTTTATTTTTAATTTGTATAGATTTAAGGGGGTACAAGTGCAATTTTATTACATGGATATATTGCATAATGGTGAAGTCTGGGCTTTCAGTGTAACCATCATCTGAATAATGTACATTGGACCCAAAACGAATTTCTCATCTCACCCACTTCCCAACCCCATCTTTCTGAGTCTCCAGTGTCTATTATTCTACTCTCTATGTCTGTATGCACATATTCTTTGGTTACCACTTATAAGTGAGAACATGCAGTATTTCACTTTCTGTGTCTATCATTTCACTTAGGATAATCACCTCCAGTTCTATCCATATTGCTGAAAAAGACACAATTTCATTCTTTTTTGTGGCCGAGTTGTAGCTCTGATTTACATTTAGATTTGACTGACTCCAAACCCTTGCTCCTTCCACTGTATGTACTTTCCTTCTGGAAGGTTTGCTAGTACTTCTCCATTAGTACCATCACCCATAAATGCACTAGTATGATTCCCATTTGCAAATGAGAAACAGAGAATCATATCATCTCCCCCTCCCTCTCCCCCAACAAGCAGAGCTCACTGTCCACATTGTCGTGATTGTATTCCACCACTATCTTCACTGCTATGACTTTCCTATTCCAGGAAGTATTTGTCCAGGGAGATAAAAACTAAAAATAACATTAATGTTCCTTTCAGGAACATCTGAAAAAAAATCATTTTTAATAAACACAGGACTGGTTGACTTTTCTTTTTTTTCTTCTTTGAGAAAGGGTTTCACTCTGTCACCCAGGCTGGAATGCAGTGGCTCAATCACAGCTCACTGCAGCCTCCACCTCCTGAGCTCAGGCAATCCACCCACCTTAACCCCCCCAGTAGCTGGGACTACAGGGACACACCACTATGTCTGGCTAATTTTTGTATTTTTTGTAGAGATTGGATCTCTCCATGTTACCCAGGCTGGTCTTGAACTCCTGGGTTCAAGTGATCGTCCCACATCAGCTCCCAAAGTGCTGGGATTATAGGCATGAGCCACCGCACCTGGCTGACTTTTCAACAATAGGATCAAACTACTCTGCACTCTCTAAGACTCTTCCATACCCTCACCTCCAAGCCCTCATTTTGTGGCACCCACCAATCCTAAAGCGTTCTATCATGGTTTTTACTTAATTCCCATCAAGCATATACCCCTTGCACCGAAAGACCTGTCTTAAACCCCAAAACCTCATAAATATCACAAGTTTCCTGTCTCCTTTCCAAGATGCCACTAATTCATTGTCAAAGTAGCATTCTGCCTTACTGAGGTAAACAATAAACTCAGATTTACCTTATAAATTATTCTAGTGATATTTTCAAGGATCCAGCATTTGACAAGACATACTTATGGAACTTAAATAAATAATTTCCACACATTGAAATATAAAGAAACAGAGTTGAAATTCGAACCCAGGTAATTTGGCCCTAGAGCCCTTTCATAGACAGCACATTATTTTGCCTCCAATGGACTACAACTTCCAAAGAAAAATGCGACAAATTACCCAGCACAAATGTTACTGCTTGGTCATTAGAGCGTTTAGTGTAGTCCCTGATGGCTTGAGTTAGATAATAATGGCAGAACATTATTATCGTTTTAGCTATTCAGAAATAAAGTTACTAAATAATGTTTTTCCATCTCTTGAAGTTTAATTTTTACAAGCTTTTGTCACTTACATTTACAAATATGTCATGGAGGTAATTAACAAAAGTAATAATATTTCTTTATAGTATCATCTCATTACATGAGATTGTTAAATTACATTTTATCATTACAGAAAAGTGAAAAATGGGACTTGCTTTGGCATGATGTTATTAACCAAAGGGATCATTTATAAATTATTTTCACTGTTCAGCACAGATTATTTTATCATCTAATAGATTAAAGGATAATTTTAATTTTTTTTAAAAAGACTGTTAGAATAAACATGGACACTTTAATAAAATAGCATATGAGTTTATTCTTGGGATGCCAAAGGGTATAGCTCAGAGAGGCTAGAATAAGAGTTAAAGTTTTCAAATTACATGTTTGAAGGCAATCATGAAAATAGGAAGTGGCAAATATAACCAAATAGAACAGAGAAAACTTCTAGAAGATTCTGGAAGTGGCTTCTCTTCCTCTTCTTGTTTATTTTGGTTTTCATGATAATCTGTGTCCTTTGGGGACTCCTGAATAAATCTGAGGCAAACAGATGTTAATATTTAACATCCTTTTAGCCTGGCTATTATTGGGAGCAGCTCTTTGAGCAGACTCCACTGAGCTGACTGTCCTGATTAATTGACTCTACCCCATCTCTCTGTGAATCATAACTGTTTTTCCTCACGGAAAACTGAAACTTCACCATTGTACACTAACTCCCTATTCTGCCCATGCAGTGTGCTCCCGCAAGCTGAGTTGTATGATTCCCTAGACTCAGTCATGTTTGACCCCAAACCTTGTCCTTATAATAATTTAACAACTACATACTATGTCAAGTTTTTTAAAATGCTGTTACTGTGAAAACCAAATTAAATACTTTAGAAAGCAAATTGCATTTTAAAAATGAAATCAAATCAAATAACTATTAAGAAATTGGAAAAAATAACTTTAAAAGCCTAGAACAACTTGTGCTCTTAGATTGTATTATAATTGTCTCTAAGTTCTTTTTTCATGTAAGGAAACAGACACTGGAAATGTCGAAGATGAATTATGAGTATAGTTTTGTGGGCAAGATGATCTGGAACCCCAATTACTAGATTCATGCTCAAAGAAAAGGCTTTGGGCCTGCTATAAATGATTGGGAAATGAATATGCATTTAAATGTTTGAAGTAAAATAAAACGTTAAAGGTCTCTATGTGTCTCTTTCATGATTGTCTAATATGATGGACATTTTTTGATTAACCAACTGTGATGGTTGATTTTACATGTCAAGTTGACTGAGTTTTGGGGTGCCCAGATACTTGGTCAAACATTATTCTGGGTGTTTTGGTGAGGGTGTTTTTAGATGAGATGAATATCTGAATCAAACTGAGTAAATTGCCTTCCCTAATGTGTGTGGCCTTATTCAAGGCTTGAATAGAACATAAAGGCTGACTCTTCTGTGAGTAAGAAGAGACTCCTCTTGCCTGACTGTTTGAGCTGGGACATTGGTCTTTTCCTGCCTTTGGACTCTAGGTGAAACAATAGAGCTCTGCTGATTTTTGGACTGGAACTACATCATCAGTTCTCCTGGGTCTGCAGCTTGCCAACTGCAGATCTTGGGATATCTCAGCCTTCACAATTATGTAAGCACATTGCTTATAACAAATATTTTTGTATCTGTATAAAACATCTGTTAGTTCTGCATGTACTGGTGTAGTTTATATTAGATAAGAGGACTTCTACAAAATCTAATAAGTCTTGTTTTGTCATGGTCTAGGATATTTCTAGACACAGTCTAGCGCAATTTCTAGAATTGACTGAGTGACACAAAGTCTCTTTCCTCATAGTCCTTACATTCTTGTGGGGGAAGACAGTCAAGTAATCAAGCAAATGAATGAGATAATTACTATTTGTAATTAGTGTTAATAAAACACTAGAAAAGTGAAGTGGGGCAGAGTGGGTGATGGGGGCAACTTTAGATTAGCTGGTAAGGGAAAGAAGGCATGTAAAGGAGTGAGCTTATTTGAAGAAGGGCTATGTGACTGCACTATGATGAACCAGAAGGAAGAACAATTGCATCAGTTAGGATTCTAATATAGGTGGAAATCAGACTGTGTAGAGTGCTGTAGGTCATGGTAATGGCTTGGGATTTTATTGTAAGCACTGGGAAGGCGCTGAAAAGCTAAAATGTGATTTAATTTGGGGTTGTAAAGATAATTCTGTAGGTTGTATAGAGAATAAATTTAAGAATGCAGGAGAAGAAACTTGTCAGAAGGCTATGGCAGCAGGGTAGATGGATGTGCGTTATGACTATGGAAACAGAGGAGAGGGCCAATATGAGGCATTTTGAAGAATATAATCAGTAGGACTTGTATGATGGATTCAGCGAAAATGAAGACAAAGAAGGGAGAAATTAGAAAAGGCTCTTAGGCTTTCAGCATGAGCCGCTACTACAAGGTAGAGAACAGCAGTAGAGAGTTATTTAGAGAGGGCGGCATGAGGAAGTTAACTTTTAGTAGATACACTTTGGATGCCTGTTAACCAGGCAGTTGGAGAGGACTGTTAGGCAGCAGAGTACAGTTACAATGAGGTAATTTCAGGGTCAGACATCCTGGAGTTGAACATTGACTCAAACACCCTGGGCATTTATTGAACCTCCTCATGTCTCGTTTCCCCATCTGCTAAAATGTGGATATTAATAAGGCTTCAAACTCAAGTCATTGATAGAATCAACTAAAATAACTCATACAAAATCAGAACAGTGCTTGATATATAGCAAGTATATAATAGTCATTAGTTGTGGTGGCTATTGTTTTACATGAGTTGGAGCCCATGAGGCAGGCCTGAGCTGGACCTACACATTTGGGAATCATCAGCTTAATAAATGGTACTGAAAGCGAAGGGAAGACAAAAGAGGATGATCTAGCAAAGAAGACTGAGGATCAAAGGATGATGTCAGAGGAAAGCATCAGTCAACCCCCAAAAAGAGTTTTAAGGAGTCATCAGTTGATTAAATGCTAAAACATCAAGAAGGATGGGATCAAGGCAATTTCCAATGTATTTAGCAATAAGGAATTTGGTTGTGACCTTGGCAGGAGTAATTTCACTGAAGTAGTAAGAATAGAAGCCAGATTACAAAAATTGAAGAGAGAATTGTACTTCTGATTAACAACGTATATTGAGTACAAGTGGTCACTTCAGATTCCTTTCATAATACCATTAAAAAGACAGTAATGGGCTGGGCGTGGTGGCTCACGCCTGTAATCCCAGCACTTTGGGAGGCCAAGGCAGGCGGATCATAAGGTCAGAAGATCGAGACCATCCTGGCTAACACGGTGAAAACCCGTCTCTACTAAAAATACAAAAAATTAGCCGGGTGTGGTGACAGGCACCTGTAGTCCCAGCTACTCGGGAGGCTGAGGCAGGAGAATGGCATGAACCCGGGAGGCGGAGCTTGCAGTGAGCCAAGATCATGCCACTGCACTCCAGCCTGGACGACAGAACGAGACTCCATCTCAAAAAAAAAAAAAAAAAAAGACAGTAATGGAAGGTTTTTTTTAAGGGATGAATGCAGGATCTCACAAGAACTGAATGGAAGATAACAGTAGATGAGAGATTTCAACAAGCTTTTGAAAGATGGAAAATGAAGGTACCAGGGGTAACTGATTAGCAGTCTAGAAAAAGGTAAAAGGGAAGACTGTAGTGTTAAGGGCAAGTAGACAAAAAGAAAGATGATTTATGTCTCAGAACCCTGGAAGGACTTGAGAACTGATGGTGTCAGGGACCGTTGGATTATCAGTTGAAAATGTGTCTATGAACAGGTCTTTGCATCTTGTCCTCCAATCTTCAGCCAATGGGTAGCCCATCTTCATGCCAACAGAAGCCTGGAATTTTATTCTCTCGAAAGGTTAAATTTCTCTACCAAATAATAATGAGAATACTTCCAGCCTCATTCATGCTACCCAGGTTGAAGAACAGAAGATGCCTTTCAGGGAAAACTGACTGGTCTGTGGAAAAGACAAAAAGATTGGGATATTTGCTTATCCCTCAATGAAAAAGCTAGCTTACCATCAAGTGATATCTGCTATTGACAAATCCTCTTCATGCAAATAGAGCTTTTCACATAAAATACAGAAATAAAATCACATAAAAACTCAGAGAAAATAGAAACTACAAGAGCAATAAAGAAACTCCAAAAATCTTTTAATAATATTCTCAAAGAGTTAGGAGATATCACATCCACAAAACAAGAATAGAATGTGATAAAAAGTGAATTATCAAAGCACAAGAGTGGGTTCTTGGAGAGTCAAACTGGAGGGGAACTAAAAGTATCAATAGAAACATTGGAAGGTAAAGTCAAGAAAATCCTGAAAATGGAAGGAAAAGAAACAGAAAATAGGAGAAGAAAGGTAAAACAATTTTTGAAGATCAGGGTAGGATATCCATTTTCTAAATAATAGTAGTCCCAGAAGAAAAGAGAGAGAATATATGAAGGAAATAACATTTAAAAATTCCTAGAATTGAAAGACATGAGTTTGCAGATTAAAATTACCCATTGGATGTTCAGCCAGACAAATGAAAAGAAAGGCAAATAAGGTCCCCCCCACCTCCCCAAAAAATCATCATCATCATCATCATCATCATCCCAGATGATTCTAGAGAGAAAAATCAGGTCATATACAAAAGCTAGACTCAGAATGGCATTCATGGAAACTATAAACAGCATTAGAAAGCCTTGGGATCTAGAGAAGAACACATCTCTTACAGAGGAGAGCTGACGAGAATTCCCAGGGGAAGAAGAGAAAGCCCTGATTACCTAGCAAGCAAAGCCAGGATGTGGAGTGAGTCAGGTGCCTTGACTGCTGGGAAATTTGAGACAAACAGGATTAAAAGGCATGAAGAACTCACCACAACAGGAAGGTGGGCAATTTGCTATGGTCCTGCCTTAGCCCATGTGTGTTGGGGAAGTTGCTGTTTGTTTCTGAAGCTCTACTAAGGCCGATGGAGGAGGACTCCTAGCTGACGGAAGTGTATGCTCAATGGAAGTTAGCCCCACTCACAACATGCAGTCTTCCCTCAAGTTTCATTTATTTAATTTTTTGAAAGCTTTCTTGTACATGACTGCCAATCTCACTGAGAATTTCCTAAAACAGAAAAATTCTTATAGGCACTACCTATTCTAAGAAAGATTTTAGTCTCAATAATTGCAGGTAACATTGTACATTACTATTACACGAAATGGATTTTTCAATCAATATATTGTTTTCTTTTGTGCTAAATCTACTCTTTAAAGCACTTGTGTAATTTAGGTTATGAAAGTATTTTTTCGACAATTGGCACCAGAATGGCTTTTGGGGAGGAAACTATTTTTGTTTGAGGAAATGTCTTGATTAGCCACTAGGTAGAAGGTGGGTCCCTGTGGGGTGTGGTGTTTGACAAAGCCAAAGCCACAAAAGAGAATGCTCAAATTGCTCCCTATGAGAATTATAAAGGAATTTCTTTTGTTTCTGAGAAGGAGAGGTAGAGTAGAGAGGGAAGCCAAGAGGGGAAAGAGGAGAGAAGGGGTTAGAAAATGGAAATTCTGACATGCTGGATGACAGGAGGCAGAGCAGCCAGTGGAAAATATGGGGTGGCTGAAAGTTTGCAAGGAGGGCTGTTGAACACTCAGTGGAAACTGTCTGCATTGCTACAATGAGATGGCCCATCCAGTACCAAATGCCAGAGTATACCACACTCACAAATACGTGTGCAAGTGGACTTGAAGGCAGATGTGATTTTTACATCTTAATTAGCTCGATGTTAGATAGAGACATCAGGCCCAGAGGTATAAACCCAGAAACAAATTGGACCTCATGAAGGTTGTTCTTCAAGGATGAGAAGGCTTTGGATTTCCATACTGTGCAAACTGAGAGTTCAAGTCTGGACCTGTTGAGGTTTCAAGAGTGCAGGAGAACACAACTGATGTGTAGATTATACCTCTAGCAACACATCTCTAACACGACAAATATTTGAGTATGCCTTTTCTTTTTCTTTAGTGGCTATTTTTTCTCATTATTTTAACCTAAAGCATGTTCAGTATAAGCCACAGCTTGGTTTTCCTTTAGTTACTTTCAGGAAACTTTGTGTGAAATTAATTACATCTAATGAATGGTATTTTTTTTTGTGAGTTTCCCATGTTTTGAAAAATGAAGCCAGTTCCTTACTAAATAAGGCTTTTGAAAAATCTGATTCTATTATACACAATGTGTATTGTTTCCTTACTTGTGATGATGTTTAGTATCACTTAAAAACCCTGGTATTATATAACACATATGTGTTAGATTTGTTCCTCTGTCTACTCCATACTATATATAGTTTTATATTTTTTCTTTTCATATATATAATTATTTGTATATGTTTGCATACATATGTTTTGTTCTCTACCTGTTTATTATCTAGTTTCTCTTCTTCATAGCTAGAAATTTCATCTCTCGGCAGCTAGCCCTCATAACAGAGAAGCAAAATTATACCTTAACTGATGGGCCATTTCCTTTTCCTGCTTCTTATTCTTTACTGTCATTTTTTTTACTGGACTTTTTTTTTTCTATTGACTGTCATAGATTAATTTAAAAGGTTCCTCTGTGTTAGTTCAAAGATTTTCCACAGTTAACATTGCTTCCCTCTGCTTCTGATCAAATCGGTCTCCGTAATAGAACTCATGTCTGTTGACATTTGCTGATCTAAAAAAAAATACCAGAAGGCATAATTTTACTTTTCTATATCTTCTGTGTTAGGGAATGTTCTTTTAATGATCTGATTCTTCTCACTGCATTTATCAGGCCATGTCTATGCTAATTGACATTCTCTTTTCTAAACTAACCCACCATTTATTTTGAAGATCCCTGTCTGAATTTTTGACTTGGAAGTTAAACTCTGTTAGTAAATCTATTCATAAGGCAGAATGAGCTATTTCAAACATAGTTTCTAATCTCCCTATTTTAAGATTTATCCATTTGCAAAAAAAAAAAAAAAAAGAGAGAGAGAGAGAGAGAAAAGAATACAAAAATTCCACTAAAGCATCACCACAAAATGTTAAATAGCATAGTTAATTGTTGGAATCTGCACATAGTCGGGATAATCAGTGATAAAGAATAAATAAAATAAACAATTAATTCTCTTCCAGCTCCTGTATGCTTGACAGATATACTCTCCACTTTCCTGATTAAAAAGCAGAAGCTACCTGAAGAAACTCGCTCCTTTCGCTCTACCAGCAACAGACGCATCAGCCTCTGCCTGCAGCCTCTCCTGTCCTCCTGCTCCTTTTCTCATCAGGGCCGGCATCTCCATGTGTGGTTGGGATGCCATCCTCTCTCAGCTTCTAAAACAATTTACTCTATGCATCCTTTCCTCCTTCTCTTATGTTTTCAATTTTGACCCATCCCATCAGCATTTAAATATGCTCTAATCTTTCCTATTAAAAAAGAACCAAAACACCTCAGCTTCACACTCCCTTCCTGCAACCTTTCCATGTTTGTCTGACTTTTCACAGCCAAACTTAACAAAACATTCTCTGTGTTCCCTGCTTCTGTTTTGTCACATCCTGTTTCTTCCTCTACACCCACAATCTGTATTCCATTCCCATGATTCCTCCAAAATGGCTCTAAGATCACCAGCGACCTTCGCTGAAATAAATGCACACTCCTGGGCTTTCATTTCACCTGGTTGCTCACAGTAGGCCATCCTTTCCTTCTGTAGAGCCTGACTCCTGTGGCTTCAATACCCCCACTCCTCTGGGTTCACACTGACTTCTCTGGGCACTCCTGCCCAGCCTTCTTTTCTGAATGTTTCTCCTGCATTTCAACTGAAGCTCTAGGTGGCAGTTGCTCCTGGCTTGGTCCCCTCTCCTGTCCTTATTTCACACTCCCTCATGTACTCACATTTGCAGAGGTTTTATTGACCACCTTTTCCCAAAAGATTAATTTAAATGCCAGTGAATATAATGAAGGTTTTGGTGACTCCTATTTCAGGGAAACCTCTTTACAGGGAAATATTCACAGAAGGGGACCAATGTCTTGCCATTACATTCTCACATGGGCAAATAATCCAAAAGGGGGCTCCTTTAACAGACCATGAGCTCTTTGAGGGATTTTGAAAGATTCATAATTCAGTCTTGCACAGGACTCAGTGTGTTAGCACTTGAAGTATCTTTGGTTTATTTATAAAGTTCTTATTTTAGCTTCAAAAGGCTATTTCTTATACCAGATCATTGCTTATTTCCTTATAAGGAGGGGACAAATTTCTAGTCTTTTGATAATATGACTTATTTTTATTGCCAGGATACTTGATAACCATTTTACCTTTCCAAGCATTATTTATTCAAGATTAGCTCTCTGTTGGAAGAACTAGTTAAAATATTTACTCTAGAAAATTCTCCAAACCTTTTAGTGCAATTTAGTACTTGGTAGTTGAATGGACTAGCAGATGGTAACTTCAGACAGCATGACTACTCTATTACTTCAGGAAACGTTTTCCTAACTAGGAATAACATTTCTTAGATCCCTGTGTGTGTTTGAGTGTTGAGAAATGCCCACAGAGTGAAGGAGTCCTGGTTTATGGTTATGAAGGAATGCTGTTTGCTGCTGACTCAAGCAGGCTGAAAGTCCCAGTTGACTAGGATACATAAGAAATCAACTTAATTGATCCTAGATAGGAGAAGATTTCTTAGAGGAATAATGACTTCTTCAGTTAACCAGTTTAAAATCACCTAGTATAAAAACCAACATTGTAGAACAGTAGAAAGGCATGTGCTTTGAAACTAGGCAAGCCCGTATTCAAATACTAATTCAGCTGCTTGTTCATTGTGGCTAATTAATAATAAATAGTGGGCGGTGATTGAATTTTCCTGATTCTCACTTTATCACCCATAAATTTGTTTTGGTTATGCTTTTATCATAGGATTACTATGATCATTAAATGGAATAATATAAGGAAAATATCTGGTAGCCATTAAAGTAACAATAATAATTCAATTCCAGGTCAGGTTCAAAAGCTTCTTCTTGGTACTGATGTGTTTCTAAAATGGATGCATTTCTAATTATATATAATAGTAATTAAAATGTGGACAGGATTTTGCAACTCTTTTTATATATATTATCTAGTTTTATCTTTGGTGTAACCATCCACTTGACAAGATGTACCCCTATTTTGGATAAGGAGGTAGATAGAGCATGAGAATTGCTGGGGGCCTTCTTCAACCTCAGCTGAGTGTTGGAGCAGGCTCTCTCAGTACCCTGCAGGGTATCAACTGGGCTAAAGCTACGCAGATAGAAATGAATCTTAGATCAACTCTAATAATATTCAGCATGATGCCTTATACATAATAAATTTCCCATGTTTGTCAAATGAATGAATTTATCTAAGAATATTACTAAGTGGGGCAGAAGCCTAACACTCTTTTTACTTTTTTATTCCTGATAGTCAAAGTAATTAAACATGAAACCTATTTGTTATACAAATTGAAAGAAAGCTGAAATATATTTATAGTGCTAAATCTTTATAAAGTTGGAAATCATCTTTAATAGCATTGGAGTAACTTCTTTTAAGATAACAGAGTCTTATACTCTCTCTCGTGATGAATACAGTCTTCTAATTTAGCTTTTCTAATACTTTAGATGGAGTATTTCAGAATTTTGATCATTGCAATATGGCAAATACACACTCTGCTCCTGTGTTAGTGTTTTTAATGTCAAGTGTGTAATGGATTTTTTCCTTTTATCCCAATAGACATGCGCGCGTGCACGCACACACACACACACACACACACACACACACAGAGTTTAGTTTCTCATCAGCCTATTTGGTAGCACTTTAAAAACTTTTTCAGCACATAGACAATATGAGAACATAACTGAAATTAAACACTTTTTGGCCAATTAGTTTATTATTTTTAACTAGACTATTGTAGTACAAAGAAAATAATGAGTTGAAAAATGGATTTGATTAGTTTCCATTACTGTGATCTGAAATTACTTAAAAATCATAGTGTTGTTAGAGAATATGTATTTTTCTAAAGTATAGGCATGATTCTTACGCAAATATAAAATAAACATATCAAAAATTTTTATTTATCTCATTAATCAAATGCAAGACTGAGTAGACATTATAACTGGTCCAAAGATGTCAAAAGGCAGAGCCATTTATAGATAAGAAATATTGGAGTAAATGTGCAAATGAATGCAACCCAGCCTTCCTCCCCTTCTTTTTTCCCTGCCCTTTGAGAATGGGGTGTGGGGGAGGGAGTTCCCTCCACTGGACTGAATTTATTTATATATCTATAGACAAGAATTATTGCATTGCTATCACTGTTCTACAACTCACAGTTGTAAAAAAATAGCTCAAAGGTAATGAAGACCACACAGTCCCCATGGAATCAGGCAGATAACCCCGAAGACTGTGCTAAAGGTCTACACAGTACATAGCTTTCCACTGAAGCACACATTTTCCTCTGGGCTTGGAAGGTGATGGTGGTACAGGGTGCTATGAAACATTGTAGTCAGCTTGTGAATATAGTGAATACAGTGAATTTTAGTTTTAGTACAGCTGATATTGACACAGACATAGTTTACTTCTTAGAGCCAACCTGAATATGAACAAGATTCATGGAGATTACATATTGGCATGGGAAAATGGGCATGGGGTAACTTCCAAGACAGTATGATTTAACAATGCCATGGAATATATCAAATTAGTAATATGGGCCAGAAGATCTCTAAGGTAGCTTCCAAATCTATCATTAAAATTATTTCAGAGGCCACTAGACTGAAATGGCTCTAGCATCTTGGGTTCCCATGTAAGCAAACCAAAGCCCAACTCAATGTAAACAGTAAAATGGAACTTAACCAATCCAAAAATGCCAAACTAATCTCTAAGTAGATCTCTTCACTTTAATCTGTTAATTACATTTTCCTTGTCTTGCTTCACAAACACCTTATTAAAGTTTCCTCTGCTACATGCCTGGATTATGGAACTACTCCTGGTCTGGGGCTGCCCATTCACAAATAGCTGAATGTTCAGATAAATTTGTTAAAATTTTAATGTGCCTAAGTTTATCTGTTAACACTATAATTCTAAGAATTTATTGCAAAGAACTGATTTTTCTTTGCACCAAACCCAGCCCAAATCTACTGAGTCTGAGTCTTTGCAAGCTGAGTGAGAGGTTTCTCTGAATTGGGCACTGTTCCAGCCCTTGCAGGGGAAGTGAACTTGTGAAGAATTTGTTCTAATTTCCACATTGCTCGTTGCTGTTCACAGACTGGATGTAGAATTGTCCTGAAGCCCAGCGAGAGAACAAAGCTCTGATTAGAGCAAGCATCAGTGACTGGGCCTGGTAATGCAATGACGGGAGGCGGCCCAACACCAGCAAATGCTTGCTGCTGGTGGAAAAAGAGCCTCCTTAGCACTTAGCAGGCTTTGTTTGCAACTGCAGGCCAAGAGAAAAGCAAGCAAACAGAAAAGGGGAGAAAAAGGAAAATGGAGATTTGCTATTTTTGGGCACCTCTGTTGTTATGTTATTTGAGGCATGTTGTTTTTCATTTTTGATGACTTTTTAAATTGTTCTGTTTGTTTCTATGATCAGGGTGATTGGATAGTTTAGCTCATAGCATCTGATGGAATTTGTATTTTTCTCTTGATGAGAAGGCAGCTCTCATTAGCATTAATGACAATTCCACATTGTTTTTCTCTCAATTTGCCAACTGCTTTTTTCTTTTGGAAAATGGATGTATTTTTCTCTCTCTCCCAAAACATCTCCAGTCTTAAGCATTAAGTGGATTGAAAAATGTGCTTTTAATGCCTATTCCGCCATAGCTTCCAAGTATTTGCAGGTTTTATCTTTGTGCAAGTTACTTAGAGCACATATGGAAGTAAGTGATAAAAAGTGTATTAAGAATGTAAATTCTTTAGTGGAATGCTTAATCTGTCCTTCAATAAGAAAAAATACACATTTGCAACAAACTCTTTGAATGTGTATATAAGTGTCCATGTTTGTGTGTGTGTGTGTGTATGTGTGTTTCCCTGCATCTGTTGTAGACTCATGGGGTTATTTTAGTATAATTTGTAATTGTCCTTGTTTGGAAATCAATACAGAGTAACAAGACATATTTCCTCTAGCTAATAGTAATTCTTTAAATGGAAAGTACCTTTGGCCATTGTTTCATTTTTAGAGGTTTAAATTATTTTAGTATGATTAATGAGAGCAGCAGTTCCTTGACATTCTTAATCACTATATCCTGTTAGTTTAAGATCTCACTTTGCTCCCAATTTATGGCTAAATGCTCTAACTACAGTTAGATGTAACACAAATATTTCTTGTACTTTACTATGAAAGAATTAGGAAATGGTAGTTTTGATCATACCAGTATCCCCATGGAGATGAGATAAAAAATAAAGTACGAGTCTACTCGGTTTGTCATTTTGCTTAATTTCAGTTTCATTGACTAATCTGGAATTGTTTTATAGTTTATTTGGAACTCAAAGAAGCCTAGTATATAAACCCATAACTGTCAGACTCCCAAGGGCCCAAATACTAGAAAAACTCTCCCCCAACTTTTGCTCCCTCATCCTCTTTTTTTTTTTTTTTTAACATGGCTGCCCCTACTAAGGATGCCAAAATAAAGCAGACAAAAATGGCTGTTCAGGTTGTTTCCAGGATCACTTGTGCCATCTGCCCTTTGCTTCTCTCCCTGGTTTTTTATTCTTGGAACCATAATTTGGTGGTGTATTTCGAGTCCCCTCCCTGACCCTCTGGACTCAGCTTTACATATTGCTCTGACTAGTTTCTCTGAAAATGTCAAACAGAAGATTCCCTGTCCTCCTGCTCTGATGACCGCATTTTCCTCCTGAATTACTGTAAAAGCCCAAATTAATCTTCAGTCTTGCCATTCTCCTCTCCATTACTTCCAATCATCCAGAAAGGTCTTCTTAAAACTCAAATTTCAACCCATCATTCTCTACTTTCCATCTCTTTGCCCGGAGCTCCTTTGGGAAAGGACAGAAGCCCAATTTATGGCTCCAGACACAACCTTTACCATGACTCACTTCACACACCATGTTCTAATCCAGAGACTTCAGGGTGGGGTCCCCTGGCTAGCAGCGTCAGTGACACCTGGGAACTTGTTAGCAATGTGGATTTCTTAGGGCTTACCCTAGACCTGAATCAGGAACTCTGGGATAAAGCCCAAAAATCAGTGTTTTAACATGCCCTTTGTGGGGTTCTGGTATGGCTCAAGCTTGAGAACAACTGCTGTCATCTCAGTACTTGCAGTTCTAATGCATGCTCTCTCTTCCCACTTTCGGAATAGCTCTCACCCTTCCCACCACATTGTCACCACTGGCCAACTCCTGCTTGTCCTTCAGTATGAGATACAACCTCCTTTGAGTGTTCTTTAAATCCCCAAACTAGGTCCAACAGTTCTTTGTGTGTCCATGCAAACCCTGTGTTACCTTTATAGGCTAGTCCTTGCCACATAAAGGTCCGCACATTTCTCTGTCATTCTGCATCCTCGCTCAAGACTACAAGTACTTTAAGAGCAGGCAGTAAGATATAGTTCACAAAATCCCTTTTTATCTCAGCTGAGCAAATGCCTGGAGCAAAATAGGTCAGTTAAGTGTCAAATGTTTATCGGATAATTAAGTTACCTATTTGCTTTTCATTACCTTCTAATTGATATTTAGAATGAGCAACATTATTTCATGTATGCATATGATGTTTGTCTGGTTTGATTTCAGATTGAAAAAAATTCCTTAAGGGCAGAAGTCTTTTTTTTTTTTTTCCTTCGGTATGTCTTCCCTTTCTCTCAATACTGCTAAAGCACAGTCTTCTGCATGTGGGATTTTATTTCAAAGCGTTATTTGAAATGGCATACCAGCATCTGGTTACTTAGCATACTCTGGAGGACAATGAGGGTGTGGGTAGGATGGTGTCTCCAACTAGGGTATTGTTAAATGAAACCTTTATGTATTTTTCTTAATGCAAGTTAATGTATATATGTTGATGGTTAATATGCAAAGTCTTTTGGACTTTTCCTGGGAAACTGAACTTACGTATTTATCTGGATTTTGAAAGCATGCTCTCCCATTGCCAAGCCTATAGTCTTTTTATGTAAGTAAAATAATTTATTCCAGAAAAAAAATCTTGACAGATAATCAAGATCTATGAAATTCCCTTAAATCATTGAAGGATTTCTACCAAAAATATTCTATCCCAAATAGCCCACCCATGGGTAACTAAAAGAGTAAACAGAGAAGTGTGAAAGGTCTATAACAGTTTCCAGGTTTATACTTGGCAAATGCTTAGGGATGAGTTGAGTCAGAGTCCCATCTTATGAAACAGCTTCTTAAACTCTATTTCAGAGATGGAGTAATGGTGAAGTTTCTATGTCAATTGAATCGGCTGAGGATGCCCACATAGCTGGTGAGACATTATTTCTGGGTGTGTCTGTGAGGTGTTTCCTAAAGAGATTGGTATTTGAGTCAGTAGACTGAGAAAAGATGATCCACTCTCGCCAGTGTGGGAGGGCTCCTGCAATCCACTAAATGGAATAAAAAGGCAGAGGAAAGATGAATTCTTGGTCTCTTCTGGAGCTGGAACATCCATCTTCTCCTGCCCCCGGATATCAGAGCTCCTGGCAAAGTGCCTGATATGGTGAAGATGTGCGGTCACAATAGATGTTATTAATTAGGTATGGTTCTACCTCTGCCAATGCTTAAGTGCCTAACTTTAGGAAAGCCACTTAAACTGCTGTTATCACCAGCCAAACCTGGGGTCTGCAGCCTCCACAGTAACCACAGTGGTGAGGCTCTTGGGAGATGTGAAGAGTCCTTCGGTAAGAAAATCAACTATTTTCAGGCTGGCCTATGCCTGTAGGGAAATGTCTACTGTGTGTGGCTATTATTTTTTTTGAGTGATTCACTCTTTAAAAATAGGTTGCCTGGGGCAAGTAGGGGAAGAGACGAAAGCACACATTTTCACAAAGTTTGAAAAACACTTAGTTCCACAGCTCTAGGCACACCCGCTAACGCAGTTGTTAAAAATGGTACTTGATGTTGTAGCCCTTGGCCTAGAGCCTCCAACTTGCTATGGGCAGGTTGAGCATAATACAGGAAATACTTTATTCAAGAGAAGTTAATGTATCTTTTCTTCAGGCAGCACCATCTGTGTCAAATCTAAATCATTCTTAAAAATCTATATCATACTACGTTTGTTATGTTTCAAGTGTAAAGGAATAGATTGCCTTTTGTTTGGGCTGCAGGATGAGTATATGTTATTGAATCAATGGTTAAACAAATGCCAAGTCATGCATCCTACCTCTCAAACCCTCCCGGTGGCACCCCACCTTACTTAAGCCCTCAGTCTGATCCACAGAGGCCTGCACAACAGGCCCTGTTTTTTGCCCTGGCCTCATCTCCTGCTCTCCTTCTCTTCCTTGTACGGTTTCCCACACACAAACTCCTGCCTCTAGGCCCAAACACTCACTCCACATCTCCTTACGAGGCTCTTCTTAGCCCAGATATCTTCATGCTTTCTTTCTTCACTTTCTTAAGGTCTTCATGAGACTGTCATCCCCTCATTGTGGACTACTCCCGCTACACTTTTTGCTACTGCAACCCTTGCATGCCTTCCCCCTCCCCTCATTTATTTATTTCTCCTTAGTAATTATTATGAAATAATATTCTACATTTTTTACTTATTTATCGTGTTAATTGCCTCTTGTGAAGTTCATGAGGGCAGGTTTTGGAATTTTTTAAAAATTCAATTTATTTACTACTTATAAAGTATTTAAAATAGGGCCTGGCTCAGATCAGGTTCTCAATACATTTTTACTGAATGAATGAATGAATGTTGATGGTCTGATCAAGGAGAAACAATTCATTGGGCCAAACTAACAGAAATTAGAGCATAAGCTCTCTGAGGAAAAGACTACATTTCGATCATTCTTTATTGCCTACACAAAGCTTTACAAAGTGCCTACAATATAGTGGGCATGCCATAGTTATCTTATGAATGAATGAATGAATGAGGTAAGCCACCTAATTGCCACAGTGTGTCCTGGAATAAAACATCATCCTCGGAGCAATTGGTTTCTTATTGTAATTGGGCTACCAATTTTGTTTTAGGAACTTAAATAAATTCCTTATTTCTGAGTCTCAGTCTTGGCATTTTTAAAAGGGAGCAACATTATTTTTGAGAATAATGGAATTGAAAGAGCTAAACCATATACGGTGTCTGGCAAATAGTAAAATTTTAACAAATAATACGTTATCTTTTCTCCTCTTTTAAAATCCCCTGTAGCTCTAAAATGAGTCCTATGATCCAATTTACACTTACATTGTTCTCTTTGAGAAAGAATTTAAAATTTAAAATTTCAACTACAACATCTGTAACAATAAAACAAATGGTAGGTTCGTATTCTCTTCAAGTTCCTCCCTAAACTTCAAACTACACCTGTACAGGAAGCATTATAGTACATAAACAAAGTCTTAATCATTGACTACCATCAAAAAAGAGAAAAAGGAAAAAAAAAATCTACAACTTCCACGGGAAATTCCAAGCACAAATTCTCACAGTCGCTTCTATTCACTTGTTGTTACTTCTTTGACCATTGTTTTAACTGTGGTACAAACAGAGACATGTTTTACAGTATTTTTATCTCCTTAAAGCAAAGCACTATTGCTGCATGCCAATCCTGATAATTGCAATACTTGCCCTAGATAGCCAGGTTGAATTAAGCTAGGGAACCTGGAAAGTCAAAGATTAAATTTAGAAAGTTAAATTTAAAGCGATTTTTTTTTATTCCAAGTGTCATAAAGTATGCATGTAGTTCCTCATGTGTAGCCCTAGAAATCAGTCCTTCTTGGAAGGCATGCTTCATTGACTTTTATCTACCTAGGCCTGGGGCAGATAGGAATATCATCTTATAAAATTAATAGCATTATGATTATAATTTTTCTTCTTATCAGGAGTAAAAGATTTGTAAGAGGAAGTGTTTTAAAGGAATCTTGATAAGGGAACTAATATAATACTTCAGAGAGATTTCTGAATTTATCCCAATTGTAAATTTGTCCTATTTATCTAAATTCCTGGAATTTATTTATGCTTTGTGCTGATCAGCTTTTGACTCATTTATCTCATTAGTCCTTCTTTGTTAAACTTTAATTAAGTTTTAAGAGAGTCTATGGTTAGAGAACACCACTAATTGTAGTGTGGCATCATTTGTTTTCTGAGTTGGTAAAATTATCTCTGTTTTCTTCATTTTTAGTTATTTTTTTGACGCTCTTCAAAGTGGTTGAAACTTTAAACAAATTGTTTTTTAAGTAAATAGGGTAATTTACAATTGGAATAAGTGGAAATATCTTCAGAATGTCATACATACTGTTGGTGTTATTTCCTTTGTATGATTATGATTTATTTAGATCTTATTTTAATCATGATCTATAAAGATTGGTTTTTAAAGAGCTTGTATTGTAACACAGTTTTGGGTTTTTCCTGTTCTAGTCAAATAGAATGGCTTCTCAGTTCCAGGCAAACTAACTTTGAGTTTAATGTGACAACATTTTGTTGAGTGCAGGCTTTGGTCAAGATAACACATAGATTCTCTCATCGTTAAGAGATTTTACTGTGTGGACATCTCATGATGTGAACGGCATACTCACTGCTAAAGGAGACTTGTGGCTGTCACACAACCGTTTACTTAAATATCAGGCTCTATTCCTTGAAGGGCCAGTGCTGCGACTGTGCACTTGTGCAACTCTTAACCCAGCCACATTTCTTTCAGACAATGAAGAAAAGATAGAACATAACTGTCAACAAGTAATTGCTCAAACCTACGTCACTCGAGGGGACGTTCTAGAGGTTCCCTTGACTGATCCTGACCTCAACTTGTGTACTGATGGAAGTTCCTTTGTAGAAAAAGGACTTCGAAAAGCAGGTTATGCATGGTCAATGATAATGGAATACTTGAAAGTAATCCCCTCACTCCAGAAACTAGCGCTCAGCTGGCAGAACTAATAGCCCTCACTCGGGCACTAGAATTAGGAGAAGGAAAAAGGGTAAATATATATATATATATATAGACTCTAAGTTTGCTTACATAGTCCTCCATGCCCGTGCAGCAATATGGAGAGAAAGGGAATTCCTAACTTCTGAGGGAACACCTGTCAAACATCAGGAAGCCATTAGGAGATTATTATTGGTGGTACAGAAACCTAAAGAATCTTACACTGCCAGGGTCATCAGAAAGGAAAGGGAAATAGAAGGGAACTGCTAAGCTGATATTGAAGCAAAAAGAGCCATAAGGCAGGACCCTCCATTAGAAATGCTTATAGAAGGACCCCTAATACGGGGTAATCCCCTCCAGGAAACCAAGCCCCAGTACACAGCAGAAGAAATAGAATGCGGAACCTCACGAGGACATAGTTTCTTCCTCTCAGGATGGCTAGCCACAGAAGAAGGAAAAATACTTTTGCCTGCAGCTAACCAATAGAAATTACTTAAAACCCTTCACCAAACCTTTCACTTAGGCATTGATAGCACCCATCAGATGGCCAAATTATTATTTACTGGACCAGGCCTTTTCAAAACTATCAAGCAGATAGTCAGGGACTGTGAAGTGTGCCAAAGAAATAATCCCCTACATTATAGGCCATACATTTCAATCCTTGTATCTTTAATCTCCTTGTTAAGTTTGTCTCTTCCAGAATCGAAGCTGTAAAACTACAAATTGTTCTTCAAATGGAACCCCAGATGCAGTCCATGACTAAGATCTACCACGGACCCCTGGACCGGCCTGCTAGCCCATGATCCAATGTTAATGACATTGAAGTCACCCCTCCTGAGGAAATCTCAACTGCGCAACCCTTACTATGCCCCAGTTCAGCAGGAAGCAGTTACAGCGGTCATCGGCCAACCTCCACAACAGCACTTGGGTTTTCCTGTTGAGAGGGGGTACTGAGAGACAGGACTAGCTGGATTTCCTAGGCCGACTAAGAATCCCTAAGCCTAGCTGGGAAGGTGACCGCATCCACCTTTAAACACGGGGCTTGCAACTTAGCTCACACCTGACCAACCAGGTAGTAAAGAGAGCTCGCTAAAATGCTAATTAGGCAAAAACAGGAGGTAAAGAAATAGCCAATCATCTATTGCCTGAGAGCACAGTGGGAGGGACAATGATCAGGATATAAACCCAGGCATTCGAGCCGGCAACGGCTACCCTCTTTGGGTCCCCTCCCTTTGTATGGGGGCTCTGTTTTCACTCTATTAAATCTTGCAACTGCAAAAAATAAAAAATAAAAAAAGTGATTTTTTTTTTTTTTTTTTTTGAGACAGAGTCTCGCTCTGTCTGTCACCCAGGCTGGAGTGCAGTGGCATGATTTCGGCTCACTGCAACCTCTGCCTCCCAGATTCAAGTGATTCTTCTGCTTAGCCTCCCTAGTAGCTGGGACTATAGGCGCCTGCCACCACACCTGGCTAATTTTTGTATTTTTAGTAGAGACAGGGTTTTGCCTTGTTAGCCAGCTAGGTCTCAAACTCCTGACCTCAGGTGATCCACCCACCTTGGCCTCCCAAAGGGCTGCGATTATAGCCAAGAGCCACCGTGCCCAGCCTTTAAAGTGATTCTTGATCTCCATTCAGATCTAGAGGAAAAAAAATAACCACATGGTATTCATTTTTAAGATCCCTTAGTATTGATTTTTTTCTCTCAATAGCCCTTTGCCTAACATGCTTGGCTGCCTGAAGCTGTTTGGAGAAAGCTATGGTATTTAGAGAATTATGATTGTGGTAATATGTCTAACATTTTCATTTCTTTATTCCATAAATATTTACTCTGCACTGCTTCAGCTATCTATTGCTGAATAACAAGCCACCCCAAAACTTAGTGGCTTAAAATAACTGTAATCTTATTGTTTTTCAGGATTCTGTGGGTTGGCTGGGGCTCCACTGGACAGTTGTTCTACTAGTCTTGCTTGGAGTCACCCATGAGGTTACAGGCACGTGGCAGGTAGGGCTGAATTATTGAAGATGGCTTCTTCATTCACATGTTTGGCACCACAGGGTTCCTACATATGGCTTCTCTTTCCATTGGGCAGGCTAGATTTCTTACATTGTGGCTCAGGGCTTTGAGACGCAGTTAATGGAAGCTGCCACTCTTTTTTAGGTCTGGTCTCAAAGCTTCAAGATATTACTTCCACTGTATTCTATTGGTCACAGCCAATCACGGATAAAAACATTTAAAAAAGATTTTGAAGGAAGGAGAAGAGTGTTTTCTTTCAGAGGTTAGAGAGCTTAATAAGACATCACTTCCACTCTTATAATAAGACAAAAGCAGGACAAATTGCAAACTAATGACATTTTTGTGGACCCTTTAGAGATCTGAGGTCACTGGGAAAACAACTACTTAAAATCTGGAGAGAGATGAGTACCTTCAGGGAGAACTAAAACTTGAGCATTTGTTTACCTGGGACACACACTACTAAATACCATATTAGCTGGTAAGAAGATTCAGCTAGCCACTTTTGATAAGTTGCTAGAGGCCAAGTATTAGCTAGAATGGAAGTATGAAGACCCTGGAGATTACAGACATGGAGGGATTGCATCCTCTTGCAGGCTTTCCCTCCAAGATTTCTACCAGGCGCTCATAGGGAAGACTAGGTGGAATCCTGAAAAAACCTCCTTCAGGTGCTTGCTGATGCAGGGAGTATCAACTACTGCCACAGCTCTTCCCAGATAGATCTCCCCTAGACCCTTTATGGCACAAAGTCCTTAATCTATAGGGGAAAGGGTGATAAAAATTGTAACATGGGGGTACTCACTGTAACATGAAAACTCACTGTAGTTAGAGAGGGAAACAAGAAAAAAATACCAATGGAGAAGGGCAAGAATATGTGCTAGGCCCAGCATTACATCTGAAGAAGATGCAGGGATACTTTCAAAGGGCATACTTCTGAGACCCAGGTTCACACCACCTGCCTAAGACTGAGGCTTAATCACTGCATCAGAAAGAAACAACTCCC
The DNA here is from genome assembly GCF_000001405.40 of Homo sapiens. Classification (NCBI taxonomy): domain Eukaryota; kingdom Metazoa; phylum Chordata; class Mammalia; order Primates; family Hominidae; genus Homo; species Homo sapiens. The sequence continues at coordinate 67,925,368 of NC_000008.11, forward strand.
GCCCCCGCCCCCCACCCCCACCCCCGCCCTGATCATCACACTAACAAGTGTTGAGTAGAAATAACAGTGCAATGCACAGTGAAAAAACAGTACAAAGAGAAGACTCAAGACCAAGTAGGGGGCAGGTGTTGAGAAAACCCACTGGCCAATTAACCCATGCCATAAACAGAAGACACCACTAGAGGTATTTGAAGCTCTACTTCCCTGAGGGTAACCATAACAGTAATAAACTTCAAATGTAGCCCAGCTTCTGACTAGATTACACAAACTCCCACTCTTAAAGTCTAGCAGAAGGAAAGGCATGCTTAGCTGCAAACTTCAAAAATTATTTACTTCGGTATCTGGTATCTTATACAACATGACAGATTTCAACAAGAAACTTATGGGGTATGCAAAATGGCAAGGAAAAAACCTGTCTGAAAAGAAAAAAAATTAACAGTCCTCACAACCAGACTCAGATATAAGACAAACATTGGAGCTACCAGAGAGAGAATTTAGAATAACTACAAGTTAATTTATTAAAGGCTCTAATGAAACAGAAACATACCAAGTCAGATACGCAATTTCAGCAGAGAGATAGAGACTATAAGAAAGAATCAAATGGAAATTCTGGAAGTAAAAAAAACAAAAAAATAGTCAAAGAGATGAAAAGTGACTTTGATGGACTTTTTAGTAGACTTTACATAGCCCAGAAGAGAATAAGTGAACTTGAAGATGGTCAGTAGAAATTATTCAAACTGGAACATAAAGAGAAAGAAAAGTGAAGACCCAAACAGAGCATCTTATAGCCATGTAATAATATTAAATGGTATAACATATGCATGCTTGGAATCCCAAAAGAAGAAGGAAGAGAGAATGGGGCATAAGAAATATTTAAAGAAATCGTGTCTGGAATACTTTCAAAATTACAGATATCAAACCATAGATCTAAGAGGCTCAGAGAAATCTATGACGAATGACTTTGTAAATAAACCTCTCAAACAAACAAACAAAAATAAGCCAAGGCCCTCATATTTAAACTGCTGAAAATCACAAAGAGAAAATGTTGGGAGCAATCAGAGAAGACTCATTTACCAAGTAACAATAATAAAACTTATACAAAGTTTTATTATATAAAATAATAAAACAATAATAAAACCATGCAAGAAAGAAAACAGTGGAATAGCATCTTTAATGTGCTTGAGGGCAATTCTATATCTAGTGGAAATATCCTTGAAAAGTGCGGGAGCAATAAAGGCATCCTCAGACAAAGGGAGAGTAAATCCATCTCACTTCTTCATTTGAGAAATGGCATGTGCATTCAGGGAGAGAAGAAATTAGTTGCATGGTGCCCTTGGAAACTAGCTGTAACAAGTATCAATCATGTACAAGGTAATAATTAGGCTATTTGTAGTAAGTTCATGTTATCTCATTGGACCTAGTGTTTCTTATTTATAAAATGCTGGCATTGGCCTAGATGACATGATTTCTTAAAAATGCACCATTTGTTTTTCTCGTAGTAAATATACATTTCTGTTTATTCTTTACCAATCTAGAAATAGGTATTTCTTTGTACAATATATAAAAATAGCTTATTTTAAATTAAATAGATAAATATGTTTAAGAAATTTTAGAGTGGTTAACTATATGTAATGACTGTGGCCAATTACAATCAATCTAAGGAAACTTAATCATCTATACATAAGCTGATATCTATATGTCAATCAACAGTTCAAACGATTAACAGTGGTCAACAAAAAATTTTAATTTCAGAATTATGTTTATTATCTTTTAACTTTCATTTTCATCTCATAATACATTAAAAAAGAAAGATCCTGGGCTGGGCATGGTGGCTCACTCCTGTAATCTCAGCACTGGGAGACCGAGGCGGGCAGATCACCTGAGGTCAGGAGTTCGAGACCAGCCTCACCAACATGGCGAAACCCCAGCTCTACTAAAAACACAAAAAATTAGCTGGGCGCAGTGGCGCATGCATGTAATTCCAACTTACTTGGGAGGCTGAGGCATGAAAACCGCTTGAACCCAGAAGACAGAGGTTGCATTGTGCTGAGATTGTGCCACTGCACTCCAACCTGGGTGACAGAGAGAGACTCTATCTCAAAAAAAAAAAAAAAGAAAAGAAAAAGAAAAAAAGAGAAAGATCCCGGATATTCCAGTTCAATTCTGACTAATATATTGAGTCAATCTCTTCACTTTTTAAAATGCTAATAAAAATGATTGGAATCACTTCTAGATTTGGTACTCTTAAAATTATTGTATTGCCACTTATAAGGATATTTGTAATGTTTTGCAAACCATGACTAAGCTGTGCAATTTCTAAAGAGTTTGAGTCATGCCTAATACATTCGTATATATTCAGTCAATCATAACATGATAGTATATGTTAGATGTAGCATAGAATATGCAGTTATTCTCAAATTTGAGCAGGCATTAAAATTACCCACAGATCTTGTTAAGAAATCAATTGCTGGGCCCTACCCTCAGATTTCTGGTTTAGTGGATCTGGGACAGGGCCTAGGAATTTGCATTTCTCACAAGTTCCCAGATAATGCTATTGCCTCAGGTCAGGGGACTGCTCTAAAAACTTTTTGTGTAGGTGAGCAAACATCCCCTCAGGTCAGACACACATGAATAAAACCCATCTCTGCTACCAATTCACTCTGGGAACTTGGGTACAACTTTAATTTTTTAATCTGTAAAATGGAGTGATACATGGGGTTGCCGCTAGAATTCCATGCAGTGCTTGCCACAATGTCTGGAACAGATTATGTATCTAATACTTTGAAGTTGTTGGTACTACTTGGAATGTTTGATGATGAAGGTATCATTGAAAGTGTTATGCTTCTCTCAATACATTAATTTATATCTTCACATATATTGAGAAAATTAAGTAAACGGGCCTTTTATTTTGATCCTGATTACATTAATAGGAAAGCCACTCTTTGAGAAGTGACTATTTCAATTCTGTCTCTTGAGGGATCCTTGTTTTGTAAAACAAAAAGTGATCATTCAACCAACATTTATTGACTACCTTTGTGCCCAGACAAAATATACCCATAACACAAACATACTCACTTATACAGATATACTTTAAAATGAATAAACATTAGTTGTTTCACTTTTCTTGCTCCCACTTACCGTTCTGTCTCTGGAGTTAGTGCTTGAGTCTGCAGGTTGCATTCCTTTGGCCCTCCCCCTTTTTCCAACGGGCACATCTTGCATCAATTGAGGACCTACGGCAAAAGTGGCTAACACATGTGTGGGCTCTGTTGTATTTTGTTATTGTAATTTCTTATGACTGAAAAAAATAAGAAGTGTCACCAAGGAGTCCAGGGGGATTTCCTGACTAGCAATGTCTTTGAAGAATATTTTAAGACAGAGGTTTTTAATTGGAAAGAATCTTAATCAAGTAGGGAAGTATGCCTTTGAAACATTTTTCTTTGAACAGTAAACTTACCAGTTTAGAAAAACTCATTTCCATAAAATGATATTTTAATTTTAATGTGTTTATTTCCCTTATAGTGCATGTACCCACAATGATTTTATTCTTAGTTCTATTTATTACATTCTGCAAATTAGACTACTTGCTTTAAGCTATTCTATGTAAATGTTTTTATTCCCAACACCCATCATTTTAGAAATGCAATTTTAGCCTTTGATTGGAGAAAACAATATAAAGTGGCTATGACTGAGATTTTCTTAGTTTATTCTCCTGCCATCTTTGCAGGGGGCTGTTCTCCACTTGACCAATGGAACAGAACAGAGCCCTCGGAAATAATGCCACATATCTACAACTATCTGATATTTGACAAACCTGACAAAAACAAGAAATGGGGAAAGGATTCCCTATTTAATAAATGGTGCTGGGAAAACTGGCTAACCATATGTAGAAAGCTGAAACTGGATTCCTTCCTTACACCTTATACAAAAATTAATTCAAGATGAATTAAAGACTTAAATTTAGACCTAAAACCATAAAAACCCTAGAAGAAAACCTAGGCAATGCCATTCAGGACATAGGCATGGGCAAGGACTTTATGTCTAAAACACCAAAAGCAATGGCAACAAAAGCCAAAATTGACAAATGGGATCTAATTCAACTAAAGAGCTTCTGCACAGCAAAAGAAACTACCATCAGAGTGAACAGGCAACCTACAAAATGGGAGAAAATTTTTGCAATCTACTCATCTGACAAAGGGCTAATATCCAGAATCTACAGTGAACTCAAACAAATTTACAAGAAAAAAACAAACAACCCCATCAACAAGTGGGCAAAGGATATGAACAGACACTTCTCAAAAGAAGACATTTATGCAGCCAAAAGACACATGAAAAAATGCTCATCATCACTGGCCATCAGAGAAATGCAAATCAAAACCACAATGAGATACCATCTCACACCAGTTAGAATGGCGATCATTAAAAAGTCAGGAAACAACAGGTGCTGGAGAGGATGTGGAGAAATAGGAACGCTTTTACACTGTTGCTGGGACTGTAAACTAGTTCAACCATTGTGGAAGTCAGTGTGGCGATTCTTCAGGGATCTAGAAGTAGAAATACCATTTGACCCAGCCATCCCATTACTGGGTATATACCCAAAGGATTATAAATCATGCTGCTATAAAGACACATGCACATGTATGTTTATTGCGGCACTATTCACAATAGCAAAGACTTGGAACCAACCCAAATGTCCAACAATGATAGACTGGATTAAGAAAATGTGGCACATATACACCATGGAATACTATGCAGCCATAACAAATGATGAGTTCATGTCCTTTGTAGGGACATGGATGAAGCTGGAAACCATCATTCTCAGCAAACTATCGCAAGGACAAAAAACCAAACACCGCATGTTCTCACTCATAGGTGGGAATTGAACAATTAGAACACATGGACACAGGAAGGGGAACATCACACTCTGGGGCCTGTTGTGAGGTGGGGGGAGTAGGGAGGGATAGCATTAGGAGAAATACCTAATGTTAAAAGATGAGTTAATGGGTGCAGCACACCAACATGGCACATGTATACATATGTAACAAACCTGCACATTGTGCACATGTACCCTAAAACTTAAAGTATAATAAAAAAAAACAAAGAAAAGTCTGAGAATTCCCATTAATGTTAATTCTGGGTATACATTCACAAGTCCGGAGGAAAGAAGTCTTTACTTCTAAGTTCAACTTTTCTAAATAATTCAATTCACTTGAGGTTTGAATAAACTGGGCTCATCTTAAAATGAAGATTTAATCATGCAAAAGCTCACACGAGGGGGTGAAATGATTGTCATTGTTTAAGACAGAAGAATGACACTGCAAAGTTTATGTCAAAAAATGCCATAAATGTTTTATGATTTATTCCAATTAGAAGGTAAGATTATTTGTCTCGGCTTACATTCCTAAGTTGTGCGTGCGTGTGTGTGTGTGTGTGTGTGTGTGTGTGTGTGTGTGTATAATAGAACTTACCATATAGATAAGTTCTATATGGTAAGTTCTATATGATCACTGCAAGCTCCGCCTCCTGGGTTTACGACATTCTTCTGCCTCAGCCTCCCAAGTAGGTGGAACTACAGGCACTCACCACCACAGTGGTGGCCTTACATTTGTGTGAAGGAGAATCTACAGAGGGTGAATCAGATGGGACGAGAAAACTTGGGGACCTGCCTTGAGAATGTGATCATACAGCATGTTATGTAAATCGTTACATAAAACTGAGGAAAAGTCAGCTGCATGTACCAAAGAATGAGGGGTTTCGGGCAGTTGCAGGATGATAGAGATTACGGTTGTGATAAGGATGATACAGAAAGGGAGTGAGAGATAGAAATAAAATGGCAAGTTTTAGTGTCATGAACACTTTTTTTTTTTCTTGGCTAGGAGACTTGCGTGCCCATTGACTCAATTTTTGAGAAATAAGAATCATCTGGACTTCCCAAATACGCTTTCATCCCTGCTTTAGTGAGAAGCCCAGGAAAAAATGCCTAAAGCAACTTCATAAGTCATCTTCATATTTGGTTGAAAACAAACAAGCATACACTAGAAACACCCACGCTTGATCCATCCCAAATTTTTCTTAGAGTCTAATGAAAATAGTATTCCTTGTGAAAATTGGTATACTGGAAATTTCTGGTCAAAATCAAGGATGAATTTTCCATGGCATCTAATCTGACTATAGCTTCTCCAAACTTTTTACAAGAAAGGAAAGCTTGCACTAAGTATTAGGTATTTCTTAAAGATTCCTTAAAAGAAGCTCTCAGATATATTCTCTAATGCCTTAAACTAAAATTTCAAAGACCATGTCAGTCATATTAAAAATGGGTCTCTCCTTTTTGAATTACAGAAAAGAAATTTAAAGTGAAAAATGCTTTCCTCTATTCATAAAGATTAGGGATTTAAGTCAACATAAACATCTTTTTTGTGACTACAGTTGAGGTATATTTTGATTTTAAAGCACAGTAAGAACATTTTACTTAATAAAACAGCATTTTTTAAAATCTTTAGAGTCTGTGGTTGAGGAGACATGGAAATAAGCCAAAAGGATACTTAGCTATAATAAAATTAAGAAATATTTATTTTATTTTATTTGCCAACCATTATATAGGGCTAAAACATGAACTAGGCACTGTTTTAACAACACTATAGAGGTATTAACTCTAAACTTTGAATAAACATGTATTGTCCTGTAAAGACTATCTTGAAAGAATATTGTTTATGAATAATAATCTTTTAAGGAACAATAGTGACTATTAATGAGTAACTTTTTTTTTTTTTTGGAGACATGGTCTTGCTCAGTGCTCAGGCTGAAGAGCACTGGCTGATTACAGGTCACTGCAGCCTTGAACACCCCCAGCTTAGGTGATCCTCCTGCGTCAGCCTCCCGAGTAGCTGGGACTACAGGTGTGCACCACCATGCCTGGCTAATTTTTGTAATTTTTGTAGCAGAGGGTTTTGCCATGTTACCCAGGCTGGTCTTGACCTTCTAGGCTCAAGGGATCTGCTCACCTCAGCCCCCAAAGTTCTGGGATTACAAGTCAGGTGTGAGCTACCATTCCCAGCCCAGTGACTTTTAAATTATTGACTTGCGAATAACTGATTACTTGTCTCATCCTTCAGTATGCAAATATGATGTGGTATTTTCTTTCTCTTGAGGATCTTTTTTAACTTGGAAAACAACTCTGGACATGGAATTTAATCATTCTTTAGTTAAAAGTGAAAATAAATTATTCTTTTCAATTAGGAAAATCGTAAGATAGGTCTAATGAGAGTTCTCAAATTTGCTGATCACTCTTAAAAAAAGTTGAACTCTTAAAAATTCCAGAGAATGTCCACAGATTCTCGACAGATAGTAGTTCCTAACTGATTTGGAGTGCAAGCCATCCAGATTTTTCAGAACTATCCAGATTTCACATATTCTTGTTGCTTGTCCCCATGTTTGTCTCATCAGTTTTGATTTTAGCACATACAAAAAAAAAATAACCTTTTTATCCATTGGCCTGAACAGTTTCTGATTCTGCTTCTTAGAAAATTTAAAATAAGTTAGACAATTGAGAAGCTGCTGTAATTTTGACTCCAAAGTGTTGTTCAAATGGTGAACAAAAATATTTATGTCAGGAAAATAAGAGGAGACTTCCTTTCCAGTTTTCCTCTTGTCTATTATTTCAGTTTTCTCAATCCCTCTCCGCCTCTTTTTTCAGTGTAAAAGTGAAGTGTGAATAGAAGACGTGAAATACTGTCTAACCCTTCTGGATGGTCTATTTCTTTTTCTTTTCTTTTTTTCTTTTTTTTTTTTTTTTGAGACGGAGTCTCACTCTGTCGCCCAGGCTGGAGTGCAGTGGCACGATATCGGCTCACTACAAGCTCCGCCTCCCGGGTTCAGGCCATTCTCCTGCCTCAGCCTCTTGAGTGTAGCTGGGACTACAGGCGCCCGCCACCAAGCCCGGCTAATTTTTTGTATTTTTAGTAGAGATGGGGTTTCTCCATGTTAGCCAGGGTGTCTCAATCTCCTGACCTCGTGATCCCCCCGACTCGGCCTCCCAAAGTGTTGGGATTACAGGCGTGAGCCACCGCTCCCGGCTGGTCTATTTCATTTATGCTGTGAGATGCTTAGAAAAAGCCCAGATCCAGCTTAGGTTCTTTCTCTCTTTCAGAGTTTCCCTAACAACCTGCTGGCTGCCTTATGCTCCTGTAGAATACAAGTTTTAGTGAAGTCAACATAATCCTTGCCTTCAATATTCTGCACAGTAAGTTACACAAATCTTTTAATGAGTCAAACTATGAGAGTTTGGTTCTGGAAAATACAGACACATTATTAACTTTAACACTTAGGAACATTCTAAAAACTATAAAAATAGGTATAAAATTGGTTTGAAAATACACAGAAGAGAGAAGGGTACTATGTAATGTATTCAATAGCAACAAATGAACATGACTTTCAAAGTGAATCCACCAGATTAAATCATCTCTCTCCATGAAGGAGGGTTAGGCAAGTTAAAGCAATGTGGGAGAGGTGAAGCATTCTGAGCCAGCACTGCCTACCGCAGTAAATGAATCTGAGGTTCTCTTTCATGTACAAACCTTCGGAGTTACTGACCTGTCTCTCTGCCTCCTTTATTACAGCACTCAGAGCGCTTGGAAACTCAGCGGATGTTGCTTGACACTTGAAGAGGGGGAAAGTGGCATTCGGAAATGTGGGGAACGGGGTTTCTACTCTGTTCAGGTGTCACTTCTGTGGTTCATTTGCTCTGAGTATCAGGAGTTAATATGGTTTAGATGTTGTCCCCGCTAAATCTCATGTTGAAATGTGGTCCCCGATGTTGAAGGTGGGGCATGGTGTGAGGTGTTTGGGTTCTGGGAGCAGATCCCTCATGGCTTGCTGCTGTCCTCATGCTAGTAAGTTCTTGTGGGATCTGATTGTTTAAGAATGTATAGCAACTCCTCCTCTTTCACTTGCTCTCGCTCTGCTGTGTGAGACACCTGCTCCCCCTTCATATTCTGCCATGATTGTAAGCTTCCTGAGGTGTCATCAGAGGCCGAGCAGATGCCGGCACCATGCTTCCTGTCTAGCCTGCAGAACCATGAGCCAATTAAACCTCTCTTCTCTATAAATTACCCAGTCTCAGGCATCTCTTTATAGCAATACGAGAACAGACTAACACAGGAATATTGCTGGAGCAAATCACACACAAGCCAGGCTGGCGCCTCCATGAAGCTATGATTTCTAGTCTTGTCTGGATCCTCAATTCTCTCCTTCGTCAGCTCTGATGCTACAACCCAACAGATGAATTCGCATTTTACCTCATAGAGCAGGCATCAGAAGAAACTCCCTTTTGCCCAAACATGCCCAGACTCACCTGCACCACGTTTGTGCCTACTGTTTTCTTCTGGTACAACAGAAAAGGTGTTCATCATCTGCTAATTCCTCCCTCTGTGTTTTGGATTCTATATCTCATTTCTTCTCAGGAAACCTTTTCTATCAGTTTTTCTTTCTCTCTTTACCTTCAGTCTCTTTATCTTCCTTCCCTCTAGCTCCCATTCTCCACATACGGCAAACTACTTTTTGTCTCAGTACACAGCACACTTTCTTGTCTGCAGGCCTTTTCTCATGATGTTGTTCCTGAGTGGGCCATTCTTCCCTTTCATTTCCTTTTCCTTCCTTATTGAAACCTTTCTTATGATCCAGGACACTTTTAGAAATGTCTTCTATGAAGCTTTCTTTAACTGCTTCCAAGTCGGAGTGAGATGACCAGTACTGTATTCACAGTACTCTGTGCTTAGCTCCCTCAGACTGTTTTTGTTTGTTTGTTTTGAGACAGAGTTTCACTCTTGTTGCCTAGGCTGGAGTACAATGGCGCAATCTCGGCTCACCGCAACCTCCGTCTCCCGGGTTCAAGCGATTCTCCTGCCTCAGCCTCCTGAATAGCTGGGATTACAGCCATGCGCCACCACACCTGGCTAATTTTGTATTTTTAGTAGAGACAAGGTTCCTCCGTGTTGGTCAGGCTGGTCTTGAACTCCTGATCTCAGGTGACCCGCCTGCCTTGGCCTCCCAAAGTGCTGGGATTACAGGTGTGGTTTGGTGGTAGGAGCCATCTAAACCTAAGTTTTTCTGAATTGTTGCACTTGAGTGCCAAGCTTCCTCAACTCATAGGTCTTATATTGTTTATTTCTCCCTTCATGGGAATCACATGTCTAAGAACTGTTATTTCATATACCAGGTCTGCTTATCTGGTTGTTTAAGATGAGACACTAAATCCAGTCCATATTATTCCATCATAGCCTGAAGTGGAAGTCTCATTTCCGCACTGTCTTTGAATACTGCAATTGCTAGGTATTAAATTTCTACATAGACATTTTTATTGGCTGTTTATTCTATTACTCTGATATGGTTGCCTATTGCTAATGTCATATTCTTTTGATTAGGGTGGCTTTGTATTAAGTTGTAGTGTTTGCAAGGCAAATCTCTTTTGCCCTTTCCATCACGTATTTTATGATATAAAGACTCTCTTTTAAGATTTTGTTATGTGATCATTAATAATAGCTTATGATTATATTCTTTTTTTTTTCTTTTTGAGACAGAGTCTTGCTCTGTCACCCAGGCTGGAGTGCAGTGGTATGATCTTGGCTCACTGCGGACTCTGCCTTCTGGGTTCAAGCAATTCTCCTGCCTCAGCCTCACAAGTACCTGGGATTGCAGGTGTGTGCCACCACGCCTGGCTAATTTTTGTATTTTTAGTAGAGATGGAGGTTCACCATGTTGGCCAGGCTGGTCTTGAACTCCCAACCTCAAGTGATCCACCCACCTTGGCCTCCCAAAGTGCTGGGATTACAGGTGTGAGCCATCGCTTCTGGCCTACTTATGATTATATTCAAATAAGTATTTTGCTAGAAATAAATTTTGCATATTATGTATTTTTAACCATATTATAAAGTGTATTTTCTATTTCTGTTTCTTGCTCTTTACTCCTAGTATACAATAAAGCTATATTTTTGCATATTTGTCTTTTAAAAAGTAATCTCCTTATTATAGCATACAATCATATCAGCAGAAAGATAATTTAATCTCTTCATCCCTTCCTAATGGCTACTGATATTTTATTTCTGTCTTAGTCCCTTTGGGCTGCTATTAACAAAATACCTTTGAGTGGGTAATTTATAAACAGCATAAATTTATTGCTCACTGTTCTGGAGGCTGGGAATTTCAAGATCAATGTGCCAGCAGATTTGGTGTCTGGTGAGGTCCTGTTCCTCACAGATGGTGCCTTCTCCCTGTGTCCTCACAGAGTGGGGCTGGGAGGCAAACAAGCTCCCTCATGCCTCTTTCATAAGGGCACTAATCCCATTCATGAGCTCCCTCACAACCTAGTCACCTCCCAAAGGCCCCAACCCTTATTACCATGACCTTGGGGCTTAGGTTTCAACATGTGAATTTGGGGGGACTACAAATAGACCACAGCAGTTACCTTATCTTAATATTATATATTCCCGAGAACCGCTAAATCAATATTGCTTAATTATGATAACAGAGAGCATTCATTTCTTGTTCCTGTCTTGATGAAAATGGCTTTAATGTTTTACCATTTGGAATAATATTTGTGGGTGGGTTGGAGCCCACATCCTTTATCATATTTAAGCCACTTCTTTCAATGCCTTCTGAGAGTTTTTATTATAAATCGTTCCTACATTTTATCAAGTGCCATTTCAGGATCTATTGAAATAATCAAAAAGTTTTTCTTCTTTAATTTGTTAACTAGTGAGTTATGTTAATTGGAATATTTTGGTTTTGAACCACGCTTCCATTCATAAAGTAAATTCTACTTGATTACTTTGATATACTGTGTATGACAGGATTGAATTCTGTTATTAAAAGTCAGATTCTGTTAGATTGTATTAGATAGCAAACCCAGAGCTTGTTTATTTCAAGAACTCTTAAAACTAGTAATAAAAAATAATGAAGATAAACAGATGGGCAAAGAGAGATCAGAAAAACAGAAATAAAAGACCATGGGAGTGATAATGCTGATATCAGATTGGTAGAATTTAAAATGAAAAATATTAAATGTCATAAATACTTATAAAATATAGGATTACAATTATAATGTTATAATTAAGGACATAATTTATGAAGAATATAAAACAGCAGTAAACTTTCACGTACCTAAAATGTAGCAGTTAAATACATAAAATACAAAGAATTATAAATTTAACAAGATCATGGTAAAAATATAACTAATTATAGTGAATATTTTAATATAGCTCTTTCAGAACTGGATAAGTTTGGAAGACAAAAATTAATTAAGAATATGATGGAATTACACAATTCAACAAAACCTCAATTTTATTCATGTATAATATTACATTTTTAAAATTGAGAATATACTATTTTCCCACTAAATGATCATGCACATTTATAAAAAGTGATCATAGAGGCACCCACAAATAAATACTTAACATATTTTTCAAAGTATATATTATTGATTATAATTTTTTAAATTAGAAATAAATATTAAAGAGATGAATAAGATGAATGAGCACCTGTTGTTTCCTGATTTTTTAATGATCACCATTCTAACTGGTGTGAGATGGTATCTCATTGTGGTTTTGATTTGCAGTTCTCTGATGGCCAGTGATGATGAGCATTTTTTTATGTGTCTTTTGGCTGCATAAATGTCTTCTTTTGAGAAGTGTCTGTTCATATCTTTTGTCCACTTTTGATGGGCTTGTTTGTTTTTTTCTTGTAGATTTGTCTGAGTTCATTGTAGATTCTGGATATTAGCCCTTTGTCAGATGAGTAGATTGCAAAATTTTCTCCCATTCTGTAGGTTGTCTGTTCACTCTGATGGTAGTTTCTTTTGCTGTGCAGAAGCTCTTTAGTTGAATTAGATCCCATTTGTCAATTTTGGCTTTTGTTGCCATTGCTTTTGGTGTTTTAGACATAAAGTCCTTGCCCATGCCTATGTCCTGAATGGTATTGCCTAGGTTTTCTTCTAGGGTTTTTATGATTTTAGGTCTAACATTTAAGTCTTTAATCCATCTTGAATTAATTTTTGTATAAGGTGTAAGGAAGGGATCCAGTTTCAGCTTTCTACTTATGGCTAGCCAGTTTTCCCAGCACCATTTATTAAATAGGGAATCCTTTCCCCATTTCTTGTTTTTGTCAGGTTTGTCAAAGATCAGATAGTTGTAGATATGTGGCATTATTTCTGAGGGGTCTGTTCTGTTCCATTGGTCTATATCTCCGTTTTGGTACCAGTACCATGCTGTTTTGGTTACTGTAGCCTTGTAGTATAGTTACCAAAATCTTTACAGGAAAAAGGACAAAATATCAAAAGGGGTTGTAAATTACGTTAAATCTCTACTATTTAAAGGTGCCAGGCTACTTTGTGTGGTTGGGATGGCTTAATCACTGACTCCTAGCTAGCATTTCAAAAGAGGTAATTTCAATGTTATTTAACCTGATCCAGACCATAGATTTTTCTAGACATCTCTTTGTTGACGTTAACAATTCAGTTTAACCTTACAGGCAGAATTTGTTAAAGGGAGCCCAGAGAACTACTTAGCCACTGCTCTTATGAATATAGATGCAATATCCTAAAAAGCGAAATATCAAGTGGAATCCATTAAGTTGGTATTGTATGGCTTGAACACATAGAAATGTGTGAGGAAAGGATGTGAGCGCTGAGAGAATCCCGTCCATGATATGCATATTTTTCCATTTTCTTGCCGAGAGCATGCCCTCCCTTTCCCTCATCCCTGATACTCTTCTCACTGTCCACATGTTAACCTGAGCTGGACTGCAGTTACAGATCAGTGCTGTACTTTTGTTGCAGCCAAATCTAAGCAACTGGAATATACAGAGTCTCTTAGGGCTTAGCAGTTGTTAAAATGAGCAGTACTTCTCTGCACTCCGTCAAGGTATGCATGAATGCCAGGGGATAAGGACATCCTTATGTCTAAAGAGACACTCTTTAGAGACCCAGATGTGTGACCTGTAACACAAGCCCACACATTATTCTGTGTGGCAGCTGTGGTGGTTGTCCTGGAACTTTGGAAGTTTGAAACTTCCAAAACCCTGGGTCTTCCCCGTGCATCAACATTTCTCTTATTTATAGCTGATTTTGCAGTCAAAGCTCTTCTTGCCACCTCCAAAACTGCCGTTGGTTTTAATGGAAGGAACATGTAGCCTTTCCCAGACCATTCATGAGACCTCCACCTTCGCAACCAAGCTAGGATTGAGTACTTCCTTCCTCTTCCTCATTTTGTCCCTTATTTCTGCGTCATATCTTCTGTCTTTCCAACTTTATTTATTTATTTATTTTTTGGTTAGACCCTCTTGACACACTGTTCCCAGCTCAGTTTAGACTGAAAGCAGTCCAGCACTTTGGCAGTAGCTGCAGCTCATGTTAAAAGTTATGGTCACTCAAATGTGGAATAGCTTTGTAATGTGGCAGCAAGGAGCTTGAAACATTGGCCACAACTATAGCAGAGTCAGAGGTGGGAATTCTCATGGTGGCAGGTGAGACAAAGGTAGAAGCTGCTTCCATGGTGACAGCGTTGGCCACAGTAGAAGCAGGGATGAATAATGCTCAGGGAAAGGGACTTTTCCATGGTCAGTCGCTACCCTCCCCAACCTGTGCCTCTCTAGTATCCATTTCACTCCCTCCTAATTTTGGGTGGGATTAAATTCACTTTCAGCTCTAGGAATCGGACCCGATTTGACCTAAGCCCCTCATGGCAATCTTTTGCTACAACAATTTGTTCAAGGATACAGAAAAACTCAGGCCTTTGCCAATAAGGGCATGGAATTTAGCCACAGTGATTGCTCAATGGATCAGCACATACCATTAAAATTGTCTAAATAGAAACAAAAATTCAGAACTTCTGTTAGATGTTGTTTCAGTAAACCATTGCTCAAGAACAAAGTCCTCAAAACTTAGTGTCTTAAAACATCCATGATTTATTATTTCTCTCAGTTTTTTGAGTTGGCCATGTGAGTGGTTCTTCTGGTCTAGCCTGAGGTCATTCACGTAGTTGCAGTCATCTGACAGCTCAGTTGGAACTGGAGGGTCCCAGTGGCCTCATTCCCATGTCTGGCAATTGATGGTGACTGCTGGTTAGAGTATCTTGGTCTTCCTCTATGTGGCTTCTTATCCTTTAGTAGTCTTCACTAGGCTTTTTGCATAGCTTGGTGGTCTCAGGTTTTCTAGAGAGGAAAAGTGAAAGTTACAACTTGTTTTAAGGTTTAATCTCTGGAACTTTTATGTCATCACTTCTATTATATTCTGTTAGTAAAGGCAATTCCCAAGGCCAGCTAAGATGTAAGAGAATGGAAAAATAGACCTTGTCTCTTAATGGAAACAGCAGGATTGTCAAATTACAAAGGGGTGAGGACACAAGGTGCCATAATTTATTACTGGACATTACCTGCTATCTACAATGTTTGATCGAGGTAAGTTCTGCAGTGAAATTAACATACATTGCACAACATATTATCCACTATTACCTTTTAAAAATTATCACGTAGATTCCTTCATCTAGAGCAAGCTTGTCCAAACCCATGGCCATGGGCCACATGCAGCCCAGGATGGCTTTGAATGTGACCCAACACAAATTCATAAACTTTCTTAAAATGTTACGAGATTTGTTTGTGATTTTTTTTAATTCATTAGCTATTAGTGTTAGTCTATTTTATTTGTGGCCCAAGACAATTCTTCTTCTGCCATTGTGGCCCAGGGAAGCCAAAAGATTGGATACCCCGGTCTAGAGTGTATTCCAGTTTTCATTACTTTCCCTTCAGAACTGGTGTTCTGTTCTATCACGTTTCTCCACGTGTACCTGCATTTAAGAGTACGTGCACCTGTCATTAAGATATGAAGACACGACTGGTCCTGTTTTCTGGCAATCATAAATCCTGGTATTTATATGTTTCACTGGCAGCTGTATTATATGACATTTGAAATTTCTAGTTAAGGATGGTTCAAGATACTTGGCTGAGGTTATGTGTTTTTCCTCAATCTCTTCAAACCATCCCTCCACCACCAATAGATAAAAGGAGAAAACCCATTGCCATAAAGAGAAAGAAAGAGAAACTTGTGCAGCAAAGAAATGTCTACAAATATCTGCAAGATAAAAAGACAATGGAGCCTTTCTGACAAAGAAAAGAGAGCAAGGAAGTGATAGAACAGAGTGACAGGAGGGGGCTGCAGCGGGGATTGTTGGTGGGTGGATCAATTGAGAAACTTATCTGCAGAGCAACTTACTGCTCTCTTCCTGACATGTCCATTTCTTTGCTTCTCTTCTCTGTGTTCTCTGATCTTTAGCATAGGAACGAAGCATCAATCTCCAAAAATACCTAAGGCTTCTCCTCTACTGAAATGTGAATATCTACATAGGCAGCATTAGAACTTCATGCCATACCTCAGAGTAAAGTTCTCCCATTTTGGCAGTTGGAACTTCCACAGCTAATGATCTGCTTGCTGCCTGTTCCTCCTGAAGGCTTCACTTCATCTAGACAAGCCCTGGACACATACATAAAGTCCCCGTTTAGCCTTCCTGTCAATGAGAGAGACTAAGCATGAAAACAGTCCCACATAAAACAATAGAGGAAACATCTCTGCTACAGAGAGAAATTATTCCATTCCTCTTTCTTAAATAGAATGGATGTCTGAAGACCTTCAACCCATTAAAGAAAGGATAAGATTAAGAAACAAAACTGTCTCTAGAAGAAACAAAGACATTTTGGAGAAAAATTTAAGAAGGTAGTGTCTCCAAAGTACAAAAGCAGTGCTGTGAGAAAGAAACAATTGGGGATCAAATTAGAACATTTGTTATACATATAGTCATATCCCAAATTAAAATTTCAAATAAGAGTTTGAATATAAAGTAAGTCTCTCAAGACATAGAGAGAAAACAGAAAAGAGATTGGAGAAAACAGAGACAACAACAAAATAAAATAAAAAGGTTGAACGCTTGAGTTAGATAAGAGATGCAGAGAATATTTCTAGGAAGTGCAACTCAACTAATAGGAATTCAGGGAACTAGACATACAATAACAGAAGGGAAGAAATTTTCAAGAAATAATACAAAAATTTGCCCAAAGGTCAAAAGAGATCACTTTTCTGTTGGAAAGATTTAAATAATTGAAAGAACACTCATGTAAACATAGTCCTGAATTTTTTTTTTTACACGAAAGATAAAGAAAAGACTCCTGAACACTTCCAGATAGATAAAACAGATCCTCTACAAAGGATAGAGAGTCAGGCTAGCATTAACTCTCATCACCAACACTGAATGGTAGAAAAATGAGCAATGCATTCAAAATTCAAAATTCTAACAGGCAATAATTCTGAACCTAGCATTCTTACACAGAATATCAACAAAGCATGATGGCAAAATGATTATATTTTGGACACACCAGGGCTCAGACAATTTATATCTCTTGTACCCTTTTTAAGGAAGTTACTTGAGATATAACTCAACAAAATGAATGCAGATATCAAGTGATGTTGGTCAATTGTCTTCCCAAAAGATGTTGAAGTCCTAACCCCCAGTGCCTGTGCATGTCACCTTATTTGAAAATAAGGTCTTTGTGGGTTATCAAGTTAAAATGAAGTCATTCGGGTAAGCCCTAGTTTAATATGATGGTATCTTCATAAAAAGGGAAAATTTGAACACACAGACAGACAGCATAGAGGAAAGATGATGTGAAGACCCAGGGAGAACACTGTCTATGAGATAAGGAGTGTATGAGGCTATTAGAAAGTAGGAAAGAGGCATGAATGAATTCTCCCCCATGCTGTGGACAGCTTGATCTTGAATCTCTAGCTTCCAGAACTGTAAGATATTGATATTTTGTTACAGCAGCCCCAGGAAATTAATACATCCAGAGAGATTTCTCTTTTTTTTCTTTTCTTTCTTTTGTATTTTTGAGAAGGAGTCACCCAGGCTGGAGTGCAGTGGTGCAATCTTGGCTCACAGCAACCTCCACCCCCAGGGATCCAGCAATTCTCCTGCCTCGGTATCCTGAGTAGCTGGGATCACAGGCGCTCACCACCAAGCCCGGCTAATTTTTGTATTTTTAGTAGAGACGGGGTTTCACCATGTTGGCCAGGCTGGTCTCGAACTCCTGACCTCAGGTGATCTTCCCACCTTGGCCTCCCAAAGTGTTGGGATTACAGTCATGAGCCACCGTGCCCGGCCTCAGAGAGAAGATTTCTGATGGAAAAAATAATAGATTTCACCTAGAAGCCTTGGGAAAACAATCCCCGGGTGACAGTTATCTGTCAGGTTCTGAAGCAATCATTCCAGACTGGGAATAGAATCAGAGGGCTCTGAGGAAAATGAAGAACAGAAGAACCAAAACAAAATCTAGCCTAAGGAGCTAGATAATATTAATGAGTATGTCAAGAAAGAATATATATTTCTTCTTTCCACTTAGGATCCCCACCAAAAATAGAAAACAAAAACAGAAAATGAACAAACAGGCTGTGTAACAAAGTCATGGTTCAAATATGAAGGAAACTAAAAGATGTCATGCATGCCTTTCAGCAATGATGGTGTGTTATGACACAGAAACCATTTAACCTAGAAGTGATCCTTGAGTGTCATGAAGGTTATGACTTTGGTCACAGAGAGAATGAGATGCAATCTTATATGATTTGTTTCTGCAGTTAGCATTATTAAAATAATTGTATAATATATACCCTGTTTATTAATTTTAAGCTTTTAGAAAGAAATATGGGTGACTTACATGTGGTTACAAGTTAAATATTACCAAACCTTTTACTAAAGATACAGCTCAGAAGGTAGAAGTAGAAGGTGGCGAGAGGCAGAGAGACGGGCAGAATTGCTAATCGTCTCATTGGGTGTGGTGTGCAGGCCAGAGACATTGCCCAAACTTTCAAAAACAAGAAATAGTAGCTTAAGTGTATTATACATTGGCACAAGGTTATCAATATCAGAATTAAAATTATAACTAAAAGTGGACACAAACTTCCTCAACTTGCTAAGGAACATTTGCAAAAACCCTACAGCTAACATCATACTTAATTGAGAGAAACTAGATGCTTTCTCACTAAGACCAGGAATAAGGTAATAATGTCAGCTTTCACAACTCCTTCTCAGCATCATACAGCAAGTGCTAACTAACCAAATAAGACAAGAAAAGAAATAAAATGAAAATAAAAGATTGGAAAAGAAGACATAAATAAAACTGTCTTTGTTTGCCAATGACATGATGGTCCATGTAGAAAATCCCCTAAATTAACAAAAAAGACTCCTGGAACTAATGAGTAATTACAGCAAGGTTGTGGGATACAAAGTTAATATAAGAAAATCAATTGCTTTCTTCCATACCAGCAATGAACAATTGGAATTTAGAATTAAAAACATGAGACTGTTTGCATTAGCACCAAAAAAGAAAGAAAAAAATACTTTAGGTAGAGAACCAAGAAAATATGTATAAGTTATATAAGAGGAAAAATACAAAACTTTGATGAAATAAAAAAGATCTAAATAAATGGAGAGATATTCCATGTACATACATAGGAAGACTCACTATTGTCAAGATGTCAGTTCCTCCCAATTTGATCTATAGATTCAATGCAATCCCAATCCGAATCCCAGCAAGTTATTTTGTGGATGTCAGCAAACTGATTCCAAAGTTCATATGGAGAGGCAAAAGGCTTATTATAGCCAACACGATATTGAAGGAGAAAAGCAAAGTCAGAGCACTGACACTACCTGGCCTTAAGACTTACTAGAAAGCTTTCTATAGAGATGTACAGTAGTCAAGACAGTGTGGTACTGGCAAAAGAATAAATTAGATCAATGGAATAGAATAGAGAGCCAGAAATTGACACATACAAATATGGTCAATAGATCTTGGGAAAAGTAGCAAAGACAATTCAATAGAGAGAGGATAATTTTTTCAACCAGTGGCGCTAGAAAACTAGATATCCCCATACATAAAAAGGAGAATCTAGACACATACATTATATCTTTCACAAAAGGCTGCATACTGTATGATTCCAACTACATGACATTCTGAAAAGGACAAGATTAAGGAGACAATAAAAAGGTCGGTGGTTGCCAGGGGCTTGCAGTGGGGGAGGTAACATTGAGTAGGTGGAACATAGGAGATTTTTAGGACAGTGTAACCATTCTGTAAGATACTATGATGGTGGAAACATGCCATTATACATTTGTCAAAACCCATAGAATGTACAACATAAAGAGTGAATCCTAACGTAAACTACAGACTTTAGTTAATAATACTATATAAATGTTGGCTCATCAACTGCAACAAATTTATCACATTAATGCAATATATTAATAGGGGAAACTAGGGGGAGACGTATGAGGGTCCATATGGAACCTCTGTATTTTCCACTCCATTGTTCTGTAAACCTAAAACTGTTCAAAAAATAAAGTCTATTTTTTAAAAATGGTAGAAGAAAGCTATTTTACGTGGTTCTATTTTATATTTACATGACTCTTGAAGTATTCCAGAAGAGAGAGATTCTTCTCCATTACTAAAAGAGGCCTAATACATTAAATATCTGTTTTCAGTAAACTTGTTTTTGTACTTTGGTAATCGTGATTTCTCTCCTGAACTTATTATCATACACTTCTTTCACACTCTTTTTTTTTTTTTTTTTTTTTGAGGAGTCTTGCTCCGTCGCCCAGGCTGGAGTGCAGCGGCGCGATCTCGGCTCACTGCAAGCTCCGCCTCCCGGGTTCACGCCGTTCTCCTGCCTCAGCCTCCGAGTAGCTGGGACTACAGGCACACACCACCCGCCCGGCTATTTTTTGTATTTTTGGTAGAGATGGGGTTTCACTGTGTTAGCCAGGATGGTCTCGATCTCCTGACCTCGTGAGCCGCCTGCCTCGGCCTCCCAAAGTGCTGGGATTACAGGCATGAGCCACCGCGCCTGGCCCTTTCACTCTGTTTTTTATGGTTCGTCTGGGTGCAGGATAGATGGATTTGATTATGTGATTAGCACATTTCAGGTAAGATGAGTGATACTTCCTTGAGAATATGATAAAATAAATGTGATATTTGTAGTTTCCTCTTTTCCTCTACACAGGCTCACAATCCACAGCAAAGATTGTTTACTGTGAGAACATTTTTCTCTGAGGAAACTACACAAATATTTATGTTGGCTTCTCTTATTAAAGAATGGATAAAGGAGAAACAAAAAACCAAGTCAGACCTATCTTGTTTAGAGATAGAGTGATTAAGCTCTAGAAGGCCAACAGAGTTCTATTGTGTTCTATTCTTCCATCAATTCATTCATATATCCAATTAGCAAGTGTTTATTGAATTACAATTGCATGCCAGGTTCTGGGAAGGCTCTGGGTCCTTTCCTTCAAGACACCGTTGTCTGTCTGTAGAGAATCTTGTCAATTGATCTGCAATTATGATAAAGTGTACTCAGTGCTTTGTTAAGAGAAAAAGACTACACTATGGAGCTTGGCATTGTAAGAATTGTCAAAGTACTCTACGGTGGCAGGGGTGCACATTGCAAAGTGGAAAGTGGCATGGAATGAGGCCAGAGAGTCCTCATGTGATACATGACATTTGCCTGTATTCTGAAGGATTTGGAGCAGGGTCAGAACCCTCTTGTATTCCAGGAAAAACTCTCTTGACCTCTTTTCTTATTCCTGATGACCATGAGACCAGTTCCACAGGTGCTTTCACAACTGCATACAGCAACAAGAAAAGAGTGTTTCACCCTTCTTGCTTCCTGACTCAAATCTTATCTGTGTAAGCCTCTTGGCACTCATGCATGGGCAACAAAGAAGTACAGGAGTCAATTAATGCCCCACGGGGCAATCCTTGACTAATTGGGAATAGGAATAGGAAATGATGAATAAATGACCCAGAGAGACTAAGAAAAAGAAGGCTGAGGACCAAGCTCCAAAGAACATCAACTTGTAGAAAACAATTTAAGAATTTAAAGATTTAGAGATGGGTCCAGGAAGAGAACTCCGCAAGGAAAGGGTATAGGGATCCGAAGAACGAGAGAACATTGACATCTTAGAAGGCAGAGGAAGAAAGTTTTCCTAGGATGAGAGAGAACCAACACTGTCAAATGCTGCAGGAAGGTCAAATAAGACAAGAAATGAAAAGCATGCATTGGAATTAAAAACATGAAGACATTAGTGATCTGTATCAGATGAGTGTCATTGCAGCAGTGGGAGAGTAGCCACATTATAGGGATTGAGAAAAGATTTGGAGGTAAAGAAGTTAGGACAATGTATTAGTTTTTTATTGCTGTAGTAACAAATTATAACAAACAATAGTATAAAACAACACACACTTATCTTATTGTCTTGTAGGTTCTTACTGGACTAAAATCAAAGTGTTAGTAGGGCTGTGTTCCTTCTGGGGGCTCTGGAGGACACTTTCCAGGTTCTAGAGGCTACCCATGATCCTTGGCTTGTGGCCCCTTCCTCCATCTTCAAAGTCAGCAATGTTGCATCTCTCTGACCATTCCTTCAGTCACATCTCCCTCTATAATCATACCTGAAAAGCTTCTCTGCTTTTAAGGATTCATGTGCTTATACTGCCCACCCCCAACTCCCACATGATTCAGAAAAATCTTTCCTTCTCAAGTTCCCTAACTTAGTTATATCAGCAGGTAATTGCCTTTTGCCATGTAAAGTGACATTTATATTTCTGGGGCTGAAGATGCAAATATCTTTGGGCTGCCATTATTCTGCCTACCACAGGCAATGAGCAGAACTCTTTAGAAATTTTTCCAGGAAGAAGAGTAATGTAGCATAGCTTGAAGGCATGTGCAGTTGCACTTTTTTTTAGGAAGTGATGGGGAGGGAAGGCTTAGAAGTCAGATGGACACTGCAAGGATGATATTCTTCGGAGACAACTCACAGACAAAAATTGGCTGTTTATTTTACTGGGATGATTGTAGATTAAGTTGTCCTAATGAGAAAGTGATTATCCATTACATGTTAGATGATGGCTATGATGATGATTTGGTCTAAAGCTAGTCTGATCTGAAAATGATTGCATCTTTAAGAACTATAGATTCGTGCTAAAGTAATACTATCCAAACATTGATTTAGTTTGCCATAAAACATTGTATTGGAGAATAAAATATGGTTTATGAAAACTGCATTTCATCTTTTAAACAATACATATTCTAAACTTGTTATACTGGTATCGTAGAATTAATTACATGTTCTAGAACATCCTGTGCTTGTTATGAGTAAATTGCCAAAAAAATTAAGTGGAAGTTACCAGGGATTTAAGCATGAACTGTAAAATAAATTAATAAATATTTTTAGAATTACTTATTGTCTAAGAGCCTTAAATGTGTATTAATATAGTTCCAATGTGTCTATGATAGTCTTCTCTATATAATTATATGTATATAATATATATACATTATATATACACACATATATGTATACATACATATATAAACATGTATCATATATCACATATAAAATATGTATGGAAAATATAAATTTACATATGTGTGTGTATATATATATGATCTAGAGTTGTCTATTATAGGCCAGAATAGTAAACAAAATGACAGAATCAATTTTACTGTATAAAGAGCTTTACTGTGTAATTTACCGATAAAGAGCAGTCTGACTCAGAGTTCCCTATTTAACAAGACAGGCATGCAATAAAGCAACCTTCTATTTTCTGTGCTGTATCTTCTACTGAAGTTTAGCATCAAATTTGATCTAGTGAAATGGCAGAAAGGCTAAAATGACCTCTATCTGAAATATGACCAAGGAGTTCTCTTTTTCCAAAAAGGCAGCTTTGTATTTTTTAGGCTTTTAGTGTAGGAATAGCCCTTCTCTGGGCCTGACCAAAGGAAGCTTACTGTGCCCTGTGCTTTGACTCTTTGAACCTTATGATAACAAATTATTATTATTTTCTCTTTGGAGACAAGGTCTTGCTCTGTCACCCAGGCTAGAGTGCAGTGGTGTGATCATAGCTCACTGTGGCCTTGATGTCCTGGGCACAAGTGATTCTCCAGCCTTAACCTCCCATATGATAATGGATTCTAACCACACCAAGTTCATGCATATGGAATACATTCAATGGCTGAGCTAGTTTCCTACTTAGTCTCCCCTCTATTTTCTTTTCTCCCATCTCCTTTTCACTGGATGCTTCAACCTCATTAGTATTTGAGGAAAAAAACTGGATCCTGTCCATCATTTTGGTTGTTGCTTTCCTTTTCCTGGCAGACAGGGCCTAAAGTTTCAATAGAGGAAGTGGGGAGGGATACAGCACATTCAGAGTTTATGAAAGACCTTATTTACCATCAAAGTGAAGGTTTCCAGATACTCCAGCCCTGTTTTCTTATGCTCTTATGTCTTTGATGAGGAATTAAGAACTCTAGCCAGCACAATAGAAGACATTGAGAGCTGGCTGGCAGAAAGCACTACATGGTGTCCTGAAGTTGTTCATTAATTATAAATGATATTGAGGAGTAGACCAAGGGGTAGAAGTGTGTTCAGAAACTTTAAATATCTTAAGAATTTCTACACAAGCATTTCTGAGAGAAATTTGAATTTACACAGTTAAAAATGAATATTTTTCTGCTAGCTTCCATCACACCAATTTTTTTTTTTGCAAAGCATTCATTGCATCTTACCTTTTAAACAGTTACATGTCACTTTGACCCTCTTCCTGACTCAACTGTAAGTCTTTAGATGGTGGTTCTCAAACGTTAGTGAGTTTAAGAACAATCTGAGGACCTTGGTAAGAGAATTTAGGGCAGATATCTGTGGGATTCTCATTCAACAAATTTGTGGTGGGGTCCAGCAATGTTCATTTTAACAAGACCTCGGGTGATTGTAATTCAATGGTCTGTGAGCCACCTTGAGAAATATGTGTCTGCAGATCAGGGTCTCTGTGGCTCTTGGGCCTTCGCAGTATGCACTGCTCGTAGAGATCCTCAGTGCATGTTTGTGGAATTGAGGTAAATGATTTGGATGGGTAAAACCCCATTAATGATTCAAACTCAAGTGTCCTGCTTTCAGAGATGAGCTTGCAGCCCTAACGGATTGTCCATAGACTAATTTTTTGATAGAAGGAAGTTGCATAAGCAGTTCTTTACTGGGGACAATTAGTACAAGAGATTCTATTTTATGTAGGAGAACAACTGATAGAAAGTTGCTTTATTTATTTGCTTTTTTCCCTAGGGAAAGGTGCAGACCTGGGGAGGAAGAAATGCTGCCTGTAGTACATGGGGAGAAGGTTCAGTCATGCTTGCATTTCCCATTCATTTCTGGATGTGTGCTTCCTATGTCTTCCGCTTCTTTTGTTTATTGTTTACTAGGTGCTGTGAGGTCTGCTCTTTAATATGCTTTGCCCTTTGTTCTTCTGCCACAGGGTGTGAAGCCATCTATGTTGTTTGCCCTTTGCTCTTGGCTACCTCTAAATAGTCATTTGTAAAAGAAAGAGGAAAATCACATCTTGCCCATCAGCTTTGTGTACATCATTCGAAAATTTTATCTTTAATATACAAAGAAAGTACAATCCTTCTTTGTGTGGTTACAGAGGGGAATGGTCACACTATGCTCTGGAAAGACATCATCTGGAAAACCAATAGGTAATTATTTTAATGTAAATATAGTGAAAAGCATCTTTATGTTTTAGAGTTTTGCTAATGCTTTCAGTGACTGCAACAAATTAACATACCACTTTCTTGCAACAACTCTATTCACTCTTCAGTTTATTTAAATGCCATTAGTTTTAGACTGAAGTTGATCTGTGGAAAATATATGTGTATAATACCAATTCAAAAAAATATATAAATTGTTTTGTTTGTTAAATGTATTGGAAATATTTAAGGCTTAGTTTCCAAGTGAGAAAAGGCAATAAACTTTAACTTTAAAATCAAGAATGTTCTGTGTGTCTATCTTCAAAAATCTAAGATTATTTCCGTTATCTATCTAGCTTTCTATCTTCTGATGAGCATTCAACAACAGCTTTATCTTTTCAATTAGTGACACCGTCTTAAATCACAGCAGCTCTTAGAAACAAAACTGGCACAAATACCCTCGCCTCTCAATGGATTTACATACTATCTTGATGTTGAAAAAAGTTGTAGACATGGAAAACAGCACAGTACAAGGGTGATGCTTATTTTATCTGGGGTTTATTGCATGGGCAGAGGCTGTCATTTTCCCATAGTGTCTTCATTTATTATGCTAATTGACTTTCCAAGCTCAGACTGGAGGGTGTCTGCCCTGTGAACTATTCTCAGTTGGAGGGTTTTAAAAGCAAACCTGTTTTGTGCCTGAATGAAACAAAAAATCAATGTGTTTCTTTTCAAAGAGGGAGGGTCAATACCGTGGTTGTTTTTGTTCCCATCCAGTTATGTAACCGTGGGGACTTGTTTCTTTGCTTTCAGGATTTGTACGAAACACATTAAAGTTAAACAATAGCGGAGGCTTAGGAGTAACCCTCGAGCTGCGCCTTGGAGTGTGTGTCCCTGGGATTGGGAACCTCCTGTGAGTTCCATATCAAGTGCTGCTGTGTGTGTGTGTGTGTGTGTGTGTGCGTGTGTGTGTGTGTGTGCGCGCGCGCGCGTGTGTGTGATTAGCCAGTACGCAGTACTTCCCCAGGGTTGTGTTTCCTTTTTCCTGAGATTTGGCGAAGGGTAAAGGGTCGGAGTCACATGGATACAAAGCTTTTGATTAATGTCCAAGTCACTGCTGTGGCTGCCGAAGCCGCTTCCCCTCCAGCCCCGGCCGTGTGAGGCCAGAGCAGCGGGGCCGGGCGCGCAGGGCCTGGCCGGAGCCCCCACTCCCAGGAGTTTCCTCTGCAGAGCCCCGCGCCCCCCGCGCCGGGATTTCAGCCCGATCCCCTCCTCTCCCTGCGCCCAGCCTCTCCCCAGCATGTAAAGTCTTCTGTCTCTCCTCGGAGTTGGCGGAGGCGGCAACTTTCCATTCTCGCCGCCGGGGGCCGGGCAGCAGCGGGCGCGCGGGTCAGCGCTCAGCACGGCGGGCAGCGCCGCGCTGCGCACCGCCGCCGACCATGAGCGAGGACAGCCGCGGAGACAGCCGCGCCGAGAGCGCCAAGGACCTGGAGAAGCAGCTTCGCCTGCGCGTGTGCGTGCTCAGCGAGCTCCAGAAGACCGAGCGGGACTATGTGGGCACGCTGGAGTTCCTGGTGTCGGTGAGTGTCCCCGGCAGACGCAGGGGGACGTCCGGGCGGCGCGGGGCGCGGGTCCCGGAGTGGCTGCGGGAAGGACGCGCGGCATTGTCTGTGCGGGGACCCGGGACGGGTCGGGGCATCACAGGCGCGGGAATCCACGTGTGGACTCTGCGTTCGCGGGCGCGGTGACCCCCGCGGGGATTTGTTGGTGCCCCGAGACTCACTGAGTTGCGGGGGCCTTGGAGACCTCCAGGTCTGAAAAGTTAGCTCTAGAGAAGAGAGCTCCAGTCCAGGGAATCCCGGCTGCCCTATCTTCCCTCACTTTTCTTTTACCCGCCTCCCCAGTCTGCTCAAGTGCACTGTGTAATTGATTTTCCTTCTTGTTCTTTCCTGGAGACTTTGTTTTAAAGCTTTGGTTTTGTGATTAAAGGTCCAGTCGGCTACATCCAGGTACACTAAGTTAAAAAAAATCCTTGAATGTGCTCGAGCTTGAGTTCGTTACTCAGATAACATGGCAGTGGCCGCTTTAGTTATGGTCTTTGAGACAGAGGATTCTGGTGTAGGGGTACAGAGAGAGCAGCGGGGTGATGATCTCTAGCAGCTGTTGGATATTAAAGCCACATGTGGCGCTCACCCTGTCCTAGTCTTACAATTCCCTCCCCCCCGCCCCCCGCCCCGGCTTAAATCTGTCTTCTGCTCAGTTTCTGGTCCCCTGTTTACATGGCCCATGAGAGTGCTGTAATCAAGCTTCGGGACTTCGTGGAAGTGGGGATGTACTTATATTCCACGTTTCTGCTTGACTCACTGCCATCTGCTTTGAAAACGTCTCATTCATTTTAGGGCCGAAGGGGCAAAACTGAGTGAAAGTAACTGCTGAGATAACACTCAAAAGTTGAATTTTTCCTATTCATTGCTGAAAAGACAAAGAATTTGAGCCTTGGCTTCTTTCCACCCAGATTCCTGGGAGAGCATCATTCAAAGAACCAGGAGCTTTAGTTTTTGTGATCTCATCCAAATCCTTCTCCTTCCAACAACCAATTCCATGCCCCCTTGGTCTGAAGGAAAATATTTCAGGTGCCAAACTTCCTGCTTAGTGTTCTGAAATCTGTCAACTTTCTGCTTATAATCATGACAGATAAAATTCACTTCTTGGCTGTGGCAAGAAGGAAAGAAAAATGTCTCAAGTGATGTAAAATGTACAGGCTGCGTTATGGTTGACTTCTCAAAATCAATATACTTGACTTCCAGGGGCCACATTCTCTGCAAATATACAGGTATTTGAGAATATCCTGGTAACTGGTGGTTTATAGAATTATTATATACTTCCTTGTAACAAAGATTGTCAAAAAAGTATGTTTTTAAGATTTGATTTTTAATAGCTTTAAATTTGGCTTTCATGAAACTTTTTTGGTAACAAAGTTCTTTGTCTTTTGAAGAATCTGAGTCATTTCTTACATAATTACTCTTTCTGAAGATCTGTGAACAAAGTACTGTGCAGAATGCTAATTTGCAGAGACAGTTAATCTAATTATATTAAAAACCAATTTGTTGATCTTTATTTAAAATATCAGTTTTTCTTCTAATCTTAAACCTGATCATTACAACAGAAAACTTACTGTTAGTATATAGAGTTAGGTAAGAAAGTGTGGAAAGTATAAAATAAATTTTCCCCTTTTATAAGGAGAACATCATTTCATGATTTCTTTTTATCTCTTTCAGAATTTATGGGCTCTTCCACTTTTCATTTTCTTTGTGCATCATTTGTGCCTGTTTATGTTTATATGCACAAATGCACTAATTAGTCTGAATGCCATCCTAAATAAAAGTTTACTCTGGCTTACAAAGCCTAAGATCTATTTATAATAGATTATTAGATTTTCTTTTTAGGGTGTTATTTATAGCAACATTTACTCCCCATGGAGTTTTCTTGGTTACCTGAAGTTGATGTAGTCACTCTGGTTTTGATATTAGACTATGCTAATATGTACCAAGAGCTTTT
Source organism: Homo sapiens (assembly GCF_000001405.40). Classification (NCBI taxonomy): domain Eukaryota; kingdom Metazoa; phylum Chordata; class Mammalia; order Primates; family Hominidae; genus Homo; species Homo sapiens. Next base: position 67,954,514 of record NC_000008.11, read on the forward strand.
AATCTATGCAAACCCTTTGGCCTGGTAATTCCTCTTCTAGGAACCTATCCTAAGGGAATGATCAGAGATGGAAACAAGCAATAGAAGTTATTTTTAAAAGTTAGCCATAGTATTAAATAAGTCGAGTGGTAAATTTGTTGCCAAAAATTGATAGTTTACTCCTAAGTCAAATTAAATATTTGTTAGATTAGTCATTAATCATTTCTATTATTGCTTTAAGCCATTAACATGGATGAAGGATGACTAATCTTTATTAGGAAGAGGAAGAAGAGGTAGAAAACATATTTTTAGTTCTACTAAGAACATATTTTTACTTAACTGCCCTATAAATAAGCAAACAAAATGGTATTACTAGCTTTATAAAAAGATCATATGTCCTAGCACTTTTGGGGGCCGAGGCGGGTGGATCACCTGAGGTCAGGAGTTCAAGACAAGCCTGGCCAACATGGTGAAACCCCGTCTCTACTAAAAATACAAAAAATTAGCCGGGCGTGGTGGTGGACACCTTTAATCCCAGTTACTCAGGAGGCTGAGGCAGGAGAATCACTTGAACCTGGGAGGTGGAGGTTGCAGTGAGCCGAGATAATGCCACTGCACTCCAGCCTGCCTGGATGACAGAGCGAGACTCCATCTCAAAAAAAAAAAAAAAAAAAAAAAAGAAATCATATGGCTAGAGGGAAAAGCTTTTCTAAAATCTTTCCTATTTCTGAGCCCTCTCTCTCCTCAATTCCCACACTTTGGCCTTTAAGGAAAGAGCATCTTCCCCCACTGCCATCCCCAAGACAGCCCATGAGCATTGCCTTTCTTCTCTAAGCTAAGGTATGGGTCTATCTGCATCTTCTCTGTAGTTGCCCCCAGGCACACACCGCTGTTTGAACAAAGCTCTGTGTCTTCAGCTGGCTACTCTTTCCATGGTGGGCTGTGCTTCCTCAGGCCTCTGCCTTTGTTCTTCCTGGGGCCTTCCTTTTGTACCTGGTGGATTCCTACTGGGCTTTCAAGGCTCAGTTAGCCCCTTCTTCCCAGGTGCTCCTTGCTTTGTATCCACTCTACCCTGCATTTCCTTCTTCCATAGTACCCAAAGTAGTTGATGTGTGCATTTGTTTACTTTGGTCCTCATTCTGTTAGACCTCCTTGAGGACAGGGACATACCACCTTGTGTGCCTGTGCTTTCCATAATTGTGTGCAGTGCTTGTGACATTGTAGGTCCTCAATAAATGCTTGCTGAGTGCATGCATGAATCAATGAGTTGACCCATCTTCTATCCTCCCACTCCATTTTTAAGGATAGTGCCTCAATCATCCTGAACATTTTGATTTCCTGTTTTCTTCCATTTGGTCAAAATAGATAGTAGAATTTTCAGTTTTGCTCAGGCACATATGAATTTATGCAGTCAAAAATTTCAAATTAAACATGTGGTACCTGCCTTTAAAACAGAAACATGATTTAAATCAGGTATTGAGGTATTAAAGACTTTGCATGCACTATTGTTTCATATATTTTAAATTTTTGTTTGAGATCATGGATAGGTTACACTATCTAGATTAATTATTTTTAGGTCACAGATAAAATGGTAGAGAGTGACATAATTTGCTTGAATTTATGTTCTTGTTTTGCTTGGGAAATGAAATTTTGTGCTTTATTAAAATATTTTCAAACATTTCTTCTAAATAAATGATTACATGAACCTGACATCCAGTATTTAACATCCAAAGTCTGGACAATAGTAAGTTACAACCTGTTTCCTGTTTGCAAACCTGTGACAGAGCCTGCCGAGATGACAGACTCATGTGAGTGGACAGAGAAAAGGAAGACCCAGGGCTGGCTTCATGGATGCACATCCTGTGCAGTGGCCCAGGGTTCTGAGCTGAGAAGGATGCCCAGCTTGTTTTAATGCTCTGCTATTGCCATCTTGAAATTCTTGCCAATTTTATCTTTGACCTTGTGTTTTGCAAATGAAGTCTGATGGGACGGTGGACATGAGCAGAGCAGATACATGAAAGAAAAAAGCTTTATATTTCAGTACCTTTAATAGCATTCCCCCACAGCCCCCTGCTTTTTGAACAAGAAACCTCACATTTTTATTTTGCACTGGGCCTGGAAAATTGTGTAGGCCATTTAACTGTGGGTCAGTGGCAATGAGGCAGGATGACCATATAATTTACTGTCTAAACTGGGACACTTCTGAGGGTGAAAGGGAGTGCTATTAATAATGACACTGGGAAACAGATGGAAACTGGGATTGTTCCTGGCAAACCAGAATGCATGGCTAGTCCACATTGTGGGCATATTAAAACAATGACTTCAAGCTATGTGTCTTGTCATAAACCAAATATTTTCAAGTTTGTTGCCTGTCCAGGCTTTGATCTTGGATACCTTGGTATTTGAGTCCCATCTCTAATTTGCTTTGTGATTTTAAACACATTCCTAACTTTTCATGCCCCTTTTTCTTCATTCGTAGAAGGGAGAACAATAGCATTTCTCAGGGGTATTGTAAGGATGATGAGATATATGCATTGGGCTTGGCCCATCTGGCTCATAAGAGGGTCCTATAAGTAGTTACTGTTATTTTGCTGATGCTACAGTTGTTATAAAGAGCCATGCCTATGATCATCATTAGATAGAATTTTTGTTTCTGTTATATTCCTTTTCTACCCTTTCTGTATGTCCCCACTTCTCTTCGTTTCCTCCTTCTTTGTTTTCCTTTTGTTAGTGTAGTCTTCTTAATGATATTCTTATAAATGCTCATTAGTTGATTTTAAGACAGTGAGAAAACTTTATATTCCAGGTAACAACCACAGTTAGTATGGCGCCTTGGAGTTTAAACAATTGCATCCTCACTCTATTATTCAGCTTAATATATGCATGTCTCTTAGCTCTTTCAAATTGTGCTCCCTGGAGCTCCAGAGGCCCTTGCAAGGGCTGCTGGAGAGCTAGATTTTATGGCTTCAGGATTGTCACCCTGGCTTCTCTGTGCATGGCTCAACCTTTCTCAGATTTGAGCTTTCGTAAAAGCAGTTAGAAAAAACATTTGTCTACATGGCAAATTCCCAGAGAAAAGGGGGTTTGCATTTACTTCCTATGTATGCTTTTCTTGGCCTAAACACAGGGCTTTGTAAATAGCAGGTGCTCAAGAAAACAGACAAACAGGCAAACAAAGCAAAAGCAAACAAAGCAGAATTTGAATGCATCTGAAATCAAACTCTTTAAGTCATGACCTGACTCTTCCAGGCAAAGATGATTGATTCAGCACATTATGCTTAAGGTTTATGTTATGGACTGAATTGTTTCCCTCCTCAGGAGTCATATGTTGAAGTCCTAATCCCCAATACTTAAGAATAGGACTGTATTTGTAGATAGGGCCTTTAAATAGGTGATAGAGTTAAAATGAGGTCATAGGGTAGACCTTAATTCAGTTTGACTAAAGTCCTTCAAAGAAGAGGAGATTTGGACACACAGAGAGATACTGTGGTGTACAGAGGAAAGGCCTTGGGAGGACATGGGGAAAAGGCAGCCCTCTGCAAGCTAAGGAGGGAAGCTTCAGGAGAAACCAAACCTACTGACACCTTGATCTTAGATTTCTAAGCTTTCAGAGTTGTGAGAAAATCAATTTCTGCTTAAGCCATCAATCTGTGGTATTTTATTATGGCAGCCTGTGCAGACAAACGCAGCTTATATTAGGTGCTGGGTCATCACAATACTCTATGGGAGCTGCGACACTAGAGCCATAAGCAAAGTCACGTGGAGGCAGTAGAGATTCTTTCAGTTGGGGAGTCAAGGAAAGTTTTGGAAAGAGGTGATGATAGAGCTGGCTCCTAAAGGAGGAGGAGGAATGTGCTATACTGGGAGAATTATCCATCCCCAAAGTGCTGCATGTGTTATGTGACCTCAGCGTGGCAGATCCTCACATTTAGGGGTCTGAAACAGTCTTGTAATTATACCCTATTATAATACCAATTACTTTAATATAAAAATAGTAGCTATTGCGATTAGATTTGTTTCTTAGCAAGAGAATTCTGTTGACAAGGTTGAGGAACAAAGATTGAAGTCTAGTTACCCATTAAGAGTCTGTCATTGCATTAGTCCAGGTAAGAAATGTGGAAAGTCTGATCTGGGGTAGAAGCATTGGAAAATATAAAAGAACAGTAACAGCAGAAAACCCAAACCAAACCACAAACAAATCAAACGCCCAACTATGAGGGCTTTTTTGGGTAGAAGCTTTAATATTTTGTATACTCTCAGAAGTGGAGGTTTAAGTAGAATGGAGAACATAGGATGGGGCTAAGTCTCTAGTTTTGAAGACTAGATGGGTAGTGTCATTGACTGAGAATTGGAATGCAGGGGACAGAACAGCACTAGGAGGAAAAGGAAAATGAATTTGCTTTTGGACATGTTGAGCTGAGCCACAAATACTACTATGATTTTTGAAGATAAGAATGTGGAACTTGAGAAATAATTTGGGCCAAAAGTGAGAGATCTAAAAATTAACTAATCATGTATTTTGAAACCATCAATTGAGTGAGATGGCATAAGGAGAGCAATTAGAGGAAGAAAATACACAAACAAAAGGTAGGATGTTGGAGAGTCAATGTTTAAAGGATAGAGGAAGAGTAGAGTGTGCAGGTGACTTTGAGCTATCAAAGGCTGAAACAAAGAACTAGGAGAAGTTGATACTTTGAAAGCCAAGGAAGGATCTAGTTTTCAAAGAAAGGTCTCTTTAAAGTGGCAGGACTTGAGGGAAGTGGGGTGTGTGAAGACTGAAGAGGTCGCTGGATCTGGCAGTTAGAATGTCATTGGGGTTTTAGCTTCAGTAGAGCGTGTGAGCAAAAGCCAGACTGTCAGAACCAGTTGAGACACGAGTGGAAGCTGAGGATGTGAAGGATGATGGATAAACTATTCAAGGAGTTTGGTGGTAACTGCGAGGAGAGAAGGGGATGATTTTGTCTAGGGATGGGTAAGGCAGATGAGCCTAGCCAAGGGTAGAGAGACAATAAAAAGGGAACTAAAGCAGTGAAAACAGAAAGTGGCAGAAGGCAAATGGCATCTTTGGGGGAAGCATAGCAAGCACCCCCATGGCACTGGGAGATAAGACAAGGCAAAATTTTCTGAAATTTTCTGAGCCATCTTGCTGTGTAACATACCCATAGTAAAACATAGTAAAACTAAGAATGGGCAAGCTGTCACTTGTGTATTTTACAAATTCTGCTGCTTCTCCAGTGTACAGCTAGTGGAACTGCCTGGGATGGTCTTTGTGGCCCCTTGTGAACACATACCAGAGGCTCTCCCTCCCACACTGGGACAGTGAGGTGAACTGCATGGCACAGAATCTGATGAACTGGTTTAAAATCCTCGCACTGAAACTTACAAACTCTCTCTTTGGGCAAACAACACAGCCTCTGTATGTCTCAGTTTCATATTTGGAAAACACATTTGATAATACCTCACAGGGCTGGCCTGAAATTCAAATCAGCTTCTGTAGGTAAAGTCCTGATAGGTAGGAAGTGTTTCTTCCTTTTCTTTTCTTTTTAATTAATTAATTAATTAATTAATTTATTGATCTCACTCTATCGCCCAGGCTGGAGTGCAGTGGCGCGATCTTGGCTCACTGCAACCTTCCCTCTTCCGGGTTCAAGCGATTCTCCTGCCTCAGCCTCCTGAGTAGCTGGGACTACAGGCACATGCCACAATGCCCAGCTAACTTTTTCTAATTTAGTAGAGACGGGGTTTCACCGTGTTGTCCAGGCTGGTCTCAAACTCCTGAGCTACGGAAGTTCCCCCACCTCAGCCTCCCAAAGTGCTACGATTACAGGCGTGAGCCACGGTGCCCGGCCGGAAGTGGTTTTTTTTTCCCCTCCATAAACTCCAAGCTTATCTCCCTCTCCTCTGTCTTGTCTATCCACAGACTGAGCTTGGCACGTGCTCAGACCAGCTTGAGAGTCACCAGCCTGGTCTGTCAGTCACCCTGTCTTTTCCAAGCCTGGAGGCATAAGGACAAGTTTAATAGAAGAAGGTTCTGAGAACTCCAGCGGGGCCTAGGGAATGCAGGAGAGGGAGTGTTCCGGGAGCCACCAGGGAGGGATGGCTTTCCTCCAGAAGGAACTTATGAGTAAGGACAAGGGCCACTTTAGGGGAGAGGCAAGTATGGAGGTTGCTTGCTATCCGATGGTCGTTCTTCCTCTATGAAGTTGAACTCTGGTTTTCTGTCTGATGTTCTGTTTTGTTTTGCTCTTGTTTTGTTGTTTGTTGTTGCTGAGAGGGCAGTGCCCTGAAGAGAACCGTAATGATTTGGACACACACTTTCAGGAATAGAAAAGGGAATTGAGCTTGGACATCTGAGGGTGGATGTATGATAGGCTTTGTTCAATTATTCTTTTAAATGTGATTTTCTTAAACACAACATACAAATTTAGGAGCTCAAGTAGAGACGTAAGCACTTCTGGTTTATTACATCTAGTATGAATAGGTTCAAATCTCAGAGATAATGACAACCATTTTTTAAACCATGGTGCAAATAGTATAAAACTTCTATTTTACATTTGATGCACATATCAGTCATTAGCCATGTAAAAAAAAGAAAATGATTTATCTGACATTTTAGTGTGATTATAGTTTCCTCAGCACTTGTTTTAAACAGCATTTTCTTAACAATTCTTTTAGTATATACCTGGTATTATATTTTCATACCAAATAAAATTATTATGTCTGTGTTTTCAGCACTATTGGTTTGACCTAAAAATAATTGTTTTAGTTTGCATTATTTCTTTAAACATTTTATTTATATTTACTTTTCATGAGATAGATTTTTTGTTCTTCATTAAAAGTGTTATTAAATTTATTAAAAATTTTCAAATGTGAATTTATTAGAATTATATTATTAGCTATGTTAAAATCAAGATCTTTGATTTAATTATAATTGTAAATTGAAGAATTTACAATTTATTAAAATTATATTAGCTATATTAAAATCATCTTTGATTTATAACATTGTAGTTGCCTCAAACAATCAAAAATTCAGGAAAAGCATCCTGTAGTAAATGTTTCATTGATTAAAAGTGTGGCTGGGTCACTTTTTCCCTGGTATTGAACATAACTATTCACATGATGATACATCTAATAATAACTGCTTAAAAAAATATTCCCCCATTTTCATAAACTATTGCATTTGATCCAAGAGTTCAATGATTGAAATTTTAAGAAAATGATATGTTAATTTGAAGTTATGATTTTTAAGCACTTCTAATTAGTATCGGTGATTTCAGACTTTGATTTATTGAATAAATTTGTTGTATAGCCTTACATATAACGGAGCATAGTGTACAAAAAGGGATCTATTTTGCTCGAGAGTATCTTAGCCAAGGACATTGTGTTTTGTTATTAATGTGAAATGCATATTTTCCATTAAAAGGCAAGCCCTTCATTTGAAAGGTTAAATTGTATAGTACTTAAGAAATGACTCCATCTGATTAAATTTAGAATACTGATATAAAAATATTCTCTGGTCTTACAGTGAAAATATCACAATATAGAATATAGATGGATAAACATTTTTATTCATCTGAAAACTTTGTTTCTCGGAAAGAGTCAAATATGGATTGATATCTATGTTTGATTTTGGCTTGCCACTTTTGTTATTTTAATTATCTATTTAAGTTGCCTTCTTGCCAGTAGGAGAGGCTTTATAGATGGTGACACATTTTCAGAGATTGTGCAAGAAATGCTAATGTTTTCCCTTGGTGCCTTGTAATGCCTCAGCTTGGCCTTGCTTTCATGCTTCCTAGGAGTTCCAGCCTTTTCTTATTTGAGACTGTTGCCCCAAAGAAAGAAATTTTAGGATTCCAGAAATAACATCTCTCATTCCAAAGCCTTATTTCTATCAGTAGCACTAGGAGACCATCTATGGAAAGGCATTATTATATTCTATTAATTGACCTAAATGTTAGTCCCGCACCCACATACTCCAAGATTATTTTAAGAATTCATTATTTTCCCAGAGGTATGTGGATGAAGGGGGCTTTCATTTTCTATACTGTATAACTATGTCAAATTTGGCTTTCTATAATTTTATATATAAATATATTTGTATTTATATATTTTATTTTTTTTTTTATTTTTTTGAGATAGAGTCTTGCTCTGTTGCCCAGGCTAGAGTGCAGTGGCATGATCTCGGCTCACTGCAACCTCTGCCTCCTGGGTTCAAGTGATTCTCATGCCTCTGTCTCCCAAATAGCTGGGATTACAGGCACCTGCCACCACGCCTGGATAATTTTTTGTATTTTTAATGGAGATGGGGTTTCACCACGTTGGCCAGGCTGCTCTCGAACTCCTGACCTCAGGTGATCCACCTGTCTCGGCCTCCCAAAGTGCTGGGATTACAGGTGTGAACTACCATGCCTGGCCAATTTTATATATTTTATATATTTACAAAATGTATTTTGAATATTCTAGACACAACTTTATCTCAAGTTTTCTTGTACCACTTCATAATGAAACCTCTGGCAGAGACTTCTAAGTGTCCCCAGTACCCAATGTTCTTTTCTTCTATAGTGATAAAAGTTTTAGGTCCAGCTTAAGACTACATTTCTCAGCCTCCCATGCAGATAAGTGTGGGCCTATGTAAAGGTTCTGGGTAGTGGGGTGTGAGCAGAAGTGGCCTGGGTAACTTCTGCAGTGTGCCCTTATTGTGAAGAGTGTGCATTCTCTTTTCTCCTTTCCCTCTTCTCCCTGGCTGGTATGAGGATGTGATGGCAGGTGATGGGGCAGCAATTTTAGAACATGAAATGGAAGGTACATGTTCAGGGTGACAGAGCAACAAAATAGAAGGAGACTATATCTTTATTATTTCTTATTAAGACCATGTCTTAAAGCAGGCTAACCTATGTCCTGTCAAAAATGGGCCTATAAGAGAAATCAATATTTATTTAACTCTGTCCTAAAATCATCACATTTTGATACCAAGGCCTCATTGACTTATGCAAATCATTAATGAATTGGCCAACTTTAGTATCTTTTTTCTGTCTTTGTCTAATATTTTTAGTTTATTTTTTGTTTTTTCTTTAATAAATCTCTAGTTCAGCCATAATTTCCCCAGATTACGCTAAAACTGCACTTTTTTGTTTTCAATAATTATACTTTAGTTTTTCCTTTAGAAAAAGAATAGTATTTTTTTTTTACCTGTACTTAACATATTCTTTTTTTCCTGAAGGCCAGAATTTTGTGTTTATTCGTAAGGATATTTGTTCAGCTGCCTTAACTGAGACCAAATAACAATAGTTTGAACAATGCAGAAGGATTGTTTGTGGCTAGGAAAGCCATATGTAATCAACATGGCCTTTTTTGCATTCTCTCTTAGAACTCTGGTTATTTAATTTTTAAATTAAATATACCCCAGTGGTGTTCCAGTGGGGTTAGCCGCTCAGCCACATCAGGTTATTCAGAGACTCCTGCTTCTTTTATCTTATTGCTCTACCAGCCCCTAGGACCAATGAAATCTGAGTATGTGGGGGTGAGAGCCAGGCCTCAGTATTTATGTAGATTCTCTAGGTGTTTCCAATGGGTTAGAGAAGGTGGGGGAACCAGTATAGTAGGGTGTTGTCCTTTTCCCTATGGTTGAAGCTGACTTACCACTACACTTTTCACATTCCAGCCCTAGGGGGACAGAGGGTGGGAGACAAAGTGGAGGGCAAGCACTCCCTTTAAGGATATGACCCAGAAATGACACACATCACTTTCACTCTCATCCCCACGACCAGATCTTTGTAACATGGCTAATCCAGCTCTAAGGGAGACTGGGAAATACGCTGACTGGCTGGACAGCCATGTGCCCAGCTGAAACTTAGGGAGTTCTACACTGAAATAATGACATGGGAATAAATATTGAGGGGCAAAGGGTCATCTCTGCCACATTTTGAATCCATTGATACTTTAGTCTCCTGTCCTCAGAAAATCATTTATATTAATTATTGGATTCCTTTACTGTAAGAACCTATTGTATTTAAAATATAATTTGGATTATTTCCCTCTAAAATAATATATTCTTTCCCACATAGCAATCCATCTAACATTTATCTCTCTCTTCAGATATATTTGTAAGAGCTCCAGAGCTCTCAAGGTTGTTTTTGTTTTTTTTTCCATTGGCTTTCACTACAGAAAGGCTTTGGGGTATTTGGTGATTTTATGTAATTTTAAAATTTTGTGGAAGTTTCCAGAAAAAAAATTCCAAGATAATATGGAAATTCTGTTTTTGTTATGTGTTTCTTATGTGTTAGGCACTGCATATTCATTAACTCACGACTTAGAACTATCTTCAAGCCTCGGATCATTGTAAACTCACACCTGGGGACATTTTGGTCAGTTCCTATTTGGGAGAGTGGGGATTCTGAAAAGATCCACTGCAAAAGTTATATAGCTCTTCCAAGATGTTCTGCTGATGAATCACAGCCCGGACTCTTCTGGATTGTGGGAATGGTGTGATTAATCAGGACTAGGAAAACCAAGGCAGTTGCTGGAGTAGGGACGCAGAACTTGTTGACTCCGGAAGTACACAGAAGCTAGAAATCAGGAAGGAACAGTAGTTCATTTCAGGCAAACCATCAAGCGCAAGAGAGCAACAGGAGCTTATGGTCAATCCAAGACAGGGTTAGAGCCAGGCAAGCACTCAGGAGCCAAAGATTACCCAGAAGTCAGGAGTTTCCCTCACAGAAATAAGGAAACACATGAAACTTTCAGAAATAGAAAACCTTAGTTCTCCCATTGGCATATCTGTTAATATATGTTGGTACTGATGCTATTTTCAGCTTAATTTAAGTCCTCTGGGATCATTTTGGATCTCTGTGTATTTACAGTGCTTCCTAACAGGTTTGAACCCTTGGCTTTGTGTTTAAATATAGCTCGTGTTTATCCTATATATGATCAAATCACAAGACATTTGAGGCAAAGATATAAAATTAGTTTGTATAATTAACATATGTAATTATTATGAGTGTATATGTATATATATATGTGTGTGTATATATATATATGTGTATATGTATATATATACACACACACTGTCCAAAATGTGTGTATGTCTGCATTCAGTGGATGTTCTATTGATTGCTTAGGTGAAAAGCATTAATGTAGTTTAAACATATATTAAATGAATCCATTGTTAAAAATGATCACTATTCTTGAGAGTGTTCTGTTTGCCAGACCTACTTTGTTTGACAGGATAGAGGAGGGAGAGTAAACGGCCTTCTGGTAGTCATAGAATGAAGTTTGGTAAATGGGTCATGTTACATAGCTAGAGACATTTTCCTCAGTTTCTAGCAAGGACAATTAGCACAACCATATGATTTTTAGGGTCCAAAAAGGAATCATGTTATTCATGGAAGAGCATAGCTTTCAATTAAAATAGGAGAAGTTGATGTTTCTCCTGTATAATTTTTAGTGCGCTAATAATTCTCACATGTAAGTTGGGTCTTCTCTGTATCATTAAATGTTTTGAGGGTAGCAAATATTCTTTGTGATTTAAGATTTTTAAAAAATTTCTACTTATGGTTTACTTCATTATGAGGAACATGATAAGTTGGATTGTCAGAAAATTTGAGAGCTTAGTACTTGACTGGATCTTCAATTTTAAATATATGTATTTCTATAGATGAGGATTTGGGTCAGATTCACCTTTGATGATGTTGTGAAAATATAAGCAAACCGTAATGAGAGATCTAGGTAGTCAGCTAGGATATTTGAATAAATTTTTTAAAAAGAAAATGTCTGCTAACATTTAAAGAAAATAAATTGCCTATAGTTTTACTATGTTGTACTATATATCCTTCCTACAAATTATTTCTTTTCCAGTATGTCACAATTCAAAGTTCCAACTCCTCTATGATATTCTGTAATTTCCCTTAGTACTGAATATGTGTTAAGTAAAATCTACAGGTTTTTTTTTTTCCAAATAATACAGAACTAAAAAATCTGTAAAAGAGAAAAAAGGAATTACCATAAAATGCATCAATCTGGGCAGAGCTTGGAAGGCTGAAGTGGGAGCATCTTTTAAGCTCAGGAGTTCAAATCTAGCCTGGGCAACATGGTGAGACCTCTGTCTCTAAAAAACAAACAAACAACAAAAAACAACAACAACAACAAAAAGAAAATGCAACCAGAGCTATTTATAAATTAATGTGCAAAACCAACTTTATTAAGTGAAAAAACTTATTTTCAGCAATGAATCAGGCAACCTAAAAAATAACCCCTAATATGCTAAGCATTGTGATTGATTCTCTCCAATGATTGCTTTCAAAATCCAGATATTTTTATTCTTCATGGTCCAAGGCATATTTCTTGAGCACCTACTGTCTGCCAATCACTATTCAAGGTTCAGAGGATATAGCACTGACAAGCATTACAAATTCCTGCTTTCATGGAGCTCTGACTCTAACCTAGGAGCTACAAGATAAATGAGTAAAATATATGATGTATTAGCTAGTCTAAGTGCCTGGGAGAATAAGTGAAGCAGAGAAGAGGAATAAGTGTGCATGTGTTTTGACATTTTATGTAAGATGAAAAAGCAGGCATTCACTCTTTTCTGTCACTCTTCTTTTTTGTAAATCTCTAAAAATATTTGAAAGAATTTTTATTTTTTACTGTTAACCTTAACAGGCAATATCCAGGAGGAAAGTGCCAATTGATTTCTTGTTTAAATCTTCAGTGTAGTGATAATTCAGAGGTGAGATTAAACCCAGATGTACATTGCTAATAAATAAAGTTAATAGAACAGATTAGAAAAAGCATGGTGACACTAAGACTTAAGGCTTTAACTAGTGTCATTCTTTAGTTGTCATTTTTCAGTCTATTGACTTTAATATAATAGGCATATATTTTTTAAAGGTGCAATCTTTAAAATCCACTGCCTCACTCTGTTCTGTGTTTATACCATTGAGGAGCTTATTTTGTGGAGTGTTTTGTCAATAAGGTTTCATGCCCAGCAGCTCCATGTCTAGTGGAACTGCAGCCAACATTCAAATTCATCATGGATGGGAACCCAGCACGCTGTGCAGTTGGGGCACCATAGGCTGAAAAGCTTCTGCTGGAAATGAAGTATCCTTTAGCAGCGAGGGGATGGAAGCATTGAACAAGTGGGGCAGGGGTGGGAATTGGAGATCTTGAATGTGCAGCAGGCTCTAAAAGCCATTTTATGACCATTGCCTTAGATAATCCCAGACGTGAGTTAAAAGCTAAGGTATGAGGTGCTTTCATACATTTTTCTTATTTAAGGCCTTTCCCTGAAAGGGGATGGGAAGGATCAAGAGTACCTTGCATTCTGAGCAAACTGTTGCAAGGACAGAAAACCAAACACCACATGTTCTCACTCATAGGTGGGAATTGAACAATGAGAACACTTGGACACAGGGTGGGGAACATCACACACCTGAGCCTGTCGTGGGGTTGGGGGAGGGATAGCATTAGGAGATATACCTAATGTAAATGACGAGTTAATGGATGCAGCACACCAACACGGCACAGGTATGCATATGTAACAAACCTGCATGTTGTGCACATGTACCCTAGAACTTAAAGTATAAAAAAAAAAAAAAGAGTACCTTGCAAACCCTCCCCGGCTTTCTTCCTGTGGTATTGTCTCTCTGATTGCCCTATAGAAATGACTCCCTTGAGGCTTGTGGACAGCTGGAAGAGGCCCCTATGTGGCCTGTAAAGTGCTATTGGAAGCATCTGCCAGCGACTGGGGAGGGGAAAGGTCACTTGAGGACTGTGGAAAATATTCCCTTTCTCCTTAGCATCCTGGAACGTCGGCTCTTGACTAAATTGTTAATAGAATCTGGGAGCTCGGATTCTGGTGCTGACATTTTTTTCAGGGTTAGTTCTAGAAATGATATTTCTTAAGCAGCCTTTTGCGGAGCTTCATTCTTTGGTTCACTGAATTCGCAGCACAAAGAAAAGGAAATAGCTTTATTACCATCATCATTACCAACTTCAGAATAGGAATGGGTGAATAATTATATTGGGCTTTTAAAAAGTATAACCAAAGGGAAGGAATTTAGCTGTCTGTATTTTTTTGATAAGGTTATGTGCTTTCTTCTTCCTGTTTCTCTTTAAGGAGACCTTTCTGTGGCTCATACATCATAAAAGTTAAAAGGAAGTGCAAACACAATTACCACAGAAAGTTGAAATCTTTCGCATCCACTTCTCTTTTGTGCTATTTGTGACCTGTCTGCCTGATTGTTTCAAAGTAAGGAAAATCCTGGGTTTCTTATCTATGCTTTTCAGGGGAACTGGTTTTGACTGTGGTTTGAATCTGACAAAATGGAGACAATCAGCCTTAACCTAATAGCCGTTGTACCAAACTAACCCACAAGAATGCAAAGGATACGGGTGAACTTTAAAGGCAAGACTTGCCTAAGGAAATAATGCAAGATACAGTGCCTAGGAAGGAAATCAGATATGTAAAACTCCTTGAACTCTGTAACAGAATTTTCAATCCATCAGTAGCTCTTACTTGGAGGCTTTGAGATTTTCTGCCGCACTCTGCTCAGCGTCTTAATGCTCATGCCAGTCATCAGGTTGTCGTGTGGCTGGGGTCACCATGCCAGAGCCTGACCTGGAGGCCCTGAGTGCTGACAGTGCTCATTTATCAAGAGCACAGTGTTTGGTTGGGGTTATCACTGGGGAGTGAGGCCGCGTTTAGAGTTTGGTCTAAGACAATGTCTGAATGTGGCAGGGGGTCATAAAGGAACCGGGGACAAGGGTTAACCCAGCTCAGTTCTCTCTCTGTGGTCTATGAATGCCACAGCCAAAGCAGCAGCTTCAGAGATCTCTGCTACCTTTTAGAGAAATGTCGTTGCTGTTGCTGAGCCCACTCTCAGGTATTCTGGTCTCATCACCCCCTGTATCTTTTCTCATGCAGGAGCCTCTGGCACTGACTGTGTAGCTTTGAGTGTGGCCTTTAGGCTTGTGATGACTCTGAGGGATGGACCATCCCATAATAATAAGGATTAGGACCAAAATTATAACCCAAGGAGAGGTAGATTTTGATTGCTTTTAAACTTACTTCCTGAGATGATTAGAGTAACATTTGAGACAGTTGGTTTGTAGTTACTCCCTCAAGTCCATTTTCCACCTAGGAAGGTTTATTAATGTTTTATGATTATTGTATAATTTAGAAGAATATTTACCAGCTGCTGGGACCTTCCTCATACATCAAGTCTGGTCTCTTCTGGAGATGGAACCCTCAGGAAAAACTTGAAATTCTTCCTGACAGCTTGTTCGAAGGTTGCCATTTATTTTGGTGAGTGGGTTCATTTTGCTACCGCTGTGTAAAAATGGGAAGTCTCTTCCTTCAGCTCACATACATTCCCAGGTGAGCACAGGTGAAATGTGTTGCTACAAACAAAAGGAAGAGAGTTAGAGAATCTTATGCCCATCATCTGAGTCTCACTCCGGTCTGAAAATTTCTATAATTTCTAAAATTTCTATAGCTCAATTTGCTCTAATTCCTAGTACCTTCCATATTTTTTCCTCTTGGTTGTTTATGCTGTAGTTATAATCTGCTTAGAGATTCCGTAAGTATGGGAAATAGTAAGAGGGAAATCAGCTATCTCCATTTTGGGAAGTCAAAGTGTGAAGTTGTTTTGTTTATTGACCTGATGGTGTATATTTGTGTAACAGTTGTTGAAGGTGAGTTAATCTCGATCTGTTAATCTAAACAGATCGAAATCTATTCCTTGGAGTCATAGCCTCTAAATTTCATGTAAAGCAGTGTAAAGTTCAGATACAGTTTAATCATCAAACTACCGCCCCACACTAAAAAATATAATAAATAAAAAGGCCCAAACCACCAAACCTAAAATGAGAACTATTCCTATTCATATGAAGAAATAGTGTAATGACCATCAGCCTTTCAACAACATGGTATTAATTATGCCAGCAAAAATAACCATACCCCTAATCTATTTTTATGGTCCTATGTCTCTGATGGAACTAATTTTCAAATAAAGCCTAATCACTTACTTGGCAGTTCTCAGCTCCAACAACCTCCTACAGAGATTCTGTTGGGCTGCTAGTTTGGGAAAATATACCAAACATAACTTGGAGTTAGAGTTCTCACACTAATAGCTACAGACTCATGTTTTCTTGATCAAGAGGTAATCCTCTTTCAACTTCAGAGTAAGAAATATGAAATAAATCAGGAGAAAATCATTTTCCTCTTCTGTGATTGTGAAACAACTGATTATCATACAGGAGCCTATTCCAAGTGCATGTCAGGAGGCTTGAGGGTCAGGACAGAGACTGGGGATGCAGGGCTCACTTCATCCACCTGCTAACATAGCAGCAGAAAGGTGCTATGTGCAGCTGTTTTGCAATTATTATTCTTATATTTATTTACCCAATGCAAACAGATTCCCTTTCATCTGTCGTTCTAGTAACAAAGAGTAAATGCCTGAGGCTTTTGGCTAGATTTTACTTTTCACAGGAACTGTTGAAAAGGTTGTCCCATTTCATGGTGTTGCTTTTGTGGAACAGTGATTAAAGTGGTCCCATTGAAGAGTAGGTGCAGGGGTGTAGAGTGGTATAGGGGGTGATAAAGGTAGCTTGGGGCCAGATGGTGAATAACAGTAGAGGTAGTTTAGGACTAATTAGTAGACAGTGTGGGAGCTAGGGGAGATTTTTGAGCAAGGAAGTCAAAACAATGGGCCTTGGTTCAGAAAGCGTCGTCTGGGAGGCCGGCTTCTAGCCAGAGTGCAGGAATGGCTCTGTTGGGCACAGGTGAGACCTGAGAGAGATCAATTCATTAAGCTCAACAAAAGTCAGAAAGACTAAATCGGTGAGGAATATTGCTGATGCTTGGACCTCGGTCCAGACCAGCTTAATTAGAATCTCAGGGTGCGGGGAGAGAGGGTGGAAGTCAAGAATTGCTATTTTTAAAAAGCTCCCCAGGTGATTCTAATGTGGGAGTAGGGTTCAGAAATACAAGGAAATGAATACATGACATTAATATATATATTAATCAAGGATTGAGATACATGCTTTCCAAACTGCCCCTAAAAAATAGGTAATATCATAATAGAATGAATGATGAGAAGAGATGCACTGACAAAATCCACTTATAAAACTAAGAAGTAACTCAACATCGAAGAGGAAACTAAAAAGAAATGAAATTAGCTAGGAGGCTGCATTTATTGGAGATATAGTTATCCATTAATACTTTGCAATAGTAATGAGAAATACTGTTAGTGGAAAAGATATAGTTAAAGTTTTGATTTAACTTAGGTAGAAAGCAGTCAACAAATCATTTTCCATGTGTCTGAGCAAGGCAATAAGACAACAGTGATTAGTGGGAAGTACTCCTGACGTGGGAAAGGAAGTATGCTACTTTGGGAAATAAGGATGTTGTAGAAATTAATATTTTAAAGTCTTTGGAGAATTCCCATGGAGGACTGATGTATTTTCCAAAGTTCTTTGTTGTGATGAGATATGGAGAATTATTTTCTAAGTGCCAATTTGTGAACATAAGCATATGCATGCCAAGGGAGATTTGAAGTGCAAGAAACTGATTTCTGTAAAGCCACTTGTTTGATGTGATGTCCTTAATGGTTTTGTTTTGTTTTCATATTTTCCCTTATGTCTAAAGATATAATTAAAGTTCACTGCCGTGAGGGGCTCAGGTGTCTTTACTTTTGGCTGAATGAGTAATCGCCCTTGATTTCTGATTGCAGTAATTTCTGTAATAAAGCCCATTGGTGATCTCCATAAAACTTATTACCTCTACATATGAGTAAGGAACAAAAGTGTAACTTTGATTTCTTCCTGTTTATGCCATCAGATATAGTCATGTATTCTGTGTTGAAAGTATGTGAAACCTCTTCTGAATCTCATTGCCTCTTGCAGCTCCTGTGTAAATTCTGTCCCAAAGCTTTCAGGTTCCCTGACTACATCGTTGTATTTACTGCTGAATTTACTGCATTCTCTTCCTCTTTCAACTGCTTCCCAACCTGCCTTTCAGACCCTTTTTTTAAGAAGCTAGGCTCCTGAAGGTTCCCCGTGACTATCTTTTAACCATACCTCTTAGTTCTGTCACCAGTTTTGAGCTCCCTTCACTTCCCCGGCATTGTTCATCAGTGTTACTTGTTTGAAATTCCCTCCCTGTAGGGCCTCCCTTAGGTTCCCTGATGAAACTCTACAGTTACCCACTTTTTTTCTAACTTTCATTTCTTACCTTTGCATCCCTTTCTACCTACTTTAATCCCTTCCAGTAAGCTTATCAACTGACCATGGCCTCTGCAATTACCTTTACATAAACCAGATTAAATTATATTGCTCCAGTGAAGATTTTGAATCCCAAAATCATGTCTTCTATATAAGGACATTCCATTGTATGTCTCACTTTTGCCTCAAACTCAACATGTGCAAAACTAAATTCATCATTTTCCCTTAGAGGACATGTAACTCCTCTTTGTCCCTCCCCTATTTTTCTGTAATTGGTCTTCTCTGGTCTCCCTGGACTGGAAGGCTCAGTGTCATCTTTGTCTCCATATCTTTCATCCCTTGTTCAGCCACTCTCAATGCCGTGTTGATTTCTGTTTCTAAGTGTCACTAGATATACCCCTTTCTCCAGGCCTCCCCTGCTTCTTCTCTGAAGTAGTCTCCTTTACTTTAGGGGTGATACGGCAATAAAAGTATGGGCAGACTGATATCCGTCCAACAAACATTCTCAGATTAATCTTCCTAAAAGAATGTTTTCATCTTTTTATTTCATTTTATCATAAACTTTGCCTCCTTGATGCTCAAACATCCTAATTTATCAACTTGTCATTCTAGAGCCTTTTTACAAAAAAGGGCCTTTGGCATATCTGTCAAATTAACTTGCTGTAGCTACTCCTGAAGAATCTCTCCGATAGGGTTCTCAAGTGATCCATCAAACATCTTGCTGATCTGCCTTTCTGCCTCTACTTATGTATGCTCTTCTTTCTTCTTGAATATCCATACTTGAATATCTTTTCTTCTTTCTTCTTGAATATCCATACTCAGGATCCAATTCAAACATCACCTTTTTGTAATGACATCTCTTCCTAGTCTGTTTCATACCACTTTTATCTTCTTGTCACTTCCTATATAGGTTCTTGTCACTACTAACTATAGGTTTTATTGTTGGTAACGCATATCTTAGCACTTCAGTGTTATTGGTCTTGCATTACTATGTATGTGGGTTTTGTGATAATTTTTTTGTGTGGTATATCACAGTTTATAAAACATTATCATATTTGGGCCTGATAGTAAAGCAAGTCAGACATTTTACAGCTGGGAGCAGTTGTATTAGTAGTAGCCCCAGAACACATGGATACCAAGAGTTAAATGTAAAATGTGAAAGTGGAATCTAAGAGTTAACATCAAGAACAGTGCTAGTTCAACTGTTCTAACTTTCAAGGTCCTTTCACTTATTGCAAAACTTAATGCACATTTTTTTCCTTCATATATTCTATAGAACCTAGCATATGTCTATTACATACTAGGTGTTAAGTATCTTATTGGCTGAAGTAGATTAGTATATGCTATAAATAAGAAAATATTCTATGAATTATAAAAATGTGCTATATACCTTTCTTCACTTAGATTGAAAATTGGAGAAAGAGTGAATTATTACTAAAAATTGCTTTGATGTGTTCTGATAAACAGCTTTTTTAAGATAATGTGAATTATAGGAACCTCGTGTTTGAAAGCTTTTCTTTCAGTGGTGCCTTGGTGTACTACTTTGGACTTAGACTAACAAGATACAATTTGCCAGTATCTTGGTTGAGAAGAAACAACATGATTGCCATGAAAAAAGAAAAGAGAGAAAAAAAGTAAAAGAAAAATCTATGGAGTTTTTAAAAAGCATTCTCATAAACTTGATTTT
The DNA here is from genome assembly GCF_000001405.40 of Homo sapiens. Classification (NCBI taxonomy): domain Eukaryota; kingdom Metazoa; phylum Chordata; class Mammalia; order Primates; family Hominidae; genus Homo; species Homo sapiens. Next base: position 67,974,399 of record NC_000008.11, read on the forward strand.
AAAAGTGAAAATTGATGAACATTCTTCATGTTCTGAAAATATATTTTAATAGGTATTATATATTATAACATGACATCAATTAGCTAAAATCCTACCTAGAAATATGCTAGTTCATTACATTTTGGAGCTAACTTTTCCATGTAAGGGATAACAAAGGATGCGTGAAAGGGAGTTGACATTTTTATTGTTTTTGGTAGATTAAAATAATTGGGTTGGCCAAGTATGAGGGTGAGAACATTTTCCTACTATTTATCATGCAAATTCTGAGAATTTATTTGGAACTCATTGTACAAAGCTAATATTAAGAAAAAGTTACTTAACTTTTACTGGAATGAATAGTTATGATGATCCTCCTAACCTAGAGATGATGCAGTGATATCATTTTAGAAATAATTTTGTTTCAAATTCATTTATTGCTTTGGTCTCTTGCAGTTTTATTACCTTCTTCATGTAAGGATATAAACAATTGGATATTAAGTTAGTTGTAAGACCATGTAGGAAAATGGACAGTTTTTGTGTGCACATCCAGTCTCTGCTGCATCCTGACTGTGGTGACTCAGAATTAGCTCCGGAATCCATCCTTGCTGTGTGTTCCTCATACCACTTCTCAGTGTGGGCTTGTGCACCTCTCTCTGGAGAGCTCTGGCTTCTGCCTTTATTATTCTTCTTCTCAAGCCTTCCTGCACTGCTAAGAAACTAGTTTTCCCAATGAATGGATGATTTTTATTTTGTCCCTCGCTTTCTCAAAACTGTAGCTCACCCTGACCTACTGAAAACCAACCAAAGTTCATGGTCTCCTCTAGTCGGGGCCTCTCAGTCTTTTGAAATTATAATGAACCAATGGATCTGGCTGATGTTACCTGCACACGGCCTGTTTTTTTTTTTTTTTTTTTTTTTTTTTGGTGTGTGTCTGTGTGTGTGTGTCCTATTCATTGTGTTGCTATATAAGTACCTGTAGGCAGGAACTGGGCCTTTTTCACATTTTTATTCTCTATAACTAATTTCTAATGCAGTGCCAGGCCTATAGTGAACCTAAAGAATGAATGAGTGAATACATGCTTTTAAAGTGAAACAAATGTTACTATGTATCTTTTTTTATTGCCTACCTTTCCAAGTATGTAGTAATATCTTAATACATTGAACAAAGAAGAAAACGAGAGCAACAGAATTCAGCAAACAAATATTACTATGAATAGCTAGTGTGGCAGGGAAGCAGTGCCTAAGTATTCTATGTTAGCATGTCTTTTTCAGCTAGTATACTTAATATTTATCAGGATAGTAACTGATTTCTCTTTCTTTTTTTTTTTTTTTTTTTTTTTTTTTGAGATGGAGTCTGGCTCTGTCGCCAAGACTGGAGTGCAGTGGCACAATCTCAGCTCACTGGAATCTCCGCTTCTCGGGTTCAAGTGATTCTCCTGCCTCAGCCTCCCGAGTAGCTGGGACTACAGGCGTGTGCCACCATGCCCGGCTAATTTTTTTTTTTTTTTTTGTATTTTTGGTAGAGACGGGGTTTCACCATGATGGCCAGGCTGGTCTCAAACTCCTGACCTCAGGTGATCCACCTACCTTGGCCTCCCAAAGTGCTGGGATTACAGGCGTGAGTCACTATGCCTGGCCAGGATAGTAACTGATTTTTGATTTAAAAAAATGCATAGATTCTTCTATACTTTTAGGCTTTTGATGAAGTTATAACACACGGTTGCAACTAGTCCCCAAAGTTGTCTTCGTAATGAACCAAACCCCCAGCAGCACCCTTTCTTTGATTCTGAGCTAGCTCTGAAACTTGCAATTGACCAATGTCTCCCAAGACTAGGTCTTAAGGGCTCTTGAAATTTTATCCCTGGATCTCTTGGAAAATGTGCTTTTAGAATAGCTCTCTCGAAGATAGCTGCCATAGAAGCAGTGCCACTATTCTGAGACCAACTTGCTGTGAGATGCCTCAGCCATGTGGAGAGACCCTGGAATATGAAACACTGAGAGAAAGAGGGAGAGAGACAGAGAGAGAGAGAGAGAGACAGGAGAGAGACAGAGAGAGAGATGGGAGAGAGACAGAGAGAGAGAGAGAGACAGAGACAGAGAGAGAGAGAGGGGAGAGAGACAGAGAGAGGGACAGACAGAGACAGAGACAGAGAGAGAGAGACGGGAGAGAGACAGAGAGAGAGAGACAGAGACAGAGACAGAGAGAGAGATGGGAGAGAGACAGAGAGAGAGAGACAGAGACAGAGAGAGAGAGACGGGAGAGAGACAGAGAGAGAGAGACGGGAGAGAGACAGAGAGAGAGACAGGAGAGAGACAGAGAGAGAGAGACGGGAGAGAGACAGAGAGAGAGACAGAGAGAGAGAGAGAGATGCGAGAGAGACAGAGAGAGAGAGACAGAGACAGAGACAGAGCGAGAGGGGAGAGAGAGAGAGAGAGTGAGACAGAGAGAGAGAAGCCAAGGTAACACCAAAGCACTAGACATGTGAGGGATGAAGTGATGGAGCCATCTTAAAAATGGATCCTCCAGCCACCCCAGCTGGTAGCACATGTAGCAGAATGTCTAGCTGAACACTTCTCAAATTCTTAATTCACAAAATTGTGAGCAAAATAAATGGTTATTGTAAGCCACTAAGTGTGGCATAGTTTGTTATGCAATATAATGGATTGAATGTTTGTCTCCCCCCTAAATGTATATGTTGAAATTCTAACCCCGCAATGTGATGGGATTAGGAGATGTGGCCTTGGGAAGCCATTGGGTCATGAGGGTAGGGCCTTATGAATAGGATTAGTACGCTTATAAAAAGAACTCCACAGAGCTCTCTCCCCGTCTTTCATTTACAGTAGGATATAAGGAGAAATCATCAGAAGAGGGTCCTCACCATAGCCTGCTGGCACCCCAGTCTTGGACTTTTCAGCTTGCATAACCGTGAGAAATAAATTTCTGTTGTTTACAAACCACTCAGTTGATGGTAATTTGTTTTAGCAGCCTGAACTATGACATGCAGTGACAGATAACTGAAACAACATACAGGAACATGTGTAAATTATTAATAAATTTCACCAGTTAAACACACCTGTCGTGATATTGTGATTTTTTTTCTTATAATAACATAGATGTATTTGGCCTTCATCCCCATTTCCTCACATACAACTCCTACAGTTTTTGGAATCCCAGGAGTGACAGAGTGACCTTTGTATGCTGTTGGTTTGACTGATGGCTGGAATCCCCTAGGTAGAATGAGGAAAGGAAAGGCCAAAGCATGATTAGAGGGTTGGGACTTTTCAGCCCCACACTCAACCTCTGGGGAGGGGAGAGAAATTGAAGGTTAAGCTAATCACCAGTGGCCAATGATTTAATCAATTGTGTCTACATAATGAAGCTTCCATAAAAACCCCAAAGTACTAGGTTTGGGGGGCTTCTGAATAGCTGAACATGTAGAGTTTCCTGGAGGGTGGCATGCCTAGAAAAGGCATGGAAGCTCTGCATCCCCTCGCACAAACCTGCCCTATGCATCTCTTTCTGACTGTTTACCTGTATCTTTTGTAATATTCTTTATAAGAAATCGGTAAGCGTAGGTGTTTCCCTGAGTTCTGTTAGCTGCTCTCACAAACTAATCATACCCAAGGAAGGGTGAGGGGAACCCCGGTTTTTAGCTGGTTGATCAGAAACACAGGTCACAACCCGGGGCATGTGATTGGCATCTGAAGTGGGGGTTAGTCTTGTGGGACCGAGCCCTCAACCTGTGGAATCTGACGCTATCTGTCCACCTGGTGTCCACTGCAGAATTGATTGCTTACTTGGTGTGTGGGGAAATCTCCCCCCTCCTCTCCCCCCGCACATACACCTTTGGCTACAGAAGCCTTCTGTGTTGTGAGAGTATCATAGGAGAAACTGAGTTTTTTTTCCCCATATCCTTACACCTGTGTAACTAACATCCAGAGCAAGGGACAGAATATTGCCAGCACCTCAAAAGCCATCCTTGTGTTCCCTTTCAGCAACAGCCATCTCCAAGGGTAGCAACCACTTTGACTTCCAGCACCATAGATTGTTTTGTCTGGTTTTAAAATTTTGTATGAATAGACTTATCCATTATATAATCCATTATATACTCTTTTCACTTACTATGTTTGTGGGATTATCCGTATTATTGACTGGAGCTGTGGTTAAAACATTAGCATTGCTATGTAGTATCCCATTATATGAATGTAATACGCTTCATCCATTCTACTCTTGGTGGATATTTGGGTAGTTTCCAGTTGTCGACTATTGTGGATAGTTCAGTCTTCTAAATGTCTTTGGTAAATGTATGCACACTTTTCTCTTGGGTGGTTTTTCAATGGTTTTATGATTGCCTTTGAACTTGTTAGTTTTATATCTGTAAGTAGCCTATAAGCCACTCTAGAGTATAATGGCTAGGTTTTATACATATATATCTATATTTATTCTTATGATAATGCCTAGTAAACAGAGTTTATAGCTTAGAGTAGTTATTCAAGAAATATATGCTGATTGATCACTTAGAAGTTTTACAGCACATATGCTTGGTTCTCTAAAAAGAAGTTCTAAATTAATCATGCACTTTACACTACAGTATGTAAGTATAAAAAATAGGAAATGTCCTTTCAATTAGACATTCTTGTTGAATTAATAACAGCTTATTGGAAAACATTTCATCTGCTCAGAGCTATTGTTTTGCAAATAGCGTGAGAAAGAAAATCACTTTGTTTCTTACAGTGATAAAAGACAGGATACTAATAAACAGCTGAAGTTTCTGTGTACTGTTATACTGAAGGGGTTTAAGCTTCAGTGAATCACTTGTTAGGATAGAAGTAACAAATTATGTTGGTGTGTACAACTGAAAAGCATCTTAGGGCACTATTCTTCTTTTGTTGAGTTATGTCCTTAGAGCTCTATCATATCATTTACTGTAAGGTAAATTAATGAGTACTAAAATTACATTTTCTTCACATCTAATCAACTTGAGGAATTTCCCTTTTTGTTGCTTTTTTGGTGTATCACTGGGGCTATTTACTTTAAAAATCGCAATGAAAAAACTGTTCCAAATAAGCCAGGTCTGATTATTTTCAATCCCAGCACACTTACTTAAATGCCAATATCATATGGAAAAGTTTGACTCCAAAACGCCAGACTCTTTTTTTCTCTTTTCTGGTAAAGTGTAGCTCTTGGACAAAAATAAATGACATGGAAATTCAAATTAATGTCAGATGGTTTTATGGTTTGTGGTTTGTGTTTGTGGTTGTTAACTCTGAAGAATCAGGACATATAAAAGATTAAAGAGTCTTTCAGCTACTAAGCTTAAAATATGTATGTTTACAAACAAATGCCATACACTTTCTATCTTGATTTATCCTTACTTCTTTAGTTACTAGCATGCTTTTAAAAAAAATACTATGATGTCTTTTACATCTTCCCATTCATTTATTTATGCAGTAAATATTTATTGAGTGTTTTCCGTGGAGCAGATACTACTCTGAGTACTTCAAGTTTCATAGACCTAACTCTTCCCTGGAGGAGATCATGGTCTACTGCAATACCAGACATGTAGACAGACACTTACAATATGCCATCTCATAGACAGACAAGCAAACTAGGTTCAGAGCAACTCCTTCTGCTTAGGGGAGTCCAGGAAGTTTTACAGCACAGATAAAACTTGAATTGAGACTTGAAAGAAGTATAGGAATTTGAGCAAAGAGGTGAAAAAGTTTTTCTATGCAAAAGAGTAGCGTGATACAAAGGCACAGAGCTGAGAAAGGTTTGGCATATTCAGAAATCAGTGGCAAGTTCCCTTTGCTCAGAACTTAGGGCATGTTGGGTAAAGAGGAGAGGGGAAGAGTGGGGATGAAGTAGGTTACCATTTTCACTGTGAGAAACTAAGAGCCTAGCCTTCCCCCAGGGTCTCCACTCTACTTTTTAACTTGGAATATTGCAGTAACCTGGGACTGGTAACCCTTTGTGGAATTGATAGGAGTTGAAGAAAAGGTAGACTTTTGAGCAGCACAAAGAATAGGATTGGATGTTCCAAAAATAAACAAAAAGGATATGCAAAATGGAGGGGGAAGGGCCGGCAACATGTTCTCAGAACAAAAAGTAGTTCAGTTGGCCATTCCTAAAGGAGAGAAGCTACAGTTTAAGTGGGAACAGTGTTTGGAGGGAACCTCCATTAGAGTACTGCAGAACATTGCTGATACGGTTTGGCTGTGCCTCCACCCAAATATCATCTTGAATTGTCATAATCCCCATGTGTCAAGGGTGGGACCAAGTGGAGATAATTGAATCATGGGGGTGGTTCCCCCATACTGTTCTCATGATAGTGAGTGAGCTCTCACTAGATCTGATGGTTTATAAGGGGCTTCCCCCTTTGTTTCAGTCTGAATTTCTTGCTGCTGCTATGTGAAGAAGGACCTGTTTGCTTTGCCTTCTGTCATGATCGTAAGTTTCCTGAGGCCTCCTCAGCCATGCTGAACTGTGAGTCAGTTAAGCCTGTTTCCTTTTAAATTACTCAGTCTTGGGTATTTCTTCATAGCAGTGTGAGAATGGACTAATACAACTGCGCGTGGCTTTCTTCATCACTTTGTCCATTCAACAACCTGGTGTAAGTAATCTAGGGGGCAATTGGATGGAATAGCAGCAAATGTGGTAAATAACAGGAGCAAACAACATAATTATTTTTGATAGGAAGTGTAATAGCCTGAAAATAGGAAAGTACAATTTAAAGCATAAATACAGTGTCCTATAGTTCACAGTTATTGGGAAAAAGATGTTGGGTGTTTCCAACAAATGCCTAATATAAGGGAACAGCCTTATGACATTGATAAAAGAAGCGAATGTCTTGTCAGGAAGACCTGGATAAAGGAGGGTGATAGCACTGCTCCACACTCTGTCAAGGGATTGCAATTTGTTCTGGATGCCATCTTTTAAAAGAGACAGTTACAGAGAAAAGAATGGCCAGAGGAAGGAAACCAATGTAGTGGAAGTCTGAGAACAATATTGCAGGCAAAACAGGTAATGAAACAGGCTATTTACCCTCTAATTGAGTAAAGGAGACATCACAGTTGTTGAGAGCAAGAGGGGAGACAATAACCACTAGATAGAAGTCCAGGGAGGTAGGTTTAGCTCTGTGATGAGATGATCCTTCTAATGCTTTTCCTTGTGAACAGGAAACTAAACAAGACCAAATAAATATGTCTAAGTGACAAGTTCGCTGTGTAACTGGGAGTGTTTCAGCTAAGGGTGGTGCTACCTTGTTAGGGATACCGTGAGCTGTCAGAGTTTTACTTCAATGAACTTTAACACCACTAGAAGACATCTGAGTGTAAAATACAGATACTCTTGATATCCTTAAAATATATATTAATCAGGCAGCCTGAGCTGCATGCACTTAGGAGCTCTGAAGCCAGTGAGCCCTGGGCATGAGGTAAGAACTATGTGCTGTGAGGTTTTCTTAGTGGTTTTACTACTGGGAAGTGACTTGGTTGCTCAATTGAGAGGCTTCCATAAGAATCGCAGCTATCAGGGATTGAGTGCTTGTTAGTGCCTGATGCTCAGCTGTGCACTCTATATACTCTATCTGGTTTAATCATCACAACAGACTTGGATAGTTGGATTGTTTTAATCCCCTGTCTCCTTTTACCAGTGAACAAGTAGAACTTAAATAACTTGAGTCCAGCTGCAACATTTTCTAGCTGTGTGACCTCAGGAAAGTTATGTAATAGCTTTGTCCCAATTCCCTGATTTAGAAGTGTGGATAGCCTCTGCATGCGGTGGCTCACACCTGTAATCCCAACACTTTGGGAGGCAGGAGGATCACTGAGGCCAGGAGTTTGAGAGCAGCTTGTGCAACATGGTGAGACCCTGTCTCTATAAAAATTTAAAAAAAAGCTGGTATAGTGGTGTGTGCCTATAGTCCCAGCTACTTGGGATGCTGAAGTGGGAGGATAGCTTGAGCCCAGGAGGTTGAGACTGCAGTGAGCTATGATCCATGCCATTGCACTCCAGCCTGGGCAACAGAGCAAGACCCTGTCTCTAAAAAAAAATTAAAAGTGTGGAAAATAATAATGCCTGCCATGCTGTTTGCAATTGTAATACCTGGATTCCCCCTCAGGTAGTAAGGGATGGGAGGGAATTTGATCACTAATAAAAGATACATTGACATGTATTAGAATTGTCATTGTTTATGGGTAAAATATTTAAAAAATATATGTATTTCATTTGGGAATTTGGTAGAGAGCCTAATGAGAGCTGCTGATCACTTGCATAGATGTATTTTTATGTATAAGAACAGCTGATAGTATTTTGCCTTTATATTTCCTTCTTTATGCATACAGCCTCTCAAAGCCAATCTAAAATGCTGCCTACTTTATAAAATTTTTCTGACCCTCAAGATGGAATGGGATTACAGTTTCTTTTAAACTGTCATAGAATATTCTGACTTGTCTATGACATTAATGATTTCCCGCCTTAACATTATATTTACTTGTTCAATTGTCTGACCCTCTCCAATAGACCTCATGCTCATTCTGGCATGGCCTTTAGCATCTTCTTTGTGGTATGTCTTGGAATACCTCAATTTCGGTATGCAGGTCCTCAAATCTTTATTTGATTTAGTTGAACCACATTGTTAAGCTTTAGTTTTTATCTCTTTTTCCTGATTCCTTTACACAATATTGAAAGACATTGGCAGAACATTTACTTTATATGGGCCATAGTGGTGGTGGTATTTTTTTAAGCAGATATGCTAATTTCTAAAATTTTAAGTTTGTGTGCTTCCTCAAAAGCCAACATTACTGTGATGAAAACAGATTTTGAACCTTTGTTTGGTATCTGCATACTGATGATGATGGATCAATGGTGAAAGAAACAAACTATGTTTTACCTTGGCCCTGCCCCACAAGGCATTCATGAAAAGAGACCTGCAGATGCAGGTTGTTCCCTGCATTGCCCAGCTGTGCTGGCTGAGTGATGTTCGAATATGTAAGCACTTTTTCATTTCCTTCATCTCTCCATCCTCCTGTTACTTAGTTTTTATGCTAAGATTCTCACCTGAGTTATCAGAATAGCCTCCTAATTGAGGTTCCTGCCTCCATTCATTCTTGACTCAGATAAGTTCCCAACTGTGCCATGATAGTGAACTTCCTATATAGTTCAGTCACCCACAATGGCCACAGGGCAAGTTCCAAGCAGTTAAGCTGCCCATGAGGGCCTCCAGGATCCCAAATTTCCAGCAGTATCCTCTTCCTGCCCTCTTCCTTCTGCCAGACTTCATGAAATTTTTGCTCCAGAATTGAGTGTTTAGTTTTCTTCATTTATTGACCACTCTTTGATTCTCCATTAGCTATTGTTATTATTGAGTGCTTCCTTAGTAGTGATTAGGGTTGTGAGCTCTTCGTGAGCTCTGGGTCCACATGGCTGGGATCAAAGCTGTGTGATCCTAGAAGTTCTTAATCTCTGTCTCCTTCCATTTTCACATCTGTAAGATGGGGATGATATTGGTCCCAGCATCATAGGGTTGCTGTGAAGATTGAGGTGATACCTGTAAAGAGTGTAGGACAGTGCCTGGCACATAGTAGTGCACATCAATCTAATGCCGTGCTTGGTACTGCTCTGGGAATTTGTATTCTCATGCCTCTGATCCTGCTATTCTCCCTATGTTGAGTGTTCCCCGCATTTCCTCCCCAACTTGAATTTCTGTCCATTCTTTAGAATCGTTCTAAGGTGTCAGCTTCTTAGTAAAGCTTTTCCACATCACCCTTTCCACCTTCAGAAAGAACTGATCACTCCATCTTCTCTTCTACTTCTGAACCTTGAAAATAAATATTTGTGCAGCACACTTTCATGCAAGTATTCATATACACATCCGTGTCCCCTACTGGATCATGAACTCATTAAGAACGAAGAGTATGATTTATTCAACATTGATTTCTTAGAAGCTAGCTCAGTGCCTGGCACATAGTATTCAATAAATAATTGTTGAACTGTGCTTTTTGAATTGAACAGGAAAGCACTTTATCACTTAATGTTTTAGGCATGAAATCCAGAGTATGTTATCGCAGTGTCATGGTGATGTGCATACATACATGCATGTGTATGTATGTGTCTGTGGTTTGATTAGTACATGCCTGATTAAGGAAAATAATTACTGTGAGTTGTTCATTTATTTAACTACTTCTGGTAGTTTATAAGAAAGGAATTTCTTCAACTTCCTAGGTAGAAATGCAAGCCAGGACTTGTGGCAATTCAGTGCCAAAGATCTGTTACTGTTAGCCTGGAAGACTGCAGGTCTGCCGGTTCCAGCTGTGCTTTAATAAACAGGAGCTCAAACACTTCATGATGGGAAGTACAGCTGAGGACTCTCGAATGCACAAGCTGATCATGCTGAATGCTTTTCTGGGTCATGTTCATTTCATAAAAACAGCCAATTCCCAGCCTTCCCAGAAGAGGAAATGCTGAAGGTCCTAGCTGCGATGTGGGGTGAGGAGGAAACCAGGACGGAGAGGGAGAGGGGGCCTCACCACCTCCCCTTTCCTTGGCAAGGAAGCCAGCCCAGGCACCCAGCCCAGTCGCACGGGTCCCTGTTAGGACTTTGGGCTGTGCTTAAGTACACAAGTTTTTTTTTTTTTTCTTGCCTTTTGTAGCGACTACGTTGTTCCAGTGACCAGAGCAACATGACATAGAAGCAGAGAAAACATACCAAGTTCTTGCCAGTTGCTAGGCAGAGAAAAACGCTTTTGGATGTTTGAAGTATGCTTCCTATGTTGATTTCCTAACCATGACTTGTTTTGAAAGCCAAACACAATAGCATCGTGAATACTCATCAGCATTTGGTAGGCTTTGCTGCCAACCTAATTAACAGATTTCAGTTTAGAGGGATGAGAATAAAGGGGATGCTTTTGGTAAAGTAGTAGCTTCGTGGGAAATTTGATTTTTCTCTAAGGATTGTTTCTTATAATTTTTTTGATATAATATAATATTTAATTTCAATGACCATATTTGTCTTAATTTTAACACAAGCAGTTTTTAGATTATACTTAACATTGATGCTAATATAGTTGCAGTGGATTTTACCCAAGTTTTCTTTTTAAAAACCTAATGAAATATGGAAAAGGTAGTTCTCTTTGGTCTAAATGTCAATATTAGAGCTGTGAGTGTGATGATTTACCGTGCACTTAATTTTTCTTATTGTCGGAGATAGGAAAATGATCATTTCTTCTGGGACACCAAGCTCTCATTGTTAAGTAGGGCAGCTGGTGAATCCTGAACTCAGAGGCAGAGACTCCCCAGGAGGGCCGCTGAGTACAGTAGGCTGTAAGGGAACTAAGAAGGATACTCTTCCCTGCATGGCCAAACACAGTTGCAGAGGACAGTTTCAGGGTGATGTTGGGCAGGCCATTGGGCTTGGCTGGTCCTAGGGGCAACTGTTTCCCTGTGGGCGATGGGGCTGCTCCATCCATGCAAGCGACCTGTGTTCCCCACCAGAGCTATCCAGAGTGGTGTCCCTTTAATTCTATTATCAGACCATGTGGTTTCTAGCAGGGAACACAGATCTAATTGAAGCTTTAAGGAAACTTTATGAATAGGAAGCCACACATAGTTGTAGAAAGATCTCAGGCCAGCTGTCACTTGGGAGATGGAAGTTCAAGGTTAATTTCACTTGACTGGCAAAAGCGTTTTGAGAGAAAAGTTGGTTTTCGTAATCTTTCTTTTGGTTGGAGACAGGAAAAATGGGGGAAAAATTAATATGCCTTTCTACTATCTCTTTTGGGATAACCAGGTTATATTGATGAAAATGATTTTATGTACAAGGCACAGTGTGTGTATATAAATTCTTTTAATCTCCACCGTAATCCCAGAGAGTAGGCACTCTTATAGATGGGGAACTCAGGTACAGAGAAATTAGAGAAATTCCCAGAATCACCCAGCTCGGAAGTAGCAGAGCTTGGATTTGAACTGAAGAAGTCTTGTGATGGAGTTCCTGCTCTTGGCCAGTACACTACATTGCCTGGGCATGCCGGGAGCGTAGGGCTGCTCCATCCATGCAGGCATCCTGTCTACAGGCATCCTGTCTGCAGGTGGCTTGACTACAGGTGGCTTGTCTACGTGCAAATGACGTGCTTGCTTGCTACATGTAGACATCTTAGCTGGATTGGCCTCTGAGTCCTCTGTAATACTTTCATGGAGATTTATCTCATTGGGTTTAAGTCATAGATTTACATGTGTATCACTTCTATCATATAGTGAACTTCTAATGGCAGGGGCTTGATTATGAGTTGCTGGCACCCAGCATGGTGCCTTTCTTTCGAGAACCTTATGGAGTTGAAGAACACAGTGCCAACAACCTGGGGCAGAGAGTAACAGTAAGGCCAAGAGCTTCAAGTGATCTCTAGGACTCTTTTTGGCTCTTGTCAGTACTAATAGAGATAATGTCTTGTGTTGCAATTTGGAATTCACGAAAACCAAACTTAAAGATGTTTTAAAAAAGAACATCACTGGCCAGGGATGGTGGCTCACAGCTGTAATCCTAGCACTTCGGGAGACTGAGGTGGGTGGATCATGAGGTCAAGAGATGGAGACCATGGTGAAACCCTGTCTGTACTAAAAATACAAAAAATTAGCCGGGCACGGTGTCAGGTGCCTGTAGTCCCAGCTACTTGGGAAGCTGAGGCAGGAGAATGGTGTGAACCTGGGAGGCGGAGCTTGCAGTGAGCAGAGATCACGCCACTGCACTCCAGCCTGGGCGACAGAGTGAGACTTCATCTCAAAAAAAAAAAAAAAAAAAAAAAAAAGAACACCACTAACTAATTTCTGATGTATTTCTTTGCTCCTTTTTCAAGTCATTGTTTTCATTTTTTTGGAGCTATATAAGGCCAGTCAACTCTTTTTTAAAGTTAAGCTAGCAAGGTATTTGGCTATCAACGCTAAATAAATCAATTCAGAACCACTATTAGCACCATAAAGCTTAATTCTTTTTCTTTGTACTGTCTGGTCACCTTTAGAATAATTCTTATTCCTCTTCAATCGGCTGGATTTCTGCACAGGTCCAGGGGTTGTCTTTCTGTGGGGAGATTGATGTGCACTGGGGCAAAATTTCAGTTACCAAGTGTGTCCAGCATGAAGTTGCAGCTGGCATTGAAAGGCATCCACCATTCCTCTCCAGGTACATTTCAGATTCATCTCCTACCTTGTTCCCCCATGTCCCCATCACGTGCGCTGGACTGATCATCTGTCCTCACACAGATCTGGTAGCTTCTGCCTCTGGATCTGGCCTCAAGTGGTTCCCTTTGCTAGAAGCGCCTTTTCCCCTGCAACCTCGCCTGCCTGCTGAAGCCGTTCTCGGTCTGTAATGCTCACACTCCATCTTCTCTAAGCATCTGTCTAGGATACCCTCCAGTTCCATTTAATATCTTCCTTCTCTGTGCTCTGTAAATTCCCATTTCTAGACTTTCACTTGCTAAGACAAGCCCCACATCAGGTATTTGTGGATGTGTCTGTCTTCCTCAGGAATTGTGGCAGCCAGGGAGTGTGTGTGTGTGTGTGTGTGTGTGAACACACATGCAATACACGCAGTGTCTTTGCAGTCCCCATAGGTAGAAGAGCAGGTATGCAAAGATAGTTTTTCAGTGTGAATAACCCGTTTCATTTTTGTTCCCTCGCAAAATGAATGCCTCATCCTTGTACCATAGAAAATATCTGAACACCTCTACCTTCTAGTCATAGACTTTTGGATTGCCTCTCTTCCTATTCTTTTAGTTTTTAAAATATGCCAGAGCCCACAGTTACCTTACTATCTGCCTCTCCTAAATTCTGGTCAGCCTCTTCCCTCACTCTGGCATGGAACCAGGCTTAGAACAGTAGAATTGATAGTGGTAAGAAGTTGAGTGTGACTGCACACCACGGCTGAAGCTCTGCTGAAACCTTTATGAACTGGACTTTGAAACCAATTTCTCTAACCAAAGTCCCTATTGCTCCCTGAGTCAGGTGAGCTCTGCCATGTGCCTGGCACAATGCATCCATCACTTTACTTAGTCCTCCTCACAGTCCTCACCAGAGATGAATGAAAGTGCCATTGTTCACAGGGAAGCCAGGCATCCACCGAGGTCCTACAACTGAGAGTCCCATGGCTGAGCCCCTGATGGAAGCTCAGGTCTACCTGACTCTTCTCTTTCATAATAGAACACTGGCTCCTGAATGCCTGAAATGGACACAGGAGACTTTTCCCATCTTCTCTGTTTCCCAAGGCTGGTGCCCACTGCTCACTTTCACCTTGCAGGCCCCCACCCTACCTGTGGAGTCTTGGGCGTAAGTTAGGGGCCTTCTCCTTGACCAGCTCAGCCTTTTGTGAGAAAGTTGGGAAGCTCCCAGAAGCTTGACAGGTCACGCGTACATGACAAGAAGGTGGTGGGGAAGGTGACAAGGTGGAGAGAGCCTGTGCCCCACCCCATGGACTGTGAGACTCAGCTCCAGCCAACTATCGCCAAGAGGCAGCATGGCCGTAGTGATCCTAGAACACCTGATTTTCCAGAGTAAGTTGGAATTCTATATTTTCATCAGAGTTTTCTAAATGTTTTTAAAAGCAAACCAAGCACGTGTATTGGCCAGATTCACAGGCCACTGTTTTGTGACCTCTGCCTGGGGACATGAGTACCTGCTGTCACTTTGCTCATTGTGTCTGTCTGCTCTGGAGCCATCTGAGTATGTGACCCCCAGTTTAGGAGAAGGAGAGAAAAATTAATGAGGAATGGATGTGAAAAAAAAGATAGGAAAAGAAAGCTAATATTTAATAGAAAAAAGTGATGCTAAAATAAGTAGAAAAAGTTCCAAATTTATATTTAAATACAAAAGACATTATAATTTAGTGACTAGAAAGAATAATAGATTTCCTTATAATAGTTTTTTCGAATTAAATAGTTCTTTTTTTCTACCTAAATTTTGCTTAAGAATGGTTTTAAATGTATTTTTAAAACTTCTAAATCTTAACTATTCTAAGAATTTAAAATTTTCAGATCTGGTTAAATGAAATATTAGGTTACTAAATAATAATACCATTTATCTTCTCAACATTGAATGAATGACTTGTGTTTTTGTTACTTTGTCATTCTTGATACATTACTATAATTTGATAAGTATTTGAACTGTTTAGCCAAATTAGCCGAGATTACATATATGTAGTGTTTTTTAATAATGTTTCTCTATACTTATACAAAACTATTGATGATTTTGCCACTTTAAGTAGAAAGTTTATGACTTTACCTTAGCGATTTAAAGTTGTCTCAGTATTACGTAAAAATAGCTTTGTTATTCTTTAATTATTCAATGTGTTATTGCTAAATTCAGTGACCTTCTGAAGACTCAAAATTATCCTCTAGGCTGTGGAAGTGTATCTAAATAAGCATTTAAAATAACCTGTCTAGAGACACACTTGAAGAAATGTCACATTTCTGTAAACAATTGTCTCCATATGTTTTTAAATATGCAGCTGATAGATTCAAAATGCAGGCATGTTTACAAACAAAATATTTTCTGCTAGATGGACCAATAATTTCTGAGTTTTAAGGCTTTGTAAACTGCTCATCTGTAAAAATGTAAACCTCTGGAGTGAATCTTTTTTTTTTCAAGACAGTCTCGCTGTGTTGCTCAGGCTGGAGTGCAGTGGCACCATCTTGGCTCACTGCACCCTCTCCCTCCTGGGTTAAAGCGAGTCTTGTGCCTCAGCCTCCCAGGTAGCTGGGATTACAGGCATGCACCACCACACCCAGCTAATTTTTGTACTTTTAGTAGAAATGGGGTTTCACCATGTGGCC
This sequence comes from Homo sapiens, assembly GCF_000001405.40. Taxonomy (NCBI): domain Eukaryota; kingdom Metazoa; phylum Chordata; class Mammalia; order Primates; family Hominidae; genus Homo; species Homo sapiens. The sequence goes on from NC_000008.11 coordinate 67,990,194, forward strand.
CAGGCTGGTCTTGAACTCCTGCCCTCAAGTGATCTGCCCATCTTGGCCTCCCAAAGTGCTGAGATTACAAGTGTGAGCCACTGCCCCAGGCCTGGAGTGAATCTTAAGAGTCCTGGTGTTGCTGGATATGGGTGATGCTGTCTGTGCCATAGGTCAGTGGCTCTCAAGCCTGTCTGTGTATTAGAATCACCATGGGAGATTAAAAAAAAAAAGAACTTAGGTCAACTCCAATGGATTCTGATTTACATGGTCTTGGATAGGGCCTGGGAATCATTTTGCCTTTTAAAAACGTGCTCCCAGGTGGTTTTTTTTTTTTTAATTTTTAATTTTTTTTGAGTCTGATTCTTGCTGTGTCACTCAGGCTGGAATGCAGTGGCATGATCTCAGCTCACTGCAACCTCCGCCTCCCGGGTTCAAGCAATTCTCCTGCCTCAGCCTCCCGAGTAACTGAGATTACAGGTGCCCGCCACCATGCCAGGTGGTATTTTATAGTATTTTTAGTAGAGATAGGGTTTCACCAAATTAGCCAGGCTGGTCTCAAACTCTTGACCTCAGGTGATCTGCCCACCTCAGTCTCCTGAAGTGCTGATTACAGGCGTGAGCCACCGTGCCCGGCCTCCCAGGTGGTTTTGATGTGCCGCCAGGGATAAGACCCATAATTAGCCTTAAAGGAGAATGTTAGACATTAGTGATACAGTGTCAGTTTCAGCACTAAGCTCACCTCACCCAAGATCCCCAGCAGCCTACCTAGATCATGCTACTGGGCCCTTGGGCCATCCACTTGATTTGAGAGCTTCCCAGAGGTCACAGCTCAATACACACAATGCCATGGAGGGATTCTCAGCTAACCCGATTTGTATGTGTCGGTGAGTTTTCATTAATCATAGTAATATTTATGGAGGCACTGGGCTATATGCTTGATTTTAGAATCATGTTTAATTCTCCCTGAAACCCCATAAACTAGTTATTATACTTTTATTAGGAGAAAACAAAAGAGCAGTAAGAAGAAGGAAAGAATACACCCAAGCTCATACAACTCTTAAGTAAGTGGTAGAATTTAAACCCAAGCACTCAGACTCCAGAGTTCATATGCTTCATCTTCATACCTGGAGGTTCAAATAAAACACTCATGGGGCAAGGTAGAGAGCAAAAATGAGTACATTAGTCCATACGCACATTGCTATAAGGAAATACCCAAGACTAGGTAATTTATAAAGGAAAGAGGTTTAATTGACTCACAGTTCAGCATAGCTAGGGAGGCCTCAGGAAACTTACAATCATGGCGGAAGGTAAAGGGGAAGCAAACACCTTCTTTACAAGGTGGGAGGAAGGAGAAGTGCCCAGCGAAGTGGGAAGAGCCGCGTATAAAATCATCAGATCTCATCAGAATTCGCTAACTATCATGAGAATAGCATGGGGGAAACCACCCCCATGATTCAATTACCTCCACCTGGTCTCTCCCTTGACACGTGGGGAGCATGAGGATTATGGGGATTACAATTCAAGACGAGATTTGGCTGGTGACACAAAGTCTAACCATATCAATGAGCAGAGCTGTTCAGGGGTAAACATTAGGGAGTGGCGATGACTGAGGAACACAGATGACCACTGACACTCAACTTTAGCCAATTGGTGCCAGCCAGGAATGTGGGCCCAGTACAGTCAGGATATTTGATGTTTCAAAAAATAACCTAATAAAGCTATATTTTTAAACAGGAATCCTTCTCGATTTTTAAATCATAGAAGTCATTTAACCTTCATTACAAATTATACTATCTTCACTGTTTTTCATCCTTGTTCACGTGAGCTCTAGTCAGGACAGAGGTACTGAAAAGATAGCCCAAGCAATGCATTAAGTACTGAAGAGGGAGCGTGTAGATTCCCTCAGTGAAGGACTCTGGTCTTTCCCTTGGACAGTCCTGTGTTGGCCTACACTTGCTCTTTGTCTAGTATATACCGCTCTTCTGTGAAGCCAAAGCTAAGATACGAGTGCTGGAATGCCATATTGGTCTTAAGGTTCAATCAAGGATGTCTGCTCACTTTTCTTGCTATCTCTGTGGTTCTGCAAGGATATGGGTAGTATGATGTCATAGATTGACCATTTGTTAAGACACAACCCCCTAATCAACTTAACATTCTGGTTTTTCTCTATTTTCATGGATAAATGTCTAATTTGTATGTATTAATTAGTCTCAGTTGAGAAGTGTAATTAACATTTCTTTAGTATTTACTCATTCAACAAGCATTTAGGCTGAGAACCATTTAAGAACTTAGAGAAATAGAGCATTTTATAATTCTATGGGATATTACTTAAAATCTGACTTGATCAGATATTGAACCTTTTAAAAAAAGTGAGACTAAGGAATTATAAGTGATTTTTAAGACACAGATTTCTCCTTTGATGTTCTAGTACAGCATACAGTGGTTTAGGCATTCTTAAAACAGTGCAGTGTGTTGCGAGAAACATCATTGTCAATGGCACTATGACTGTAGGATCTGAATATTGGCACTGTGACTTAGAAGCAGCCAAAAGCTTAATTTCTATAGCCTCTGTAGCAACGGTGCAGATTCCTTTAGTTTGAGTTATTCATCTGAACATAATGGGAACTGTCTTCTTGTTAGAGGAACCAAGCTTTGTTCTTTCAGAGGGCGTAGGGGGTCATAACTAGTACCCAACAAAAACAGGGAAAATGTAGTTAGTAATTTTTAAGGAAAAACTTCAGCTGAACATAATTCAATGGGAAATTCTAAGATTATTAGAAATTGCAGTTTTTACTTAAAACTAGATATTTGAAGATTACAAACTGCTTATTTTATAACTTGAACCACTTGAAACTATCCTTGGCTTACGTTTGTAAGCAGATTTCAAAATGTTCTTATTTTTTAAATGAGGAAGAAATGGTTATTTTAAACGGCTGTAGATTTAGATGTATTTATAGGTGGTATTCTATTTTCTAAGAATTTGTGTCTGTTTCTTTTAAATATAAATAGTTTTCTCAAGTTAAAACCTTGCTTCAATTGTATCATCTGACTATACTCACAGGATGTTTTATTAAACTGTGTCTCTTTTCCAGATAATAGCATCCATTTGGAAATCATAAGATGACTGAAGAAGAAATGTCAAATTTGTAGTTATAATTCTAGTTTCTTTGAGAGAATACTATGTCTTGCAACTACTTTTAAAAATTTTACAGTATTACTTCAGTCTTTTTTTTTTTCTTTTTTTTTTTTGAGACAGGGTCTCACTCTGTCGCCCAGACTGGAGTACAGTGGTGTGGTGTCAGCTCACCACAACCTCCGCCTCCCAGGCTCAAGCAATTCTCCTGCCTCAGCCTCCTAAGTAGCAGGGATTACAGGTGCCTGCTGCTACTGCCCAGCTAATTTTTGTATTTTTGGTAGAGATGGGGTTTCACCATGTTGGCCAGGCTGGTATCGAACTCCTAACCTCAGGTGATCTACCTGCCTCGGCCTCCCAAAGTGCTGGGGTTACAGGCATGAGCCACAGCCCCTAGCCTTACAATATTACTTCAGTCCATTAACTATTTATTGAGTATTTTATCCAGGGCCAATCACCATGGGAATACCCACCACATATACATATTAAATGTCAAGCATTCTATCCAATACGTTCTATCGGCAATCTAATTAGGAAAAAAATATATGAGCCAAAGGATTGGAAGAAATCTTCATAGAGAAAGTGGGCTTTGATCTAGGATTCGAAGGATAGGTTGAATGTTTGTAAACAGGCAGATGAAGTTCTCATCATTAATAACACTGATAATTGAAGAGAGAAGTGATTGGAGTCAATAATTGGAGCAACTATAGGAAGATAAATAGCTGAGAGATAATATTTTAAAAAGTAAATTCTGCAGGAATGATGCATAATAATTATATGTAACTTTAAAATGATTGTTACCTGTCTACTGTTATCTGGTCCTAGGAGATTCCATTGGTTAAAGCACACGTCTAATGGAAGCCAGGCTATGTTTTGTTCCAGTCCAAGGTCATAGGCTAAACTTAATTCTCAGAAACGTGTCCCACTGGTCATCAGCTGGTGGGCTGGCTGAGATCACAGCTAACGCTTAAGAAGAGACAGCTTATATTAGTCCAGCCCAAGAGTCACCTTGTTTGCGTTTGACAGGCATTTCACACTGGCATGGACAGTATAACAAAACCTCAGTTGGAATCACCTTAATATTGTATTGTTACTGTGTATTCTAACTTTGGGGATAGAGAAGAGAAGACGGGGGTTCTTTCAATGATTGCAGCCTTTTGATGTCAACTGTTTTGTTAAATCTTAAATAGATTCCTTGTACTTGAAGACAATGATATAGCTGCTGATTTATTCTCCCATAATAATAAACAATTGTTGGAAAAAAATGAATTCATAAAAGAACAGTGGAGAAAAGAAAGTTATATCCTAAGAATTAAACAGGCCTTGTTAAGCATCTATATAATATGTAATGAATCTAGTCCTTTGCTAGATTCCATGGGAGAATCAGAGAAACATATTTGACCTGGTCTTCAAGAATTTTATCAACAACCAGCTTTCCTGACTAAATTTTCAGAATGACTTCACCATGAGGTCCAGGCAATGAGTTAACACATATTTATTGACCTAGTGCTGTATGCCAGGAAGTGTAAAATCCAGGGGAAATATGAAATCCAAGAAATATACTTGGAGAGGAGGCAGGGGTTAGATCCTATAAGACATTTTATGCTAAGGAGTTCTACATGGTTTTAGTATAATTCAGGACGTTTATATTTCTATTCTAAAACCAAATTTTAAGCATTTTTAGGAGAGAAGTTCTATTTCCTTTTATTCTTTTCTTTCCTATTTTCTTTTTCTCTCTTCCACAGTATTGTTCTCTACTTTCCTTTTCTTTTTTAAGACTACATGGTGTACCTTTATATTCACTGCCCTTCATACATACTGGTAAATAATAACTGTTCTATTAATAATGAAAGTATACGTTTTAGAGTTATTGTAAAGCCACATAATAGAATCACTTGAGTTTTCATGATTACATTTTTTGTGATAATAGCATTTTCTTATATCTTTTTATTACTGGTTTTAATTTTTTATTTTCACTAGTATGTTATCACAAACAACATATGATATCAATCCCTGTTTTGAAGATAAGTGATGGGCACTTTAACTTACTTTTAAATTATCATTTGTAGTCCTAAATAAAGCCAGATATATGTACTTGATTATGTAATGCTGTAATTTGAAAATAGTTTTCTTTGCCCAACAGAGAGACAGAATTAGTTCATCCTTTTAGTGTACTTCATTAATCAAGATACCACACCATGTTGAACTTATTTATTTTGAAAAAACTATATTTACGTTGAAAACTTTCATATTGTCAACGTGAGTGAAAAACTATTGAGTTGTTTCATCAGCTATGTAAATATTTACTTCATCATTTTTAACTGAAAATACATCTTAATGGATGGTATTTATGGGAAGCATTGATATGCTCGTTGTGTTTATAGCTCCTAATGAGAACGTAATTTGTTTATCCATTCACTACTTGATAGTCATTTAGGTTGTTTCCAATTTGTATCTATTATGAATGAAGTGGCCATGAATGTTCCAACATGAGTCTTTGGGTTGACATATGTTTCCATTTTTCTTGGTCAAATTCCAAGGTTTGGGATAGTTGGGTCATATGGCAAATGTATGTTTAACTTTATGAGAAACTATTTTTCAAAGTAGCTGTGCTTGCAATTTTACATTCTCTTCAGCAATGCATAAGGGTTCCAGCTGTTTCATAGCCTCACCAATACTTGGTATTGTCATTATAAATTATGAATTTATAATTTTAGTTCATGATATTTAGTTAATAGTATTTTATTCTAATTTTAATTTGTATTTTCCTGATAACTAAAGATCTAAGTACCCTTTTATGTACTAATGGACATTTCTTTATCTCTGTTATGTCCAAGTTTTTACCCATTTGAAAATATTGGGTAGTTTTTCTTTTTTCAGTATTAATTTTTTATTTATTTTTTTGGAGACAGGGTCTTGCTCTGTCAGCCATACTGGAGTGCAGTGGTGTGATCACAGCTCACTGCAGCCTCAACCTCCCAGGTTCAAATGATCTTCCTTCCTTTGCCTGCTGAGTAGCTGGGACCACAGTCATGCACCACCATGCCTGGCTAATTTTTTTTTTTTAAATAAATGGAGTCTCACTATGTTGCCCAAGTTGGTCTCAAATTCCTGGCCTCAAGTGATCCTCCTGCCTTGGCCCCTCAAAGTGCTGCTATTATAGGCATGAGCCACCACACCTGGCCTTTTAGTATTGTTTTATAGGTGTTCTTCATATATTCTACATAAGGGCCTTTTGTCAGGTGTATGTATTGTAGATATTGCTTCCCTGTCTTTGGCTCACCTATTAATTTCCTTAATTGTATTTTTGATGGGGACAAAAGTCTTCAATTTCGATAAAATCTATTTTACATTTTTTACTTTTATGGTTAATATATCATTTTATCTTAAAAAATATTTGCCTCTCCCAAGATCATGATATAATTTTCTATCATTTCTTTCTAGAAGTTCTCTATTTCTACCTTATACATATATGTCTATTGATAAAACTAGGATTAATTTTTCTGTAAGGAGTGAAATAGGAGTTGAGGTTTGTTTTATTTTCTCCATAGGGATGGATGGTTCTGGCAACATAGTTAAAATGATATTTCCTTCTCTGTTGAATTCAACTGGCATCTTATTAGTTTGGTGCAAAAGTAATTATGATTTTTGCCATTACTTTTGATGGCAAAAACTGCAGTCAACGTGAGTGAAAAACTATTGAGTTGTTTCATCAGATATGTAAATATTTACTTCATCATTTTTAACTGAAAATACATCTTAATGGGTGGTATTTATGGGAAGTATTGCTATGCCCATTGTGTTTATAGCTCCTAATGAGCTCCTAATTGTGGTTTTTGCCATTACTTTTGATGGGAAAAACTGCAATTACTTTTGCACCAACCTAATAGTAATAATTCAGTTAACCCTCATGTTTGAGTCTGTTTCTCTCTTCTTTTTTTTTAGCTCTACAATAGTCCCCCCTTAACCATGGAGGAAACGTCCCAAGACCCCCAGCAGATTTCTGAAACTGCAGATAGTACTGAACCCTATATGCTGTTTCCCCCTGTCCCTGTGCATACATACTGTGATTGTTTAGTTTATAAATTAGGTACAGTAGGAGACTAATAACAATAACTAAGAAAATAGAACAGTTATACTAGGGATAAAGGGGGACTACTGTATTTGTCCATTTTATGCTCATTCTATTTGTTTTGATTACTGTACCTTTATAACAGGTCTTGAAATCAGGGAATATAAGTTGTCTAACTTTCCTTTTTTTCCCCCAAGATTGTTTTGCCCATTCTAAATCTTTTGTTTTTCTCTATAAAATTTAGAACCAGCTTGTTAGATTTTTCAAAAGAATGTAATACTGATATTTGATTGGGCTTGTGGTGAATCTATAGATCAATTTTGGAAAACTCAATATTTTTAAGATATCAGTTCTCAGTATTTTAAGATATCTTAATTGATATCAGTTCTCAATATCTTAAAATATATATTGTCATAAAAAACATTTACTTCTCCCAAGATCATGATATATTTTTCTATCATTTCTTTCTGATATCTTAAAAATATTGAGCTCTTCAATCCATGAACGTGGTAGCTCTCCATTTAGATGCTATTATAAATGATAATATTATTATTTTAAGATTTTTATCGTGGTATTTTTAAAAAGTTTTACCTTCTATTCATTTGTTCACCACTAGCTTCAAATGTTTGAATGAGGGAGCAGGACTTACCCTTCTGCTGGGCTTGGGATTGGAGTACTGCTGAGGATCAGGAAATCTTTTTTATATTTTATAGCCTAGTTGTCAAACTGTGAGAGATCTCATTGGCTCTGCAGCTGTGTTGTTAAATTTTTGCATTGCTGAGGAGTTTTCTTAGTGCCTTAGTCCCATCCTGGCTTTCTACACTTCAGAAGTTCTCTTTCTATCCTGCCACCCTGAATGCTGGAAGGTCTCAGAAGGATGCCTCTAAGCTCCTCTGCCTGGCCTCCAGTTTTTAGTGAGTCCTGCCTTATAGTGGGGAAAGTTCTGTGTGCCCCATGGGGGACCTTTCTTATTTCTCCTGCCCTGTCCCCAACCTTCAGCGTGCTTTAGCACTTGGTGAAGGCTTACTGGCTGGTACATGTAAGCTTGGCTTATATCTAGGACTCTTTGGAATTCTAATTTCATATGCAGCCTCTATAAGTTCCTGAATCCAGGTATGTTGACTCATGCCTGTAATCCCAATACTTTGGGAGGCCAAGGCAGGAAGATCGCTTGAGGTGAGTTCAAGACCAGCCTGAGCAACATAGTGAGACAGTGTCTCTAGAAAAAAAACAAAAAATTAGCTAGGCACGGTGGTGCATACCTATAGTACTAAGTACTCAGGTGGTGACGAGGTGGGAGGGTTGCTTGAGCCCAGGAGTTTGAGGCTGCAGTGAGCTATGACCATGCCATTGTTCTCCAGCCTGGGTGACAGATTGAGACCCTGACTCTAAAACAAAAACAAACAAACAAAAATTTAAAATTCCCGAAAACTTTAGCTGATTTCTCTGTGCTCTGATCTATGGTGAATTCACACTCCTACTGCAGCTACTGCTGCAGGTTTGAGAAGAGCCATAGGTCCTTTTTCACTTATGAAGGGCTTGACACTTTCTGGAATTTATTTCCTTTAGGTTTCTTTGCATCATTAGCTTTCTGAAAGAGAGCGATTTTGTAACTTATGTAGCTTGTTCTGCTTGTTAGAGTGGGAGCAATGGTCTCTTGCAACTTTCTACATCTCAATTGAAATACATAAATTCTGGGTAAAGCTTTTAAAAATATTCACTTAAGATGCATGGAGGAAAAATCAGAGCTAAACTGAAGGAGATTGAGATACAAAAACCATTCAAAAGATCAACAAACCCAGTAGTTGGGTTTTTGAAAAAATTAGTAGGATAGATAGGCTGCTGGGTACACTAATAAAGAAGGAAAGAGAGAAGATTCAAAGAAACAGAATTAGAAACAACAGGATGTTACCTCTGACCTAGAGAAATACAAACAACCATCAAAGACTACTGTGAATGTGAACTAGAAAAACTAGAAGAGATGGATAAATTCTTGGACACACCTATTCTCCCAAGACTGAACCATGAAGAAATCGATTCCCTAAACAGACCAATAATGAGCTCCAAAATTGAATCAGTAATAAATAGCCAACAAACCAAAAAAAAAAAAAAAAAGCCCAGAACCAGACAGATTCATAGCCAAATTCTACTAGACATACAAAGAAGAGCTGGTAGCATTCTACTGAAACTATTCCAAAAAAATCGAGGAGGAGAGACATTTACACAACTCATTCTATGAGGCCAGCATCATCCTAACAAAACCTGGCAGAGAGACAACAAAAAAAGAAAACTTCAGGCGCATATTCTTGATGAACATTGATGCAAAAATCCTCAACAAAATACTTACAAACTGAATCCAGCAGTACATCAAAAAGCTTATCCACTATGATTAAGTAGGCTTTATCCCTAGGATGCAAGGTTGGTTCAACATATGCACATCAATAAATGTGATTCATCACATAAAACAGAACTAAAGACCAAAACCACATGATTATCTCAATAGATTCAGAAAAGGCTTTTGATAAAATTCAAGACTGCTTCATGTTAAAAAACTCTCAATAAACTAAGTATTGAAGGAACATGCCTCAAAATAATAAAACCACCTGTGACAAACCCACAGCCAACATTATACTGAATGGGCAAAAGCTGGAAGCATTTGCCTTGAAAACTGGCACAAGACAAGGATGCCCTCTCTCACCACTCCTACTCAACACAGTATTGGAAGTCCTGGTCAGGGCAATTAGGCAAGAGAAATAGCAAGAGAGGAAGTCAAACTATCCCTATTTGCAGATGACATGATCCTATATCTATAAAAGCGTATCGTCTTAGCCCTGAAGCTCCTTAAGCGGATAAACAATTTTAGCAAAGTCTCTGAATACAAAATTAATGTGCAAAAATTGTTAACATGCCCATATATCAACAACAGTTAGGCGAGAGAGAGCCAAATCAGGAATGCAATTCCACTTGCAGTTGCCACAAAACAAACAAACGTAGGTATACACCTACCCAGGGAGTTGAAAGATCTCTACAATGGGAATTACAAACCACTGCTCAAAAAAATCAGAGATGACACAAACAAATGGAAAAACATTCCATGCTCATGGATAGGAAGAATCCATATCATTTAAACGTCCATACTGCCCAAAACAATTTACAAATTCAATGTTATTCCTTTTAAACTACCAATGATATTGTTCACAGAACTAGAAAAAATGATTTTAAAATTTACGTGGAACCAAAAAACAAGCTTGAATAGCCAAGGCAATACTAAGCAAAAAGAACAAAGCTGGACGCATCACAGTTCCCAACCTCAAACTATGTTACAGGGCTACAGTAATCAAAACAGTATGGTACTGGTACAAAAGCAGACACATAGACCAATGGAACAGAATAAAGAGCCCAGAAATAAGGCCACATACGTATAACCATGTGATCATTGACAAAGATGACAAAAACAAGCAATGGGAGAAAAAACTCCCTATTCAATAAATGGTGCTAGGATAACTGGCTAGCCATCTGCAGAAGATTGAAACTAGATCCCTTCCTTACACCATATACAAAAATTAACTCAAGATAGATAAAAGGCTTAAATGTAAAATCCAAAACTGTAGAAACCTTGGAAGACAACCTAGGCAATACCATTCTGGACATAGGAACTCACAAATATTTCATGATAAAGATGCCAAAGCAATCATAACAAAAGCAAAAATTGACAAATAGGATGTAATTAAACTTAAGAGCTTCTTCACAGCCAAAGAAATTATCAGCAAACAGACAACGTACCCAATAGGAGAAAATATTTGTAAACTCTGCATCTGGCAAAGGTCTAATATCCAGCATCTATAAGGAACTTAAATTTACAATAAAAATGAACAAACCCATTAAAAACTGGGCAAAGGACATGAAAATACACTTTTCAAAAGAAGAAAGACATGCATGCAGTCAACCAGCATGTGAAAAAAAGCTCAACATCACCAATCATTACAGAAATGCAAATCAAAACCACAATGGAGTTACCATCTTACTCCAGTCAGAATAGCTCTTATTAAAATGTCAAAAAATAACAGATGCTGTTGTGGTTGCAGAGAAAAGGGAATATTTACACACTGTTGGTGGGAGTGTGAATTAGTTCAACCCTTATGAAAAGCAGTGTGGCAGTTCCTCAAAGAGCTAAAAACACAGCCATTGTTCAACCCAGCAATCTCATTACTGGGTATGTATCCAAAGGAATATAAAGCATTCTACCATAAAGATACGTGCACATGTATGTTCACTGCATCACTATTCACAATAGCAAAGACATGGAATCAACCTAAATGCCCATCAAGTGTAGACTGGATAAAGAAAATGTAGTACACACATACCACAGAATACTATACAGCCATAAAGAATGAGATTATGTCCTTTTCAGGAACATAGATAGAGCTGAAGGCCATTGTCCTTAGCAAACTAATGCAGGAACAGAAAACCAAATACCGCATGTTCTCACTTACAAGTGGGAGCTAAATGATGAGAACACTTGGACACGAAGAGGGGAAGAACAGACACTGGAGTCTACTTGAGGGCGGAGGGTGGGAGGAGGAAGAGGGGCAGAAAAAATACTAGGCTTAGCACCTGGGTGATGAAATAATCTGTAAAACAAATCCTGTGACACAAGTTTCCCTATGTAACAAACCTGCATATGTACCCTTGAATGTAAAATAAACTTAAAAAAAAAAGAAAGTGCATGGAGAAGATATTAATTTTGCCTTTTTTTCTTTTTCTTTCTTTCTTTCTTTTTTTTTTGAGGTGGAGTCTCGCTGTGCCATCTAGGCTGGAATGCAGTGGCATGATCTTGGTTCTCTGCAACTTGCACCTCCTAGGTTCAAGTGATTCTCATGCCTCAGCCTCCTGAGTAGCTGGGATTATAGGTGTGTGCCATCACACCCGGCTAATTTTTGTATTTTAGTAGAGATAGTGTTTTGCCATGTTGGCCAGGCTGGTCTTTAACTCCTGACCTCAACTGATACTCCTGCCTCGGTCTCCCAAAGTGCTGGGATTACTCCCACCTCCATCTCACAAAGTGCTCTCCCAAAGGCGTGAGCCACTGTGCCTGGCTGGAAGATACTAATTTTCTTAATATGATTGTCCCTGTAGTTCTTTGTCCTAATAGAAGCGTTCAGTGTACCCCTTGTAGTATGTGAACTTATTGGTAATTTTTTGTAATATGGGAACTTAAGAAATTCAGATGATATTCTTAGGTTGATGCTTACATCATCCAAATTAATTTTATTTGCTTCTTAATCATTTTTTTTTTCAGAGCAGCATTTCCTTAAAAATGTGAGTGGTTCAAGCTGCAAAATGTGAGTGGTTCTTCCTAAATTTAAGAGGTTTGGGAAACATCATTAATGCATTTAAAATTATAATGCCTACTACATGGTGGAAAACAGAGTTTGTTGACCCAGGAGCTTCAGAAAAGTATAGATATTGTAGTTTGCAGACTGGTTAAATCAAGTTATATGGCTGTTTGAATCATGAACTTTGGAGCTGTGGTAGTAGGGAAGTTGTGCTGTTTGAGGAACTCATATTTCAATATTGTACAGGGGACAGAAAGCTCTCTGGAGGATTGGTGCTTACTATAATAATTACAGTTAATTTTTATCATTAACTTCATTGGACAGTTTCAAGGGAGATTTTTATGCTACTTTTTATTGATTTGTACATTATTTTTAAAAGATTTCTGAAGACTGTTTCAGGGTTTGGGATTTATTCTAACTAAATCCTAAACTTTTATAAGTCCCTGTATTTCTCCATGTAATAGTTTCTTTGTTTTTTTTAAGGTGGTGATGTATCTCTTTGTTGCCCAGGCTGGACTCAAACTCCTGGGCTCAAGTGATCCTCCCACCTCAGCCTCCTGAGTGGCTGGGATTATAGGTGAATGCTGCTGAGCCTGGCTTGTATAATAGTTTCTTAGTATAGTATTTTCTGATTAAAACAATGTGACTCTTTCAGTATCTAAATATCTCAGACGGCAAAAGATTATTGGAGGTTAAGGGTCTGGGGCCACCTTTCTTGGGTGGAGCTAGTGAGTACTATAGACCAGGAAGACTTTAGCTGGGCCCTGGTAACACCTGGAACTTGTTAACTGAAAGTGGGTGCTCAATTGTATCCTGTTCTGTAATGTGGTCATCTTAAGTTACTTGCTGTAATTAGGATGAGAGGAAACGAGTTCTGGAGAGTTTTCTTCAAGGAGCAATATTCTGTTACAGAGATATAAGATTACTCAAATTCTGTGATTTTTATTCAGTTGGGAAAAAGTCAGTACCATTAGCCGAGTTAACGTTAAAGAGAAGAGAATTTCTTTGCTAAAAGATATGAAATAATCCTTTTCCAAGGCAAGAATGGAAACTTTGGATATCAGATTTAGAAACTGACTAATTTGGTTCCTATATCAGCCTCCACAGGAGGTCTTCTGGCCTGACCTTTTTTTTTTTTTTTTTTTTTTTTTGAGACAGAGTCTCACCCTCTCGCCAGGCTGGAGTGCAGTGGCGCAATCTCGGCTCACTGCAACGTCTGCCTCCCCCGTTCCAGCGATTCTCCTGCCTCAGCCTCCCAAGTAGCTGGGACTACAGGCGTGTGGCACGTGCCACTACACCTGGCTAATTTTTGTATTTTTAATAGAGACAGGGCTTCACCATGTTTGGCCTGACTCTTTTAACTCACCTGTGGGGAAGTGTGGGCAGAATATATGCAGCTTGGCAGTGAGAGAGCTGGAGCTGAGTCAAGTGAGGATTAAATCCAGGCTCCTTCATTTCCTGACTGTTCCACCTTGGAGAAGCTACTTAATCTCCTTCAGACTCAGTTTCTCCATTACCAAAATGAAGCTAAGATTACTCCCAGCCTCACAGGATTACTGAAGCATGAATTGAGTTAATTTGTATGGCTGGTGAAAAAATGAATACTTTATCATCTTTGCTATGACTATTTATGATAGAAAAAGTAAGTTTGAATGGTGACCTTCATTATTCTCTCTCTGCCTTTCTTGATTTCACTGACCTTCTGGCAATGGGTAGTTATTTCAAGTTCATTCTTTCTTGTGTGCTTTCATTTACTATTTAGTCAATGGGCATCACACCTGTGTGCATCCTTATTGAATTAGACTCTTGAAAAATCAAAACTGTTTGTATTTCTTGCCACTGATAAAAGGACCATGTCAAATGATACGAAACATTCTCCTTACTTTAGATAAGCTTAGTATTGATGCAAGTAATTTCTTGCTTAAAATACTTTTTAATATTTTTCTTAAACATTTGTCATCTCTAAAAATATATAATGCTTTTAATGTCTGAATCCATATTCCGTCAGGTATGGGCATTTGACATTGAGAGGTTTTCATTTATTTGTGTCACATTGGAATAAAAAAGAATTAGAAACCAAGCATGGCCACATCTCATTTATTCTCAATTTATTAAATAGAACATAATAAAAAATCAATTGACATTATTTCCTGCTAATATTTTTTGACGGCTTTCCTAATTCAGCCCACAGAAGGGGAGATTTTAATGAAGTAACAGGAAATGGAAGAAATAGCCATGCAGCTCTCCCGTAAATGGTGTTTTAAATAATTTTGAGAAATGGAAAAGAATTCTTTGGATAAGAGGGGATTCCTTATTGATTGAAATTGCTTTTGTGTTGATTGAACCTGTCCTGTTGCTTTATGTATTGCTTTGATAAGGTCCTTTGCTGTGTTTCCTTCAACCCTGTCCTCCCCAGGGTCTCTCCCATACCGGTAAATGCACTGATATTCATGCAGTTGCTCGGGCCCAAAATGTAGGCAGCAACCTTGATTTCTCTCTTCCGCTCACAATTCACAGTCAATCCATGAACAAACCCTGCCAGCAATAACTTCATAACGTAGGCAGATTCTGACTGCTCCTCACCACCTTACCCACAGCACCATCGTCTTTCACTTGTCTTATTTCAGTGGAAACCTAGGTGGCCCCTCCATAGCCAGTTCTCCACGAAGTAGCTGGAGTGAGCTTCACACCAACTCTGCTTACAAACTTTCAATGGCTGCCCATCAGACTAAGAATAAAATGAACTCTCCACTGCCATCACCCAGGCCATCCATGACCTGCCCTCACCTAACAACCACTTCTCAAATGGCTCTTTTCCTCCCTTTTGCCACACACAGTCTCTCCTTCCTTTGGGTCGTACATACCCCTCTTTCACTCCAATTGTTGGTGCATTTGTCCACAGATCCTTCCTAGATATTCCCATGCATCGTACTCTCACTTCCTTAAAGTCTCTCCTGAAGTGATGTGTCTTCTAAGAAGCCTTTCCATTCATTTGTTTTATTTTTCTTCGTAGTATGTACCACCATCTGAACTTGCTTTGTCTATTTAGTGGTTTATTCATCTTTGGCACATCCATTCCCTAGAATGCACACTCATTGAGGGCAAGGAACTGGCCTTTCCATTGTTATTCACCTAGCGCTGAGAACAGAGCCTGTCATAGAGTGGGTTGGTTCACAGTGACTGTCTCATGCAATAAGGATATTATTCCTTTTTGTCTAATGACAAGAGGTAAAAATATACAGATAATTTCAGGACATATGCATTAGTTTCCCAGTGGGACACTTGCCCTCAGTTGATTTTGGGATATATTGTTGAATATGTGTTTTGAAATTCAATTCCTGCCATTATTCTTTGACCAAAATGTACAATTTTACAGTTGACCTGCAGAGAGCAGCTCATTAGCAGTTTGCTGGTCCCCTAAGCTCCTGTATGTTCAGCCTCCCCAACTGCCCTGGTGCAGCCCTGGCTGAGCTGGAGGGTAAGAGGAGCCTCCTCTTCCCCAGCAGGCATGGTCTGGAATTAGTTTTGCTGTCCTAAATTAGGTATCCTGGGATGAAGGGAGGCACCAGTTTCCCCGCTGAGATGCAGTATAACCTGTCTCAACAGTGTACATCCACTCTATACAATTAGATTCTATCCTCAGTCTTGATTTTTATTCCATTTTTTATTAGGCCTGGGGCTGAAACCTAAATCCCACTGCATTTGGAAGAAGTCAGTTATATCCTATTAGATGCTAACCTTTCTTCACAACCATTTTTATTCCTACTCCACCTCAAGCAGCATCCGTCAGGGTCACCTTTAGACCAGTGATCAGCTACTATATGTCATCTCCCTAGAGTGAATCCTGTCACTGTTGCCTGGAGTCTACTTGCTGAGCCACTTGGGGCCTCCAGACTACACCCCCCAATATTGGACCTAGTTCAGATTTCAATTTACCATGACCTTTTACATATTATGTGCACGTTCAAGCTTTAAGCTCTGCAAATAATTGCCCTAAACCAGATTAATTATCACACCCAGCCTAGGACAGTTTCATTTACATCCCCAAAATGTTGGTTCTTGAGGACCTAAGGTTATTCAGATCCCGTGAAACAAGAAAACTATTGATGTTAGGGGATATTTGGGATTTTGCAGTAGTTGAACAAATATGCATCTTTGTGGTTATGTAACAAAACTCATAGACAAAGCTATATAGACAGACACTATATTTTTTTGATGGTTAATTTTCATAACCCAGGTCAGAAAAAAACTTCTTAAAATATTTTTTAATTATCATAGCTTTTCTTTGTCCTGTGGAAGGAAAGTTTCCTTGTTTATTTGCAGCTAATTTGCCTCATGAATATTCAGCTGTCGATGGAGCTGCAAGCCAATATCCATAGAAATGAACTCATTAGGAGCATTTTGTTGGCAGCTATTTGATTCGTGAAGTATGTAGAAGTATTTATGATATTTCATATTTTATTTTTTCTTGATTTTTGAAACATAAAAGGATTATTGATAATAATTGTTATCCTAGGTTTTCACAGTTGAGCTTATTTAGTTTTTCTCATATTTCTTGAATTTGTAAGAAAATGCTTTCAGATATTTGACCACTTACACAGATTTTTACAAAGTAAATTATAAATAAAAAGTCATGAATGACTTAAAAGCAGTTCAAAAATGTTTTACATATTTATACATATGCAATACTTGTTCCTCCTAGTTGGTTATTGTCATTGATATAGCTTGCTATGTGGGTGATGTAAAATAGAATGGTTCTCCTTTTTGAAGGTCTTCCTTCAGAAGTTTTGCTGTTATTTAATGAAAACAGCATTGAAGAAGTATATTTGGTTATAAGAAATAGAAAAAATAGTAATAACAGCAAACGTAGACATTGACACTCGATGTACCAGTTACTTTTTTTTTATTTTTGAGACGGAGTCTCGCTTTGTCGCCCAGGCTGGAGTGCAGTGGCGCCATCTTGGCTCACTGCAAGCTCCGCCTCCTAGGTTCATACCATTCTCCTGCCTCAGCCTCCTGAGTAGCTGGGACTACAGGTGCCCGCCACCACGCCTGGCTCATTTTTTGTATTTTTAGTAGAGACGGGGTTTCACTGTGTTAGCCAAGATGGTCTCGATCTCCTGACCTCATGATCCGCCCACCTCGGCCTCCCAAAGTGCTGGGATTACAGGCATGAGCCACCGCGCCCGGCCCTCAGTTACTTCACATATATTAATTTGTTTAATGCTTATAGCAAGTCTATAGGAGTAGATACCATATTACTCTTATCTTACAAATATGGAAGCTCTGCCTCAGAGAGGTAAAGTTACTTGTATGGTCACACATCTAGTAGTTGGCAGAGTTGGGTTTCAAATCCAGGCAGAGTGGCTCCAGAAAGCTGTTCACCACTTCATGTTGCTGACTTCTGTCATATTTTGGTAAAGACTAGAAACTGGACTGCCTGTTGTCCCAAAACCTGGCATTCTTTCCCCACTGATTTGAAGTGCCACCTGTTTCAAATAGTAAATTCTAAATACTCAGGATATTTTCTGGACTGTTTCTGTGCCACTGATATATTAATACTTGTCCGTATCAGCCCAGCACTAACCGTTTTAGTTACTTTATACGAATTCCCTTTAGGAATAGAGTATGAGTCAAATGGAAAAGGAAAGGAAACAAATTGCAGACTAAGGAAGGGGTGATATGTTGAATGAAGAGGGTAAAGACAATATTTGGTCATGAGAGAAGGAGAGAATATGGTGAGTCAGAAAGGGCCATAGGATACTGACATGTATTTTAAGTCATGTGTGTTTTAAGGATGATGGTGGACAATTTTAGAAGTCAGTTTTAAAGAAAAGGTAAAGTAAGTGCCTACGTTTCTGAGGTATAAAAGTTGGAGACAAGTTAATATGGTTTGGCTGTGTCCCCACCCAAACCTCATCTTGAATTGTAGCTCACATAATCCCCATGTGTTATGGGAGGGACCTGGTGAGAGGTGATAGAATCATGGGGGCATGTCTTTTCTGTACTGTTTTTGTGATAGTGAATAAATCTCATGAGATCTGATGGTTTTATAAAGGGGAATTCCCCTGCACATGCTGTCTTGCCTGCTGCCATGTAAGATGTGTCTTTGCTTCTCCTTCGCCTTCTGCCATGATTGTGAGCCCTCCCCAGCTGTGTGGAACTGTGAATCCATTAAACCTATTTTTCTTTGTAAATTACCTTTTCTCCGGTATGTCTTTATAGCAGTATGAAAACGGACTGACATGCAAAATAAATGTGTTTAAAGAATAAAACAAGTTCATGTTAATTGAAATAAATATGAAACCAATTTATAAATCTTTCTTTTATACCTCATGGATTGCACAGTGAGTTAGATCAGAGTATGAGATGAAGGAGGGGAGTAGCCGTCGGGCAGCGACAGATCTTCAGGTTGGGATCTTCATTCATTTCTCTGGGTTTTCCAGCACTAAATACGTTTCCTTCTACACTGCTTACATTTCCTTTTCATCGGAACTGCATTCTTGAATAACGACTAAAACAGGAATAGTGTTCTGCACTTTAAATTCGGGAAATGACCAGTTTCCTGTGCCAGAGAAAAATATGTGCTTGAGAATATTATCTATACAATGTACTTTGTACTTCCCACTTACCCTTTTCTTTCATTGTGCTGTGTTGTTCAAGTGATCTGATATCAACGTAAATTCCTGACCAGCACAATATGAAGTATTATTATGTGGGAGACATAATAGTCTACTGGCATCTCTATATAAGTATTTGTATAATATTAAAAATAAGGCAATTTAATAGAGACATTAAGAAAAAAGTTGACAAATATATTCATGTAAGCTTCTGAACTGCATTTAGAAATCCGTTTTATTTCGTGTTTTTCACCAGCTGACACCATGAAACATACTTTTATATGAAATGATACCAGAAAAATGGTGGGATATTTGAAATGTCTTTCTTTGTTGTAATTCTGAACCTCATTAAAAGTTTATTTCCATCTGACATTAAGTTTGTTTACAAATATAATGACTTATGATACATAAATACATTTTAATTTAAATTTTATAAACTAGTCTTATGAATTGTTTTTGTTTAAGTGTTCCATTGGTGCTGTAAAGAGTTGGTAGCACCTAGAAGAAGGCAGCTTCCAAAGGAACAGTCTTCTTTTCTGAACCTGGCTTTTCTGTAGAGGTCTTGTCAGATCAGCCTGTCATTTTACTTCCAGCCTGTGTGCTTCTGGTCCATGCCCTGATCTTGTGACATCTCATTGAAATTAAAGCTGTGGTCTGACCAAACTTCACTTGCATTGTTCCATTTTTATTAATACCTCGTGCTCTAAGTTGTTTCAAGGATTGAGGACATAGACAACAATCCCTATTAGCACCTTAGAGTTTGATCCTCAATAAACTTTTTCTATCTTCTACTCTTTGTGAATCTCCAAATTTCTGCAATGGGTGGAAGATAAATGTATGATTAGAGAGATTGACATGTATACCAAACAACTGGGAGCTAGCCTGGGATCCTGAGCAGAAAAGATCCACTACATTGTGGAAGATCCAATAGTTAAAAAATAAACAGAATTTTTGCCTCGATACCTTGAATTATAATACTTGTTCTGATATCAAGGACTTCTCCAGAAAGTAGAGTCTGTTGGATTGATTTACTGTTAATATAGGAGCAGAGAGGAGGAGAAAGGGCCCTTAACTTACCCTTTAGTTCTGTTCTCTCTAGTGTTAATAATAATCATAACCACAGTAGAAGTAATGGGACTAGGCTGTGGATGTAGTAATAGTGGATAGTGATAATAGGCGCAGTGGCAGAAATATCAGATAACATTTACTGGGCCTTATTTGTGTGCTAGCACTTTGCAAAGGGCTTTCATTACCTGCATGTAATCTTCTCCACCTCTCTGTGAGGCACATATGATTATTAACCTGATTTAATGGGTGAGGAAACTGAGACTTAAAAGCAGCTGGCCTCTCATAAATGCTCACCACAGAGCTGAACTCCACCCTGAGGAGACATCCTGTATCTGTATGTGTTTGAGTGCGTATTTCTAGGTGTGTAGGGGAGGAAGGTGGTGGGTTAATTTTGAAGGCTTCCAAACAGCCCACTATAAACATCATACATTTCCTAATCTTCGTTCTTTTTGAAACTGATTTCTCCCTAGGGTTTGGTGTATCCCTGACCATTCAGGAAAGAGACATCAATGACCCGAAACAATACAAGGAACACAAGATCTTCATGAATCAAATGATACTTGGAATGAATACACCAATAAGAATTTATTGCCAAAAAGTTACTTTATTAAAACAAATTTTAAATAAAGAACATGGAGTTGTTTCAATCCTTGAGAAAACTAGCTGTATACATGCCTGCCAGAGCTATCTCTAACAAAAGATATCACTTCTAAGAGTAAATATCTCGCTTAATTTTAGATTCCTTGGGGAACTAAGAGTTAAGTAAAACATGCTCCAATTTTCTTAGGTTTATTTTTAAGTATTTTTGTTTTAGCTTTTTTTTTCTCTGATCATGGGAGTACATTTTCGCTCAAACACTTCAAGAACAAATGCTATTTTAAAACTTAGAACTCTGGAATGATCAGTATTAAAAAGTTGTGAGTCAAAAGGACCTTGACAAAACCTTAAGAGTGTGGCTGGAAATGGAAATGGCTACGGCTACAAAGATTCCCAAGTCAAAAAAAATGAGTAAAATGGGCTTTGTATTTAAAAAAAAACAACATTACTATTAGAATACATGGCAATTAACATTCAGCTTTGGTGTACATGATGATAGGGAGTAGTGGTGACTGTGGCAAAATGAAGGGAACATGTGGCTTCTTCAGCTCTAACTTACTGTTATTCAGGTAGATAGGCCCTGTGTTAATTTTCTCCAAGTGTTTGAAGAGAGGCTGTAATTATTGACTTTTATATGAATACTCTTATTTTTTTTAATGTTAGCAATTGAGTCAATGTTTTAACCACATAGTGTTGTGTTAAAACCTACCTCTACTGTTTTTGACCTCTGCTTTAGACCAACTCATTGCCTTAGGCCAATGGAAGCTAAATATCCTGTTAAAATAATAATTTTGTAGGCTGAGCTGTGAGATGAGTTTGTGGGAATCAAGACTGCAGAAACAAACTAGAAGTTAAATGCAACAAAAAAATTAAACATTTAAGAAATTCACAAAAACACACTTAAGAAAAGATGGCATTTATTATAGTATTTCACTGCAGTCATCTCAATAAATTTTGTAACTTTCACCTTTAATTTTAGTAATTTTACGCATAATTGTAATTCTGTCAATAATGGTCCTGATTTCTGCTTCATCTTCTGTCCAGTTTTACTCTTGACTTTCCTGTCACCCAAGTATTAAATATCTTCAAAACTCTGTGCCTTGTATGTAACATACCAATCGTATGCTGACAAATGATGAATTCTTTCCCCTGAAAATTCCTGAAGAACGCAGTTCTTTCATATTTATTTTTTGTTATTTTGAGGTCAAATAGAATACACTATAACAATGTGGTAATTATCGTCACATCTTGGTCAAGTTCCAGCCAAGGGAGGTTTTTATTTTTATTTTTTGATTTGGATGGTATAATGACAAATTATCTTCACCTAAGCTCTGAGATGATAGTGATGTTCATTTTGAATTAATAATTGGTCTGAAAAAGAGTAAAACATCTTTTGTTGGGAAATTAGGCAGATATTAAAAGACTCTCAATAACTGACACAAAAAATCCTTTTGTTTCTGAATCACAAGGAAACAGCAACAATCAAGAGGCTTTCACTGAGGATTTAGACATGCTGTTTGGGAATCACTGCAATCTCTTTAGACATTTATTTGAGTAATTCAGGTGTGGGATATTTTAATGATTTGTAGAGTGATCAATGCCCACGAGGCTGAGTCTTAGATACTACTGGACTACTAACAAATGATTTATTATTCTGTCAGTTTCTGGAGTTTTGTGTGGATTGAATGTTGTCATGGAAGTTTAGGAAAAACCACGATCTATTTCAAAGATGAAAAGATGCTGCTCATATTCTGTAGGAACAAAGTAACATCATTTTATAATTATTGTTCATTGTATCCGAGTGGGAAAGAGATTACTAAACATCCTGTGAGCACCGGACAGTCCTTCACTACAAAGGTTTATTTTAAACAAAGGTTTAATCCAGCTCCAAATGTCAATAATGTCAAGACTGATAAACCATGTCATATGGTGATAGAAGAGGAAAAGAGTATGTGCTATCCTATATTCCAAGTTGCTAATGAATATTTGGGAAGCTAATACACTAGGGAAATTAATGCAGTGCAGTCTGGTGGTCTTCATAAATGAAAACCATTGAGTTAAGAACAAAAGTCGTTAGTCTTTGCAGAAGTTTATTGAGCACTTACCAAGTGCCAGATATTGCTGTAGGTGCTGGGGATATCCCAGTGAACAAAGCAGGTAGGCTCTGCATTCATGAAGCTCCTATCCAAATGTGGGAGACGGACAGTAAACAAATAGATAAAATGATTCTGTCCTTGTGCCTTTTGTCTTCCCCATCTCTACACTGTCTCCAATGGACTGGGGCTGGTCATTTTTTCTCTATATATATGCTTTCCCTAAGTTACATCTTTGTGCCAGTGACAATCAACTTTTTACTGTAAGTCCTGATCCCTCCCTTAGAACCTCAGATTGGAATGGCTAACTCCCTGCTCATGATTTCCACACTGGTGCCCAATAGAAATCTGAGACCCAACAGGTCCAGAACAAACTCTGATTCTCCCACCCCAAAACCTTCTTCACTTTCAGTCTTCTCCATTCCAGTGATGCCACTACCAACCAGGTGTTCATGCAAACCCAAATGACAAACTTCTTTCATTTATTAGGACCAAACGAAGCCCTTATCTTCCAAAGAATTGTGATGTGATATTATTGTTTTAAGTTAAAGGGTAAAAGGAAAATATTTACCCTTATTGTTTTTTTCTCATTTATTTTCATGAAATTAGCACAGTCTTTTTTCCTGCAACAGTGGAGTCTGTCTTAAATTTTTCCTATTTTGCCTTTATATATACAATTTACCTATCTGTAACCATATTAAATAGCCAAATCTTTAAGGTGACAGGGTGCTGCTAAATAGTCTACTTTCAGAATTTTGAATGTAGAATATTTGTTGGAGTAATAAGGTTTAGTGCTGTATGATACAAAATTCAGATTGGCATCGGGTATCTAGAATTAAAAGTATAAATTGTTAAAATCTGCCGGACTTTTGAGAACGATCTACTATGTGTGCCTGGACTGATGAAAAGAGTGGGAAGGGCAAAAATATGTTGAAAGAGATCATTTTGTATGTTGAAATTATAAAATAAGAAAATGCATTCTGAGAATGAAGCCCATGGTGAGCTTTGCTTTACTTTTGAACTAGCAACAGCATAAATGGGCAGACACGGATAAAGGAGATTGCTGTCATCTTATTTCATCTTAATGAGTTTCTTCCTTTTGATTCTTGATAGCAAATTTGTGACATTTTTAGCTTTATTAAACTTTAATTAGTGGATAATATTTATCATATGCATTTACCAAAAATACAAGATAATATGGAGCAAGTTAAAGAGAAAATAAAGAGTACTCTGGGAAAAAGCCCATAACTAGAGTGATATCTAGGAATATTTTTTGTGGAGCCATTGTTAGGGGAATGCTGGTGAGTGGAGCACATGTTCACACACATGCAAGCTGAAAGATCCTCGGGGTGCGGGGGGGGCGGCATATGTGAGAGCCTCACTTCCTCTGAATGCAACTTAGCCTGTCTTTGACTCACCTGTGTAGTGTCTGCATCTCCCTACCCTTCAGAGATTATTGTGACCTGTTATATGCAGCTTTGATTGTGATTTTCATGGGTGGGAGGCACGTCCTCTGCGGGGTGCCAGCATCCCCAAGTGGTTGGGTGAGAGGGTGTTGTATAGAAACAACCACTGTTTAACACTGAATTGAAAGTCAAAGTGAAATAAGTAAACTCGATTTTCCTGTTAAGACTCATTTATTTCTCAAAGTCTGCTTTTTGTTTTAGTCTTTGAAAGAATAAACATAAAGAATTGTTCATCAGAAGATGATCTCTGGACCAACTACATCAGAATCGCATAGAGGTCCTGCTCAAAATGTAGATTTCTGGGTCCTAAATTAATCTGCTGAGTCAGACCTCTGGGGATAGGAATCTGCATTTGGAAGTAACTCTCCAAGTCTTAAACACAAGAAAAAGTTTGAAACCCACTAGCATAAAAAAGCTATTTTCCACTGCTTGATTTCAAATATATGTGTGTCAAGATGAAGATTATCTGATTCTGATGAAATTTTGGACAAGTGGGAATGAATACAGAGATAAAACAATGTGTAGAATCCTTCATGTATTTTTGTGACTAGGCTACTAATGCTTCCTTGATTGATATAAGAAGGATTAAATATGACAACAGAGTCTGAAAGGACACTATAGATGCTGGTTGTTAAAGGATGATTTTGAAATTACCTATTTATTCCTAGCTTTAGGAAGGAAGATTTAAACCTCTCATAAAAAATGTCAAATCGTTTTCACGATTTTGCGTTCTCAGCAAACATCTAAAATCTGCCTTCACTGTTGTATAAAATGAGGACCTTGGGAAAAAGAAATGCTTGGTCAGAAATGCTAACAAGTTCCAGATTTCCTTTCATATACAATTAAACAAAAAGTTCCATATTGTCACGGAGGATAAGAAGATAAAAAGTCAGATAAAGACATGGTTTACTTTCTTAGTTTGTATGTTCCATTCTAACTCATATTTTGATGCATTGTTACTACTTCCTCACTTTAATTTATCCATTTCAGAATGTGACTGAGTTCAGTTTATGAAGAAAAGGTTTATAAATGTAGAGGTGAAGTTTAAGCTTTGCTTGCACGAGAGGTTACCTGTTTACTATGTGGTCAATATGAAATGTAAACTATGTAAACTAGGCAAATAAACCACCATGTTATTTTAAGAGCAAATGGAATGAGATTAAAGAACATTTTTGCGATGAGTATGTGGAAAATATTCAAGAAAAACAAAACTAAAGCAAAAAATTAAACAGAATAATACTAATAAATTGAGTACTTAAAAAGTTAGAAAATTCTAATTTTTTTCACCAATTATCCTTAACTTTAGATAAGAGTTCAAAAATTATATCACTTGTTCCCAATAGACAAATTAGATTGATATCCAATACATGTTCATTTTATTTATTTCAGCTGATGTTGAAGAGTTGAGGCTATTCCTTCTGATCTGACATTGTAGTTACAGAATCTGAAACATGAACTGGTTGAATCAGGAATAAATGTGGTTCTGAAGGTCATGCTAGGAGCGAGATCTTGTGGCTCATTAGTTTTATTTTAAATAGTCTTGTTCCTCTTTTGATATAAGTTATAACATGCTTATAGCTAAATATTACAAAAATTAGAAAGTGTACAAAGGTCAATTTCCTATTACCTAAAAGGAACTACCCATTGCGTTTTGGTAAATGCCGCCTACTTTTTTTTCAACATTAGCACACACCAATATTATCCATTTGTATATCTGTATATATTCTTATGCATCTGCATATATGTATGTATGTAGCAAATATGCCACTTAATAAATTTTTTCACCAGACAGTATTTTATAGACATCTCGTATACACATGTATGTGTATATATAGTTTTCATTACATTCCATTTATGGTTGCACTTTTGCTATAGTAGTCTATAATTTGAATATATCATAATATGCTTAGTGATTCTTTTATTGATGGTCATTTAGATTGTTTCCAATTTTTCCATTTTGGTAATCAATACAATGAATCCCCTTGTTTGAATATTTTTCTTAGAATAAAGTCCTAGAAGTAGTATCTCTGGGTTCAAGAAAATGCCCATTTATTTTTATTTTTATCTTTTGAGATAGGATCTTACTCTGTCACCCAGACTGGAGTATAGTGGTGCGTGTGACTATGGCTCCCTGCAGCCTCAAACTTCTGGGCTCAAGTGATCCTCCCACCTCAGCCTCTTAAGTAACTAGGAGTACAGGTGTGTGCCACCACGCCCAGCAAACTTTAAAAATCTTTGTAAAGACAAGGTCTTGCTATGTTGCCGAGGCTGACCTCAAACTCCTGGCCTTAAGGGATCCTGCCTGGGACTCCCAAAGCGCTAGGAGTATAGACATGAGCCACCATACTGGCTGGAAATACCCATTTAAAAATTTGAGATATATTGTCAATTTGCCCTCTGAAATGTTGTACCATTTTATACTCTTATTAGCCATGTCCTGAGGGTGATAATGGATGGTGTCTTGAGGACATAAATGAAATTTGCTAGATGGAAATTCTCTTCTCCTTTTTCTCCCCTAAACTTTCTTTTTCAAGGCTCAATATAATGAAATTATTCTACTCTTTTTTAATTTGTGAAAATAATAGCCTGTTTAGCCATTGGTCAAAACTTAATGACCACTGAGAAGAGTCCAAATCTTTGAATTACTAAAGGGCTTATTTGCCTACCATAGAGGTATGGAGAGCCCGGACCTGAACCCAGAAATTTAAATTCTGGCTTCTTAAAAGGCTGGGGGTGGGCAATAGAGGGGAAAGGAAATTCTTTCATTCCTTCTTGAAATGTCTTCCTGGGACATAGTGGCAGGGATAGCTATCTATCTATCTATCTATCATCTATTTTATCAATCACTCAACCTACCTACCTATCTTCTATCTATTTATCTATCTCTAATTTCGAAGAGGATCACTTCAGAATCTCTGGCCCTTTTGTTGTTTTATTAGAAATGCCATTTTCCATTAAATTTTGGTCTTGTGCTTTGCAAGTCTTAGAAGTTTAGGAAACATCTGACTCTAAATGCTTACTTCACAACTTTGAGATCCTGGTGGATAAATTTAACTTACATATACTTGATGATTTCTGGCTCTACCCCAACATGGTAATGGAAGTATAATTCCCAGAGAGGAACAGCAATGCACAAGGGTTTCTGTGTTACAACAAAACTATTATACTCAACAAATGGAGTTTTACACTTTGGTTTGTTGTAAAGAAATTAGTTTAATTCTACTCAACACCCAGTCATTTTATTAACCTAATGTTACCTTCATAATGTCTTCTTGTTTCATGCAGGCATTCTTACACAGAATGAACCAGTGTGCAGCATCAAAAGTTGACAAAAATGTGACAGAAGAAACAGTGAAGGTGAGGAGGTACAACTGGCCTTCAACCTGAGCATGAGTTTCCTATAGATAAATTTTGCTGGTGCCATGGTACTTCACAGCCCTTCAGTTGATCGGCAGTTCCACTACAAGTTGCTGTTCCAGTCAGTTGTATTGGTAATAATTTTAAAAAGGAGAAATAGGGCTTAGGAAAAGAGATGGAAGATTAAGAGAATGGCAGAGAAGTCATAGAGTTGTTTTTTTTTTCAACCAAGGCCTTGGGAACATTTGAACAGAGGAAGAAAAATAAATTGGAGGTGTGGTGGCTTATGCCTGTAATCCCAGCACTTTGGGAGGCCGAGGTGGGAGGATCACCCAAGGTCAGGAGTTCGAGACCAGCCTGACCAACATGGAGAAACCCCGTCTCTACTAAAAATACAAAATTAGCCAGCCATGGTAGCACATGCGTGTAATCCTAGCTACTCTCGAGGCTGAGGCAGGAGAATTGCTTGAACCCAGGAAGCAGAGGTGTTGGTGAGCTGAGATGGCGCCATTGCACTCCAGCCTGGGCAACAGGAGTGAGACTCTGTCTCAAAATAAATAAATAAATAAATAAAATGAATTGGAGGCTAAGAACCTCAATGTTTTGGAGAAGGAGGGAGCTGAGCCGTATAAGAGGATTGTTAGAGGTGGCTCAGGAAGGCAGGGTGTGGGCAAACGTGACTTCCAGTCTCTGTGATCACTGAAGAACCAAATATTTCAATGGTTCACTCCACATAATATCCTTAATTCAGAAACAGACATATAATCGTTTCTTTTAAACTGAAAGGAAGGAAAACTGTGAACAGTCTTGAAAAAAAAGGATGGTAAATGAAAATTAATTATACTATAATGATTAGTCATTTAAATTGTATGTACTATTCCTGATATTTATGATGCTAACTTACTGTTTTATTTTGCTGGAAATATAAAACATTCTAAGGATTTTTAAAGGTTCTTCTGACTCTATTTCCC
The DNA here is from genome assembly GCF_000001405.40 of Homo sapiens. Taxonomy (NCBI): domain Eukaryota; kingdom Metazoa; phylum Chordata; class Mammalia; order Primates; family Hominidae; genus Homo; species Homo sapiens. Next base: position 68,018,889 of record NC_000008.11, read on the forward strand.
CATGAGTAAAATAACTAACTTTAAAATTTTCCTCCCAGGAGAGTATTTTAGTTAGCTTGCTTTTGGTTGTAAGCTAAAGAATCCTCTTACTGAAATTGAATTGAAGACACTTTGGCTCACATATCAGGGACTCCAGACAGAGGAGAAGGTTTAGCACCTGTGACCCAGAGAGGCCAGCAAGGTCGCTACATCCTCTCCAGCTAATCACTGCCATCCAGGTTATCAGCTTTGTGCTCAAGCTGGCTCTTCCTGTAGCTGCAGAGCTGTCCCAGCTTTTACTTCTACATGTGGCACCTTCCAGAGGGAAAAGAGGACTGTCCGTTCTGGTATGCCCTTCTTAGGAGCATAGATGCCCTTTCCAGAAAAGCCTGCCAGCAACTCTGCTGGTTTCCATGCAGCCCAGCTTTGAGAAGGGAGTGGGATACCTGGCTTGGGTTGGGCAACCGAGGCCTTGCCCTGAGAGCCAGCCATGGGCTTCTGGTTCCCAGAGTTGTGTCGGCGGCGTGAAGGGGAAGTCCAGACAAAATTGAGGCTCTGTCGGCAAGGTGGGAGGAAGGCATGGATGTATGGTTTTCAGGTTGGAGAGAGAATACTATGCTATCATAGACTTAAAAAAATTGCTTCACTACTGAGCTTACTTACACATTTGTTTATTTACAGATGTTGTTCTCAAACATTGAAGACATCCTTGCAGTACATAAAGAATTCTTAAAAGTCGTGGAAGAATGCTTACACCCCGAACCTAATGCTCAACAAGAAGTGGGAACCTGCTTTCTTCACTTTGTAGGATAAATTTCTTTTTATTTTAAAAGTTCTTTTCCCCTAGATTTTGAGATTTAGCTCTTGGCATAGTGGTATGTGTGAATTCAGTATTAGAAGTAAAATCTGACACCAAAAGTTTAAGGTCTTTTAAGGCCAATGAGATCTTCCACTTAGAGCCAGAAAAGGGGAGAGTGCCTCACATCATCCATTTTACTGAAGAATAAACAGCCTTTTCTTTTCCCCGACAAGTTAGTTCTTCGCATCCTCTGTAGCTTTGAATTCTAATGAATATTCAGGCTGTTCATAATGAATGAATTTTTATGTTTCTCTCAAACATAGAGCATTTTTCTTTTGAGACAGAAAATCCTCATTCCTATAATGGCACGATGAGCCTTTTATTAGTCAGAATGTTCCCTTGTTAATCAACTTGTGACAAACCTGGAGTTGAATAAACCCAGTAGCAGGAATTTTCCCCAAGGATGGTTTCTCAGAAGATTGTACTGAGCAGTGCAGATGCAATAACCAGCCAGTACTCAGTTGTTTCAAATTACACATCCTGTGCCTGTATGATCATTTTCATCTCTTTATAAATGATGCCCGAAATTATTTATGCAATTAATTTGCAAAATAAAAAGACAACTGTGTAATGAAAATTGTTTTCAGAACTAAAGGGCATTCACACCAAAAAAAAAAAAAAAAAAAAGTATGCTGCTACGTATACCGTTACGCTGATGCTAATTTTGAGAATACCAGTATGAATCCATGTATTTATCAAAATGCTAGACAATTAATGTTTTGTTTAAAAATGTGTAAGCGTATTTAGTGATAGAAATAAAATTTTGTATATTTTTAATTTTCCATCTAGTCTTTTAGAAAGGTTTTGATAGTAGTTTCAAAATCTGTCTTTATGTAGTGAGCAGACTCTGTGTTCTTTTTATAGTCAGAAAATATTTCAAAAAATAATTATATTAAAAGGAGAGTCTCATTGGGTATAGGAAGATCAAGCTGTGTTTTTCTTGGGCACAGCTGGAAGCCACGGGTGTTTGTGTCCACTCACTTAAGCCTGCTTTATTTCACGAAAGAATCAAAAGGATCAGAATCTTCTGCCAGCTGGAGTAGTTGCTATCTCAGTCCAGGGCTGTGCCTGGGAATCTTGCACCCTGACATCCATTTCCTTAGTAACACCTTATGAATCTGTCATCCCTGAATTTAGCTAAACTATTTCTGAAGTTTATTTTTTTTCTGGCTCATATCATTTCTTGAGATAAGTGATTCAATACATTTTCTGCTGGTTATATAAAGTAGCACTTAATGTTTCTAAATGCATGCCTTCAAAATTTCAATGGGCGCACTTTTGTTCTAACATTTGATCAGTAAATTTTTTGTGTCTTTCTTTTATTGGTACTCTTTTGGTGATAAGGCACTTTGAGAAAATCTTACAAATAGAAGGGAGCTTAGAGATCATGATGGTACAAATCCTCTTGTTTTAAAAGAATATCTCCTATTTATCTATGAAGGCTGTTTATTTTGTTCCTACTTTAGTGACAGCTCTAACTGTTAGAAAATCTCTGTGTTGATCCCAAATCTGCCCATCACTGCCCTTGCGACATCCACCACTGCCTTGCGACATCACCTAAAGATCCTAGTTTTATATTTGGAGCTACATAGGACTGTCAGTCCTTTACAACATAACGCTGTTTGAAAGTATTCATGATTTCCTGACTTTTCTATACCTACAAATATGACTCTCTGAAACAACCTCTCAGATGTGGTGTCCTCAGGGTCTCTCATTCTCTTAGTTGCTTGTTGCTAGATATTCTTCAGGTTGTCAGTGTCTCTCTTAAGCACAACTGTCTAGACTGGTGTATATGAACTGCAGGGTCCTGTGTTTCTCTATTTCTATATGATCTGGCACTTCCTTTTGCCTTCATCTAAATGACTTTATTCCGTCTCCCTGCCTAGGAATCATGGATTCATATACCTGGACCTTGCTCAGATTGATTGATCTTTCTTCTACATACATTCCTTATTCAGTTTTCATAAATAACAGCAAGAATATGTATGTAATTTCTTCCTCTTTTTAAGCTGTAACTGAATCCTCATGGCAAAGCTCAGCCCTCTCTTTTCTGTGCTTTGCCACCCTTTGGTTCATTTGTCTACTTGAATTCATCACAATGGAGTATAACTGATATACGTCTATCTCCCTTTTTAGGCTGTTCTTCATGGGCCAGGGAAAATAAACAAAATTTATATATAGCTGTATACACGCAGTATAGCTCTTAAAACGTAGTAAACACTCAGTGAAGTTTCTTTAAGCATATCACATAGGTTAAAATTGCAGAATGGTGAATAAAATGACTAATTTATTCTTACATGAATTCACAGAAAGACAAGTTTCGTATCTATGATGAATATTGTAGTAACCATGAGAAGGCACAAAAATTACTTCTTGAACTCAACAAAATAAGAACAATCCGGACATTTCTTTTGGTAAGTGTATATTTATGTGTTACTGTATGTTGATATGTGTTGCTAGATCCAGTGAGAGCCAAGGAATAGCATCAATATGGAGTAAAAATCTGTGGGATACCTCTGTTAGCATCCCCAGGCGAGGAAGCAAGAGTCCTTTGATGAAAATAAAAGTGAGAGCTGGGATCAGCTTGTGTTTGGGGAAGTACTGCTAATGCCCCCTCGTGGTTGATTATGAATTATCTGTGAGACCCCACAGGTTCCTAGCGAGAGAGGAGCTTCTGCCAGAGTTCATCACTGCTTTATAGCCCCAGTTCCCTAGGGTGTCCTTTACTTCTGCTGACAGAGCTGTAAGTAGGGCAGTAACAGGAAGGAAGAAAATCGTGGATATGGTAGAAAATAAGTGTAAAATTTAACATTTCTCCTACATACATTTCTTATTTTGTTTTCATAAAAACAACAAGAATATGTGTTTAATTTCTTTAGGTTAGCAGAAACAAATGCATATTTTGGCTGTCACGGGCAAACTAATCGCTAGTGAGGAGCAGATTATAATTGTGCGATTCAGTGATATTTAGCAGAGTGTGGAGTTGCACAGCCATCCCCCAAATTCATTTTTAGATCATTTTTGTCACCTCAGAAAGACCTTCATGTCCCTTTACAGCCTATCTCTGTACCCACCGTTAGCACCAGGCATACACTGATTTGTTTTCATCTCTATAGATTGCCTTTTCTGGATATTTTATAGAAGTGGACTCATACAATGCAATCTTTTGTGCCTGACTTCTTTAACTTAGTAAAATGTTTTCGAAGTTCATTCTTGCTATAGAATGTATCCATTTTCTTTCATTTTAATTGCAAAATACTGTTCCATTGTATGGATATGCTGTATTTTGTTTATCTATTTGCCAGTTAGTGAAAATTGGGTCTGGTTCCAGTTTGGGCTCCTATAAATAATGCTGTTATCAGCATTTATGTTCAAGTCTTTGAATGGACCTAATGTTTTTATTCTTTTGGGTAGACATTAAACGTGGAATTGATGCCTGTGTTGTATGATAAGCTCATATTTAACTAATTAAGAAACTGCCAAACTATTTGTCACTGTGGCTGTGCCATATTTACTGGCAATGCATGAGGATTCCAGTTTCTCTATATCTTTGCCAACACTTGGCATTTTCAGTTTTTCTGATTATAGCCATGCTAGTGGGTGTGTAGTGCTATCTCATGGTGGTTTAAATTTGTATTTTGCCAGTGACTAATTACATTAAGCATGCTTTCATGTGCTTATTAACTCTTCATGTCTCCTTTAGTGAAATGTTTATTCAAATCTTTTACCCATTTAAAAATTGGGATGTTTATTGTATATTGAGCTGTAAATGTTTGTTATTTCAGATATAAGTCCTATATCAGGTATACAATATGCAAATATTTCCTCTCAGTGTTGTTTGTCTGTTCATTTTTAAAGTATCATCTTTTAAAATCAGAAGTTTTAAATTTTGATGAAGTCTAATTTATTACATTTTTCTCTGTTATGACCGTGTTTTTTTGGTCATATATAAGAAATCTGTATTCAGGTCTTGTACTTACTTTTTATTCCTTTGTTTTCCCACTTTTGATGCTATTGTGATTGAAATTATCTTATGGCATTTTAAAATTGTTCATTGCTAATATATGGAAATTTAACTGGCTTTTGTTTATTGATCTTGTGTCCTGTGATCTAAATTTATGTATTTGGTAAGTAGTTCTTTTGTAGCTTCTTAGGGTATTTTGCATATAGGATCAATTATCTGATAATAAAGATGATTTTACTTCTTCTTTTCCATTGTGGATAACTTATTTTTTTTCTTGCCTTATTGCACTGGCTAGAACCTTCAGTATAGTGTTGAATAAAAGTGGTAAGAGTGGGCACACCTGCCGTGTTTCTGATCTCAGTAGGAAAACATTTAGTCCTTCCGCATTAAGTATGATGTTTGCTATTGATTTTTTTAGTAGATGTTCTTTCTTATGTTTAGTAACTTATTATATTTCTAGTTCATATGATATGATGTGAATAATATTCATATATATTGACAATGCTATGAATTACATGCATTGACAATGCTATGAATTACTATTCATATTATTCATATTGTTTAATGATTCAATTATTGAGAATGAGATATTGAAATCTCCATGTATAATTAAATTATCTATTTTACCCTTTAACTCTGTCCATTTTTGTTTGCTGTATTTTGGGACTCTGTTAGATATGCACGCATTCATAATTGTTAGATTCATATTTCTGTTTATCATCATGAAATGGTCTTCTTTGTCCTTGTGGCATTTCTTTTGTTAAAGTCTATTTTTCCTAATAATATTATAGCTATGATAGCTCTCTTACTATTTGTATATCTTTTTCTGTCATTTTACTTACAAGCTATTTATGATCTTTAAAATGTCTCTAGAAGATGGCATATTGTTGGGTCTACTTTTTGTCCAGTCTGACAGTCTCTGGGGTCCTCAGTTTGTTTGTTTTTAATGTAATTATTGATATGATGGTATTTACATGTGCCATTTTATTACTTTTTCCTACATGTCTTTTTTGTTTGTTTCTCTGTTCCTGTTTTACCACCTACTTTTGTGTCAATCAAGCATTTTTTATGTACCATTTTGATTCCTCTCAATTTTTAAACTATATCATTAGGAGTGTTTTTGGTGATTGCTCTAGGAACTACAATATGCATCTTAACATATCAAATCCATATTAGGTTAATGCTGACCTAATTCCAGTTAAAAGTAGGGGACATTTGGCTATAATATTTCCTGAGTAGAAATGGAAAATGTTCCATTTCATCTCTCCTCTACTGTGCTATTATTGCCATATATATTACATTATATATGTTATAAACTTCACAACACAGTGTTACAATTATTGCTTTCTATATTTTTCTACAGTCTTTTATAGTTATGTACACATTTACCATCTCTGGTGCTCTTATTTCTTCCTGTGTATTTGACTCTGATATTAGGTTTTTCAGCCCTTAGTACTTCTTCTTCTTGTAAGTCAGTTCTACTAGCAATAACTTTGCTCAGTCTTTTTTTTTATTTTTTTTAAATCTGCGAATGTCTTTATTTTGCCTTCATTTTTGAAGGATAGTTTTACTTGGACATAGAACTTTTTGACTGGTAGATTTTTTTCTCAGTCAGCGCTTTGAATATGTCATTCTACTACCTTATGGCTTCCATTGTTTCTGATGATAAGGCATCTGCTATAATTGTATGGTTGTTATACTTTATATGATGGGTCATTTTTCTCTTTTTTGCTGCTTTCTAGATTTTCTCTTTGTGTTTTTCTTTCAGTAGTTCAATGATGTGTTTATGTGTGGGGATGATTGTACATTTCTTATTTATAGTTGAGCTGTTTGAATCTATAGATTAATTTTTCATCAAATCTGGGAAGTTTTTAGCCATTATTTTAGAAATATTTATCTGACCCTTTGTTTTCTTCTTCAGTGACCCCAAGTTACACACATATTGGTAAGCTTAATGTTTCCTCTTGGTTCCTGATGTGCTTTCATTTTTCTACAATCTCCTGGGCTCAAGCGATCCTCTTACCTCAGCCTCCCAAAGTGCTGAGACTACAGGTGTGAGCCACTGTGCCTGGTCAGGAAACATATTCTTCATGTATGTATAAGGAGCTGGCTCTCGTCAGCCAGTCTAAAGTGGTAGCCAACCTGTGGTATTATGAATTGAGTTCGCAATCTATACAGTACTAATACACAAGGCAATAAAAGTGGGCTAGACAGCCCTGAGTGATTTTAGGACACTTCAGTCCAGAGGTAGGTGAGGGGATGGCTGCTTTACAGAGATGCTAACATACTGGAATGGAAATATCACTGGAAATATAATGAGATGTAGATAGTTGTGTTTCATAGGATTCCTCTGGGGGAAAATACCATATATAGTTTGAAAGAATATTTTGATAACCCGATTGCAGTAGGGAGTGAAACCCCCAAAGAGCATGCTTGCGTAAGAGCATGCATTTGCTGCTATGCTTTCTGAGGTGTCTGGGTGAAGTTACATTCAGAGTGCTGATTTTGCTGACTTTGCTGACTTGGACACACATATTGAGGCTGATATGCAGTTGCTCAGGACAGCAGAAAATTGTTCTGCTACTATCAGTCTTCCTTTTGCATCCTTTACTGATCAACACTCAGCCTCTCCTCTCAGTGAACCTGAAACAGTATTTTAAAAATTGTAGTATGAAAGTTGCTAACTTAGTTTGATATTTGAGGGGCTCTCTCTTCCCTCTGTTAGATATTTATTAAATAGTTTGTCTGTTGTAGGCACTGCAGAAAGAAGGTTTGGGCAAGTTTCAAGTCTGTTTCATTGCATGTTGTTTATGAAGGTAAAGGCTTTTTTTTTATCAGAGTCAGTTTTCTCTTGACCACCACTTTATCATCAATGAAAGCTGCTTCAGTTTCACCCCACTCTGATTCCTGATTTTGAGATTTCCTCATTCATCTTGCCTCTGTGGAAATCCTATCTGACCTCCTTCTCTGACACTGGCTTTCCAGTGTCTGGTGCAGTGTGATAGCAAAAAAGCGACTCAGAGATCACTTGCTTAAAACCTGTCCTATTTATGGAGAGGAAAACTAGAATTCTGAAATCAACCCAAGTTGTATCACTTGTCAGTTGCAGAGCCTGAGTTAGAACCCAACTGTCTTGATACTTGCCCTTCTACAACATAATATACCTTTCTTTATAAGCAAAATCAATCTATCTATTTATGTGTCAACCATCTGTTTATCCACCACTTATCCATCCATTAATCCATCCATTCATTCATCTCTCCATCTCTTTCCCATCTCTTTTTCCTCAGACTTCATACTCAGGAGAATATAGGTGCATTAATTTTTAAGATACAGATTCAAAACACAGTTCTGTAACTAGTGTTTCTCTTTGTCTCTCTGTGAGTGTTTGTGACTGAATATGCTCTTCTTAGAGAAAGAAAGTATATGAAGACATATGCTTTCACTAGTTTTTAGCATTTTATGGTGGAAGAAAGTTTCACAGCGTGAGATTATTAAAGATGTAATTAATTTTGATTATTTTCACCCCAGAACTGCATGCTGCTTGGAGGACGGAAGAACACAGATGTTCCCTTGGAAGGATATTTAGTAACACCAATACAAAGAATATGCAAGTACCCTCTTATTTTGAAGGTATTTTATGTGCTACCTCATTGTAGCCATTTTCTTGTATCTACATATTTTGCTGATGATCTTTTTAAAAAATTATTTTAATGAGTCTGATATTCTAAAGGAAGCGTAGACCATAAGTATTGGAAAAAAGTGGCCATTTTGTCACAAATTTATATATAGTGTAGGAAACAGATGTTCAGTGGAAAAGCCACTGAAAGAGCTTTTGGTGCTCTTTGTATAAAACATACTTGTTTAAGTTTCATTTAGAGGAAATGCATTAGCTTCAAGATAGATCCCATTAAGTTCATTATGACTAGTTTATATAGCATTTTGCAGAGCCTTTTATTTTAAATAAATCCACTGCTGGTATATTTTTGATTTCCTTAAACTTTGATGACTTTGTGATGCTAATGAAATTAAGGTCAAAATTATATAATTGCATAACTAGGATTTAAAATTATTATTCAAGGGAATAGTGTGGGTCACATGAGACAATAAATGATAGAATGTGGAATGAGATTGCTAAGAAAACATTGCCTTTAGAAGATGTAAAACATCCTACTAATGGTTGTAGGTTTGTTGCCTCATTATAGTAACCACAATTTTTATTATGAAAAATACACTGTAAGGTGCCAACTACTGCCCTTACTGCAAGGGACCTATGAATAGGTCAAGATGGCAATTTTTGAAACTGCGTTTTTTGGAACCATAACATCAGGATGGGCAGCCTGGGATAGTGGTTAAGCACATGAACTCTGAGTTTAAATCCCAAGTATTGTGCTTACAGGGCATGTAATCGAACCTCTTAATGCCTTGGTTTTTCATTTATGAAATAGAGATGATGATTATGATGATGATGAATTTATAGCACAGACCTATGGGAATGTGTGTATGTATGTATGCATGTGTATTCTGAATACATATATATATATATGCATATATATAGGATTATATAATGATAATGATTAATTTAACTATTTTATATAAATCAATTAGCATAGTCTGTGCTTTATAAGTATTAGCCATTATTATTCATATCTATTTGATTCCGACTTATTTTAATATATAAATTACTACTTGGCATCTAAACTTCACAAAATACTCAGAAATACTAGAGGCATATTAACTAGTATTTTTATTGATTTGCTTTTTAAGAAATAAATGTTGAATTTGAACTAAAAATATAGTTTAATACAACTCTTGTCAATTCCATAAATTGGGTATCTGCGTAAATTTTATTTGAAAATATTTGTTCCTTATTAAAGAAATAAGAGTCTAGCATTGCTTGCTTAAGCCATAAAAAGCCACAGAGAGGCTGACACAGGAGTCCCCAGCTCTGCAGAGGGAGTATTGTTGCAAATGTGTCTCCTTTTTTTCTGAGAATCCCTACAGACCTCTGACTTGACTCAGTTTGCATGTGTACTCATAACTGCAGTTATTCCTGACCCTGATTTTGGAATCCCAGGGGATTTAAGAAGGGATAGGGAGATTAAAAGGTTACATCATGACAAAGTGGTTATTCTAAATTACTCATTTCTGATTAGGGATGAACTCAGGTATTTGAACTGACCTCCCAAAAGAAAGCATCGTGGATTTATCCTTTCTTAGCCAGAAGGTCAGTTTAGAGCCCCTTCAAGCAGTGGATGGATGACCTCCTTTCCGTTTTCTGGTAGATTATCTCCACAAAGCAACATGAAAAAACTGTTAACTCATGTAGTAGATACATTGGCATTGATATTTGTCTGTGTTGTACCATCAGCTGAAAAATTCTGCTGGGATTTTCTTTGATTTAGGGTGGTTTTGTTTATTCAGAAAAGATATTATATGGATTAGGTTGTAGTGTTAGGAAAAGATACATTGATGTTATTTGTGGAGCTTGAAATTATTGAGTTGGTCAATCAACATTGGGTTCTTAGCAAGTAATGGCCAAGGGATTGTGAGTGATGGTTTTCTCTCACTATTTCACATTATGTAAATTCATATTCAACTCCTTAGATAATTGGACTCCAAATTATGGCCTGCAGACTGACTTGACCACTTGACATAGAGGCACCTGTGGTGCCTCTACTCTTTAGAGTTTCTGGAGAAGCCTGCATGTCTCACTTATGGATTTGTGATCCAGCATAACTTTTAAACCTTGTCTTGGGAGTGATATAATATGTATTCCTCTGGTGTTAGCTCTGCAGAACAAGGTGTGAACATAATGAATTTAGGGTCCGAGTTTATGGCAGAGTTTTCAACAATAACAGAACTCAAAAGAATATAACAACTGCATATTTTCCCACTGTTTGTTGAGAATTTAGAAAATTCTTTTCAAGACTTGCCTCAGGATTTCTGTAATTGTGTTAGTTACGTGATGATGGCAACCATAGTAAGGAAACACATGACTAATTAAAAAGCAATGTGGTCCCAACTGTCTAGACAGTGGGTGAAGATGTTTAATTTTGTGCTTTTAAACAACTAACAAGGGCTTTCAATATGTTTAAGAGATTAAGGATTATTCTAGTTTTGATGAATGGGAAAAATATAAATAAAAAGACCCTCCAAATCCCCTAAATACCAAAAACAAAAAAGGAAGCTATTGAGGGGTATATGGCAGTTCATTTGTCACATAGAATAAGCCTGAGTAATTGGGGAAAACAGCATAAATAGCTCCTTTAATGATGGAGTATTGTAGAAGTTTTAAATTACCTTGTTGTAGTATAAGACATTATTTTAAAATTTTACTTTGTTTATGACATAGTTTTATAGTTTCTCAAAAATATTAGAAAATAGGATTTCTAAATTATTTTTGAAATTATGACATACTTAAAGATTTGTTATTCTGTTAAAGACCCTAGAAAAATGAAATTAACATATAAAGATGTGCTTCTGTTAGAACAAAAGTCAAATTATTAAAAACATAAAAATTTATCCTCCCAGTAAGATATTTGACCATTCGAAAGGAGGAACCTAACTTAATTTTTAAAAACAAAGTAAGTTTGAGGAAAAATTAAAGTGACTGCAAAAATGTGCATTTGGGTTATACTTACTCATTGATTCAAACTTTTATTTTTGATCTTAGAGGAATTTGTGATGTCACTTATGGAAGTGGCTCTCATGATCTTTGCAGTTTTCATTTCCTGGTCAGTCTGAACCTGCTGTACCAGAAAGCTGAAGATCAAAGGGCGATTTGTTTTTTTGTGTATAAACAGGAGTTGCTGAAGCGGACTCCACGGAAACACAGTGACTATGCAGCAGTGATGGAAGCCCTCCAAGCCATGAAAGCTGTCTGTTCCAACATAAACGAGGCCAAGAGACAGATGGAGAAGTTAGAAGTTTTAGAGGAATGGCAGTCTCACATTGAAGGCTGGGAGGTACATTCACTTTGCTTGACAATCGAGCTTAAGATAGTTTTATGTTGCAGGCCTCGTGCAGAATTACTGGCGTTGGATGGAACCATAAATGGTCATTTTCTCAGATATTACTTGAGGACTGTAGTCAATTCTGAAAAGTGCTCACTTTCATCATTATTTTAAAGTATCTTTAAGGTGGTGGTTAATTGAGTTAACCTTGACCCAATAAGTTTGTGATGGAGCCAATAGATACTATGTGGGCTATAAGCTTTAATATTTTAGCATTTATGCATCATGATGATCCTGTTCCTCTCTCAACTTTGGCCATAAGTACATAGCCTGAATCCTGGGAGAGTGAAGAAGGGAAGGAAAGTTCAGTAGGTGTGCTGTGATATTACTTTCAGACTCTAAATTAGGTGTTCACTTAACCTCTTTGTTTTGATTTCTTCATTTATAAACTGAAGGAACTGGCTATGATCTTATTTTTAAGGTTTATTCAAGATGAAAATGTTATGGCTTCCTGAGTCACTAAGGAAATTTTTTTATGCCAAAAAAAGAGTATAGTTCAAAATCTGTAAAATGTTTTCAGCTAATGGTAACTTTGATTCCCAGTTATTTCATGCGGTTGGAGTCCTATGTTACTTTACCACTATGCAAAGAATGAACTAAAATTCTGTCATTACATTGCCTTAATTTATATGAGTATAAGCTTTGGACTAGGTTAAATTTTTTCTTTTTATAAAGTAAGCAATTAAGATAATTTTTAAGTGTAGGAAAGATTGAAAATGCTCCTAGCCAAATACTGTATCACATAAAACCAAGTGGATTGCTTTTATCTTTAAGGCTTTAGATGAATTTGTTTCTTACCTTTGATATGGTATTTTTCATTTGGACCTAAAATTATGTTCACCCAGATATGCAAAGAAACCTCAAACATTGACCTTAAAGAATTCTTCCGTTTGTCCCTTCTCTCCTGTGAATCTTTTAAAATGCTAACTGGGGTTGACCTAGCTGCTTCTTTGTCCAACTCTTTCCATTTCAAGTGTCCGGAGTGCCCTCATATTCAGCATGAATGCTGCCTCTTTCAGGCGGCTAAAATGGTTGTGTGTTTTACAGTTGATTCATGATGATAATTTCTTTCCTGGGGAGCTGTTGTCTTGCTGTGATGAGAAGAATGGACTCAAGTTTGCTTTTGGAATTCTGTTGTCACTCAAACACTGGAAGAAAAACCGAACTTGCTTTAAATTGCAGAATTTGTCAGTGAAATGTGCCAGGCCTTTTACTAAAACAAAAACTTCAGAGATTTTTTTCAGCACTCTAGGGAAATGGAATCTGTCATAATTTTGTTTCATCCTGGTGTATATCCTAAAAATTGAGTGTACTGCAGAAATGAGAGATTCCTTAAAAGTTATTGATATTGTTTATACAGTATACACCAGTTACTCAAAGGAAGAATGAATGTAGGTGGAACTATATCATATGTAGCCCACAACCGAGGGTGCCTGACTTCACCAGCTTTCGTGGTTTTACAAAATTCTGAGTGCAAGAGAAAATGGGGCATTGAGACAGAGAAAACTGGATGGAGTTAAGGAATTCTGTTGTGTATTCAGAGAAATTAGAGAGGAATTTTGCCACTTGTTAGGTATAAGAACTTGGGTAAGTTAAATAGCTGTCGTTTTTAAATTCTACAGTCAGAGTTCCAGGAGGCACAGGGGAGATAATATGAAAGTTGGGTTCCAAGAAAGTGGTTCTAAGAAGAAGTGGCAACATAAATTCTACTTGAGTAGGAATTGACAATGATTGCGAAAGACAGCCATACAGAGATTGGGAGTTTTGGGACTTTGAGGGAGTGCAGCTTGGAGCAGGGCCCAGTCAGTGGGTTTGGCAATTTGTGATAAGAACCCCATTGCCTGTCCCAGCCCACCACCCCATCGAGGGGGGAACTTGGTTTTCAGGCCTGGTCCCTTCTGGGGAGTTCAGGAGAAATTGCTAGTCTCATAGGACTCTCTGTAAGGACGCAGAGTCACACAGGCTGAATTCAGGCCCTGGGAGGAAGCTGTAATGAGTTAAAGAGCTGTCTTTGACTTGCTGATGGTGATCCTTGCTCAGCCTGCAGAAGCTTTGTGTGTCTGTGGAGAGGCTACCTTAGCGTTAGGACAGGGAGAAGTTCAGACGTAGGGTGGCATGACAGTTACAGAATGCAGAGTTCCCTGACAAGTTTTTGACGTTAGGAGTCTTGGGCTTATGCTAGGAAACAGCTCCCTCTCCAGCTCCTTCCACAGCCTCCTGCAGACCACCTTCAGGGCCTCCTTAGGGAGGACATTGTTCCTTCAGTAACTAAAATTCTATTTGATGGAATCCAAGTCTGATACACCGTGAATTTGCATTGTTTCTATTATGGGTGGATTATTCTCTCACTTAATTATCTGGGGACTTGCTTCACTGTTAATCAAATGAAAGCTTTTGTTTTAAACAATAAAATCTCTTAAGCACAATGTGCCTATCTAGTATTTTGTTCTACTAAATTATTTACATTCCTGAATGTTGAATTTAGGTAAACAAGCAATTGAAATTTCTTGTTTGCAAAACATATGACAGTGAGAAAAGGGTGGCTTTTGAGCAGAGTTGGTTTTTAGTCTGGACTCTAACCCTTTGTTTGGGGATGATATATAATACCTCTCCTACACAGAGTGCAGATTATTGCAGAAGTCAAATGAAATAAGTAAAAGTGCTTTGAATACTGTAAAATGCTATGCAAATATGAAGTGGTATTTTAAAGCTTTAAGAAATTTCCCTCGTTTGTCTAATATATGCACCTGTCTACTGAAGGTAGTATAGTACTTAGGGTTATATGGTTCTAAGCAACAGAAACTAAAAGAAAAATTAGTTTAAAAGATTGGGTAGCTTGCAGAGTCAATACAAAAGCTACAGTGTCAGACCTGAGAAGGGTGTCTAGGCAGCTGAAACTATTTGACAGTCTCATCCATGCCCTAGCTAAAGTGAATAAGCTCAAATAATTTTTTCCGTCTTTATATGACTACACTCAAGACTGAAGATCAAAATCCAAGATTCAACTAATCTTGCTTGGGTAAATTTGCTAAGGGAAGGGCAGAGGATCTTGACTGCCAGTCCTCCAGTTTCTTTTTGGGGAAATACTGATTCTCCATTGTATGCGTTATAATCACATACAATGAGTTATAATCATCTCCACAGTTGGCTGAGATGCTGTACTCTCCATTGAACAGATTTAAAAAATGAAGGCTATTTAACCTACACGAGTTCTTATAAATAACAGGTGACAACATTTAGCTGAAAACATTTAGCTGAAAACAGGCAGCTTGATTCTAAAGCTTATATTCCTTACTACGTGCTATTATATCCACTCAGATACAAATTTGGCAAATTCTTTGGATTAAGTTTGTTTTCCTGCTTGTGTTTTAAAAGTAAGTTGATTATCGAAATTAGGTTTTTGTCAGCATTTATGTGGTAACTGCCACCACAGAAAATCTATAGTGTATGTTTTATTTGTTCATTTTTGAAGTTATGCCTTTTATTAGTATAATTTATTATATCTCGGTCATATAAGTTATGCAACATTCAGAACATTCTACAAGATAGTCTACTGAAGGTAATTGTGGAGCACTGATTAATATGCCTTGGAAGAGAAGTTTATTAGCTGTTTAATCAGAGTCACTGATTCATTTCATAGAACAGGATCATGCTCTGTCTGTGTGTTGGCTGATTGATTATGTTGTAATGATAACTGTAGCCTTTGGAGCTATACTGAAGTATTTTGAAAAGGGAGTATCAATAAACATTACGTTGTCATTAATTCAGCTTTAAGTCCTTGATACGCTTGTTTGGAATTGATCTCTCAAATATGGAAAACACTATTACGATAAAAGATAAGAGAAGGAATTATTAATATATGAAGGTGTTGGGATAAATGAGATTCAAGATAAGCATTGTGTTTTAGAAAGTAAAGAGACACAGAAAGAAATTGGACATTTCTTTACTACCTTTTTACATGGAAAAATACAGTGCTACGGGACCATTTAAAAATTACTTCTTGTTGGTTTTGGAATCTGTTTGCTGCTTCCATTTGATTGAGTTTGTGCCTGACAGTGTATTGACTTCAAGTCATGTTTCTTGTTATTTCATGGATGTGAGTCTTCCAGAGCTTAGTGCTGGGACTTGTTTCTTTTTGTCCTCTGTACGAGGTGATTTGGCAGATACAAATTCATCTTCTACCTTGAGATAGAATTGATTTATATATAGTCATATAGTCTTTGTTATTTGAGGATAAGTGGTTCTGGAAAAAGACCACTGAAAATGAATCCAGTTTAAAAGAGGCGCAAAATTTCAATGAAGTGGAAGGGGGGAAGGTTTGATGGGACTTTATCTTAGTAAAATGAAAATTTATGTTATTTGTTTTGTATGTCACAGAAATCAGATTATAATTTTAGTTAATAGTTTTAACCTCAAAAAGAGCAAATCAAATCCTGAGTCTTTTTTGGGGAGGGTCAAACATTTTATGATAAGACAATATAATATTCTTTATCTTATGTTTGTTTTCATAGTATTTTTTAAAGATTTATCTTTGTAAGAATGTTCAAATGCTTCATCAATTTTTTAAGAGACTCCTTTGATATCAAAACTATTCTCTTTGAAGCACATTCTAGTTGTCAGTCTTGTCAATTTTCTTTTCTTCCACTGTGAATGCATCTAGCTCGGTTAGATCTTTGTCTGCTGATGCATTGTATACGAGTGGGGATGTTTCAAGGCCTCCTGTCATCTTTCATCTTTTCCAAGATTGTAATTTCTCTCTGCAGTCAGTTCATACATATATGTGGTTAAACAGTTCTTAATGATTTTTGCCTGCCATTATCCTAGAGATAATGCACAGATTTAAATCATGGGAAATCAGCAGCATGGTGGGTGTTCTTCAGAGTTTAAAAGATAAATGCAGTATAAAGGAAAATGCTGTAAGCTGCTGTGTTAGGATAATATTTTTAGACAAATCTGCACATTTTGACATAGAATCCTTTAGTACATTAACAATTCTTAGGGAATTATTTAATTACTCAAGGAAGATATTTCATGCCATGATGGTAGATTACTGTGGTAGAAGATGGTGAAAGGTGATATTGCACTAATTCTTGAAGCCTGCTTTAAGTGTTAAAGGTACATCATCTCAGTGACAGAAGCATTTCAGTCAGATTCAGTAAAACACAATCTGACCGAAGTTATATGTATATTGTGAGATACACTTTGCGGCATAACCATGAATTCTAGAAGCTGTCAGTGGTTGTGCTTGTCCTTGTTTACTAAAAATTTGATTAATAATTGACTAAACTGATGGTTTGGGTTGCTTATGAAAAGAAATGTTGACCTTAAAGAGGTCAGTCAATCGTACTCTTTTTTGATCAGGAGTGAGGAGCTGATGGGGACTTATAATAATGCCTTAGATAGAATAGGTCTGTATATTAGCAAGGGGCTTGAGAGTTTCTTGTATCAATTTGGACAGGTGATTCAAAAAGTCAAACGAACGAACAGGATGGAGGAAAAAGACCTAGCGGTTTGATTGATTGTAGCAGCACTTTCAATCAGTTGTAAGATAACGATGTCATAATAGTTAGCTCAATTTTATACAAAATACTCCTTGCATTTATTAAGAAAGATAATTATCAAGAAGTCAGGAAATGTTTTGTTAAGAATGCATCTACTAATATCTGTGTATGTTAATTTGAGGTACTCGGGTGATTTATTTAATGTGAAAATTAAGATGATATCTGCAGTAACCCTTTCATAATGCAACAACTTATCATCCAGGGTTGGCTTATATGGGTCATGATAAGAAATGGTCTAAGGGAGGGCTATTCTGTACATTTTGTGAAATTGCTATAAATTAATACCACTTTGCTTAATGAACACATGATAAAGTACATGAAATTCTGTAATTTTTTTTTTCTCCAAATCTTCATTTGTATATCCACTTTCAGGATAAAAAGAAATAATAAAGGAACAGCCAGGTGTGGTGGCTTATGCCTGTAATCCCAGCACTTTGGGAGGCTGAGGTGGGTGGATCACCTGAGGTCGGGAGTTTGAGACCTGCCTGACCGACATGGAGAAACCCCGTCTCTTCTAAAAATATAAAATTAGCTGGGCGTGGTGGCATGCCTGTAATCCTAGCTACTCGGGAGGCTGAGGCAGGAGAATCGCTTTCCAGGAGGCGGAGGTTGTGGCGAGCCAATATCGTGCCATTGCACTCCAGGCTGGGCAAGAAGAGTGAAACTCCATTTCAAAAAAAAAGAAGAAATAATAAAGGAAAATGTCTAAAATTTGCAATACAAAGATAATCAAATTAATATAAAAAAACTTTCTGAATAATTCCCCATTTTGGAAGTTTGAGTTGTCGTTGTAGGTGTTAGTTGTCATTTTAATTTAAATTTTTACAATTGACCAGAGAAACTATTATCAGTGATTATTGTGGAAATATGAAATTTAAAATTAATGTTCTAAATTTTAAATATGAAACATTAAAACTAGAAGCATTGAGTTAAACAAAAATTAGAAATTTACTCCAGATTTAAAGAATCTTGATATAATTGAAACTGAAAGTCTCTTGCAGAGCACACATATAGATCTTTATGGAAAACGTCCTTTTTCATTTTTTTCTTTTTTTGGTCCAACTCAGTGCATTAGTTATGATAGATTAGGTTGTAAAAACAAATAGACTATAATATTTATAATGGCTCAAAATAGACATTTCTGTGCATCTCCCACCACAGTCCGATACTCGTGTCCAACTCAGGGGGCAGCTTTCCTCTGTTGATGATTCAGGGCCCAGGCTCCTCCCATCTTGTGGCTCCTCTTCAGTTCTAGTGGCCAGTGCTTGTGTTAAGAATTGCCTTTGTCACTAGTTGTATAATCTTGATGGGCATGCTATAAACACTTATTTAATTAGCTAGAGTGCCTTTGCCAACTTCTAATAAATAGGGTGAAAGGCTCTGTGGAAAGTTGCTCCCTTTAAATAATTTTTCTCTTTTTATTTCTTTTCTTTTCTCCATCCTAGGGGTGGATATATAAATTGAGACCTGCTAAAAATTTAGACAATTTCATGTACTTTGTGCCTGTGGAGGCTGTTTTTCCCACATACTGAGGAAAAAGAGAACAAAGAAAGAGAAATTATAATTGTTAACATTATGAATTAATTTGAAGTCATCTCCTTTCAACATGACATAGGTGACATGTATTCTATACGCTTGTGTATGTACACAACACACCTGGAAGGAGACACAGAATCTCTTAACAGTGGTTCTGTCTGCTCAGACTGATCGGGGGAAACTGGGGGGTTAGGGGCCCTCCAATCAGTGTATAACTATCTCTACTGCTTGCACTTTAGCCTGTGCATAGCTTGCTTCTTAAAATAAAAACAACCATAATTGTAAGTCGAAAAATAATTATTTACAGAAGTGTCAACCAAGTAAGCAGACATTAATTGCATTTCTCCTGACTTAGGGGTCCAACATCACTGACACCTGCACTGAAATGCTAATGTGTGGAGTCTTACTGAAAATTTCTTCTGGAAATATTCAAGAACGGGTGTTTTTTCTTTTCGATAATCTTTTGGTGTACTGCAAAAGAAAACACAGGTAAGATCCTAAGCAGGACACACTTCAGAAGTGGTCACAGTTTCTACCTTTCCCTCTGTGCTTCCCAGAACTCATCTATCCAGCTCACAGTTTCTACCTTTCTCTCTGTGCTTCCCAGAGCCCATCATCCATCAGTGCATTTCTTCACATATATTCAGTCTGCTCACTGGTTGTTCACTTCACCTTCTTGTAAAACCTAAACTGAAATGTCACTGTCATCTGATGATGCTGGGTCCTCAGAGCCCTCTTGAGGAGAGGTGCGGTTTGTTCCTAACCCACATATCTCAGGCCCTGGAGGAGAGGGTGGTGTGTCTTCTTTGCTTCCTAATCTTGTTTCCCAATCATTTCCCCCTCTTCCTTCAAGAATCCCAGCACATGTGAAGTTCATGCCATGAGTCTTTCCTCTCCACTACCTTTCCCTCATCTCCCCTTTATAGAACACGTAATATCTCACTGTCACACATGAATTTAGTGATTTCTCTAGCTCTTGCATCATTTTCTTTCTACCTTACTCCTGTTGCCATTTTGGGGGTGTTCAAAACTCACATGGATGATCTATCCAGAATTTTGGACCTGAAAGCCCACTTTCTCTTCACCTGCAATGAGTCTTTCTGCCATTACACCTGAGTCTCCTGTCCTAGGGCCATACTTTTACCTTGTCAATACCAACAGTCATAAAATTGAAATCTCCATTTCAGGCATTCTACTCTGAATATCATCCTCTATCCTCCTAGCTGTATTCCTCTGGTATTGTCACTTCAGTTATTCTGACTCCAAACATTGTCGAAGATCTCTTATCTCAAATTTTAAAAGTCCTTTATCTTGTGTCACACTGTCACCCTTCATAGCAGACTTTCTTGCAGGAGTTTTATGTTGTCACTTTTTCTACTTTCTCACTTGCTATTCTGGCATGAGCAGCATTCAACAAGATCTTTGTTCACTCTCCTCCACTGAGCTACTCCTATCAGAATCTCCATAAGAAGCACTACTGTGCTTCTTACTCCAGTGGTCACTTTTCTGCTCTTTAAGGTTTTGTTTGTTTTTGTAGCAGCCTGTAACTTAGCTGAGCAATCCTACCTTCCCAAAACACTCTCTTCTCTTTAATGTTATTATACCCCACTCTCTTGGCTGGATATTGGAGTGCTGTGGGGCTCTGCATTTGACTCGTTTTCCCTCTTCATATTCATAGACTCTTCCCAGCTGATTTTATCCAGTCCCATCACTCATGTCCCACATCTGTGTCAGTTGCTCTCAAATCTCTATCCTTAGCCCAACATTCTGGACTCCTACATCCTGCCTGTTGTGATGGCCATGAGGAGTCTCAACCACAGCATGGAAGAAATGGGATTCTGGGTTCCCCTTCCTAAAGTCACTCCTCTCCCAGCTTTCCCTTTCTATTGTTTTCTCAATTCCAAAAATTACGAGTTAGCCTTGGTTCCTGTTTTTCCCTCAACATCCCACATCCAATCCATTAGAAAATCTTCCTGCATCTGCATTGAAAACTTACAAACATCTCTCCACATCTCTCCATCATCATTACTACTCTGCTCCAGGCCACCAGGATCCCTCTTTGGTGACAACAGTTGTCTCCTAACTGACCCACCATATCTTTTCTTATGCCTCCACAATTTATGCTCTCCACAGAAACCAGAGCACCTTTTATAAAACAAATCAGATCATGTTGTCACCTTGCTCAAAGCCCTCATTGGCTTCCTAGAATAAAGTTCTTTTTGTTTGTTTGTTTTGTTTTGAGACAGGGTCTTGCTCTGTTGACCAGGCAGGATAGAGTGCAATGGTATGATCATAGCTCTCTACAACCTTGAACTTCTGGGCTCAAGCAATTTTCCTGCCTCAGGCTCCCAAGTAATTGGCACTATAGGCGCATGCTGCCACATGCAGTTGATTTTGTTTTTCAGTACAGACAAGGTCTCACTGTATTTCCCAGGCTGGTTTTGAACTCTGGGCCACAAGAATCCTCCCATCTCAGCCTCCCAAAGTGCTGGGACTATAGGCGTGAGCCACCGTGCTTGGCCCCACCTAGAATAAAATTCACACTCCTTACCCTAGTTTACAAAATTCTGCCTGGTCCAGCTCCTGCCTGCCTCTCACATCATCACATCCCATTTCTCCAAACACAATACCTCCCTCCTTCCTTTAGCCTTCTCTTTCTCCCATCCCTTGATTATGCCACATGTGCTCCCTTCTCAGGGCCTTTGTACTGGCTGTTTCCCTTCCCAGTGTGCCCTGTCCTTTGAGATTTCCATGGCCAGATTCTCTGTGGCTTTCAGATCTCACTTAAAAATCACTCCCTCTGTAGTGTCTTCCCTGACCATCCCATCTAATGTGGCCTCCCAGTCACTATCAATATCGGGAAAGCACTTGTCACTTGCTATTTCTTTCATTATTTGTTTGTTTACTTCCTGCCACCTTTACTAGATTAGACTGCAAGGTTCATGAGAACAGGGGCCTTACTGCTCCTTCAATGCAATTTCTCTGGAAATTGGAGCAGACCTGTGATAGACAGCTAAGAAACACAGAATCAATGAATGAGTGAATGGAACACAAACTAGTCCCCTGTAGAGCTTAGCCATCATTAATGTAAATAATTTGTGTTTAATGTTATTGACATAATACTATTTGTTTTAAAGCATGAATATACTTTTTTCTTGAGAATGTTCTTACTTTATGGGATGTTTCCTTAAACTCTTGGGAAAATTTTTTTGCATGTTGATTTTAAGCAAAATAGTAGAGTGACATTTAATTGAGAAGTTTCCTGAGCCTTTATGTACTTCACCCTAACCATATATAGGACACATTTGTTTTAGTGAAATGGTACCAATGGGTTCATTCAATTTAAAGGTAAAGCAGTAGTTGAAAGTACAGGATTTTAAATGACTGTTTATTCCAGGTTCAGCATTTAGAAAACTATAGTCAAATATTTTCTGGTAGAGTGAGAATTAGAGACACAAAACCGATTGATTTATAAGACAGACTTAAGGGAGAGTTATTCTTCGTCTCTTATAATGAGTCTTCTTAAATCAGTTATCAAGATGCCCAGAGCAAGTTAGCAAACATTTGGTAGCTATGATGATGATATATGGTAATTCTGCCATGTGGATTGTAGTATTAGAATTCCCTAGTAAGAGACACTAATTCAAAAATGCAATTATATAAGCCGAGAAAACATAGGAATACAACATGTATCTTCATGAGAGGGAACAGATTAGGATTAGAGCCAAAAAATAATTAAATTGTTGACATCTCTATTCTAATGAGTTTTTTAAAATTCCTTTTTACCACATGTGAAAATGAATCTTTTATTATGCTCTTCTAGGTTCTCTGTGTTTGATAGCAAGATTGAGATTGATAGAAATTGGCTTTTGGAAGATGTAGGAGAGGTTGTTATTTTACTTGTGTGTTACTCGTTAAGAAACTGTAATGTGAATCAAGGTGTTTTAGTGCAATTATTAAAGGTCCCCATTTGAGAATGAAATCTTTTTTCATTAAAATTGATCCCATCTTTATCTATGCCTGCCATCAAGACCCAAATCTTTTGCAAAATTAACATTAGTGGACAAATCATGATATTATATGGTCTTATGACTGGAATTGCACATTAAACACAGGAAAAGTTTAACAAAATTAAAATCCTGCTATTTAGCAAATGCCCTTAATGAATGTATTATGTGGATCAAATACAGAGTGGTTAGAAATGGAAATAACAAAATAGTTCAACATGTCCATTCCCTTCCAGGACTGGAGAAGCTGCTTCTCCATCTGTTCCCTTCACTTAGAATACTTCACTCCTTTATGAACTTCACCTCAGCATATGCTTTCTAAGATATAGAGATCTTTCAGAAAATATGAGTAAAGGGAGCCTTTTACAAACTTCCATAATGTTGTAATTATATGAACTAGAGACTTGATGAATTTAATTCTAGAATTACATTCTTTAAATAACAGAGTGCTAGATTAGGCATCCTTGCTCTGGATATTTCTAATATTATTAATCTCAGGAGAAACTAGTTTTTTAAAAAGTTATGATGTAGTATTTGATACGTATAACATGATATTGCTTAGTTTGGCTTGTTTAGGAGTTTTAAAAAATAGTATCATAGCGTTTTTAGTTTCTTGCAATTTATAATTTGTATTCAACATAGTTTCTAAAAATATATATCCATTTTGTGTGTAGCAAAAATTTATTCATTTTACCTGCTGCATAATATTTCATTAGTTGAATGTATCACAATTTAATTATTCATCCTCATCAATGGGCTTTAGGGTTGTCCTGAATTTTTCTACTATTGTATACATTCTTGTATATGTGTCCTGGTGACCATTGCAACACATAATTAGGAATTAAATAATAGAATCAATACATTTAAATTTGCAATATTATAATATGCAGCATAATTATTTTCAAACTATAGGCTTTTCAGTCTTTAAGCTTCAGTAGAGTCATTTTCTGAAGAGATCAAAATCTATCTGAGCTAAGAATTATAGAATTGATCAAACACTTACTGGAATTTTGTGTTGAATATTAATATCTGCAGCCTAAGAGAAATATACAAAACCCATACAGAGTTCACAGTAAGATCATAAAAAATTGATATATTGAAAATAGAACTAAGTGATGGATTCTTATATATAATCCATGATTATTTTGCCTGTGACTAAAACTGTTAAGGATATTAAGTCTTTTCAATATGATTGGTTTTAAGTTAGATGTACCAACTTACAAGAAATTCTATTTTTCAAAACACCATGATATTATTTTCCAGCTGGAAATAATACCTGCATATTAGTTACCTGCATATTAGTCTGATCTGCATTCCTCTCTATAGTCAACCTCCTGTGAGGCCAATTTTCATAGCTACCTGGGATGAATTCCTAATTTATAGCATTGATTTATGCTTACTAATGAAGAACATTTAGAGGTTGCTTTCAAAATGAACATGGGGAGTGCAAGGTGATGAAGGTCTGGGGCTGACAAACTGTCCAGTCAGACTAATGAATCGATTTGCTTAGTTTTCTTTATAGAGATGAAGGACTACTAAGTTTGGATGAGGCTTGAGGACAGCTAAGTCAGGAATATGCAATTTTTTTCCAAGGAAGGAGCCCAGAGAGTGTGATAGCATCTGAAGATATGTCCCTGGCCTACCCTATCCACACCAGGGCAGGTATCTAACTGCACGGGATAGGAAGAGGGGGCGTTGCAGTTTGTGTACAGCTACATCTTAACTTGTGCTAGGTGTGTCTACATAACACAACACATTAATCATTATTTGACTATATAAAATTATTAGCCAGATTTTGTCACTGAGTCCCATTGAATAGTCTAGGTCAATGGAAATCTCTTGAGTGACTAGGTATTTTTTAATCCCCTTGAATCATTTCTTAGAATTTTTCCTGTTTAATTTAATGAAAGAAAAACATTGAAAAAATATTTTTCCTGTGTGCTTAATGATTCAAATACAAACATATATGACTTCCTAATTCATTGTTAGAAATGGTCATCTGTAAAGCTGGATTTTTGACTTTGTGTTACATACTTTTTAAGATTAAAAGCTGGCACTAGATGTAATATACACACAGTTTTGAAATGTTTTGGGTATTTTAGAAATAAATAAGGCCTTCATGAAGGATTGCAAAGGTATTAAGAGACTTGTTCAACAAGTATACAGTGATTATATTATAAAAATATGATAGGAGAAATATTTTTATAGCTGGATATCACTGAGCTTAAGAACCTCCAGCATAGCCAATTCTTTGAAGAGGGATCATAAGTAATAACTGGAAATTACCAGTTAGTTACTGAAAAATGAGTCATGAAGGTGAAAGAAACTCAAATGAAATTTTAAAATGGCCAGTTGTTAGTGTCTGTCAGAGTCTGATTGGGCACCGCTAATGTCTTATATTGAGCAAAAGCACATACTCACTCTCCCACCTGTGTACTATCCTTAGCTTAAAACTTGAATTTATTTTTAAAAATTAGTATGCAAGTTGCATACTTCATTAAAGCAACCAGTGCTGTTATGAATGGGAGGACAAATGGAAAGATCTCCAGGAGTCTAATGTTTGATATTGTCGATTGAATTGGTGTCTTTTTTCAAAGAATTGCCTAAAATATATTGTTTTGACATTGTTTTACATTGTTTAGTAACAAAGTCTTTGTGATTTAATTCCATCTTAAGACGGTTGAAGAACAGCAAGGCATCTACAGATGGACATCGGTACCTTTTTCGTGGCCGGATCAACACGGAGGTGATGGAAGTGGAGAATGTGGATGATGGCACCGGTAAGTGATTTGTAGATTTTAAATGGGATGCCAATAGTAAATAGAAAACTCCTTTGTAAGACAGATTTCTCACTTGGATAATTCACCTGCCATGTATTAGAGCTTAGAAATACTTTGTTAGGTAAAGTGGTTGGGTAGAGAAAAGAGAAAGGTGAGATAAGGGAGGGGAGGACTACTGTGAAAGTGGAAAATTATATATAGCCAAAACACACTAACATGAAACACAGATACAGAGAAATAGCCGAGTAGTGTCCCATGGCATTCACGGGACTGAAACAGAGAGCACTGTGCAGAAAAGAGTTAATGAATGAATTTTCTTTAGTTATACTGTTTTATAAGCATATCAGTGATGTTTTGTTCCTATAATATATTCACTGTAAAATATAGCAAACTATAGATTTGTCTTAGCTATGTAGTTGTTTTTCATATAGACAGGTTGTCAATTTTCTTGTAAGCAAATTGTGAATGGAGGTGGTTTGTGTAATTTTAAGTTCTTGTTTTAAATATCTTATTACTCAAAGGTAGTAACTTTTTGCTTCATAGATTTGAAAGTGTGGGATTTAATAAGCTAATTTATGAAATCATGATTAGTCACAAACATTAAGTAAAGTTAAAATAAATTGCACTTTCTATTTGAAAAAAAAAAGTTGTCTCTAAAATAAATACTTAGTAAAGTGAATTCCATTTTTCCCCAATGATTTTAGTTAGAATTTAAAAAATATGCTTCTACGAGAAAAGACAAGATGAAATGCAGTATACTAACTGTTGCTAAATTTTAGTGATATTCGTTATACATGTGGGATTGGGACACAGATCAGCTCCCTCCACCTCTCACATACCTTCATTGTCACTCTGGGGTCCCAGAGGGGAGAAGAATATTTATAATCTGTCAGAAGCACAGAATTTCAAATGCTCACCTGTAGGCAATTTCTCAATACCATTGTTAGCATCCGAATAAATTGTCAGGTACTTAAAATAATGAACTGTGATTGCTGTAGGTAAGGGAAAAAGGAATGCAATGAGCAAAACTCAGGTGGTGCCTGAGACTGAGCACTCAGCTTTGGAGCCATGCTATTGTGTTCATCCAGTAGAGAGGTTCCTCAGTGGCTAACTGTGGGGTGGTGTGGAGTTGCCAGACAGTTGGCAGAGGTAGATATCTCATTTCAAATCCCTTTCTATGCTACAGACTGTAATGCAGTTGCAGATACTCCCGTGCTAACATGTGGGACCTAGTCGGCTATCTTTCCATAGCAGGATGTACACATTATTTTTTACAAGGTAGCAGTAATTTATTCTGTGCTTTCTAAGAAGACTATATAGTGACATTTAGAAATGTTATCTAACATGCTAAGAGCTGTCTTGCCTCTGTAACCTGCATGTTCAAGAGACTACCCAAATGCCCAACTTTGAACCTGAGTTGGGAGGAAGTCAGATAGTAAAAGAAGAACACTAAAAACTTCTACTCTGTTCTTTATTGGACCTGATTACCCATAATGGGACCATCTCTCCACTGTTGCTTAGGCGCTTCCTTTATTTTCTTCCATTTTTGGCTTTCCCATGGGCATAGAGTCCCTGGCCTTATTTCCTGAGAGATTGAATATCCACCCCTTATGTCCCACTTTCTCCCTTTACTCCCCGTGATGTCAGTGCCACTATTAGTGCCATCTGCATTGGTGATCTGACTGAGTTGTGATAGTGATTACTATGATTACTGTGCTTTTGGGCAGCTGGAGAACTAGATAAAGAGATGTAAGAGCCCAGGACCTTTGGAGGCATGGCCATAAAATGCTGTCTTCCCGTGTATCTGGGCCAGATTGTAAGGGAATGAGATCCTATGAAGGGTGACTTGAATTGCACAGATGGTTCTTGGATTCAATTCGACCTGAAAGTTTTGTTGATGCTAGTAAGATTCCAGCCTACAGGTCCCCAGTTCCTGAGGGCAAAAGCATTGTGGAAGGCAGGGCCTAAGACCTTGTTGTGTATGAATTAGAAGAAAGACACAAAATTGCAGGATATTTAGTTGTCATAAATTAGTTGTCCTATGGAACCTCTTGACACAAATTCGCAGGCTTGATTTTCTTTAAAGTAAGATGAAAACATTTATTACATCTTGTATTATTCAACTGGGGCTTTCCCCCTCTTTACTTTTTCTTGAATGTATATAAGCAGCATGTAGCAGGAATTTGGCTGTACCTGGTCACTACAAGGTCACTTAAAGAATTTTCAGCCTGCAACTGGATACCATACCCTAGTTTCCTGCAAGTACAATTTAGTTTTCTCATGGCTATATCCACTAGGTTCCTGGGGAATTGAATAATAGAAATTTTGAAGAAGGATAGGATCTTGGTGATCAATTAATGTACCCCAATAGCATTTCAGATGATCGAAATGAGGCCAGGTTTAAGAACTAACTTGTCCATGTTTACCAAGCTGACCAGGACAGAGCTGGAGCTAGAGTTAAGTTTGCTGGGCTTCCATGTACATGTTTTGTGACATAGAGAAGGACCAAGTGGAGAGCAGTGAAGGAACAAGGCATCAGCGTATGGAGGTTGGGTTTGGTTGCACCCAGAAATGATCTGGGTGCTGCATGAACTTTCTTCCTTTGTTGTTTCCTTGGTCATTTCCAGCACAGCATCTTCATTTCTTTTTGATGAGCTCAGGTTTTAAGTCTGCTATATTTTTTACTTTACACATGAAGCTCTGATGCAGATGGATCTCAGCAGAGCTGATTAATGTCCCTATGCCAAGTACTCCCCATACTTGGCCCTGGATAAGTTAAATGAGGGATAAACAGATACTATCAGGCTCATCTGTCATTGCCAAAAGAAAAAACAAGCACCTATACCATATTTAGTTATAAATAATAAAATGGATGAATTTATATATATATATATATATATATATATATATATATATACACATACATATATATATATGTATTTTTTTAAGCATGCTTAGAACTTTTTCCTTTTTTTAAATTGAGATGGGGTGGTGGTGAGGAGTCTCATTATCTTGCCTAGGCTGGACTTGAACCCATGATTCTCTCAACTCAGCCTCAGTAGGTGGGACTACAGGCATGCAACACTGGGCCTGGCACTTAGAACTTGTGATGGAAAATGGAATGGAAAAGTTTTTCTTCCATTTGAATTATGCAAATCCTGAGTATTTTTCTATACTCTATGTATGATAAAATAGTTTTCTAAGGAAGAAGCTCTATCAGATGACTAATTTCATTGATATAGCTCAAAACTTGCAGAAAAAATAATTGCACTTGGGATGAGACAAAAGTTTTCAGCCAACATGTAAACATCTTAAATCTTTTGATAAATAATATTATTGTAATTTTATTCATAATACTTAATGACTTGGTTTATATCATAGTTATATCTTAGTATAGAAAGAAATTTAAATGATGGTATGATGTGCAAAAGTGCAAAAATTTGTATATATATTTATTTAAGTCTGTCCATGTTATTAATTAATTCCTATATTCAAGGCAGATGTTGACCTTTGCATTTGTGGCCAAATTTCCATTCAACCATTCTTCAGATTTCAACTCTCAGTGAATCTAAGTTATTCTTTGAAGATTCTTTCTGGGTCTACTAGTTTGATCATGATGCTATAAAGAAAATTCAGCTTAAAGGCAATAGTTGGAAAGCTATTGAACTTCCTAGAATTAATTTTCATGGTAATTTTTATAGTGCATGACTGGAAAGCCATTCGGAAAGTAGTATCAGATCATTAGTATTCTCTCTTATGCACTAGTTTATTTCTATGGTAGGACAGAGGGCAAGAATGTTGACCTTTAGAAAATGTGGTCTGTAGTTCAGTGTTGGGCATACCATAGATTTCAATATATTCGTCAAATTCGAACTGGATAAGATGAAAAATTTTTATTCTTAAGGTGTTCTTTAAAAGTAAGTCAATTAAAAAAATTTAGCTCTCCCTTTATATATAAATATTTGAAACTATTCTAATATGTTGAATACATTTTTTTTATAAAATTAAATTGTGCTTATTAAAGAAACTTTGGACATTGCAGAAAAATAGAAAGGCAAAAAACAGTAGATAATAATGTCATACAAAGGCAAACACATAAGACTATATAAAAACTATTTCCTGCAATTTTCCTTTTAATGCATAGATTTAAAAATGCTTGAAAATGTGAACTTTATAATTTTGTATCCTTTTTCACTTAAATCAAGTACCTGTATTATCTCAATGATCGTCATCTTTATCTTCATGCCTTATCACCAAAAATAGCATTTATTGTTGCATACCAGTCGACTGACTAGATAAACCAGTTACTTTCACAACTGTAGTATTGTTGCATAAGCTGGATTGAGTATGTTCTTAATTAAAACGTAACAATGGCTTAACAATGTTGAAAAGAATATAAGAATGTAATAGTTTTTTTTTCTAATACATTTTCAATGTTTTTAATTTAAGGGAGTATATTTGGGAGTTCAGAAAGGTCAAGGGATGAACTACTTTTTAGATTTTTAAAAGGAAAAGTCAATTAGAATCTTTTTTTTTTTTTTTTTTTGCCAAAAATAATATCATATGCTATTTGGGATGCTGGAAATTTTTCTTCTATTATTTGATAAAAATCAAAGATTTATTCAAAAAATTTTTCTCAATGTTAAATATTTATGAAGAAATTATAAGTTTTAAAGTTTCCCTTAGAAATTTATGCATCCACAGTGTTGATCTCCAGGACAAGGATTGAATACATTATTTAGACATCAGTTTCTTGATGTTTTCAGTAATATAGTCTGGCAATTTCTTCTGTTTCTTAGCCTGTTTATAATACTTGGATATTTTCCATCTTATTGAAATGCAAATTTATTGAAAGAATACTGGCACATCCACTGAGATTTACAGTGTATCAGTTTTGGAAAAATCCCATCTCATTATATGAAACTGTACTGAAATAAGAGCAAGGAATTTGCAAACTGTATAGCTTCAAGTAATTAGTGACTTGTTCAGGTCTGTCCCTTGGATTTTTCTGTTTTTGGAAGAAATCAGTGACTAAAGACTGTTGAATTTGGATATTCCACATTTAAAGAATGGCAATTTAAAACCTATTCTTCCTATAAAATTAACATTTTAGATCCATTGAAACTTGGAAATTCCTGCGTTTGCCATTTAATAAATTATTTTTCCATTTAAATTTTTTAAACAAAATTCTGACTAAGCACAAAGCAGTGTTGGACTTTTTAATGGCTTTAGTGAGGGTGTTCTTTAGGGATAAGTTTAATTTTTATTTTGATATATGAAGATATTGAACAATGTGCTATGATTAAAATTGTGAAGCTATTATATGTCACTGTATCTTTTGAAAAAAATGAGAAGCAATTGCTTATTTTGTATAATATTTGGTAATTTTGATGCTATTATGAAGTATGTATACTACATTTTGAGGCCTGTGGTATGTATATTCAATTGTATATGTGTGTTTATGTATGTGTGTATATATATATATGTTTATAATTACTTATTATTTTTAAATTGGTGTGATAGAAATTAGCTAGCATATAAACTTTAAAAGGGAACATTATTTCTTCATTTAAAATTATTTGACACAAGCTGTTCTTTTAAAATACTAGTGCAGCAATTAAGCTGTTATTTGAGACAGTGGAGGTATTAGTCCATTCTTGCACTGCTATCACTACCCGAGACTGGGTAATTTATAAAGAAAAGAGGTTTAACTGGATGACGGTTCTGTGGGCTGTTTAGTTCATGTGGCTGGGGAGGCCCCAGGATACTTAAAATCATGGTGGAAGGTGAAGGAGAACTGGCATGTCTTCCTGGCCGGAGCATGAGAGAGGGGTGGGGGAGGTTCTATACATTTTAAACAACCAGATCTCACGATAACTCACTCACTATCATGAGAACAGCACCAAAGGGGAAATTCTTCCCCGTTATCCAATCTCCTCCCACCAGGCTCCACCTCCAACTTTGGGGATTACAATTTGACATGAGATTTGTGCAGGAACACAGACCCAAACCATATTAGTAGATTTGACAGTCAGCTAATGATCTTGGTTTCTGTACATTGAAACAATAGCCACATGTGATCAATCACATGCTCACTTATCTGATTCTGAGTTGAATTATGTGCTTTCCAAAAGAGATTTGTATGCACAGGCTCAATTGGTCAGGCCAGGCTTCATGGAGGGGATGGGTCCACTTTCAAGAGGAGTAAGAATCTGTGAGGCAGAGAGGAGAGTGGGGTAGCTTGATGAGAAACTCAGTCTGGGGAATATATAAGTATTCACAGGACAGCCAGGAGAGCAGCAGACAAGAAAAGCATGGTGGGAACATATTAGAACATAGTGGAAAATAGAACGAGTGTTTAGACAGAGTTGAGTTATTTTGGGAAGAATCTTTAAAGCGAAGTCTACATGTAGTTTTGACTTGATTCAGTGGTGAGACACCCAATGGGTGGCTTTTGAGCTAAGAAGTGGCCTGTTTGAGGGAGGGCCAGCAGGGTGTGAAGAGGCCAGTGACCAGACTCAATCCAGGAAAGAAAGGAAGGAAAACTCCCTGTTATAGAGATGGCTGGCCCCGGGGTACACTTATGCGGTGGCAGGAGCATGACTTGAATGATTTTGGCACATGAACTTGTGTTCCCTGTGCTCTGTGGGAGGGCTACACTGTGTTCATTTTAGAGTAAGTCCAGTGTTTATGACTGTAGGCTACATTTGGCTACTCTGGTTTTCTTTATCCAGAGTAATGGTTAAAGGTATAATAACATGAGTGGCCATGTGGGATCTTTTAAGCTGCAGGTGCAAGGTTCACTTAGCTAATCATGGCCTGACTTGAACAGAGAGAAGACAGCCTGAAAAAAAGCTTGGGCTTGTATGTGACTCTGGTCTTGTTAGGTTACAAGTGGTTAGGGTTGGGGGAAGAGTTTTAAACGTGTAGAATTTGAGAATTTCTGAATTTTTTCCCCCAGTTTATTGTAATTTCTCAGTTGGTTATTTTTATAGATATTAAGGAGGGATTGCACTGTAATTATGAAGTAATATTCTTATTTTCCTACTAATGCCCATGAATACTTATCTGACATGAATTATGAAGTTCTCTTACTTTGTGTAGGATGGGAACATGAATTAAACACATAAAGGTAATAAAAGTACAAAAAATCTTTTTAAAAATTGCTTGTAATTTTTTGGGAGGGAAGTATTGGCCAGTTTAAATCTCTATATTATCAGAAGTCATTTTTGATTATTCATGGATTATGGCACCTATATAAAATACAGACTAATGTCTAATGTCATTCTATTTTGACTCAAAAGTAATCTGGAAGCTTTAAAGACTCCACAACTGAACAGCATCATTTGATAATGGATTTGTGGTATTATTAGTCTGACCTCATATAATGTGTAGTGATTTTGGAGCTAACGAAAAAGACTATGGAAACCAGATTTTGGGAGAATGAGTGCCAAGCACATCTGTTTCTACTCAAAAACTTAATAAAATAGATCATCTGAGAAAAAAAAGAACAAAACAAGCAAAGTGCCACAAAGTCATTTTCTAAACCACCTTTAACTTTCTTGTGGCTTACCTCCTCAACACTGGCCTTTGCTGCTGAATGACTTTCAGGAGAGACACATGAAAAGGGTCACTTTAATTGGTACAGGTGCTGACTCAGGCCTCTGTCGTAGGTTTTTCCATCTTGGGATCTTTGCTTTGCAGGGACTGTCATGCCAGTAAAGGTCGTTTGCAAGTTATGTCACTATTCTCTACCCGCTGTTAGGCAGACAGCTACTGTATAGGGTTTGCTGTTGACATTTTCAAACCCAGCATGACAGTTTACCTAAAATTATAGTGAGGTATCAAAAAAGACAATTAAATGTCAATTTATCTTCAAAAATTTTTTTATAAGTTTCTATTTATGTGACTTAAATGGAATGAAGTGGCTTTAAAGAGTGTATGTCTTGACAATCTACGATGATAATGCTTTGGCATTTGTATGTTTCCATTTATTGCAATTTTAGGTAATTGCACTCTTTGTGTGTTCCATTGGTCAATCCTTAGTGTGCAGTTCATTAACTAATAGAAGATTTTTCCATGGGGCATAGACTGTCTCTGAAACCTAGAATGCTATTTCAAAGAAACATTAGAAAGATAAAATAAATAAGACATCTTGAATGTTTGAGAAGAAAACACCTTGCATGTTATTCTTTTATTGCTTTAGAAACTTTGACAATATTTTTGTGCATAGAGCATGTAAGTGTTAATTAGTTTGTAGTGTTTAGTTTCATGTAATGTATTAACACTCTGAGCTAGAAATGTCCATTATTGAGCACTGACAGCATCCAATATGAAAGCATTCTTAAAGTTTTTAAATGTTTATGTTTTTCAATATACATATGTAAAGCAAAGAGATGTTGAACAATTCAGTGGTTTTGGAACTTTTGTGTATTGAATGATAGTGTGGATATAATAATATTGTGTATTACATTTTGTTCATTTGCCTTTACCCATTAATTTACAGCTGATTTCCATAGCAGTGGACACATTGTTGTTAATGGATGGAAGATACATAACACAGCAAAAAATAAATGGTTTGTTTGTATGGCAAAAACACCTGAAGAGAAGCATGAATGGTTTGAAGCTATTTTGAAAGAAAGAGAACGGCGGAAAGGTGGGTGTATGAATTGGGCGCTGTTACACTTTGTGAAGACTCTAACTTAGCATAGGAGCAGATAATGGGAAAACATGAGAAAATGGAAAGGTATATGATGGTCACTTGATTTATTAGGTTGGTGCAAAAGTTATTGCAGTTTTGACATTGAAAGCAATTACTTCTCCACCAACCTAATACTATGTGACGTGAGCCTCATACTAAAAGACTTATTTGATACTTACAAAATTGTTATGTAATACTTATATAGTTAGCAAAATAATTATGTTATGGCTGGTAGTGTCTTTTAAATAATTTTTTTAAATAGAAAATTTGTTCAATTTTCTTTGCATTTTATTCTTGCTATTTCTAAAGCAGCATTGCCAAATTTTTCTTTAAGTGACAAGCTTCAATAACATAATGCAGTGTTGTAAAGCCTCCAATTGTTCTCAGTATACTTAACAGAACACTAAAATTTCTTAGACCCAATATGTTAGCTTCCTAATTATAGATTAAAGCACTTTGGATTTATACAAACTTTTAAAAATTGTTAGGTCTTTGAATATAGTATAATGTAACCCAATTAGTTGCTTGTTCATATGAGGAGGCCTAGCTCCAATTTGTTTTATGCTTTTAGAAAAATTTGCAAAAGGAATTTGGCCTGGCTGTATTCACTTGTGTGAAGTTTATCTGCAAAAAGGCATATTTCTATAATTCAGCTCAGAAATAGAAATGCTTGTATTTCTACTAATTAACAATTGATTTCTTAATTAAGAAGCATGACATTGTTGATTACTTCTGGAGACCCAAGAATAAAACACCTCATTGGTAATGAAATTTCAGAACACAAAGAACTCTTTCTTCCATCTTCAGATGTTTTCCCCTGAAGAATATGCAACATTGCTACCTTGATTGAAATATTCATGGTACATACTTGTAGAATTTCCAAAACATTTTCAAATACTCCTTTGGTTGATCTTGGATGAAGAACCAGATAGAAAATTTTAAAACAAAGTTTATGAATATATGACTGACTAAGTTTTGTTGAATGTAGCAGTCAATTCGAATAGCAAACAAATAGTTAAAAGGTGAATCAAACTTTCAATCAAATTGAACCTTTTTCTTAAGCACCCAAGAGAAAAAAACAAAACAAAATAAAAACCCCCAAACGAGAAGAAGCACATTCTCTAAAACTGCTTATGATCTTTATCTTTATATTTATCTTTATTAGACTGCAGTCTTAAGGGATTATTTATGAATAAAGACAAATGATAATGGCTCCAGCATTGTCAAAAATAAAAATCTGGTAGGAAATTTTGCAGCTAGATGACTAAAAATAATACAATGTTGCTCCTTCAACAGTTCGTCATCAGTCCTGATTAAGTGCCAGTGTTCGTAGGATTTTAGCTTGGCACTGTTTTTCTCTAACTAGATTCCTTGCCTGGGTTATCTATTCCATCAGATTAACTCCCACTTTTACACTGCCGATTTGTTCAACTTTATGTCCAGCCTTGCCCTCTCCCCTGAGCATGCTCGTGTTTTCACCTGAGTCCTGGACTCCCACCTGAATGTCCACACTAGGCATACTTGGTGCCCACCGGACTCCTGGTTACTTGGATGCCTTTGCCCAATACACCTCCCTGCTTCCATTCAGTCACTCTCATCAGAGGCCCGGAAGGCATCTGATTTCTTCTCTTTCTTCCATGCCCACATTTAACCAATATCTTATCAATAGTGCCTCCTAACTATTTCTCAACTTCATCCTCTTTGCCCTATGGCCCTACCCTTATTTGCAGTGAGTTGAACTTGTTTGAACTTTTGAGGTTTCTCCTAACAGTGTCACTCTTTTAAAATCTTCCCCTCTTCAGTTTGTTCCCCGCACTGTCCTCTGAGCTTTGTTTCCAAAGCAACACAACTTTCTTTCCTGCACTACCCTACCTTTCTCCTCCCACTGGTTAAAACACTTAGCTGCATGCCCAATACCTAAGGAATGAAATAAATTGAAACTGCAGGTTGAGCAAGGATCTTGGCTATCCTACCAGCTCATCTCCTATCTTTTCTCTTAAAACCCATGGCTCCGGGCCTCCAAGTTGCTTCAAATGAGTTAGCTCTGCTTTCTCTAGAAATCTCCATTCACACCTGTGCATTCAAGACAGGTCCCTTCTGTGAAACCTTTCTTAACATTTCTCAGGGAGAGGTGAGGTAGGCTGAGTATGCCTCTATTATATTGCATTATTTTTTTTCTACCAGAACTGTCTCTAGGGCTACTCTGTCCAGTTCTGCGGATCTAACTCTGAGCAAGGGTGCCTGGTCCAGGGCTCAATGGAAGCTGAGACTCAGCTGCTCTTCTTACTCCCCTGGCTAAAGCTTTATGCCTTTGGGGCACAGTTTGCACAAAGGTGACATATACCCTGGGGATCTTGCCTTGCAGGTCTCCCTAGCCCCTGAGCTTCTTGAACACCAGGGCACTATTATACAGAGATCTGTATCCACAACCCCCAGCACATGGTAGACCTGCAACAAATGCTTGCTTAATGAAGCCATAACTGAATGAATGAATGAAGAGAATTTTCAGTTACCTCTCCTTTCTTTCATTTTTGATAGGTTTAAAATTAGGAATGGAGCAAGATACCTGGGTCATGATCTCTGAACAGGGTGAGAAACTTTATAAAATGATGTGCAGACAAGGAAATCTGATCAAAGACCGAAAGAGAAAACTGACTACGTTCCCTAAATGCTTTCTTGGAAGGTAGGGTTGGGAGTTTGGGTGCATGACTTTCTTTTACATTCTCATTGTCTCACCTGTTAACTTTCCTTCAATTAGTTTTCCTTTAAAAATATTCCCTTAGGCACTTTTGAAAACTTCTTTACAGTTGCCATTTCCTGGGCGGTAGCAGGATGAAGGAATGGACAGAGAGCCAGGATCATGACCAGGAAACTTAAGGCATCCGTCCATTCATTCATGACTTCTGAGATTTCTGATATGTCATGATCCCGGGGGAAAGTGAGGTTGGGGCCAGGCAGGGAGTGGCAGGCAGGTAGGTTTGCCTGCAGGGGACAGGATGACTGGTTGGGCACAGACATGTATACACATGGGCCTGAAAGTCAGAATCAGAAAGAAAGGAAAGATAAGAGACAGTCTGAACTACCAGTTAATTTAGAATTTAGGCAGCTGGGCTCAGGATAAAGGGTGTAGGTAAAGAGTCTGAAAATGTGGGTCATGTGAAGAGACAGGCAGCAAGCAATAGGCAGAGAGGTCACTTTGGTTTTTGGAGTAGAACAGAGTGACTGAGTGTTGTTTGGTTCCTTTGGACAACATTAAGTGGGATTCCCTGGCTGGTTTAATTAGTGCAGGGCCAGAAGGAAGGTTAGCTGCCTTCAGGTAGCTCTTTTTTAGGCCAGACTCTGCTGGCTTCTTCCTATACATTATTTCTAATGCTGGAATACATACTTAGGTAGGAGTTAAATACCATTATACTTTTTTAAAGATACAGAAACTCTGGATCAGGGAGCTTAACAATTTCATATGGTTAGTGAATACCAATGCCCAAGTTTATAAAGTAGACTGGAGTCATAGTTTACAGTCTAGACTGCAATCAAACTTATCTATTCACTTCCTAGTAGTACCACCAATTTGTTGTGTGATTTGGGATAGCTAAGTTTCCATTTGCTTTGAAAACATGGAGATGATGGTAGAGTTTACCTACAGTGCTCACTGGGATGCCTTTTTAACCAGCGATGGGAACACACAACATAATCATAGGCTACCTCTGCCTCCCTCATATGGTTTGGCTGTGTCCCCACCCAAATCTCATCTTGAGTTATAATCCAAATTGTAATCCCCACGTGTCAGGGGAGGCAACTAGTGGGAAGTGATGGGATCATGGGGGTGGCTTCCACCTTGCTGGTCTCATGATGGTGAGTGAATTCTCATGACATCTGATGGTTTTATAAGGGGCTCTTCCTCCTTCACTCGCCTTCTCTCACCTGCTGCCGTGTAAGGTGTGCCTGCATCCCCTTCTGCCATGATTGTAAGTTTCCTGGAGCTTTCCCAGCCATGCAGAACTGTGCATCAATTAAACTTCTTTTCTTTATAAATTACCCAGTCGTGGGTACTTATTTATAGTAGTGTGGGAATGGACTAATACACCCAGTCTCAGGGAAGTTCTTTACAGCAGTATGAAAAAGGGCGAATACGCTCCCCAACCCCCAACTCAGAAATCTATAGGCCAGGAAACCCTCTGCCTGCAGAGCAGCATCTGGCTTTCTTCTTCACTAAGAGTGATCCTCCCACCAGGCTACACATCTGCCAGTGAGCTATACTGTTGCTTGTAGGTACCTCTTAGCTGGTAGCAGCTCTTGTGCAAGGGAAAGAGAAGATGTGAGTTTATCTTGGCAAAGAAGCCCTGTGCAGCAAAACGACAGTATCTCTTGTACCCACCCCATGGGCATAACTTTCAGGGTCCTCACTGGGATATGCCCATTTGCAAGAGAGTGACTTCAAGTTATGGCTTCCCAGTAGGTTTTAATAGGTATGCAAATTAGCCACCAGGGGTCATTTTTACCATTGCAATGCTGCCTAGTTTAGCAGTTGACACCCTGCCTTCTTCAGGTGTCTAGGGGAGCATAGCTATTATAGAAAGTTAGCCCAGGGTCAAGTTTGTTCTTATTGAAGAAGAATAGGTTTTGCTAACCCTTCACTTACACTGTGTCATATGGGAATAGTGCAAGTTCATTGTGATGCTATATGAAGCTTCTCCCAGAGCACCTGATAGGTAGGAGAGACTCAGTAAATGTTAGATTACTGCGGCCTTTTCCATAACAGCACACTACTGCCGCTTACAGCGCAAGTTTGAGATCATTTCTGAGTGGATCCTTGTCCGTTAGCAGAGTGTTGATGGAATTTCCTCATTCCCTGAGTAGGCCCAATGATAAAGCCACTCATTGGGTTCCTTTATTCTCGACCTCTCACTCTTAAAAATATTTCCAATTTATAGCAATGTTTAAATTGGCTCTTTCCCTCATTGTAATATGACATTTTCAGGAATCTAGTGCCATCAGACTAGAGAATTATGTCTTAGTTACATAACAACTATCTCAACCCACTTGTCAACCACTGAGTTAGTAAATCTCACTATGTGCCAGGCCCCGTGCTGAGTTCCTGACATCTGTCATCTCATTTAATCCTTTGGTTGCACTATGACATTGACATTCTTTTTTTTTTTTGAGATGGAGTCTCACTCTGTCGCCCAGGCTGGAGTGCAGTGGCACGATCTCAGCTCACTGCAAACTCTGCCTCCCGGGTTCAAGTTATTCTCCTGTCTCAGCCTCCCTAGTGGCTGGGATTACAGGTGCATGCCACCACACCCGGCTGATTTTTTAAATTTTTAGTAGAGACAGAGTTTCACCATATTGGCCAGGCTAGTCTCCAACTCCTGACCTCAAATGATCCATCTGCCTCCGCCTCCCAAAATGCTGGGATTATAGGCATGAGCCACTTTGCCCGGCCCGACATTCTTAATATTATCTCTGTGTTAATGATGAAGAAGCTGGAGTTTAAAGAGCTAAATTCATGAACTCATGGTCATGCACGTAGTGGAAACAGAAACAGGATTTGAGTCCCCGTTGTCTTATGGCAAAGTACATGATATTAACTGCTACACTTTGTTTCACCTTTTCTTATATTTTTCTTCTGAATTTGTTATGCAGCAATAGAAAACGAATGGTTTTGAATGGTTCTCATTTAATAAAAGAATAAAAAAAAATTAACAACTTTTTCTGCCTTAAAGTATTTTTGTAGTCTAGACAACCCATTTTTAGAATTTTAACCTCAATTATTTGACATTAGCCATTTTTCTTGCTTTTGTTTTTGAAATTAATGAAGAAATAATTTCCTGATGCAGT
Source organism: Homo sapiens (assembly GCF_000001405.40). Classification (NCBI taxonomy): domain Eukaryota; kingdom Metazoa; phylum Chordata; class Mammalia; order Primates; family Hominidae; genus Homo; species Homo sapiens. Next base: position 68,059,130 of record NC_000008.11, read on the forward strand.
CCATAGCTTTGTTTCTCTAGCCAAAAAAAGAAAACTAGTCTACAACAAATTCAATAGTTTATATAAAAGTTCAAATGTTAGACTTTTAAAACATGAGCAATATAATATTTTTTATTTGTAAAATGTCTCTGTATTTAGTGTTCTCTTAATGATACCACGTGACCTTTTTTTTTAAATCGCTACATAGCTGAGGCTCTCCTAAGTGATACAAAACATCATCCTTATTATCTATGATGCCTGGGGCTGCCCTGCAGTGGTGACAGATGTAACCTATAATCCACTGTGGCCTTCACAGCCACAGCAGTGTGTGGTAGACAGTTCTGATGGATGGTTCTGTGCTGGAGTATTCCTTATGGATGACAGATGAGATACAATAATGAATTTACCAAGTAATTTAACATTTTCAAAACAATGTAGTAGAACTTTTCTATGTCTTTTGGTGTACAGTAGTTTTCTATTGCTGTATAACAAATGAACATATACTTAGCAGCTTAAAACAACACCAGTCAGAAGTCCAGGAGAGCTCAAGTGGGTTCTCTGCTTAGGGTTTCACGACCCCAAAATCAAGGTGCTGGCCAGACGGGGCTCTTAGATTGAGGCTCTGGGGAAAAGTTCAGTGCCAAGCTTATTCAGGTGGTTGTCAGGAATCAGCTCCTCATTGAGGCTGCAAGAATGAAGTCCTTGTTTCCTTGCTGTCAGCCAAGGGTTGCTCTCAGCTTCTGCAGGCTGCATGTCTTGGTACCAGGTCCTCTCCATCTTCAGAGCTGGCAGTTGCACATTGAATCCTTCTAATGCTTTTAATTTCTCTGACTTCCTGTCATGCCACTAGCCTGAGAAAACTCTGCTTCAAAGGGTTCCACTCCCTGAATCAGGCCCACTGGGATAATTTACATATTTTAAAGTCTACTGACTTGGAGTTTTAATTACATATGCAAAACTCCCTTCAGAGCAATACCTAGATTAGAATTTAATTGAAAAACCAAGGGGAGGGAATCTTGGTGTGGTGGGAGGGCAGTGAGAAGATTTCTGTAGAATCCTACCTACCACATGGTACATGTGGTTTTGTTTTGTTCTTCCTTCCTGGATCTTTAAACTCACTGGTTCTCTGTGCCTGGGAACCACATTAAAGACAGTTTAGCTCTTTATATTAAGTTATTACTACTCTATTCAGTTCTGACTTTAGCTATCTTTAGGATCTGTTGCAATCCTTTAGTCCCACATTTGCCTTTATGTTAATGGTAACCTTTTAATTAAAGCTACTCTAAAATTTTCACTTTGTGTTTATTAGAGGCCTCAACAAGTTGAATAGTTTAAAACTAAGTATAGTTTAGTAATGTCAGAATGTACAGACATGGGTTTTCTAGAATAGAGTTCAACTTAAATGGCTGTAGGCCTTACATATGTGAAAAAATAATCTGTTGAAATGTGTTGCAAATATTCCTTTATATTTTGAGATTCCTTTCATCATTGCTTCATGACTGGATGGTATAGAAAGACTTGCTGGGGAAAAAATTAACCGTTTAGCTTTTTCACTGACTTTCTCTTGCAGCGAATTTGTGTCATGGCTGTTGGAAATTGGAGAGATTCACAGGCCTGAGGAAGGCGTGCACTTGGGACAAGCATTATTAGAAAATGGAATCATTCACCATGGTAATTACTTTATTATTAATTACTTATTTAATGCATTTATTGGCCATATGTATCTTAATCCCATTTATCAGTTTAGTTTACAATTCCCCACATTATAGGATGCTTGTTGTTTTTAACAATATTTTCAGTACCTAATAAGTGTAGAACAGTGTCTCAGGGAGTGTGGGTTTATAGGGCTATATTTGTTAACCTTAAAATGAAGAGCTTCAATACAGGCAAGTGTTAGAAAATAGAGAAGTGGGATTGTGGAGGAAGGGATGGTTAGTTCTATAGTAATTAGAGTATTTGGGAGTGCTTCATGGAGGACGGGACATGACAAGTGATGCTGGGCATTGCAGAATGAATAGAACTCTGCCAGGGACCGCAGGGCAGAAGGGCATTCCACCCGGAGGAAATAACAGCACTCCGGCACGGTGGCGGGTGAGTTTGTGGTGGCTTCTTTGGGCACCGGCACAGAGCCTCACGTGGGTCCATGGATGAACATACTGGCGAGGGGAGGTGTGGCAAAAAGGCAGGCAGAGCCTGGATTCCAGAACATATGAAGTCTCCTGCTGTGGCATGTGGGCTTATTCCGAGGGGGGCCAGGAGCTGATGAATGCTTTTAAGCAGAGCCATGATCAGAACTCAGGTCCACAGCTGTGAGGTGCAGCAGCACGGAGCCTGAAGTGGAGAGGTTCAAGACTGCGAGCACTAGGCCCCTCAGGGGGCCCTGCTGCACCCAGGAGTGGCGGGACAAGGTCTTCAGCAGGTCTGCCTCCGTGGGCATGAAAAAACCCATGGGGAGATGCTGGCAAAGCTACAATACCATATTTTATAACTCTCTGGATGTGGGTGATGAAGAATGAAGAGAGAGATTAAAGTATTCTGAGCCTTCTTCTCTGAATGACTGAGATAGCTAATTCAGGAGGAGGATCAGGGTTGAAAGAGAAGATGCAGGCTTTGCTGTGGACCGTGTAGGCCAGCCAGTGGGGAGTGGCCAGCAAGCGGTTGAGAGTTTGGGGTGAAGCTCAGGATAGAAATAAGGTGAGAAACACATTTGGAATCATTTCAAGGGAGTACTAGACTCCTGGGAACACTGACAATGAACAGACAGACAAAAACCAAGAAAGCAGTGTTAATGGGACTCAGGACAAAGGTTTAAAGAATTTCTATGGTAAATTGTGGGGGAGGAGAAAAAGCCAGGGAATTATTAATAAATATGGATGTTTGGCTATGGTATTTTGATGTTCATTTCCTTTCTTAGATACTGTGCAAACAAACCAGATATTTCCCATCTTTTCTTATCACACTGGGTGTTGCCTACGTGATGGTACCACCATCCACCCAGCTAGGAATCATCTTTAATTCCTTTCTCTCCCTCATGCCGTCAAGCCCTGTGAGCTCTACCACCAAATTAAGTCCCTAAACAATGAATTCTGTCCCTTTCAGCATCCTTACCTTTTTTCTAGTCGCCGTCATCTCCTCCTTTGCTTCCACTTTTGTTCTCCACTCCTGTAGTACACTCTCCGGGTCACAGCTAAAGAGACCTTTTAAAACGGGGATATGATCAAAGCATCCTTCTGTTTATAACCATCTAATTGCTTACAATCAAACTTAAAGAAAAGTTCAGACCTATTACATGCCCTAAACTTCTTACCATGACCTACAACATCCGATGAGATAAGGCCCCTGACTTCCTCTCAGAGCCTGACACCTCGCATTGTACCTAACTTGTTGCACTGTGGCCACCCTGACCATCTGTCTCTTTCTTCAACGCTCCAAGATGACTTCCTATTTAGGACCTTAGCTTTTGCTCTTCTCATTCAACAGTTATTTATTAATCCCTAATACATGCCAGGAGCCTTTCTAAGTGGTAGAGACAGAGCTGTGAATGAAAAGACAAAAATCTTTGTATTCATTACTCATGTCTTCCATGACCCTTTGACTTTTAGAAGCCCATCCTGTCCTGTGATTCCAATGTCCTATTTTTTTTTTTTACTTTGAAATCTTTCTTCATGTATTTATCACTCTGAAATTATTATGTTGTTTTACTTGTGTCTTTGTTTATTACCTCTTTATCTCCCTATCCCTTCCCTGGCCTCCAATAAAAATATAAGCACCATCCAAACAAGAGCCTCACTTGTTATTATATAGCAAATGCCTGGCATTCCCATCCCATACAGGTGCTCAATAAATATTTGCTGAATGAATGAATAATTATATTTTGAGTGAACAGATGATACTTATAAATTGTATATGATTTTGCGCTTGTTTCATTAGCATCATTAAAACATCTAAAAGCATTATACGGCTGCTTTTAGCATCTGGTAGGCTAAAAGCATCATTTAAAAACTTAAAAGTAAAAATAACATTATGACTATTATATACTAACATCATAAAATGCTAACAAGCATATATAATAATTACCCTGTCTTTAATAGGATCGCATAGATCTTATATTGACCAGGGAACTGTGCCTCAGTGGCAGAAATTGAGTAGTTGTTTACCAAATTGGTTTAGCTTTTGTTTTTCGTGGGTGTGCATACATGGCATTTCTTAGTTTTCCTTGCAGTCAAGGGGAGGCTGTGAAACTGAGTTGCAGCCAAGGACATGTACACAAAAGTGGTGCACAAGGGAAGTGTACAGGCTATTAAAAAAACACAAAACACAAGGTGACCCTGGGAGCCATGCATTAAGGATGGCTGAGCCTCTGTCAGACCCTAGACCCTGCATGAGGAGAGCACCATCACTCATCCTCTGCCACGGATTGGATTTTACCTCAGTGAAAAATTAGCTTCTACAACACAAGTCACTATATTAGGGAGGTTTGTTTGTTACAGTAGCTAGTGTTAACTAGTGGAAAACCAGCTAGGTTTTCTTCCCAATATTTCCTGCAAAAATGACTTATCCCATCCTATCCTAGCGTATTTCTGCCTTTCTAGAAGGAAGTATGAGAGCAGCTGGGTTTCTTGATGGACAGCGTAAAAAGACAGACTTAAACTACCAAGAAATAAAGGTTGCTGGTTCATGTTGACATACAAACTAGGGGTGAGAGAACATATTATGCAATTTCACATTAATAGAATAATTCTATTAGAATGAAGAGGTATGAGCCAAATGTGCTAGTATCATTAGTATGAGGTTCCAGCTGCATTTTGGTGAAAATAGAATTCCTAAAATAAAGTTGAATGAACCATCTGTTTTAAACAGAGCAAGCAAAAAAGAAGTTGGCTATTATTGCTATTATTGACATTGCAAATATGATTGAGAACTTCACCATCAGCAAAGCCTTGCTATAGCAGGAACTCTAGCGTTGAGGAACTCTAGGTTGAGAGAAAGCAGCGTATGCTTTCTCTGTGGTATGCTGACAATATACATGTTGTCTAGTGCTACTTTTTGTAGTAGGAATGCTTATGTGAGAATTCAGAGACCTCATATCTTATTAATATTATATCCCATGGTGTGCTGAAGTTGGCTCATACAAGCTCCTGAGAGCTGATAATTAAATACATTTTGTAGGCTGATTAGTTTTTAAACACAATTATTATTAATTCAATTATATAAACATGTAAGTGCATAAATTATGTTGCAAAAAGGGTAAAACACTCTTTTGGGGGGTTGGGGGGCAGGGTCTTGCTCTGTTGCCCGGGCTAGAGTACCCAGCCAGTGGTGCGATCATGGCTCACTGTAGCTTCAACCTCCTGGGCTCAAGCGATCCTCCTACCTTAGCCTTGTGAGTAGTTGGGACCACAGGTGCACGCCACCATACCCAGCTAATTTGTTTTTTTTTTTTTTAATTTGTAGAAATGAGGTCTTGTTATGTTGACCAGGTTGGTCTTGAACTCCTGGGCTCAAGCAGTCCTTCCACCTCAACCTCCCAAAGTGCTGGGATTACAGGCATGAGCCACCATGCCGGACCTGTAAAACATTCTTAAAATGTGTCACCTTCTCATTATTTTACAATGTTTTACTATTATCTATGCTGTCGAGGTTATTTGTATCTATTGCTTGTGTATAGTGGAAATACTGTGTAATGAGTGCCACCGCACCTTTAACTCCGTGTTCAGTGACTTTAGGTTGGAAACTTGAAATTGGCCAGAGTGGGAATATTTATACAACAGAAATGGGCAAATGCTACAAATCAGAACTTCTCCTCTACACCCCCTACCTTCACCACCTAGAGAGCCAGTTGTTAAACATTTGCACTATGTTCCTGGTTCTCTCACACAGTTATTTAAAAGATTGCATTAAGCAGCTTTCTTCACTAGAGGACCCGAACTGTAGTTTATACACCCATTTTCCATGCTAGATAAATTGGGAGAGCAAATTTGAATGCAGAACAGTTCAGCGTTTTTCTAAGGCAACAGCTAAGAGTTGCAGATTAACCCAAGGTTCATTATCAAAGGCAGAAGCATTTGCCTTACAGCTAGGCTCTCCCTGTCGAATAGGTTAGACTACCACTTGTTTCATTGTGGCAAAAACATTTGGGCTCAACTTCTTGAGTTTTGGAATATCAAGACAATCTATTTCAATGATTATTAAGGTATAAAAATGGGAATAGGTAGATTGCATAGGAGAAAAAAATTGTCATCTTAAAACAAGTTGTAGAGTTTCACGTTATTTCTCTTGATTTTATATTTCTTTCATACAGGCTTTTTTACGTATGACTTGGCTTGGGGAAAAGATACCAAAAAGCTGTATTGTCTATCTTTTTTTAAAAAGAACAATTTTTGGTCATAAGCCATGTAGAACGTTTGAATAGGCTGGGGTAAAAGAGCTGAAACTTCACATATGTATGTGTGTGTTTATGTGTATTAACAAGTCTTTTGACTTTCTTCTGGATGCATCAAATGTAGTTAATGAGAATTCTGACAACTTTCTTTCCTCTTTCAACATTTCTAGCAAAAAAATAAAGGTCAAAGTCTTTCATCTAATCATAAAAATATAGCTCTTTGCAGCAAATTATCTCTTCTACAAATGTTGCATTCCCTGTAAAGAAAATATTTAAATATAAACTCTTTGACTTTTACTTTGAGGTTTTTACTTTCTAAAACAGACATTTTTTATTAGACTGTGTATAAAACAACTTAGCCTGAAAAAGAGAAAGCGTAGAGATTTAGTAGGAGATTCCCTCCCCTTCCCTCCAGCTTTATGGAGGTATAATTGACAAATATTTATGGTATACAACATGTTTTGAAATATGTGTAAATTGTGAAATGATCACCACAATCAAGCTAATTAGTGTATTAATCGCTTCACATAGTTATCACTTTTTTGTGGTGAGAACATTTAAGATCTACTCTCTTAGCAATTTTCAAGTATGGAATACATTATATCATATTTTCTGTACCTATCCATTCATCCATCCATGGAAACTTAGGCTGATTTCTTATCTTGCTATTGTGAGTAATGCTGCAGTGAACATGGGGGTACAGATATCTCTTTGACATATTGATTTTATTTCCTTTGAGTTACACACCCAGAAGTAAAATTGCTGGATCATATGGTAGTTCTATTTTTAGCTTTTTGAGGAACTTTCATACTGTTTTCCAAAATGGCTATATGAATTTACATCTCCACCAACAGTGTACAAGGGTTTCCTTTTCTCCACATCCTCACCAACACTTCTGTCTTTTTGATAATAGCCATCCTAAGAGGTGTGAGATTATATCTGATTATAGTTTCGATTTGCATTTCCCTGATGATTAGAGATGTTGAACAACTTTTCATATGCCTGTTGGCCATCTTTATTTCTTTTTTTGAGAAGTATTTATTTAGGTTCTTCACCCATTTTTAATTGGGTTATTTGTATTTTTGGTATTGCATTGAATTAATTTCTTATATGTTTTGAATATTTGCCTCCTACTGAATATATGGTTTGTAAATATTTTTCCTATTCCATAGATTGTCTTTTAATTTTATTGATTCTTTCAGTTGCTGTGCATACACTTTTTAGTTTGATGCAATTGCATTTGTCTATTTTTATTTGTCTATTTTTGCCTTTGTTGCCCGTACTTTTGGGGTCCTCTCCAAAAATTATTGCCAAGACAAATGTCAAGTAGCTGTTCCCTAATCTTTTCTTCCAGTAGTTTTATAGTGTTACATCATATGTTTAAATCTTTAGTCTACTTGAGTTTATTTTTATATGTGGTGTGAGATAAAGGGTCCCATTTAATTATTTTGCATGTAGATATCCAGTTTTCCCAGCATCATTTATTGAAGAGACTATCTTCCTCCATTGTGTGTTCTTGGCACCTTTGTGGAAGAGCAATGACCATAAATCTGTGAATTTATTTCTGGGATCTGATCTCTATTCTGTTCCATTGGTCTATATGTCCAGTACCATGCTGTTTTTATCAGTGTGGCTTTGTAGTAGAGTCTGAAGTCAGTAATGTCATGCCTTCAGCTTTGTTCCTTTTGTTCAAGGTTGCTTTGGCTATTGTGGGTCTTTTGTGCTTCTACACAGATTTTAGGATTGTTTTTTCTATTTCTGTGAAAAATGCCTTTGGAATCTTGATAGAAATCACATTGAATCTGTAGACAGCTTTGAGTAGCAGGGACATTTTAACAATATTAATTCTTCCCTTCCATGAACATGGGATTTCTTACCATTTATTTGTGTTTTCTTTAATTTCTTTCATAGTTTGTAGTTTATTATTTCTTTCATGGTTTATAGTTTTCAGTGTACAGATCGTTCACCTTCTTGTGTTATTCCTAAGTGTTACATCTTATTTTTTTATTCTATTTTAAATGTGATCATTTTTAACATTTCTTTTTTCCATAGTGCATTGTTAGTATATGGAGACACTACTGATTTTTTTAATGTTGACTTTGTATCCTGCAAGTTTACTGAATTAGTTTTTGGTGGAAGTTATATGGTTTTCTATATATAAGTTCATGCCATCTACAAATAGAGACAATTTTACTTCTTTCCAATTGAATGTCTTTTATTTCTTTTTCTCCCCTAATTGCTCTGGTTAGGACTTCTTGTACTATGTTGAACAGAAGTAGAGAAAGTAGGCATCTTTGTCTTATTCTAGAGAAAAAGCTTTCAGCTTTTGACCATTGAGTATTATGTTAGCTGTGGGCTTGTCATATATGATCTTTATTATGTTGAGGTGCATTTTGTCTATGCCAAATTTGTTGAGAGCTTTCATTATGAAAGGATGTTGAATTTTGACTAATGCTTTTTCTGCTTCTATTGAGATCATCGTATGATTTTTGTCTTTTATTCTGTTAATGTGATGCATCATAATTTTTCATTTGCATGTGTTGAACCACCCTTAGTTCTCAAGGATAAATCCCACTTGATCATGGCATATGATCATTTTATTGTGATATTGAACTTGATTTGGTAGTATTTTGTTTAGGATTTTGGCATCCATGTTCATCAGTGATATTGGTCTGTAATTTTCTTTTCTTGTAGTATTCATATCTGGCCTTGTAAAATAAGTTTTGGAAGTGTTCCTTTATCTTTTATTTTTGGAAGAGTCTGAGAAGGATTGGCATTAATTCTTCTTTAAATATTTGGTAGAATTCATCAGTGAAGGCATCAGGTCCTGGGAATAGGAGTCTTTATTAATATGAAAGTCTTATCTTGAGGATGGTAATAAAGAATGAACGGTCTTGTTTTCCAATAAGAAAAAAAATTAACTGACATGTAAAAAAGCAATTCTTAATGTAAGAACAGTTACAATTTTGGCATCAGTTAGATACTAAATTGATTTAAGCTACTCTGGAGGTCCAAACACAGGATAAGTGGTCAAGATTGGTGTATGTGTGGTCTTGGCCTGATCACAGTGTGATAAAACAGATACGTGGTAAAATTCATTTCCAAGACCGAGAATCAAATCACAATGCACTAGTTTGAGTATCTGCTCTTTGAGGGGCACTTTTTGCTCAGCTTTGTAGCATTGTGAAGAAACAGAAAACACAAAATCATATATTTATATAAATGTACACATTGTGTATACCTTTATACATACTATATACTCATGTACATATATAAATACATATATTATGCTAGCTGAATGTTGCAAACGTCAGTTTATTTCTCAAATCGTTATATGGAAACTGTAATATTTTTAAATAAAATATTATCATGAATCTTGCTGTTAAAATACTCAATTGGTATTGCTGTGTTAGAAAAGCAAATGCCTTTTGTAAAACTAAAAGTTTTAGTATTTGGGAATAAGTATTTAATAAATTTATTTGCTGTTTATCTGCCCCCTTTTAGAGTATCGTTATTTTAATATAGTATTTCTATGTTCTTAGTTACTGATAAACATCAATTCAAACCAGAACAGATGTTATATAGATTTCGCTATGATGATGGAACATTTTATCCAAGAAATGAGATGCAGGACGTGATTTCAAAGGTAACGACCTCTCCCACAACCTCTCCAATAGTAGAATGCATGTTGTCATTCTTCAGAAGATAAAAGGTAGTTGAGAAACATAAAAGATTTTTCTAGTTTAGAAAATTCTTCGACTATATATACAAGCAAGCCTCTTTATTTATTTTTGGTATTTCAAGAATTCTAACGTTCAATTGTTTTCTCATTCTCTTACCTAATTCTAAATGGTAGTAGTACTGCTGCATCACTCACCAGGTTATATCCATGGAAAACCCTTTTACATGTAGCAACATGTTGTCAAAATACTTGAATTAAAAAAAATACAAATGTGTAAAATAAATGTAATGTCAGATTTTGTACAGTTGACAATACTTTGTTGATATATGATGAACAAGTATTATAGATGTATTACTGTATTGGTATATTTTGTTTAATTTACGTTAGAAATTTTATATTTTAAGAAACATAATTTAGAAAAATCTTTGTATGTGTGTATGTCATATATGAGGAATTTATAGCACAATTTTAATCCTATTCTTTAATGATTTAAATCATATTATTTTTATGATATATCATGATATTTGAATAATTTTTAAATTGGTTTAGATTTTGTGATGATTCTAAAATATTGACAGTGAATTAATTTGTTACTTCAAAATTTCATTGAAATGTCCCTTGGGTAATCTCACTTGTTTTTGATATATCTCTATTTTACGTAGGGTGTAAGATTATATTGTCGTCTTCATAGCCTTTTTACTCCAGTGATAAGGTGAGTCTGGTTTTTAAGTTCTGGGAAACTTAAATGGAAATATTTGTACTATGTTTTAGGTAAATATTATTCAGCCAGAACTTGTTGGCTTATTTTGTTTTTTTTCACTTTACTTTAAAATATTATTTTAAGGAATAATTTATTGTAAAATATCCCTACATTTTCTTAAGATTCTAATTATATAGTGTTTTCCACTCTTTATTATGATTTCTAAAATTATTTTGCCATTAGTTCATAGTAAATTATACACTTGAAATAATCCACTTTCAGTTAATATTTAATAAATTATAGTTGATTGATTGGGAGAGGATTTGGAAATACTGTTTACATATTTGCCATTATTATTACTTGTATATTAACTTTCTACATTAAATTGTATAATCAAATATTGAATATGTATTTTATTTTATAATTTTTCTTCTCATAATCTTTTTTCCCAAGAAAAGATTTTGTACTTGGAAATTAAGAATTATTTTGAAGTTAATAAGTATAATTTTATAATTTTATTCTTTATCATGTTTTTCCTTCTGAAGAGGCACACTTGTTTTAAAAGAGGAATCAGGATTAATTTTTAGTTTATCTCTTTAGAAAGGCAATAGAAAACTTTGAGGTTTGTATTATGATTACTAACAGAGTAGATCTTCAGGAAATTGTACTTTTGCAATATACACTGATATACCTTAACTGATAGAATGTTAAACTAATTTGAAATGGTCAGATATTATTTGGAATTTACTGACTAAATCATAGTCCGCAACAAAATATGCCTGTACCATTTTCAAAATAAATAAAAATGCTTTTCAATCTTGGCTATAAAATCCAAATGTTTAGTGTTTCTATTTTTCACTTTGGTTTGTAATTCCAAGAAAATGCGAAGCTTAAAAAAATAAAGATTGCAGATATTGCTAAGTATATTGGAATGCCCACTTATACTGCAAAGAGAACACACTGTTTGCAGGTCCTGGAGGAGAAAGCAGGATCTTACCCACAATCCTGAAAGTGCCCTATTTACTTTCACAAGTAGACTTCACAAAGTGGAAAAAGATGAAAAAGAATAAATATTTGTTGACTCTGCCATAATTCTTTCACAGATACCCATAAATATTTTGGATAACTTGATATTAAGTACTTAATAGCAATTGGGTACTTAAATATTCTTTTCTGCTAAACTAAGATAAAACAATAATGTTTAATGTACCATGTAACCTGTGTATATGTAGGTTTTATATGGGCAAAAATGTGTTCTGAAAATATATTTTAGTCATGTGAGGTTTCTTATCAAGAAAGCTGCATCTGTAAGAGCTGATAAGGAATTTTTCTTTGGCTAAAAATGACAATTGTTTTTGAGTTGTCAAGAGAGAATTTATGGGAAAAAACCATAAAACAGAAGGAATGTATGATAGTCAGGCTTTTAATATGTGTGAACTCAGCTTATAAAAAGAAAAGTTACTTAGCATGAAGAGCCGTAGACTTGCATATGGTCTGTAATAGACTACGCTTTTTCTTCTTACGATGCTTATGGAAAACAAGATGAAATGGGTGATGAGGTGTCAGAAACATGGAGATAGATTTAAAGAACAATGAATATAGCTAGTAATTATTAGTCACTTCAAGTCTTTTGCAGTTTAGAATTTTTGACATTTTATAAAGACTGCCACTTTTTCATTTTTTTATGATCCAGGTTTGGAAAATAAATGAATTATAGGTTTCTGCCCTTGGGTATTCAGTTCTGATCATGAAATTTGGTTGGTATCCAACAGAACTTTGAATGGTTTCTCAGTTCTGGGAAATCTACTGAACGGAGAGTCTGAGGTGGAGAGCCAGTTGATCCTCTTGGTTCTCTGGGGATGTAGTATCACTATGTCCATGATCTAATCAGGCAAAAAGAATAACAGGTTCTTAGTGTGTCTACTTCAGGACAGACCTGCTTGTTTTCCACTAGGGCAGAGCTGTGAGAATAATACTGTAGTGCAAATCCAGCCTTCCTGGAGCATTCAGGAGCAGGAATAAAAGGCATTTCTTTACTCTACAGATTTTGAGATTTTTAGTATAATCTATTGTGATTTAAAGAGAAGAAATTCTATTTTATTATTTTATTAATACGATGTACAGTAAGTTCTCACTTAATGTCATCAATAGGTTCCTGGAACCTGCAACTTTAAATGAAATGACATATAATGAAACCAATTTTGCCATAGGCTAATTGACATAAATAAGAGTTAAGTTCCAACAGCATCCAGTATTTCATTTCACTTAAAGTCGCAGTTTCCAAGAACCTATCCACAATGTTAAGTGTGGACTTACTATATTTCCAGCTAATATAGCAGTAATAATCTATTTGGATATAAGACAATGTGAAAGAAGAGATGTCCTGTTTTGGTAACATTGTGAGTCTCTTCCCTTGGTATAAGCTGGTGGAGGATTTTTCAGGTGTTTTACATGCATAATAAACTTCTCTTATTTGCATGTAATTTGGGCAACTAACTCAGGTTACAGTGGTAAACTTCTCTGTTGCATATTGATACTAAATGAAAATATTTTCTTGTGCTTACCTACCCTCTTGCTTAATTTTTGTTTTTTGTTTGTTTGTTTTTATTTTTTCCTTTATAGAGATAAAGATTACCATTTAAGGACCTACAAATCTGTGGTCATGGCCAACAAACTGATAGACTGGTTAATTGCACAGGTAAATAGACAAATAGAAGTTGCTGAGTTTCACTTGCTGCTGCTTTAAACTCTGAGTGTGTGAATTAGGACCTTTATTCTTTTTCATCTGTAGCAGGCATTTAAAAAAAGAAGTACATACAACTAATAGGAAGCAGAGTTAGGATTTGAACCTAGATGATCAATTTTAGAGTCCTCAAACTTCACTTTTGTGTTATCCTGTTTCTCAAAAGGAAGATGTTCCTATTTTTAAAATATCAGATGATCCATCAAAAAACACTAATTTGAGAATCTGAAGAATAGCTATGCTCATTTACTAAAATATTTTTATGTTTTTTACACTTTGTTTTAAAGTATCTGTTTATTAATGCTAGCAAGTTATTCTAATCTCCCTGTGCCTTTTTCCCTTTTAGAAAATAATTGTGTTTTGATAATGAGCTTTAATGTCTGCCTGTGTCCATTTTAAAAAAGAAAGGAATTTATTGTTGTTATTGTTGACCTGCTTCTCAAGATTTAGATGCTGACTGCTAGAATTGAGAAAATGTCATTCGCTTATAAGTAAAAAAAATTAGGGCATCCTTTCCATCATAAGAGACATTCAACCATAAATTATTCCAATATTCAAAAGTTTAAGTATTGGTATTCAAATATTTAAATGTTTTATCATACTAGATCAACTAGTAAATGATAAAATGTGTTTCACTGATTAAAGAAAAGATGAAGAAAACTGATACCCACTGTAACTGAACTTACTATTTTGGGGGAGGGGATATTGCTTGGTTGAAATGCAAGTCACTATGTTTAGCTATGTGAGTCAATTTCATACACACCTTTACTTTTTCTTAAGGGTGGCTTGCTTTCTTTGTTTCAAGTAGATAATAGTTGATAGTTTGTCATAAAATGTTTATTTTTTGTTTCAGTTGTTAATACTTAATCCACATTTGGTTCATCTGTACACACATATTTTGATAATTTATATTAGTTAATATTATTTTTAGGCTGTTCAAGAACACCTATTTTTATATTTCATAGCACTTACATTTATTACATTTAGAAGTTTTTAGATGAAACTAAACAATTACCTTTAGATAAAACATCAATTTATATTTTCAGTGGCTTTTCTAGCATCAGAGCCTTTCATAACACTGTGGGCAATGTGTGTCATTCGAGCTGATTTCTATGTTCATTATTGGAGTTGGACTTTCACATAGAAATTATACAGTTCTAGAATTCATGTGAACTTGTATGATGTGTTGATTACGTGAGAAACTTAAAGAAAATTTATCTGAAGCAAAAACTGATGCTGAGTAAACCTTTAAAGTTCTAGCTCAGGAAATCAGGTATCAACTTTTTTTTTTGGCACTTTTACTTTCCAAGGGTTAACATTAGAAGAATATATTAAGGTGCTCAAAAACGGCCAAGTTGCCTTTTTTTTTTTAGACGAGTCTCACTTGGTTGCCTGGGCTGGAGTGCAGTGGCTCAATCTCGGCTCACTGCAACTTTCGCCTCTGGGGTTCAAGTAATTCTCCTGCCTCAGCTTCTCAAGTACCTGGGATTACAGGTGTGCACCGCTACACCTGGCTAATTTTTGTATTTTCAGTAGAGACAGGGTTTCACTGTGTTGGCCAGGCAGCTCGAACCTCTGACCTCAAGTGATCCACCTGCCTCAGCCTCCCAAAGGGCTCGGATTACAGGTGTGAGCTACCACGCCCAGCCGCAATTTTTTTTTCTTCAGTTTTTCTTCGTGGTTTATTATGACAATGTCTGCAGAAATTGTACATAATAGGAATTGCATTGGCTGGGACTCACAACCTAGTGTCTGATGCCAGCTGTGCTAGTAACTAGTTATATAAACTTAGACAAGTCACTCAATCTCTATAGATTTTAGTTTTTACAACTGTTTACTGCTTACTGCAATAGCTGTACATGCCGTCTCTTTTCTATCACCGAAACTTTATGATTCTGATATTGTAAAACATCCTAATGTAAGTATCAACATAATCAACTCTGATTGCTTAACTTCTGATTAGGACCACATAGGCTGCCTTGGAAAAGGCAGAAATAGTAATGGAAGGATAAGAGAACAACAAGTTAAAGTTCTTAATCTAACATGAAGAAGAGGTTTTTGTTTGTTTGTTTGTTTTTTGTTTTTCATGTAAGGGTCTCTTTCTTCCAAGACTCTGAAATGATAATATTGAATGTCCAGTATGGACTGAGACACTGAATTGATTTGGACGGTTTTAGAACACAGAGTAAAAAAACTGGCTCTACTATGATTGGAGTATATTCTAGAGCCTATAGTTTTTCTCTTATTCTGCAATATATTGTGCGATGTCATCTTGGAAGACAAAATGAGTGTTGTGTTCTTCTGAGTACATTTTTCATTCACTGTTGTTGTGCTGCTTCTATTATAGTATAATGGTTTGTAATAAAATACCCTGTTTCACAAAGTTAAATTCTTATTTGGCATGTGCAGTAATATACCTTTAAAACATCATTCAATTCCTGTACGTTGTGATTTGGGTATGGATCACTCATAGTTCATAATTAAATAATGCCTTGCTTCTTCACATCCATGCGGTCTTACTGTGCTTTTTCTAAATGCTCACCAGGTGCATATGGCACAAGGAGGATTTTAAAAGAGCATAGGAAACCCAGAACATGTTAGGCTATGTTTTTTACACCATTATGTTCAATAATATTAGTCTGGCCAGTGTTTCATTTGAATAATCAATCAAATAAAGCAATCAAATGTCAGTGATTATTAAACAAGCTTTTCTTGTAAGCTTAATGTTCAAGCAAGTGCTTTGATGATAGAATACACAAACAAAGCAGGAAGCAATCATGATTTCTGCCTTGAAGTGATGTTGGTCAATTGGGCTAATTTTCATGTACCCTCTAAAGCTCTGCTGCAGCGTCATCACCCCCAGGAAGCCTCGCCAGATCCTCTAGCCTAGGCTCAGGGTCACCTTCTGTGGTCCCAGATCCCCAGGTATATCTGCCTCATTGGGAATATGGATTAAATTGGTTATTGGTAAAGTACTTACCTTTTAATGACCAAATCCTACCCTAGATTTGCATTACCTCAGAGCAGGGAATTATTTTGTGCTTGAGTGGTTTAATATATTTTTTCTATCACTTGGCACAATATGTAGAAAAAATAAGTATCTTTTGAATGAATGCATAAAAATTACAAAACAGCTCGATTTTTGAAGAGGGCCAGATGCAGAGTCTGAAGTTACAGATTATGTGTTTAGTAGTTCTTAGGAGGATTAATGAGGGTTGGATTTGTCACAGCATGAGGTAGGACCCTTATTTTGCTCCTTTATAGACAGGTAGAATGTGAGTGAGTGGAGGGTAAAGAGAAGGGCATTGCAGCTATGAACAATTACATGAGTGAAAGCAGGAGAAGAACGAGCACAGACTTCAGGCAACAGCAGGGAGGCCAAGTTGCCTACAGCAAGAGGTATGGTATTGAGCTTTGGAGAGTGAAGCTGGAGAGATAGCATAAAACCAAGATATGGAAAGTTTCAAAAGCCCAACAGAGAATTTTGATACATTATGATTCTAAAAGAACAGTCTGTTTAGTTTTGGAACCGAGTTTCTGTGTAAGAAAGTTTAATTCTGGCCAGGCACAGTGGTTCACGCCTGTAATCCCAGCACTTTGGGAGGTTGAGGCGAGTGGATCACCTGAGGTTAGGAGTTTGAGACCAGCCTGGCCAACATGATGAAAGCCCGTCTCTACTAAAAATACAAAAATTAGCCGGGTGTGTTGGCATGCACCTGCAGTCTCAGCTACTCGGGAGGCTGAGGTGGGAGAATCGCTTGAACCAGGGAGGCGGACGTTGCGGTGAGCTGAGATCAAGCCACTGCATTCCAGCCTGAGCGACAGAGTGAGACTCCATCTTAAAAAAAAAATAGCTTAATTGTTAGAAAGAGTCCAGAAAAAATTATGGTAATTTAGAAGGGAGAAGAAGAAACACCATATGAAGGTATTGACAGTAGAAATGGAATAGAAGCCAGAGAGGAGAGAGTAGATTTGGTAACATACCTAAGTGCTAAAAGATAGGACTGGGGAAAAATGAGATAATATGTGAGAAAAAAGCTGCTTGAACTGTAACAATACAACTCTAAGGTCACACACACACACACACACACACACACACACACACACACATGCATGTTCATATACATGGATCCATACTTAAAGGCATAAAATAGGTGTTTTCTAAATGAAAACCAAAAGAAAAAGGTTGCTTTGGGCGCTTTTGTTGGATTCAGTTAAATGATCTGATTTTTTTTTTTGGCAAAATAATGAAAGAGAAGCTTGTATTTGCTAGCTCAGCCAAACGATTTACTTGTAAGGTCTTACAAGTCATCGTAGATTAATAGGTTTCTTCAGGGGTCCTCACAGGGCAAGGCCATTTGGTGGAAGGGAATAGTTAGTGACTGAGGTCATACATAATGATTGTTTAATTAGAGTGTTGTCAATTTACAGGATATTTCCCTGTTGCATAATTGGAATATAAAATCTAAGAAATCTAATCTAAGAAATAACAGGCATCATTTATGGTAGCAATAAATTTTTGTTACATAGTTTTGTGTACAATAAAGTATGTTTGTTTCTCAAGAAATATTAAATCTTTGTTTTACTTAATGCCAAAAGAAAATGTTTTCATAATCAACTGAATGTTTTGTAACAATTAGATGCATTCTGTCTTATAAAGCAATGCATGCTTTATAAGCGAAGCTTTGTCTGAATTTGGTGCTGGGAATGTTAAATGGAGCAAAGCTGCCACAAAGCCTTTAGTTGCCTATTAACTCCCACAGTGCTTTTTTGGTTAACAGGGAGATTGCCGCACCAGAGAAGAGGCAATGATATTTGGCGTTGGACTCTGTGACAATGGATTTATGCACCATGGTAGGGATTTTTTACCCTGGGAGCTTACAGATGTATTTCATCACGTTGGTTCTTAGGATACTGCAACACCCAGTGCTGCAGTGAGGTCATTTAGGGATGAGCCAGCAAGACTGTCTGGGTCTTGCCATGGGTTCAGGTTGGGTCACCACAACTGCATTCAGTTTTACTGCTGGTGCCATCCCTATGTCTAATTGCTGTTACCTACCAATTGCCATGACTACTATCCTATTTTTCTAGACTATGCTGATTCTAGAAGAACAATGGCTTGAGCTAGAAGTTTTTCTGTTTTGTCTTGTTTTTAAGCTCATAAACCTCTTTGAGACTATTTCAGATTAGACTTATGGTTTTATTTTGAATGCCAGTATATATTAGAATGAATAAATGACAGCATATGTGGTTGACTACTGTTATTTTTAAGAAAAATGTTTTTAAAATTACCTCAGAGAACAAAATTATAGATCTCTAGAAAAAAATTATTTTTAATCATTAAATGTTAATTTTTTTTCTTGTCTGATGATTTCAAGTAAGTCACCACAAAACCTCTTTCTGCTGTGCCCTGGGATGACTTCAAGTAAGTCATCAAACAATAATTTTTAAATAAAGTTCTTAGATTTATCAGGGTAATGATAGCAAGCTTTTCCTGTTCGTAACATCATATAGAATCCATAAACCCAAACAGTAGTCTCTCTCTTTTTATTTATTTATTTATTTTTTGAGACAGGGTCTCACTCTGTCACCCAGGCTAGAGTGCAGTGGCATGATCTCAGCTCACCACAACCTTTGCCTCGTGGGTTGAAGCGATTCTCCCACCTCAGCCTCCGGAGTAGCTGGGACTACAAGTGCATGCCACCACGTCTAACTAACTTTTGCTTTTCTTGGTAGAGATGGAGTTTCACCAAGCTAGGCTGATCTCGAACTCCTGACCTCAAGTAATTTGCCTGCCCCAGCCTCCCAAAGTGCTGGGATTATAGGCGTGAGCCACTATGCCTGGCCTCTTTTTAATTATTAATATAATATGCTTATAAACATATATTTGATAGCACTTATACCTGTTTGTCAGTTACTTTTTCAGAATATCTTTACATTTTTATGAAGAAGGAAGTACAGCAAAGGTTACAGTGATTTTGAGAAGGTCCTTGGTTATCATTTTTTTGGGGGAAATTCCATCCTGTTTCCCTATCTCCAGATCACTCTGTGAGTTGTCGTGGAGAAATATTGGTCCTTGAAGAACAAACTATGAACGGAAGAAATTACATCATGTTAGGGGATTAAACCTGTAATATAAAGCTGAAAACCTTCAAAAGTTTCAATTTTTTTTCTTTAAAGTAAAGCACCAACACAGTAATTTTATCTAAGCGTTTATTATAAAATATTGAGTTACATCAAAAGTTTTTCATACCAAAGTCTGACAGTAAAGCATGAACAGTGTAGCTCATGCCTGGCTTTATTGATGCCCTATCATGCTCCTTTTAAAAGACAATTTGGTGGAGGGAAACAGCTGTAGCAGAAATATTGTGTGAACTTTGGGAAACTGCTTAGATCATTAAGTCAATCTAAAATAGGTTCTGAGCTAGGCGCAGTGGCTCATGCCTGTAATCCCAGCACTTCGAGAGGCCAAGGTGGGAGGTATTGCTTGAGCCTAGGAGTTCGAGACCAGCCTGGACAACATAGCAAGACCCCGTCTCTACAGAAATTTAAAATAGTAACAATAAAATAGATTCTCACTTCTGTTGCTAATTATGGCTTCCGTTGTTTTTCAAATTTGTGGTTGATAGTTTCGTTTGTTAACTCAAGTTGCCATCCAGTCTTTCAACCAAAGATCAATAAAGCCATTCATCCAGTCAACAATTATTTGTTGGAGCTCTGTAAAAATAATGAAACCAAATAGCTATCCCTTTTGACTGCTTACTATATGCCAAGTTATTTATATTTATTACCTCATTTTGGTTTTAAGCAACAATATGTAGAAGGTTTTATTGCCCCCACTTTACAGATGAGGAAACTGAAACTCAGAGGGATTAAGTAACTTTCTTATCTCATTTCCAGACCTGGAAGTTAAATTCAGGCCTGTCTCATCACAAAACCTAACTTTTTCTGCTGTGCCCTGGGATCACTTTCTTTTAGTCTCTGGCTTAATGAATCAACCTTCAAGGTATTAAGGACAGAGAAATAAGAAATAGATAACTTTTTTTTGTAAAGTATTTTGACAGCTGTCAGGATCTCACTGAATACAAATTCTTCATATCAGTATTTAGCCTTATTTTTAAAAATACTAACAAAACATAAACTTTATTTCATCAGTGCATTCCAAGAATCTTAGGGGATTTGGGGGGAAATGCTAATGTTCAGATAAGGGGGAAGAAACAGACCTTTCTAGAAATAAGGTTATTTGAGAATATTGCTTTTAAACAGAAAAGAAACAGGAATTCGTGGAAACTGAAATCACATTTAACCCAGAAGGCATATTTCTGGTTTGAAGTATTGGAACAAAAGTGAACACAATGAGAGTTGTTCACACAAGAAGGCAACACTTAACCCATTTGAATTTTCCCATAATTGTGTGGGATATTAAAAACATGTTTAAAGTGTTTACTACAAATTGAAAACACCATAAATTTCTATGTTTTGGAGGCACGCATTTTTGGATTCATTATAATCTTTTATTTAAATTTGGATTTTAATCTGGAAAGCGAAGGACTTGGTTAAATTTTAAAAAGTTAGCCTTAGAAGAAATACTATTTGTTTTAAAAAATTCAAAATCCTGTGGGTAAAAGTAATTGAAAGGAGACATTGGCTCGAAATTATAGAAAGAGAAAAAAAACAAAACCCGGGGCTACTTGTGAATGTAACTAGTCCTAGGAGTATAAAGTTGAGGTTATGGGTGCAGGTATTAATTTGTAAATGTCACTGCTATTGAAAATGAGTGCGATTTTTGAATTAGCTGAAATAATTTGCATCTGTCTTTTTCTGTAGTCCTTGAAAAAAGCGAATTCAAAGATGAACCCCTACTTTTCCGTTTTTTTTCGGATGAGGAAATGGAGGGATCAAATATGAAACATCGACTTATGAAACATGACTTAAAAGTTGTGGAAAATGTTATAGCTAAGTCATTATTGGTAAGTTTATTGATATGTTATATAAGTTTTCTTCTTGATTAGACACTAGCAGAAGACTGCGTTAAACATGTTTGACGGTGATGCACATTACTTCGTTCTGTTTGACTTGTAATTTTTTTCATAGTTGCTTTATCAATAATGTTAATATTTTGCATTTCAGATTAAATCCAATGAAGGCAGCTATGGCTTTGGATTAGAAGACAAAAATAAAGTTCCAATAATAAAGTTGGTAGAAAAGGGATCTAATGCTGAGGTAATGTAAATTAGCGTTTTAATTTAAATTTGTTATCATGACATAAAAATAGAGAAATTCTAAACAAACTGAAATCTGCCTTTAAAGATAATCAGCCTTGAAATTATCTTTATCAAACATAATGTCTCTGGATAATCTTACTCACAGGTTCTACTGAATACCTTTGGGATTAGCAGCAGCTGAGTCCTGTCTGGCCACTCAGGGATAATAGGGGCCGGGAGGTGGTGGGTATTCTATAGCAGCCGTCCCCAACCTTCTTGGTACCAGGGACTGGTTTTGTGGAAGACAATTTTTCCACAGGCGGAGGGTGGGGGATGGTTTTGGGATGAAACTGTACCACCTCAGATCATCAGGCATTAGAGTGTCATAAGGTATGGTCAACATAGATCCCCCGCATGCTCGGTTCACAATTGGGTTCGCGCTCCTATGAGAATGTAATGCCACGGCTGACTTGACAGGAGGTGGAGCTCAGGGTTTGTGCTCACTCGCCCGCCGCTCACCTCCTTTTGTGCGTCTGGTTCCTGTCAGGCCTTGGACCCATACTGGTCCGCAGCCTGGGATTGGGGACCCCTGTCCTAGAGTCCTTCAACTGTGAACTTCTTGACCTTCTGGGAGGCCAAGTGGCTCATTCTTTGTCCCTGGAGCTTCACTAATCACAGACTGCAACCTGGAGCCCCGTGGAGACTGCATAGGGTAGCACTGTATTATGCACGGCAGATGGTTCTTCCTTTCTGTCAAGAGCTGTGTCTTCTGTTTTCCCATCACCGTTGATAGTGTTTTATATGAGTATAACTTTCATCACCAAAGGACATGCTTTAACTATTTTCTCATTGGATTAATGCTCCTGATGTTCTCTCACTTCATCAGCCTTTTTGAGACAAAGTCTCCCTCTGTTGCCCAGGCTAGAGTCCAGTGGCATGATCTCGGCTCACTGCAACCTCTGCCTTCTGGGTTCAAGTGATTCTCCTGCCTCAGCCTCCAGAGTAGCTGGGATTACAGGCCCATGCCACCAGGCCCAGCTGATTTTTTTTTTTTTTTTAATAGAGACAGGTTTTACCATGTTGGCCAGGCTGGTCTCAAACTCCTGACCTTAAGTGATCTGCCCACCTCAGCCTCCCAAAGTTCTGGGATTACAGGCATGAGACACTGCACCCAGCAACTTTACCAGCCTTTCAAACAAAAAAAACTTCTGATCATTCATTCATTCATTCATTCATTCATTTAGAAGTATTTATTTAGTGCCTGTTATATACTCAGCAGTGTTCCAGGCTCTGGGAATACAGCAACAAACAAGACACAAAATCCCCCACCCTCATAGGCCCTACTTTTCAGTGCTGTAGCCCAGGTATATCTAGTTTAAAGTGTCCTCACCTTGGTGCCCCTGGTTGGAAGATACTTAATCCTCAAGCAAACTTCTCAATATTTAGATCTTTAATGAATATGAAAATTAACAAAATATGGTATTTACCTTTGAACCTGTTTAAAGTTAGTGGTAAACTGTCACCCATCCTCCTATCTGCTAATGCCCAAGGTCTCTGTTTTATCAAAACACAGGTTCATGCAAGACAAAGCTTTCTGTACAGCACACTAATTTCAAACAAAATAACTCTGATCAACGTATGCACTGTTTAGTGGACCTGGCCAACGAATGACCATTTTTAGTAATTGTCAATGAGAAGGAAATAGTTTCTCCCAGGCATTTTCAGAGGATGGTCTTAGAGCACAGCTGCATCTGACTATGCCACTAATAAAATGCCCTCTCTCAGGCTTTCATCATTTAGCTGACAGTCAAAACAGCGGTAGTTTATAGGCAGTAAGGCTGGTTGAGAAGTGCATGCTGGTTGGCGTGGAGGGATAATATCTTCCTTGTCCTCTTTTCAGCAGCTTGCACTGTTGACAACTCTATGCTGGTTGGAGCTCTCTTCTTTGGATTCCAGGCTCCCTCTGTCTCCTGCACTGGAGCCGCTTGAGCTATGTCAGGCTAGAGATACATATTTGGGTGTCATTGATGTAGATACAGAAGTTGACACTTTCTGAGTTAATTGGCTATAGGTGGAAAACACAGTAAAAAAAATTAACTTTGGATTTGATTATAGTTAAAAGGATGAAATAAGCTAAAGAACAGTAAAATATAACAGAAGAGGGGAGTAGGATGTTAAGTCAGGGAGGGAAATGGGGATAATTTTGGTAAAGTTCTGTGTTCAAATTTAAAACTATGCCAAAGAGAATGATAACTGTGTTATCTACAGTTCTGCTTTGTGAATTTGTATAAAAACACGGCAGGTGTGTTAAAATGTCAATATCTATAAGCTCTGAAACTTTTCATATTCCAATTTTGTGAAAAACTCAAAATTTCTTATTAAAATATACTTTGACTTATTTTTTGTAATTTCTCTCTTAGATGGCTGGCATGGAAGTCGGGAAAAAGATTTTTGCTATTAATGGTGACCTAGTTTTTATGAGACCTTTCAATGAAGTGGATTGCTTCCTGAAATCGTGTTTAAACAGCAGAAAACCTCTAAGAGTTCTTGTGAGCACAAAGCCAAGAGAGTAAGTTGTATGATTTATGTGTGATTTTTTAAAAGTTATACATAGATAAGTAACACAGAAAAGATAACTAAGTAAATGCTTAGAATTAAGCATCTCATTGCTTGGAACGCTTGAACCTCACCGGTATCATTAATACTGGTTTACAGATGATGGGAGAAGCTACATCGCTTGTGATGCTGACATACTTGTTACTTGAATCATGTAGTTTTAGTGGAAACAATGCTTTTCTTTTGCTGCCCACATTTTCCTGGTCTGGGTTGAATTGGGTTTTACTATGAGTGAAGAAAACTAGTAGAACATTTGAGAATAAGGAACTGTGTTTCTCCATGTTCGGCTATAAGAATTTCTGGTGCTATCAGATGATTAGATACCAGATACCATTTATAATTTAACACTCATAAGAGATGCAAAAAAGACTGAAAGATAATCCATACTTGCATGTGCTTAGTAATTTGTCCATTTCTTTAAAAAATTCTATTAACTATCTACCTATGATTAGAAAAAAAGTTATGTTTATTATAGAAAATGTAGAGAATACAAATGTTTCTAAAGGGAGACTTTTTTTCTTGCAATATCACCCATAAATAGCCATTGTTATTCCTTTGAAATTAAGTATTAACTAAAGTTTTTAAAGTATTGGTACACATATACACAATCAGGTACCCACAAAATGAGAGCATGCTCTGTATGCTACTTTTTAATAACATACCATGCATATACTTGCAAGACATGGGCTTTTCTTGTGCAAATCATTTCCATCAATGGTTTAGTATTTCCTTATCATATTTACCTTGAATTGTTTAACCACTTAATTAATTGAGATAATTTGTACAAACTATTTAGCATAATATATCAAAATTATTGTTTAAATTTTACTTGTATCATTTGTCAATCATGATAAGCAACTTCATTAGTTTTAAAGCAAATGAAATTTAGCACTTCAAAAATAAGATTTTTTAAATTTTAACTACCTATTAAAAGTACATGCAGTATTCTTCCCTGCCTTAAATATATTTTAATATGTAAAAATACATATTTATATGTAATATGTTTATATGTTATATATATTCAGGAATAGCTGGATGTACTTCTGCAGTGTTAAGTATCTTAAGAGTCAAAGTGCAGTGCAGTGGGCTGGGTTCTCCCTAGTGAGTCTCTTCAAGGCAGTGCGAATTCATTAAATTAGATGCTTTAGCTTCTACCAATAGTTTACCAAGAGGTCTGAAAGAGTGAGCCTGACACTCACTTTTTACTAATGTAGGAAGACGGGGCTAGAGGGCAGGAAAGAAGCACAGCAATGTCTTCCCTCTAAACCTAATTATGGTCTGTTCCTCTCCCTTTATTCAACTCTGTCTAGGAGAAGACTGTCCTGCTTGCCCACCTCCTGACACTTTGAGGGCATTTAAAAGGAAGAAGACAGACTGGAAAGGAATAAGGGAGTAGTATTGAAAGCAATCATTACGTCCTCCCTAGGGCCCCCTGATTTAACCCTACAAATACTGATCTACTGATCAGAGACATTCCAACTGTTAGAGACTTTGAGGTCATCAACTTCAAAACTGAATAAATAGGAGCAAATCCTCAGTCATAGACTTAGTTGCTAGATGAGCAGAATAGCAATCTGTGTCTTCTGACTCTTCTTAGTGTTCGTTGCGCTGTGTCTAGAACTCTAGATTACAGGTTCAAGCCTCTCTTCCACTACTTGCTAGCTAAGTGTATAACTTCACGTCCTCATCCATAAAATGGGGATAAGAGTACCTGTGCCATGGAACTGCAAAGAATGTTGAATAAAACTAGGTTTGTAAAGAACTTAGTGAAGTATCCAGTACATAGTAAGTACCCAGTGATGTTATATATGATGCTGTTGTCTTCTCATTTTATTATGTTTCATTGCTACTTTATTATATCAAGAGCATATTTTACATTGTATAGCATACTCATTTTTTTGAAGATGGCATACTCATTTTTAAAAAACTTGTTTGAAATAAATGACTTTTCCTTTATGTCCTTATTCTAATGTATGAGTTCTATAAATCACTGTCATATTTTCTTACAATAGCTTCTTGGAATTTAAGTAGTATCCCATTTTGAGGAAAAGGGAAAAATATGAGAGATAAATGCAAAAGAATTTTCTTTTGATTCTAGCTATATTTCATACTTGATAGCATCAAGGGATTTTTCAAAAGACTTTGTAGCAGATAATTTAGTACACTTATTTTCTGTAGGAAATAGAACATCCGTCTTGTATAAACGTAATTCTTTTTTAATAGGGAATATAATGTTCTCACCAGGGAAACATGTTTTCTAAAGATCATTTTACTAAGGGGCTTCCAACATTTGGACCAAAATGCATGTCATGGTGTTTTGTACAATTTCGATTAAGGAAAAAATAATTCTCTTAAAGATTAGAGTCAACCTTCCATAGCAGTGTTAGAAGGATAGAAAAGCCTTGCTCAGTAAGATTGAGAGGCCACTGTGAATTACTCAAAATCCAAAAGCAACAATAATTCACCATGGCCTGAAAGTTCTATGTTGTTTCAGCAGAAGTGAACTCTCATTCGTAATATATAGAAGCATGAACTTCTTCTGATTTTGTTTCAGGCTCACCAAAATATGTATTCATTCCCTTTTTCTTTCTTTGGTCAGTTATCTTTCATTTTCAAGTGAAACTTTGACAAACACTGATAACTATGTGTTATTCAAAGGAAATGAATACAGCCCTGTACACCAAAAACTGTTTAATTAAGGATAAAGGATACATTAATTCTGTGACCTCTATCCCACATACATACAGATAACTTCATAGTGTATAACCTAATTTATAATAATACTTTCAAGTTTTCCGAGAGCAGAAAATCTTCATTTCTATCCCTGAATGCCTGCCTAGGTTATATTTGAGATTGCAGTGCCAGCCTCTCTGCCTTAGGCCTAAATGTAGCCTATGGCTTTCTGAAGTGTTTGAGCCCTTAGTTTTGCTCAAACTCTCCCACAGCAATTTCATAAACTGCAGATAAGTCCTGCTGTATCTACCTTCAGACTCTGTTTAATATGCCCTTGAAGTGCTGCTGACATTTGCTTTGTGATTAACTCATCTTTTGGGAAACACTTTTGTTTCTTGGGCGTCAAGGGCTATCTATCACAATTTATTGCGTTGTATTCATTTGTTTTTGTTCCCGGCTGCGATATCATACTTGTATTGTTATGATGTTCCCTCGCATCTTGCACTCTCTGCTTTTCATTGTTGCTATCTGATTTCTGGCTTTCTTCAGTGGAGTATCTTATTTATGAGTGCCAAATTGGACACCCCTGACTGGTTTGCCGTGACAGCTTGCTCAAGTTTCCCATCTCTTCATAATCTTTTTTCTTTTTTTAATGTAGATTCATTGGAATGATTTCTTCTCTTATTCAGGTTTGCCTTCTGATGTATTATTCTTTTAAACCTTCATTGCATAAATACTAAAGTGAATCATTTTCTTAAAATATTTTGATACCACGTTTGACAGATCTGTTCTTTATAACTAGCTCTTTGTTGTTCTTTGATAAAGCTCCCAATAGGTAGAAATGTATTAACTCTGTATTTCTGTTACATTAATTTTTATAAAGAATTTCATAGGTCCCTCATTGTTTTCTTTGTAACAGTAAACTAAGGAGAAAAGTTTCTGTTTTATTAAGTACCTGTATAGCTCATAGCACAGTACAGGGCAACTTACCAAGGTTATTTCTTTTTAATTGCCACAGATACCCTGCAAAATAACTTTTAACAATGTTATCTTTCTGTGTCAGAGTAGTTAAGGAGCTTATCTAAGTTATCCACCTACAAACTGACTACTTGAAGATTCAAGGCTACGTTTAAGCAGGTATGGTGGCTCACACCTGTAATCCCAGCACTTTGGGAGACTGAGGTAGGAGGATCACTTGAGTTCAGTAATTTAAGATGAGCTTGAGCAATGTAGGAAACCCTGTGTTTATGAAAAAAATAAGGTAAAATAACCAAGCATGGTGTCACCTTGTGCCTGTAGTCCCAGCCACTTGGGAGGCTGAGATGTGAGGATCACTGGGACAGAGAGATTGAGGCTGCAGTGAGCAGTAATCAAGCCACTACACTCCAATGTTCCTTTTTCAGGCTTTACTGTGTAACGACTGTGTTCAGTTTAGAAACACTGTATTGCATGAGGTTGGGGACCATGTTCGTCTCCAAGGATTTCTAGCCCAACATCTTTCACACTGTAGATCCTCAATATGTATTTATTGAGAGGTGTAAAGCTGTACACGACGATTATTTCAACCAGTTTTGATTCTTACGCTTCATCTTACCTTATTTTCTGATTGATTTAGGACAGTGAAAATTCCAGATTCAGCTGATGGACTTGGCTTCCAGATCCGGGGATTTGGCCCTTCTGTTGTGCATGCTGTAGGAAGAGGTAGGAAATTCGTCTTGCAGGGAAACAGCTTTCCAGCAGGTTTGGGATGTGCCCGATGGAACAGGAATGTGTTTAAAATAGGCAGAACCATGCTGTGATGATTCTCAATTATATTTTCACTGTATTAACTCAATGGTAGCACATTCCAGAAACATTAAAAAAACGAAAAAATTCTAAGCCATATTTATCATTGTTAAAAAATTGATATAAGAATTATGCCTAAATCTCACTTTTCTGCATCCTTCAGTTTATCCAAAGAATATAATAAATTTAAGATTTTCTATTTGTATTTTTCTTGATTTCAAGTAATTGTATTTCTTTGTCAGTAATCCAAAGTTGTGAGTTTTTAGGTTTAAAGTTGATCTGTGGACTTTATAACCTATTGCTATATACTTCCTTCGGGTACTTTTATAAACCGTGGTTAAATCCCATCATAAGATGCATTTTAAATTCAATAATTTTAGTGACTAAAAAGTTATGTTTACACTTATTCTTTTTTGTTTGATTATTGACATCTCTTCTTATCATATGTATTTTTTAAATTTTAAATTGACACTAGCAACAATTGAAGGAAATAACTGTCAGATCCCACATTACTAAACATAGTAAGTAACTTGCGCCTATAGCAAGAAGTGTCACTATTAGCATAAGAAGTCATGTGTTTATCTAACAAGAGACATACATGCTTTTTATTACTAAAGAATGTAAAGTATCTTGATGTGATCACCCAAAAATTTGGCAAGAAAATTTTAAGAGGGCATTTTTATCAGAATCAAATTTATCAAGGACATACTAGCTAGACCTTTATTATAACATTACTTTCATTATTGTATGTATGATAAAAACATCTGATTTCAGAAAGCTGTGTTTCTCTCAGATTTCTAAAACATATAGATGGATAGACAGTTAAAATCTTCCCAATAACTCATTAAATATTGTCAAACTAAAATGGGATATTGAGGCACCAAATATCTTCTGCATTTTCATGAAGACAAAAAGGAATAATTCACATTAATAGTGCTATAAAATAGCTTAAAGCCTGAGTGAATCAAGCTGTACCTCTTCCCTTATTACAATGTCATTTAAAGAGCAAGGTTCTATCTTTGGAGCTTAGTGGTGGGGTTGGCCTACGTCTGGTTTCTGTGCTTTTTGCTTCTGAAGAGTAAAAGACAGAAATGCTCAAGTGCTTTCTCTCTCAGATGTGTATGAAATGGAAAGATATTTGGTTATTTTTTGGCACTGTAATTTTGCCACAAGAAAAAGAGATTTCTCGTGTGGGTCACTGCAGTCACGCTTGCCAGCATCCCCAGGCTCCCCTGCCTCCCACCCTCAGCTGCATTCTAGCTACTGCACTTCAGCCTTGGATCAACCTAACCACATCTTCTCTCTTTTTCCCTTGTAGCTGGAAAAGACTGTCATGGTTATTGAATTAGTGTCTCCCAATTGACTGTCTTCTACTGGGCCCGTATTACTACTCAGCATTTTTAAAAATGTGTCCTTGATCAGTTTTTTTTGCTCCTCAAAATTGCTTCCTATATCCCAAGATGAACTTGTTCCTACGTTACAGACAAATTCAGCCTTTCAGACAGGAAGCCCTCGGAGTCTTCCATTTATAGCAAGGTTGAGACTCTTAGTCAAGGCAAAGACTTCACAGTTGGCTCTATTCAACTCTCCAATCCTGTCTCTTCCATCCACTCCCATTCTAAGCTCACACAAACAGAACAGCTTGGATGCTTCCAAGTGGCCAGGTGATTTCTTGAAGCAAGGCCATTTTTCAGGCTGTTCTTTCTGCTGATAATTTTCCATTTTCCCCTAAGACTCAATTCAATGCAGAAAGCCACTTAACATTTCTAGGAGTGAATTTTATGGGGATTAAGAAGAAATGCAAAGATATATTCTTGAATGTAAATTATTTTCTTAAAGATGTTTAATAATTTCTTTATGAGAGACATTGGTCACAAAAGAAGTCTCCTCTAATATATTTACAAGTTTATAATCATTTGTATTAATTATTTGCATTGTATTCATTACATGTATTTATTAATGGTATTTTGTTAATATTGATTTGATCACACTATCAAATAACAATAATTGGAAGGTTGTGAGAAATCTTAGCTCACTGGTTAGGATATGTTACTTTCATATTTAAATCTATATCAATGCAAACAAAATGACAGGATGAGTGATGCTATCTCATTAATTCTGTTCTCTACAAATTCCCATCTTTCTGACTTTTTGTATATATGTCAAACTCTTATTTTTCTTGGAAAAACCAGTCCAATCATAGTTGCTCATTGACTTGATTTTTCTCTTAAGGATTTTCTTTTTTATGTGCATGTTAAATTGTTGTCATTTTAAAAAACAGAAGTGAATACTATTTGAATATTTAGAAATGTTGTAGAATAAAGGAAGGTAAGTAAGGCATATGTTTCTGGTCTTCTCATTTTGCCATTATATATGCATATTTAGAAAGACTGACTAGACATTTGGAAGGAAAAAGAACTGATTAGTATTATAAAGGTCACTTTGCAACATCCCTTCAAACTAATTCTTAGGGAGGTGAGAAATATTCTATTGATCACAGTTTGAAAGTTAAGTTAAAAAGCAGAAAAGTGTTGAGTGGGCATTGCTCTCAGAACCAAGTTTATCAAGATTATACTAGCTAGACTTTGATCATATTTTAAAATTGCTTCCATAATTGTATATATCATACAAATGAATCTTATTCCTGAAATTTGTTTTTGGTTATTTTCTCATTTGTATTTATAGGAACTGTGGCTGCAGCAGCTGGTCTTCACCCTGGACAGTGCATTATCAAGGTGAATGGAATCAATGTCAGCAAAGAGACACATGCCAGTGTCATTGCACACGTTACAGCCTGCAGGAAGTACAGGCGGCCAACGAAGGTAAGTGGCCCTTCAGATAATCTGGATCTGAGTGACTACTTGCATAAAGACCTAAGGGGTTGAGGTGGGATAGTGCCAGAGATATTTGTGGTTTCCAATTTTAAGTTTAAAATTAAACACAGCATTATAAATCTCATAATGATTGCTTTATCTGCATAATTAATTATAATTGATTGTGTTTAAATGGTTACATTTTAGTATTACAGTACCGCCATCTGTTTAAAAAGTGATCTGGGGTATTTTCATTTTCATTGAGATACAAGTTCTATCAAATTGAAATCCAAAGGTTTGAACTGTTTTCTTGGCCCTTGTGATTGCTTTAGAATATGTAATGATCATTGTGTCTGTGTCTGTATGTATGAACTATAAATACCTATATTCTTTATTAGAAAACTTCTGTGAAAAAGCAAAAATTGTGGGTTTTATAAGGTCCATGATTGATTTTGAGGTATATTTATTTAGGTAACTGGATTTAGCTCTTAAAGGAAAATACCAAAATGTATTTAGGTAACTGCATTTAGGTCTTAAAAGAAAATACCAAAATGTACTCGGCGTTATCTAAAATTGTAGAACACTATCCTTTGATCTACAAGTGCCACAAAAAACTAAAATTAGAATCATAATTCATAAGCAAAGCTATTATGAAGAAAATGTGAGTATTGGCATATAAAAGAAAACTCCTGCAATGTAATTAGCTAGATGCAGGCAGAACTTTACAGGAGAAGCCTTGTATTTTCCTGTCATGGATAATGAAGTACTCATTTCTGGATTGGATTTGAGGATGCAACTATGTCCAAACCTGGAAGATGAATGGCCATTTTCTCATAAGCCAGGGCTGATGGCCTGCAAAATGCTGAATCTACATGAAAATAACTGATCAGTTTTACTTAATGAGAAGGTCAGACCTAGCATAGCAAATTGGAAGTTATATATAGGCTCATAGGTTACTCTGGTTGATAGAAGCTTGATAAATATTTGTTGAACTGTATTATTGAATGAATGTTTAAAGTCTCATCGGAAATGATCAAATCTTTTCTCTTCTACCAGAATGTTAATAAGCAGAGAAATCGATTTGAGTTTCATTTCTTTTTATTTTCCCTGCCTACCCTCTTATAGAGGTGTTGATCAGTGAAATAATTAAAGAAAAGCAATAAATGGGCAGAAAAATCCACTAACATGCTCTACCAGATATCCATTGCCACAAAATAGACCACTGCAAAACTTAGTGGCTTAAAACAATGATAATTGACTATTTGTCTTGATTCTATGGGGCGGCCGTGGGGTGGTTCCTATGAGGTTACTGACGTGGCTGCATTCTGCTGGGACCCGACTTTTGCTTCCCCTGTTCGTGGCCTCTGTTTCCATGTGGCAGGTCACCCTCCAGAGCACCTTTGCATGGCCTCTCTTTCCAGTCTCTAACGGGGTTTTCTTTTCAGTGTGTGTCTGAATTTTAAGAGGGAACATTACAAGTGATAAATGTTCTACTTAGATTGTACTTGCTAGTATCCCTTTGGACAAACCAAATCACGTGGCCAAGCCCAGGGTCAATGTGGGAAACTAAGCGGTGCGGCTCATTGGTGGCCACAACAGGGCACCAAGATGTAATGGAATGATCAAATGTTAATTAGCATTTTAATGATTTGTAGCAATATATTAATTAGACACACTTGAGAATCGAATACAAAAAATAGATAATACATATTGTATCATACTTCAATAATGCAGTTTAATTTGATTTAACATCTTATCTAGAAAATCTATAACCCTTAAAGTAATGCAACCCTTGAAGCATTTGTTTGGTAGTCATCTCATCTCTCTCATTTCTCTAAATAAGACTGGAACTGCTGTTAAAATATAGGATAATTTTTAAGGAAATCGCCCTTAAAAATAGGATGTTTTTTATTTGGAGGGATTAAAAGATAGTTACATTACTTGGGAGACCAATGAGATGAATGATGTCCTTCCAATTTTCATATTTGTTTGATTCTAAAATAGCAGTAAATGTATTAGAATATATCTGACTATTAGGGGAACATGTAAATGATTTGTACAATTATAGA
This sequence comes from Homo sapiens, assembly GCF_000001405.40. NCBI lineage: Eukaryota > Metazoa > Chordata > Mammalia > Primates > Hominidae > Homo > Homo sapiens. Next base: position 68,092,776 of record NC_000008.11, read on the forward strand.
TAATTGATTCATCAGACAAGTGTCCCTCTCACAATTGTTTTATTTTGTTGTCTTATTAAAAAGAGATGGGGTCTCACTACGTTGCTCAGGTTGGTCTTGAACTTCTGGGCTCAAGCGATCCTCCCACCTCAGCCTCCCAAAGTGCTGAGATTATAAGTGTGAGTCACCATGCCCAGCCACATTTGATTATTTTAAAATGTGATTTATAACTTACTTACGATATACTTGAAGCATTTAAGTAAGATATTTTGGAATATATCCTATTTAAAAACATACATCTTTGGAACATATCTTAGAAGATAAAACTTGAAGCTTTAAAAAGTCAGTTTGTTAGGCCAGGCGCAGTAGCTCCTGCCTGTAATCCCAGCACTTTGGGAGGCCGAGGCAGGCAGATCACCTGAGGTCGGGAGTTCGAGACCAGCCTGACCAACATGGAGAAACCCTGTCTTTACTAAAAATACAAAATTAGCCAGGTATGGTAGTGCATGCCTGTAATGCCAGCTACTCAGTTGGTTGAGGCAGGAGAATCGCTTGAATCAGGGAGGCGGAGGTTTTGGTGAGTCGAGACTGCACCATTGCACTCCAGCCTGGGCAACAAGAGGGAAACTCCATCTCAAAAAAAAAAAAAAAAAAAAAGAAAGAAAGAGTGTTTGTTAAACAATATAATTGTCCTTGAGTTTTTATTAGTTTCTGATGTTAATTGTATCTCTCTTTCAAATTTTACTAATTTTAAAGAATCTAGAGGAATAAATAAGGCCAAGTCTCCAAATGGGCATGTATTTTAGGAAGCACTAATACCTCTGAGGTTTCTTTCCCCCCTCATTTCCAGCAAGATTCCATACAATGGGTTTATAATAGCATTGAGAGTGCTCAAGAAGACCTTCAAAAATCTCACTCCAAGCCCCCTGGAGATGAAGCAGGGGATGCTTTTGACTGTAAAGTAGAAGGTAGGTTTCTTATTTTCTTCTTCATGTGCTTATAGTATTCTTTTCCACTGTGCATGTGCCTACTCCCAAATATTGAAGGTCCTGTACATGTTGAAGCCACATTCTTAAGTCGTTATCACCAAACAGATGTCTGTCAAATGCATAAGTAATAATAGCTAGTAGCTGGCAAATTCTATTTGTTAGGCATTTTATGAAGTGTTTTTGTGGACTATCTCACTTAGTCATCAAAAAAGAAAATCTCCTAAAATGGAAATGAATATCATCATTCTTTTTTGAGTGGAGAAAACACTAAAGCCTATATAGGTTAAGGGACTTGCTCAAACTAGTTAAGTAGTAGAGTGAGGATTCAAACCCAGGTTATAATGTGTTTCCTTGTTTGGAGTTTCAGTGTTGTTTAGACCTGGCCTCCAGTGTGCCTCACAGAGCAGCAGTATCAACATCACCTGAGAGCTAGACTGAAATACAGAATCTCAGCTGTACCCCAGATCTACTGAGTCAGAATTCTCATTTTAACTAGATTTGATTTGTATGCATATTAAAATTCGAGAAGCCCTGCTCTAGAAGATTCTTTTTTACTTTTACTGTATTCTAACATTGACAGTAAGGAAAGGAGCAAACTAGTAGTGTGAAAATGAGAGAGAAACAGAGAGAGAGGGAGAGAGAGATCTTTTGATAAGGACGGTTATCATTTCTGTTTCCTCAATGGAGTAAACCAGCAAATGGCTCTGTTCAGTGGCTTCTTTGCCAAGGGCGACAGAGGCAATTACATTTATGTCTGCAATTGACAAATACCTTAAATTATTGTTTCAAAACGTTTTCACAGAAGCCCATGAATCACCTCTTATATTTTCTTGGTGTCTTTCCACTCATATTATTGGTGGATGTCTCTGGATATCTTTGTTACACTATTAGGTTCCTCCCAACCAGCACAGCTGGAGAATAATTCCCTATTCTGAGGTGTTTTCATTCAAAACCCTTCTGACATCCTGTATGTGTGGGGTTTTCCCCCATACCAACCAATTCCCCAAATCTCCTAACACCAACTGGGTGTCCTACAATTCAATTTAGTTGTAAAGCCAGGTGTTAGCACAGACACACAGGTTAGGGGATCAGCCCCACAAGGTTGCCCCCATTTCAGGCGCCTGTCACATGTCCCAGGCTTTCACCTGTATTTCTGACCAACTGGCTATATATTCAGCGGGTTCCCACATCCCTTCCTTGGGTTCAGTTATTTGCTAGAACAGCTCAGGGAACCCAGAAACTTACAATCACTGGTTTATTATAAAGGATAAGAAGTGAAAAGCCTGATGAAGAGATAAATAGGGCGATGTCTGGAAGAGTGCTGAGCACCGAGCTGTGTAGTGGGAAGCTCTGTGAGGGGTTGGGGTGTGCCACCCTCCAGACACGTGGGTGTGTTCACTCACTCAGAAGCTCTCCAATTCCTGTCATTTAGGGATTTTTATGGAGGTTCCATTCCTTAGACGTGATTCATTAAATCATCAGCCATTGGTGACTAAACTTGAACTCTAGCCTCTCTCCCCTCCCCAGAGGTCCAGGGGTGGGTCTGAAAGCTCCTACCCCCTAATCGCATGGTTGGTTCCCCTGACAACCAGCCCCCATCCTGACACTAGCTGTGGGCTCACCAAGTGCCACCTCATTCACATAAACTCCGTTATGTTCTAAAGGGGCTTGTTATAAATAACAAAAGACATTCCTGTCACCTCTATCACTCAGTAAATCACAAGGATTTAAAAGCTTTTTTTCAGGAACGGGGCCAAATACATACATACATACATACATACATACATACATATATGTGTGTGTGTGTGTGTGTGTATCTATGTGTGTGTGTGTGTGTGTATATGTGTGTGTATATATATATCTTTCTTTCTTCCCTTCCTTTCCTTTCCTTTCCATTTTTTTTTTTTCAGAGTCTTTCTTTGTCACCCAGGCTAGAGTGCGGTAGTGTAGTGGTACTATTATAGTTTACTGCAACCTCTAATTTCTGGGCTGAAGTGATCCGCCGTCAGTTCCCTACCCCTTCCAGTAGCTGGGACTACATGCACATGCCACCATGCCCAGCTAATTTTTTAAATTTTTGATAGAGACAAGGTCTTGCCATGTTGCCCAGGCTGGTTTCAAACTCTTGAGCTTAAGTGATCCTCCCATTTGGCCTCCCTGACTGTTGGGATTACAGGCATGAGTCATGGCGCCTAGCCTGTATTTCTTACTGTATATTCCCTATACACACTGATCGTATGGGGGGTACTTAGGAAAAGCTGTTTTCTCTGCACTCCTGGAAGGCCACTTGGTTGGATGCTACCCAAATCATGGGTAATATCAGAAACATCTCAACTCATTGGAGCAATAAGGTTGTTATGGTAATACATAATATTTATCCAAAACAGGACAAATCTCAGGACCTTATTCTGAGGTTTGTATTCCTAATTTGGAATAAATCAACGTTGGTGCCACATTGAAAGGTAGATTGGTTCCTATAATGCTCTGGAAATTGATTTGTAGCTATTCTAGGACTTAGTTACTTTAAGATAAATCAATATTCTACTTTTGCCTATTTAATATTTACTGTTTATGCTATTTTTGGGCTTTGTTGTTCTAAGTAAACTAATATTCTAGTTTTGTTTATTTAATTACTATTAGGTTTCCCAGGAGTTTCTTACTTGAGATTTTAGGTATTTTTCACCAGCTGACGTACCATATGTAGGCTAAAAAACTATAGGCAGACATTTTAGATGGAAATTTTATTATAGTGAACAATGAGAAATTTTCTCAATGAGCCCTCTCTGTAAGTTGCTGTTTGGGAAACTGCAGGCACCCTGTCTGCCAAAATAAAATGATTCTTGCATCTCCTTTCTGCTTCTTCAATATGGCCTTCTTTATGGATTTTTTTCCTGCTTTAAGAAAATATTCATACAACATTCGAGGCAGTTTTAGAAATCCTGACTTTAAGTCATACATGTCTTTAATAAAAAAAATTTAGGTATAGTATTTATACTGATATAAATAGGTAGACATATGGTCCACAGATTGAAGTAGATATGCAAAGATAAGACTAGTCATGTTAGAGTGCTGAGGTTTGGATCACTCAAGCATATGCTTTTCTCGAAATGTTATTTTTTAAAATGTTAACAAGAATAGATGCTTCATTTAACACATCAGATTTAACCATCCCTTAAAGAACTCTTTAAAAATTATTTAAAGAGACACAAAATTATTTGAGGAGATTAACAAATCCTTCATGAATTTACTGAGTTACAGTTGTCTTTGTTCCAGAGGTTATTGACAAATTCAACACTATGGCCATCATTGATGGGAAGAAGGAGCATGTGAGTCTGACAGTGGACAATGTCCACCTGGAATATGGTGTCGTGTATGAGTACGACAGCACAGCTGGCATCAAGTGCAATGTGGTGGAAAAGATGATTGAGCCCAAAGGTTTCTTCAGCTTAACTGCCAAGGTAGGAGCGATGCTGAAGAAATAAGATTTTTTGTTCTAAATAAAGGAACTGAAATCCTCCCTCTCCTTCACTTAAAAAAATAAAAATAGCTATACATGTTGCAGCTGTCAGCTCATTCAAACTTCTTTTTTTTTTTTTCTTGAGACAGAATATCACTCTGTCACCCAGGTGAGAGTGCAGTGGCGTGATCTCGGCTCACTGCAACATCTGCCTCCCGGGTTCAAGCAATTCTCATGCCTCAGTCTCCCAAGTAGCTGGGATTACAGGCATGCACCACCATGCCCAGCTAATTTTTGTATTTTTAGTAGAGATGAGGTTTCACCATGTTGCCCAGGCTGGTCTCAAACTCCTGACCTCAAGTGATCCAGCTACTTTGGCATTCCAAAGTGCTGGGATTGCAGGCGTGAGCCGCTGTGCCCAGCCTCATTCAATTTCTTATTTTTCTCCCCCTCCTCCACTATTTGGTATGCATACAACTTCCTTTTATTGATCCTTTTGGAGCACAGTGTTAAGTTAGATGAAACCCTTGCTTAGGCAGGTGTTCATTGATATGGCAAAGACTTCACAGCATTTAAGTTTGCTGTGTCTGTGAATTCATTATTGTGAATCCAATTCAGATGGTTTTCATGACAGATGCTACTTTTTCTTAAATGTACATAATCCTCTGAAGAGTATTCAAAGTCGTGAAATACATTATAAGAAATTTCAAATTTGGCAAGTGCCATGTTTATTTCATAAAATTTCGGGAACTGTAGAGATCAGTTTATGAATAGATCCTCTGATATTTATGTAATTCTCATTTGGAAAGGACATCACCTTTGCAGAGGTCTTTAGGCTGAAACAAGATGGAGAGGAAGGAAGGGAGCCTTTATCCAAATTAATAAAATACATGGTAAAGAGGCAACTGCTGGCTTTTCATGGCCTGCCTACAAGGTAAATCCATCAGACTCCTACTGTATCCTCCACAGGTGTTGGATTTAGTGTTTCATACTGCTCTATATTCTATGAGAATTCAGATATCACAAGTAAGAAAAATGAGATGTAGCTTTCCTACCTTTATGTCTCTGTTTGAATTGTTGTTTAAAATATGAATAGTTGAGATAGATGTAGCATTTCTAACATGTATTTTTAAAATTTTAGTGGGAGGAAGTAATATAGACATCTAAATGAACTATTTTAAAAGTAATTATTTTATCTTTTGGTTTTATATTCTGAAAGTTAGCTTTTTAAAAATCTCATCATTCTGATGATGTTGTACCTCTCTATATATCTACTGATATCTAAAATATATATTTTTAAAATGCAGTCTCTTCCCGTCTACATTATAGTATTCATGGGATCCATGTAAAAGTTTGGAACCAGGTTATTATAATTATTTTCTCATTTTCCAGCTATTTCAAGTTTGCAGAATTACATGGATTATTCTATATATGACAGCATATGAACTAGTATTACAAATATCACTTGGATTTTACACATGAAGAAAAAACAGTCAAGAAAGAAATGTAGCCAAGGTCACCCTGCTAATGATAAAGTTAACTCTAAGTTCTAGACTAGTGATTAAATAAAAACTCATACTCCATAGTCTGCATAAAAGGGAAGTGGAGGTGGTGAGGGAGCTCAGATAACCAGAACATATATACATTTTATGTTTCACAGAATATTATAAAATATTGATTATGGGTATAATCAATTCTTGCAATGTCTGATTAATCAGAAATGCTACATATATATGTGTATATATATATATATATATATATATATATATATATATATCTCACATAATTAATTCTCAGGTCATTGGAAATTCTTAGTGATTGATGGTACACCTTCCCCATCAACACATATTATTACAATTGATTCAAATAGTCAAAAGAACTTACTAATTGAAAACATCACATAAATACTTTTATCTAATGCTTTTATCAGCAAGAGCTCAGATGCTGCAAGTAACATTAATTTCTACCTTACTGAAATAACTTTTCATTTATTCATTTCTTCAGCAAGCAGTTGTCAAATATATTCTTTTTGCACTTGCCAGACTCTAAGAAACAAGTAAGAATGATATTGGATTCCTTTATGTTTTTTTGTTCTACCAAATTGAGAAAAAAAAATGTTCTGAGTGACTCTGACTAAAATATAGAAGTGTCCCACAGCAGAATGTACTGATGTATCCAGCAGGGAGTCTTTGAAGTCCAGTTACCTCACCAAGCAGGCTCCTATAGTTAGCAGAAGGAAAACCTGAAATTTCAAACAGACAAGTCAGATCACTTCACTGACAGCGCCTCCTGACTGAAGGTAGAAATTCCCTGGCAGCTACCCAGAGAACAAAATAGGAAAGTTGCCCTGTATTGTTAACTTAATGAAAATTTGATATGGCTACTTTTGAAGTTTTTCTTCTTGTTTCGTTTTGTTTTTCTATGTGTGTGTCTGTATGTGTGTTTGTGTGTGTGGGTGTGCGTGTGTGTTTGTCATTGCAGATTCTTGAAGCCCTGGCTAAAAGTGATGAGCATTTTGTACAAAACTGTACCAGCCTAAATTCTCTAAATGAAGTGATTCCTACTGACCTTCAGAGTAAATTCAGTGCCCTTTGCAGTGAAAGAATTGAACACCTATGTCAGAGAATATCCAGTTATAAAAAGGTAAGTGTTCTATTGATTTTATACACAATTATTGTTGAAATTATTATTTGAATGTCAAATTTAAATCAATTTTTGATATTTTCTTTACATATTTGTTAGGTACCATTTTACTGAGATGATAACATTATATAACATTTTAGAGTTTTTGAAATGGCTTAACATCCATTACCTCATTTGATCTTTGCAAACTTGTAAGTTATGTTACTGTCCCACATCTTCAAAATATAGTAACTGAGGCCTAAAGAATTAAATTATTTTCTAGTAAAAGATAGAGCTGGGCATTGAGTGCAGACCACCTAATTCTGAAGTCAAAATTTAAAATTATACTATAGTTCTTCTTTTCTTTTCTCCCAACTAAGAGAATGAAAACTCTCAATCAGAAAGTACATAGACTGTGGGCTTTTAAAAATTAATTGATTAAGTCATTCATTTGACATATATTTATTAGGCACCCTCTATGTGCCAAGTACTGTTCTAGGTTCCAGGAATATAGCAGGGAAGGAGACAATTTCTCTCCTCTCATGGTGCTCACATTCAAGTGGGAGAGACAGCAAGTAAGTAAATAAATCCCTGCAAAGTGAGGGGAATCAAATATTGAGAAGAATTATGAGGAAATCAAAATAGGGAAGTATGGTTTAAGTGCCAGGTTGATCCTTTTGACTCTGTGGCTAGAGAAAGCCCCTTTGAGAAGGCTTGACAAGTAGAACTCTCCCTTTCAATTGGAGAGAGAAGCCTCCAGGGAGAAGGAACAGCTGGTACTGAAGCCCCAAAGCAGAAAGAAGGCCAGGGTGGCCAGAGGTTGGTGGCCGGGCTTAAGGTCAGAGGCTTAGGTGGGGCCAACTGTGAAGAGCTGTGGCAGCTCCTGTACATTTTGGGACTTGGGAAGGAGTTTGGATTTTATTCTTATATTAATGAAAACCAGTTGGAAGGTTTTAAGCAGGGGGATGACTTCATCTGATTTAGGCTTTTGAAAGATCATGCTTTTGTAGGAATGGATTGCAAGGGGGCAGAAATGGAGAAATAGAGACTGGTAGGAAGCTGTTGCAATGGCCCAGTTGAATGATGTTGATGGCTTGGACTACATTGAAGATGAAGGAGACAAAAAACATTAGATGAATTTGGGGACGTATTTTAAAGGTAGAATTAATGGGAATTCATCTCCAAAACACATGCTAAAACAAGTTTAAAAATTGTTTCTATTTATACCAATAGAAGACTAATTGATTAAATTATTTCCATCCAAATGAAGTTGGTTGCTTAAAATTTGGTGCAGCCGTACTAGATAATATTCTTTATCTCAATATATATGAATATGTGTTAAGTATATGTGTTTTATGTTCTTGATATGGTAATTAAAATAAGCCCATATATGTCTATATTTGGCTGCATGAGAATAGGGATGTGTGTAAATTAATACCCAAGGGACTCACAACATTGGTTACCTAAACTAAATGAGTCAAGGGAAAAGAGATCATGATTTTTTCCTTTAAACAATTCCTGTAATGTTTGGGTTGTTGAGTTGAGTTTGCATTACTATTGTATCTTTTAAAAAGTTACTCACATGAAGAAAACTAATATTCAGGGTTGCTGGTTACCTGCCACATTTGTTAATCTGCTTTTCATGACTGCTGAGTTCAGTTCACCTACTTGAGTTTGGGGAAGATTCCATGAATGTACCTTGTTGGAGTTGAAGGACAGAAGATTCTTTTCTTACTTCTCCTTTCTCTATAAAACATGACCGTGCTTTGAAGTAAAATTGAAGTAAAAGGTCTAAACAAATGCAAACGAAAATGCTAAACAAATGCAAATCAGTATTCTCCTTTCGAAGAAGTTTTGAAAAAGAGAGTTGTTCTACTTTAGAAATGGATCTGTACAAGAAGGTGTGATACAGGTTCAGGCAGATTCTGGGTGTCAAACTGGTCACCGTGCCTGGGACATTTCTCTTTTGCTTTCTTCCTGCTTTCCTCTCTTCATTCTTTCACACAACAAAAAAGTGGAAGTAGCTTAAAGAAGTATACATGGAAAATGGTAAACTATATAAACAAACATAATCTTAGGATCAGGGTATATTAGGTAGCAAATTGATGCAGCTGCTTTAAGAATAAGGACCAAGAGAACACAGGCTTAAATAAATGTCGGAGATCCTCAATAGTCACCTTGGAAGGTGAGAAGTATGTTCCATTTACTCATAGGTAACTGAGATCCTAGAAGCTTTTAAGGCGCAGATGGGCAGGCTAATGGGCAATGATGTTAGATGATAAAAATAATGTCACCCAATTATGGAAAGCTCTTTTATGTACATTATTGTTAGTTGAGTCTCAAAACAGCCATGTGTATGGACTCTTCTCTCATCCTGCCTCTTTCTTCGGGAGATTAAGAATTTGCTTAAGGTCACGTAGGTGGCAACTAACAGACTAGGTTCCTATGGAATGTAGTCTCACTTGTGTTTAATTTAATTTAGAAATAAAAAAGAGACATGTAGTCACCTAGGGCCTATGTGCTTTAAAAGCTCTCCTTGTCATCATACCATTTGGCCATAAACATATTTAAAATAACTGGTTTTCTCATTAGATAGAGAAGCAAGGTTAGCAAGAAAACACTGCAAGGATCTTTTCAATTTGAATAAGATTTAGGTGTCTAAGATGGTAGCCCTAATAGGTCATGTAAGATTAGCTCCATTTATGTATCAAATGCATGTCAACAGAACCCATAGCATTTGCGAATATAGATTTTTAATTTTCACACATATACTTTAAAACTATTATTAGCAACATATTTTTCTTCCTGATGAAGGCTTTAACACTCTTCTTTTTGTGAAATAAAATGTATCCATAGAAACTAAAATCTCAAAGATGCTGGCTTTACCTTATTTTGACTCTGAAAGTTTTAGGTTTTAAAAATAGAAACCAGTTGATTGCTATAGTTTCTGTAGTAAGACTGCTGCAATTATAATAGATTTCCTGGCTGGTTGTACAGGCCACAGATGTTTTTTGGCACATGTGTGAAACCTGGTCAGACCTTACTGATGACCTGGATGAATCTTAAGCGAGATGTTTTTCTCTGTGGAGCAGGATTTGGGGACAATTCGGAAGTAAAATTATGCCCTGTTGGGAGGAACACTTTCTCCTTAAATTGTCCTGGAAACGCTTCTTTGTTTTACATTTGTTCTTCTGCTTTAGAATAATTCCATAATTGGGCTTATTTTGGGTATTGGGAGTACTTCCTAGATAGAAATATTTAACATATATTCAAGAGATAGTTCCTGTTTACACAAAAATATTACCTGCAGGAACTGGAAGTCTTCCTTTGAATGTCTGAAGTCCCTCCTTACTTATTAATGCCATGTAATTCTCACACTGATATATGGACTGGGAAAATTGCAGGAAAAAATCTTCCCCGTGTCCCCTTCCCTCAAAAGGGTACAATACAAAACTTCTATAACCCCATGCCAAAAAGATTTTATGCTTAATTGAAATAGGAAGCTATCTGCAAAATAGTAGCTTACCATTGTATTATTTCATTTAGTTAAGTGACTATAGTTGGATTAAAATGTGCTGCTATAGTCAATAATTCACGAATTAGCTACCAATGCATTAAAAACCTGAAGTTGCATCTTCAGAAATTGTTTATTCGTGTCAGCGTACAAATATGTTTTATATCACCTACATTAAAAAGAAATAGCCCTCCCCTACCCCACACTGTTCCCTTTCTTTGATCTTTCTCCTGGAAAAGGCTGTCTATACCTGCTTTCTCACCTTCATTACCCTCAACACACTCCAGTGGGCCTCTTCTTCCCTCTGTGTAACTGAAATGGCTGTATTTTGCCAAAGTCTATTGACTATCCTGATAGCATTCCTTGTCTTAGTGGGATCTGATGCAGTTGACCGTAAACCTCTACTTGGTGGTTCTCCGTGACCCCACATATGCCTGGTTTTTGTCCTTTCTTGTGGGGGCTCCTCTGTGGTATCCTATGCTGACTCCGCCTTTTCTCCCCTTCCCTTTCCTTGGTAAAGCTCCAGGACTCAGGACTCCATCTTCTCCTTTTCTCTCTCCATTTTCAATCCTCTGGCGATCTCATTCAGGGTCCTGGCCTGTTTGACCTCTGCAACTGGGTTTAATCCATATCTCACGCTTCACATGTTCCAAATCAGCTCTTGATCCTTCCCCTGCCCCACCCCAGTGCTCCTGCAGTTTGCTTTTCTGCTGTCTTCTCTATCTCGGGCTTATGCCCATCCTCCCCATTGCTCAGCCTAAAACCTCGAATACACTCTTCACTTCCCTTTCTCTCACACCATTCTTGTGGCTTTACCTTCAAACATGCAGCCTTTCCTCCCTACCTCTACTGCTGGTGGCCTTGGGTGAGCCACTGCCATCTCTCCTGTAAGTGGTATCTTTGCTGCTACCGACCAACCCACAGTTGTCCTGAGTGGCTGTACACTTCACTCATGGTCAAAGCCAAATCCTTTCAATGGCCTTCAGGATCTGTGCCCTCCCTGCCTGCATTGCTTCTCCAATCCTGCCTCCTCTGCCTCCCTCTCACTGCCGCTCTGGTCACACTGGTTTTCTTGATGTTCCTTGGACACACCAGCCCTGTGGCTTTGCACTGGCTCTTCCCTCTGCCAAAAATGACCCCTTTCCAGATGCTCACATTTCTAACTTTCCACTCCTTCCAGACTGCTTAAATGCCAGCTTCAGTGAGGCCTGTTCTGATCATCCTGGTTACAACTGGTAATCCATTCTTCAGTTCACCTCTGAAACTTCCAACCCTCTTACACTGCTCAATTTTGTTTTCAGTTACATTTACCATCTATCAACATTACATAATTGACTTACTGTATTCACTGTTGACCTCTCCTCTCACTGGAATGTAACCTCCCGGAAGACAGGAATCTTTGTTTTGTTTACTGATGTTCCCCAACATGCTGAGGGCAGTACCTGATGCACAGAGAGCCTTCCACAAGTCATTGTTGGGTAAATGAATAAAGGTGGCAGTAAGTTTGGGCTTGTGGTATCCATAGTAGATCTAAAGTCCTGTCCCTCCCAATACACCTCTCTCCACACCCACCCTGTGCATTTCTTTATTGCAAAATTGCAGTTTTTATTTGGGGATAAGACCTTTTTGTTTTGTTAACCTTTCCCTGGGAGTTTCTCCAAAGCAGATTAATGAGTTCAGTGTTTCCTTTGATGTTGCTAAAAAGATAGGCAGATTGATGTTTACAGGGCCATTTGCACAATCAGGATGTTCTCATGCATGAACCACCATCAATTCAAGAACTGTACCTTCCATATTTTAGGTTCAAGCTTCAGAAAGGTTTTACAATTTCACAGCACGGCATGCTGTCTGGGAGCACAGTTTTGATCTTCACAGTGTAAGCAGCACATTTCCAGTACCTGTGACTATGGAGTTCCTCCTGCTGCCTCCTCCTCTCTTAGGAATATCCCAGGATGGAAGACAGCACTGCATTCCTGAGGACCTTCCTTCTCAAGAAATGCTCTTAGCAGAGAGGGCCCCTGTCTGATTCTTACCCTTTGGAACAGTTCAGGCACCCTTAGACACAGTACACAGCCCTTCCTAGCATGTGGGCAGGGGGACATCCTGTATTCACAGGCATTTGTATTGAGCTACAAGTTGGAAAGCCAGTCCCCCTAGCAAGAGAATCTTCTGCCAGCTCTCCCCGATTACTCCATTAACACTTCTTGACATCACCCTATTCATTTCCTTTTCAGCTTGTACCAAAATTTCTAACTATCTGGCTTTTACGTGCATTATATAATTGTATATATACAGTCATGCACTGCATAACATTTCAGTAAATGACAGACCATATATATATGGATTATATATATATATATATATGGATATATATACACATATATATACACACACATATATATATATATACATATATATGTATATATATATAAAATGGTGGTCCCATAAGATTATACTACTACATTTTGGCTCTACTTTTTCTATGTTCAGATAGATGCACCTATTGGTGTATTTTTCAGAATACATCCCCGTTGTTAAGCAATGCATTACTGTATTATATATATGGCACATGTATTATATATATGGCACATTGCCGTTACTTTTAATGGCAAAAACCGCAATCACTTTTGCTCCAACCTAGTAATTGCAATAAACAATTGTTGTATATAGCAATACTATTGCATTGTTTTTCCTGTGGTGCCTACTAGACCATGAACTCCAGGAGGGCAAGGGCTATATCTCCAGCATTGAGCACAGAGTCTGGAATAGATGCCTCTCTTCTTGCTTTTGAATGGATGGATAATTGTTTAAAATGGAAGAAGGCAAGAGAAGCATAACTTCCTATTATGGTGGATGCTGTTACCTAATAACATTGATTTCAGTGCCTTTATTTGTGCCATGGGTGCCTTGTGAGACTTTTATCCTGCAATAACAGTGGGAAAGAACTTTTGACTGAAAGTTTTTTGCATCTAGCCTTAAACTCTATGTCCCATATAAGCCTCCAAGTCACCGTTTCTTTATTAGTAAAGTGATGGGATAGGTCAGGATTTCTCTAAATTCCTTTCTTCAAAAAATGTTTAGGATAAATTTTCACTATCCATTATTATTAAATTTGCTCATCATTTTGTTAATAATTTCCTGCATTTCAATTCAGTTCCATTTAGATTCCTACTGTGCGCTGGCACATGGCTGAACTACATAGCTTCTGACATGTGAATTGAAGACATAGTTTAATACACACATTATACATGCGTATGTATATATATCACATATATATATAATCTACACGTATACATATAAGAGAGTCCCTGTTCTAATGGTGAGCTTATATTTATGCAATGTCAATTTTGATATTTATTCTTGAATTTAATCTAGAAAAGTTAGATAATGACCAGTCATAGTCTTAATTTTTATTCTTATTCATGCCAAAATTATTACTCTACTAGTAGAGTAAATAGATAGGATCATGGTTATAGTTTTCAAGGGAGAAGAGAATATAGACATTATTTAATCCATGTCCATTGTGTTACGAAGAATGCAAAAAAGACACTGACTTGCCTAACATCATATCAGTTATTGTGACAGCTGTAACTAAAACATGGTAGCTAGTGACTCTGAATCCTTTGCTTTTGAGACTACAATTCAGTCTAACTCTATGAGACTCTTACTGATGGTACACAGAACAGACCTATGTATTAGCCTCATGGGGTTTACCATCTGCCGGGGGAGCTAGAAATAAGACAATTATTTATACCTATATAATAGGAAGGTTACAGCGTGCTGGAACTTAGCAGTAGTCAGGGAAATTGAACCTAGACTATGAGTCAGGGAAGGCCTCCTGATGATTTGATAGAAATTGAAGTTGCAAAGGAAACAGTTCGGCAATGAAGGAAGAAGAACATTCTAGGCCCACTGAACAGCCTGTAGAAAGGGTCAGAGTGAGTAGATAGTGTGTGAGACGAACTAAGTGAGGGCCAGAAGGAGCTTAGGGAGCAAGGGGAAGAAAGCTTGAGATAGAGAAGTTAGGTGAGGATCTGACTTGGGCTGCTTTGGAGACCTTGGCGAGGAGTAGATGCATTTGAATGGAAACCCATGGCAAGGTTTGAAGCAGTGGAGTGGCTACCTTGGAAGTCATATAAATCATGTGAGTATCACTTTATTCTCAAACCATAAAGGCAGAGTGCACACTAGTCTTCAGTTTGATCCTGACTCAATGATTAGCAGGAGGCATGGGAAACAGACTTGTCCTGCCATTCTGGGCCTCAGCCTCCACACCCTACTGTCTGACCTGTACACAGACTAGTGCTTTGGATTAGCTTTATGCTTGTGTTTGGGACATCCCATCTTCCTCCACCCTTGACCTGGCAGCTACCCTGTTTTGCCATTTTGCCTTGTTTGGAAGATCTCCATTCTCTCCTGGTGTCCTGGGATGCCACTTGCCCTGTCAGGCTCTTTCAGCTGCTGGGAGCCTGTGGATTTGAGTCCAAGTATATTGTGCTGGCCACAGAAATTCATTTCTTTTAACACCTAAGTTGCAATCACAGTTTCAAAGGAATCATATGCATTTGCTGCTTATATTGCTTGGCTTTATTAAGAATGCTTCAGTTTTGAAATCACAATGGAATTTCTAACAACATATAATTTATTTCACTCATTCCAGTTGACATGATTTAATTTGCCTTTGATTTTGTTGTGAATGATGCAAGTGAAAAAAAGATGCCTGAGTTATTACTGTGTGTTCAACTGCTTTTTATGTTTTCTTTAATTTGCAGTTTTCTCGTGTACTGAAGAATAGGGCCTGGCCTACTTTTAAACAGGCCAAATCTAAAATCTCCCCACTGCACAGCAGTGATTTCTGCCCTACCAACTGCCATGTCAATGTGATGGAAGTTTCTTATCCCAAAACATCAACCTCTTTGGGAAGTGCATTTGGTGTTCAGTTGGATAGCAGGAAGCATAATTCTCATGATAAAGAAAACAAATCTTCGGAGCAAGGTATGCTAGCTTTTGCAACTTTATCAAATCATGAAAAGCAATTTAGGCAATCATAGCTATTCATGCATCCCTGAAATTCAATAGATACCTGGTGTGCAAACAAGCATGAACTTTTATAAAGGAAGGATTTCTTGCTGTAATCATTTGGATAATTATGCCTAAGTGTATACTGAATGAAAATGGAGTTAGGCATTTTTGTTATTTTTCTTCTAAGAAGGATGATTGCTCTTGCTTTCCTTATGCATATGATAGGCACAGCTCATCTTGCTGTGAAAGCTGCTGATCTGAAATGGCCCTGAAACTTTGAGGACAATACCTGAGGAACAGCTGCAGCAATGCACAGTGCCATTCTGTACCATCACAGTAGGACAAGGGATCAAACTATCCTCTAGTTTTTAATTACAGCTCCCCACGGGCTCTAATTTCTGAACTAAATTCAGCATTGGATCAGCATTTTATTTTATGGAATCTCAAATTTAATTTAACTGGATAAAGAAAATGGGGTATATAAACACAATGGAATACCACTCAGCCATAAAAAGAAGTAAATCCTGTCATTTGTGACAACATAAATGAACCTGGAAGATATTATGTTAAAGTGAAATAAGCCAGACACAGAAAGACAAATACTATATGATCTCATTTATATGAGAAATATAAAAAAGTTGATCTCATAGAAGTAGAGAGTAGAATGGTGAGTAGCAGGGCCTGGGGTGGTTGGGTGGGGGATTGAGAAGATGAAGGTCAAAGGATATAAAATTTCAATCAGATAAGAGGAATAAGTTCAAGAGATATATTGTATAACATGCTGAGTATAGTTAACATATTGTATTCTTGATAAATCCTAAGAGAGTGGGTATAAAGTGCTCTCAGCACCAACATGATAACTATGTGAAGTAATACATATGTTAATTACCTAGATTTAGTCATTGCATAATGCATATATACGTCAAAACATCAGGTTGTACATGTAATACATATAATTTTATCTGTCAATTAAAAAATAAATGAAATTAATTGGACTGGGTTGTTATCGCAAGTTAAAGGTGATACATATTACTAAGGAATGACTTTAATTCCTCAGGGAAACTGAGCCCTATGGTGTACATTCAGCACACCATCACAACCATGGCGGCCCCTTCAGGTCTGTCTCTGGGACAGCAGGATGGCCATGGTCTCAGGTATCTGCTAAAAGAAGAAGACTTAGAAACCCAAGACATCTATCAGAAACTGCTGGGCAAACTTCAGACTGCACTGAAAGAGGTGGAGATGTGTGTTTGTCAAATAGATGAGTAAGTGTTTTGTACTACACTTTTAAGTTTGCCAAATAAAATAGCCATAAAAATGTGGCTTAGAAAAATTCAATCATTCTCTCTTTAGTTATTGGAAATTTAGGAGATTTGTGCTGATTATATAGATCCTCTTCATTCCAAAACCTTAAAAATGTTTTTTAATGGAAAAAATACATATAGGTATATATTTTAAGTAAGCATTTAATACTAGGGAAGAGAATGACAAAATTCTGTCTTATACAAGGATACTAAATGAGTCTCAGTGTAAAAATATTACCTTGAAAGATATATTTGAAAGAATACCAGTTTTGTATGAGGATTTCCTTGTATTCTTTGTAGTTCAGGGTGCAAATTTTGGTGAATATGCACTCAATAGATATTTATAAAAGACATAAAGTATAATAAATGCTTAACATACTTGTTAAATGAGTAAATGCAAAATTATGTATCTCTAGGACGAATTTTTTTTTCTGTTCTGATTGAATTGACAGCCTGCTAAGCAATAACCCAAATACCTGTGCCAGTATTTTTAACCAAGAGAAGGTGGAGGCAGTTAATGAGCACTTTTCCAAATAAATCAGTTCTAATTCTTATGTAAGAATATGATGGTTGGAGAATTGCCTGAGCTTGGTAGGATGGTTTGTCATATCATGGTATAGGACGATGCTTCACATCTAGTCCAGACAGCTCTGTATAGTCAGAACAGCATGGGGTTTGAGGTAGCTCAGTTTCTCATCTACAGAAGTGACTGAGTAATAATAATGAATTACAAGTTTGTGGTCATGAAAATTATACAAATTAATATAGAAAGTAATCAGCACACTGCCTAATATAGTGCTTGCTCATCCATTCAAGGGATGGAAATTATTGAATATATCCCAAATTGGCAGATTCTGAAAATAATAGAAATACTGTTATCTTCTTTTTATTGTACTCTCTTCGTGAAGTTGTTGATTTAAATGGCTACGGATGTGAACTCTTTTAACTTCACACACACACCTATCATCCTGTACTTCATGGATAATTCAGTTTTGACACAAAATATTTAGAACTTATTCCAAGCCTTTGTTGTAATTAGACATTATACGGATGAAGTCATAATTGACACGATCTCTCATTTTACACATTTTTGAAATTTAGAGATCAAAATCACATTAGATGCATCATATTTTAAAAATTATCCTCAATATTTAGTATTTACTTTGCTAATTTTCTGAAGTTTTATGAGTGATTTAGAATTAAGATTTTGTTTTTCTATTTCTAATATGCTAGTTTTGTATATTATACTGTGACTTTTCCCATTTACAGATGAATTAAACCGTTCAAGATTGCTAAGAGAAAAGGAGAGTATTTTTTTAAGCAATTGCATGACATCTTTGAATTGTGTTGGAATCCTTGTGACAGCAGTTTATATTTTAGGATATGATATTTTACTTCATTTAATAAATGAGATTTTATTGCATGATATATTTTAGAAACCAGTTATTGTCTCCCAGAGGTATTTATGAAGTATATAGAATTTTTATTAATAAGGCAATAAATAGTGGCATTGAATCATAGCTCCTAGGCTTCAAAGGGATTTTAAGAAAACATCTGGACCAATCCCATACTTCCAGTTCCAAGAGTTGTTATTGCTATTTTGGGATGAGTCTTGTCAGTGGCAAGATTATTGATGTGCCTCAGCTGACACTGCTCAGGGACTAATCTTTACTGCATTGACGATCTAGCACTGCCTCACAATCCTCCAGACTTTGTCTTTGTTAATTTATTGACTTTTTTTTTTAAGGTTCAGGTAATGTAGAAATATTTTTAGGAAAAATATGTAAACCCAAGGAGCTCCTTTTACTTGGTTTAAAATATTTATATTTAAGACACTAGTTTCAGACTAGTTATTTTTTATTAACTAAAACTACTTAAAATGATTGTTTTTCACTGAAGATTTCCCCACCCTGTTATTCTAAAAACCTCTACCCAACTGAGTGTGTTTATTAGAAAAGTGGCACACAGTGAGCAAATGATTGGAGAAACCACCTTGGTCTTCTTTGGGTACACCACATCATGTAATTCTAAGTATAAATAGGTTCCACACAACTTAATGTGCAATATAATCCCTGTAAAACAGTACAATTATTTTAAGTGCCTGGATTCCCCCTTGCCTTTAATATTCAGAGATGCTGCCATGCAGTCGAGGTTAACACATTATTTAAAAATCTAGTATCTGAACAATTTTCTCACCCTATAGTAATTGTTCCTGGTCAGAGATGTCTTTGCAAGTGAAGAAGCAGATCTCGGATGTGTTGCCAACTTTTAAGAGAAACTGCCTGATAACACCTCAGTGTTAGCTTTTCTAGAAGTTATTCATCCCTGTGAAAGGTCCTGGGGTTGAGCTTGTCTTATCATAAAGTCTGGTTGTTCTGTCACCTGGGAATACCTCTCTTAGAAATGAAATTTCCTTTAACACATAGGCATTTCACTAAATCCTCCTACTTAGCTTCAGAGCCAAAGATGGAATTAGAGATGAATTTGCTGTCTAGTAACATGAGGTAAGATGATGTAATGAATTTAATCAAGGATTTGTGATTCCAATTTCACTTTGGAAAGTTAAAGACTTTTGCCCTGCAATGGGCTATTTACTGGGTAATGACACTTAGGTACAAGAAATAAGTAAAAGGAAAAATAATTAATGTCCAAAACCTTTGACAGGGTTTTTAAATAGAGGATTTGTGTATTCTCACAGGGAGGAAAGGGGACTGGTAGACATAGGGGATTTGAGAACAGACTTCATTTTGCAGGTGCCAGACGCCTCAGGATTGAGTGGTGAACAAACCACACTTTAAGACAGTTAGTAACCCGGGGGTTACAGATAGGAATGGTGGTGGTGGTGGTGGTGGTGGTAGAGTAATCACTGAGGTTTCCCCAAGCATTTTGCTACTAAATGTACAACAAGAGGGGCACACCATAAAAGCCAACTTTTTTATAGATGCTTATTTGCCAGGCAAGATTACATTATTATATACATTGGCTTATTTCATTCTCACAGTACTTCTGTGAGTTGAGTTATGAAACACCGGGATGCACCCTACTCCCTCCAGAGTGTGCAAGTTAGATGCAGGGAGAGGAAATCCTGCTTAATTTGCACAGGATATGTATGTAACAATATGTCTTGCCTACCCCACCTCTAAAATGGGGAAAATAATAATACCTACTTCATAAGGTGGTTTTAGAGATTAAATGAATTCATACCTGTTAAGGACTTAGCATCGTGACTGTCATGAAAGCTGAACAGATGTTAGCAATGATGATGATGTTTAAAAACACACAGGTCATTGCAACATACTGTATACAAAAATCTTTCTTATCAATGGCACAAGGAGAAGATTCACCTGGAATTGCATGCTGCTGAAGGTTTTAATTAATGGACCTCTAGTAGGTAACTTAATATTTTATACCAATGAAAGTGAAGGGATTTCTGCAAGCACAAATATTATGGTTTGATGCCTTGTTGCTTTTCAGAATCTAGAAATTTTATGCAAAACATGGTGTTAAAAATACAGTTTTTCTATCATTTGTTTGTAAGCCTAACACTTGTCCCACGGGGTCAATGCAAGCATGATTGCAGCTGTTTTAAATAAAAAGCAAATATCTGAATACAATTCATATAACTTTGAAAAAAATTATGCTTAGCCCCATGACTTCTAATTTAAAAGATACATAAGCACAGAGGCCTCTTGGCAAAATGAGAACTCCTGCATTTTTTCCCTCTTTGGTATTCAGAGTTCATCTGTCTGTGCAGCATGGAGCTTGGATAATTGGAGTTAGTCTAATGTTTTAATCTTTTGGGTGGAGAGGGTGAATAAATAGACAATCTGTCTTACAGGACATAAAAGTATCTTTCCAAAGAGAAAAACTGTGTTTAAAATCATCCATAGCTTTTGGTTATTAAAAATGTTCACAGGGCCTCAAGCAATGTAACATAGCTCCTTCAATTTTTCACTGGTGTCTAAAACCTATAAAATGTCAAAATATTGTTCAAATCTCACCTCGCTGTGAGACCTGACCTGACTGCACCACTGTTTGAAGTGGCAGCTTCACGCTTCCTTCCCTGCTTTCTTTTTCTCCTTACCATTTGCTGCCATTTGATATACTAGAAAGTTTACTTGTTTTTACTTGTCTTCTCTCAGTAGAATTTGAGCTCCAAGAAGGCAGGGGCTTTTGTATTTTGTTTTTGTTGTTGTTGTTGCTTGTTTGGTTGGTTTTTGAGACAGTCTCACTCTGTTGCCCAGGCTGGAGTGCAGTGGTGTGATCTATGCTCACTGCAACCTCCATCTCCAGGGTTCAAGCGATTCTCCTGCCTCAGTCTCCTGAGTAGCTGGGACTACAGGCTTCCACCACCACACCCAGCTAATTTTTGTATTTTTAGTAGAGACGGGATTTCACCATGTTGGCCAGGCTGGTCTCGAACTCCTGACCTCACGTGATCCACCCACCTCGGCCTCCCAAAGCGCTGGGATTACAGGCATGAGCCACCGCGCCCGGCCCTTTTGTGTGTTTTATAAACTACTATATCCACAGCACCAAGAACAGTGCATGGTATAATAAATGTGTTTAGTGAAATCACTTAATAGGTATTTATTCAATGCACAGCATTGGGTTTGACATTATGGAATATGCGTAAGAGGTATAAGATATCGTCACCGTCTTGAAATAACAAACATTACATTGCTATGGAAAAATGAGAATCAAGATATGTGCTACTGATTGGAACTGAAAATCACAGGTATTTAGTAAATGCGAAGATGGCTGCTGGCTTGAGAAGCCCTATATGGGTCCTTTGTTTATACATGGTTTAATTCATTTTGCAAGTTTTTTAGCATGCTCTTTGATAATAAAGTTCAATTCCATTTTTGCCTAATTTTGAGTTAGTTGTAACAGAAACATGCCACAGCCAAATGTTCAAGCCTAGAGTGTTGGAGTCAGCAGCTACTCAAAGTCCTCAGCAGGTTTCACACAGTTCAGTCTGACTGCGGCATTTTAGCCTGGAGCCAGGTGGAGGAGCTCTTTCTGTGGGCAGATTTGGGACATTTCATCCTGGCTGGCTTGCAGATTTACCCCATCCTCACATTGTATGTAACTCTGTTTAGTGTCTTGTAATCCCCAAGGCCAAGACTCCTGTTTGTACGAGCAGGGAGACGGATAGACAATCCAATATTCTCCCTGCCAAATAGGGAATGCCTGGGCAAAACCCAAGGCATAGATAGAGGGTAGGTGGGTTTTTAATACTGAATATGAGCCAGTGAGGACATGAAGGCCCATTTATAGTTTGGGTTTAATATTTGGCTAGCACTTTAAAGATTACTGAGTATTTTCTGTTTTTCTTTTCTTTCTTTTCTTTTCTTTCTTTTTTTTTTTTTTTTTTTTTTTGAGTTGGAGTTTCGCTCTTGTTGCCCAGGCTGGAGTACAATGGCACGATCTCGGCTCACCACAACCTCCGCCTCCTGGGTTCAAGCAATTCTCCTGCCTTAGCCTCCTGAGTAGTTGGGATTACAAGCATGCGCCACCACGCCCGGCTAATTTTGTATTTTTTAGTAGAGACGGGGTTTCTCCAAGTTGGTCAGGCTGGTCTCGAACTTCCGACCTTAGGTGATCCGCCTGCCTTGGCCTCCCAAAGTGCTGGGATTACAGGCATGAGCCACAACACCCGGCTGATTACCGAGTATTTTCATAAGGTGGTGATGGTTGTGCTAATGGCCAGGGGCTAGAGGTGACACCCATTATGCACCAGGAATATTCATTCTCACAGCAGTCATGGAAGCCAGTTATTCTCATTATCTCCATTTCACAAGTGTCAAACAAAACTATCACAGCTTTGTTTTAGCTATAGTCATACATGGCACAACCTGTATTTCAATGAAGCTTTCTGGTCTAAATTGTATGTTGTTTGTATGACTTATTTTGTGAAGAACAAGAGAACTTTGAATGACATGCTTTTTATGCAATAGAATATTTACTTGATATGAAACATTGAAGCACTCTAGAAATATTTGTAAGCCTATTGTATTCAGCAAATAAGGTAGTTATATATAGCAGACAGTTTGAAAATGTGCATTTTTTTTTAATATTACATTGCAGCCTTCTGTCTTCAATAACATATTCTCCTAAATTAGAACGTAAGACATCAGAGGGCATAATACCAACAGACAGTGACAATGAGAAGGGAGAAAGAAACAGCAAACGGGTATGTTTTAATGTAGCAGGAGATGAACAGGAAGATTCTGGTCATGACACCATCAGCAACAGAGACTCTTACAGGTAATTCACTAATTCCTCAAACTCATTTTCTTAACAAAGTCAAATATGATGCTGGATTTTCCACAAAGATCTTGAAAAAAGTTTTTGATTGTTTTTCTTTTAATTGGTCTTTCACAATAATCACCTGTTACTACCGACCTCAGACAAAGCATAGTGGGACAATGTAATATTTCAAATCCTTCCCTTTTCTAATATGAGTAGCTTGGAAAAAGCATTTTTTCGCTGGTTGTGTGAGCCTAATTTGGGAGAGTTGTTCTGTATATGGATTGTGTAACACAGATAGCTGGTAAGAAAATTGTGCCTATACAGGATTAACATTGTTTTCAACTATCTGTTTCTGTCACTGGTTTATTGGGTAGTGAATAGGAGTTCTTTTGGCTCTTTTTTCTCTCTTTTCTTTTCATTGTCTATGTTCCAACCTAATTGGACTAATGTTCCTTGCCTACCTCGGAGACAAGGCTTGTGGTTTTTACTCTCTTGGATACCTTCTGTATTAGTTTTGTAGGGCTGCTGTAACAGATTACTACAAACTGGGCAGCTTAAAAAACAGAAATTTATTATCACACAGTTCTGGAGGCCAAAAATCTGAAACCAAGGTGTGGGCTGTGTTGGCTCCTTCTGAAGGCTGTGGAGGAAGGATCCGTGCCAGGCGTGGCTCCTTGACGCGTAAACGGCCATCTTCTCCCTGTGTCTCTGCACGTCATCTTCCCTCCATATGTGTCTTGTGTCCAAAGTTTCCCTTCTTATGAGGACATTTTATAGGGTGGCTTAAGGTCACGCCCTAATGACCTCATTTTAACTTGATTACCTTTGTAAAGACCCTATCTCCAAATAAAGTCACATTCTGAGGTACTAGGGATCACTTTTCAAACATATGAATTTTATTGGGAGACCTAGTTCAACCCAAAATACTTTCCCTCCAAACTCTGTTATTGTCTTCCTACTAGACTTCCAAATGATGTCTCCTCACGTGAACTTCCTTAATTCAAACTACTTTTTGTTCCTTGAATCCATGTATCACCTGATACCTCACTGAGGACTGTCATAACCAGCCACATAAGCTGTGTATACAACTTCAACATATTTTTCATTTATATTAATTGAAAGCAGAAACTATCTTCTTCACTCATTTATTATGCAGTGTTTTGCAATGAAAAGATATTGATTAAATAGTAATCAAAGTTCTCATCAGAGTATAACTAGCTACAAACTAGGAGCTAACATTAAAAATATACTTTTATCAAACACATGGGGGAAAGAGGAAGATTTTACATAATCCTCACCGCAAGCCTCGGTGGCAGGTTCTGATAGGAATTCCATTTTACATATCAGGAAGCTGAAGCCCAGAGGGCTGATATCATTTACCTATGAGACCAGGTGGTCTGGCTTCCCAGTTTGTCTCTTAACCACTCTACTATTCCAATTTCTATGTTTCCAAAAAGGATCTTAATGAACACATAAGAATTATTCTAGAGATTTAATAATAGATCAGACAGATTAACCACTTTTATCACTTCATTTACTTTTCACTTCTAAGCATCCCAACCTGCTCTTTAATAGGAATCTGTAGAGTTTTTCCCAGTGGGAAATTACATGTCTAAAAATACTTTCTTACCTCAAGTTCTAGTTATCAGATAATTAAAATTACCCTGACAGTTTCCCTCTAGGCTAAGATAGAAATTTTAAATGTAAATTTAAAGTTAAGGACGTCCTTTTTACTTATTCTGAGAGGAAAGAAAATACTTTATCTCCTGCACTATTTCTGAAATTTGTCCCTGTTCACACACAAACATATTGAACCTTTCTTTCCTTGGGCATTCATCATTATCAAGCACTTCCCTGTGCTAAAAGCTCTGAGGTGGAGACAGACAAGTTTCCTGTCCTCCCTAAGGAAGCTCAGAGTGTAACCAATAAGTTATGATTTAAGCCACCAGAAAGGGACAGAAATCACAGAACAGTATTTTGTCTCTATTAGCAAGTTATCTAATTACTGGCATGTATCATGAAACAGATTATAAAGAATTTTAAGTTTGGCATGACTCCTAGTTTTATAGCTAACTGCCCTTAAAAAATCATTTAGGATTAGATTATATGATACAAGAAAATTTGAAATATAATTGAATCAAAAATATGCCATCTTTGGCCGGGCGTGGTGGCTCACGCCTGTAATCCCAGCACTTTGGGAGGCCGAGGTGGGCGGATCACAAGGTCAGGAGATGGAGACCATCCTGGCTAACATGGTGAAACCCTGTCTCTACTAAAAATACAAAAAATTAGCCTGGTGTGGTGGCGGGCGCCTGTAGTCCCAGCTACTCGGGAGGCTGAGGCAGGAGAATGGCGTGAACCCTGCAGGCGGAGCTTGCAGTGAGCCGAGATCGCACCACTGCACTCCAGTCTGGGAGACAGAGCGAAACTCCGTCTCCAAAAAAAAAAAAAAAGACAGAAAATATGCCGTCTTTAAAAAGTAAGATAGACTGAGTTGAACAAGTTTATCTTTCTCATAGTTTTCTCTAAAACATACTAATAAATATAACTGATATAAGTTTATGTCATAAGAAATTGCAGGGACACCTGGGCAGATGCACTCTTACAGTAACATGAAACCTGTTGTTTTCAGTGACTGCAACAGCAATAGGAATTCCATCGCCTCCTTCACCAGCATCTGCAGCAGCCAGTGCAGCTCGTATTTCCACAGTGATGAAATGGACTCAGGTGTGTTCGTTGGTGAAGGCCTGTGGGCTTTTTGATATTAGTCCTATAGGAGATAACTTTAAGGTTTTAATTTCGTAGATCCATATGAATTTTTATTTTTACCTTTTATCAGTCACTCTCTGTGGCCACACATACTGCATTTCAGTTTTATGAGCTTGATAGTCTATTTCCCAATCCCATTTTAAAGGGAGTGAGTTAAAAAGCAATGAAATAAGCAAACTAATTGTAATCTTCAGATATGCTCCATTATCTCTGTATGGTTCTATGAAGGATTATAGGTACACAGGAAATATACTGGAAGTATTAGGCATGGTTGATGGGGATGGGCAGGTGTGGAGTTTGAAGCATTTAAGACAGCAGGTTCACCTGAGCTAGCTTTATATGTGGATGTTGAGGATTGAGGGTAATGAGAGAAACAGATTGATATAATTATCTTATAAATATATTATCTTGTGTGTGTTAAGAACAAAGACCTTTCATTCCAATTAGGGAAAATCTTAATTTTTGATTATGCAGTTTATGTCAACTCTTCAACCACTGGAGGAACATCATTTGAAAGAGTCTTTAACAAGTATCTTTTCTGGGAGGCACTCCGCCTTCAGAAGAAATAGTAACATCCCAGGAGCTATGAAATCTTTTGGAACTCTTTCTCTGAACATGAGAACTGTGCATGGAATAACAGCTTGTGTTTAATTTTTACATTTTATTGAATATTACAATATTTTGGTACGTTAAACATAAGATGAGTGATTTTGGTTTTTGGTTTTGTTTTTGTTTTGACATCTAGGTGATGAACTTCCCTTAAGTGTTCGCATATCTCATGATAAACAGGACAAGATACATAGTTGCCTTGAGCATCTTTTCAGCCAGGTACAATCGGGCATTTGTGGGGCTTTTGTTCCACAACTAAA
This sequence comes from Homo sapiens, assembly GCF_000001405.40. NCBI lineage: Eukaryota > Metazoa > Chordata > Mammalia > Primates > Hominidae > Homo > Homo sapiens. The sequence continues at coordinate 68,119,556 of NC_000008.11, forward strand.
CTGTGAGGAGTCCCTTTTTCATATGCAGTAAAAGGAGCTCAGAGTTAGAACAGAAAGGCCTCAATCTGTCCTTCCACCTCCTTTACCTCAATTTCTGACATTTAAACTAGGAATCAACATTCCTTCAGCCAACTAACCTAAAGGATTTTTGTGAATATCAAGTATTTTACAGTCCTGGGAAAATTACTGTTATACACATAGGAGTTACCCTTTTTAGTATTTTTTTTTGTTTTTTTGTTTTCAGAAAGCTTTATGATATTTCTTGCTCAATATTATTTCTAATTTTAAAAAGCACAAGATATTGCCTTGGATGCTAATTTTGTTGTTTTACATTAACAAAATTTATAGCCATAACCAAAATTTGTAGTAGAAGATTTTACCACTTTGAAAAGGATTCCAATAACTTATACAGTAAATTTATATTTTGTGTTAATATATGGTAAGATAGTAAGAAATGTCATTGCAAATGTTATCAGGTGCATTTATTTCAATATTTTATGTAAAGATCGATTTCACAAGCATCATGGGGTTTCAAAAATAATTGTTGCTTTAAGAAAAAATATTTTATAAGATTTACTTTTAGAAATACGTATCATGTACTATGAGAAATATGTAACTCGGAAATCTCTACTATTGATAGGTGGATTCAATTACCAATCTCCTAAAAGGGCAGGCTGTTGTGAGGGCCTTTGACCAAACCAAGTATCTCACTCCAGGCCGAGGATTGCAAGGTAAGCCTTGAAAAATTAACTAGTAGAAGCAATTGAGAAAAACAAGGTGGTAGACAATATAGTCATGAAGCAAGCAGATTGCATAAGAGGAACAATTCCAGTTACTCATGTTTCATAATTCACCAAACACTACTTCTATTCTGATAATTTTTGAATATGTAAAAAAGTCAGCATAGGAATTTTTACATGTCTGTTTCTTTGAAAGTTTAAAATGTTTAATGCCTATAGGGGCCAGGCTGAGCAAAAATAAGTTAATTGAAGATACATAAACATGAAGTTGATTTTGCTGAAACCAAGCGTAATGTCTTCTTGGCTGTTTCCCAGTGGTGAGGAAAGGGTGTGGGGAATGAGAGTTGATGAATGGAAAGGATGGAGCTGCCACTCTGACAAGTAACTAGTTTGGGATAATGAAAGTAGAGTTTTCATCTAAATTTGCTTCGTTTAAACATTTATAAGAAAATAACATGAAGGTTTGACTTTTTACATTTAACGGATTTTCTGATGGTGTGGCAAAAGAAATGACCACCATGTCAATAGTCTAGGACAACAGTGACAGAAGAAGGTTTTGAAGCCTAAAGGCTTCATTGTTTAGGAATTATTTGAGACTTAAGAGAGATTTTCTGTGTTTATTTAGAATTTCAACAGGAAATGGAACCAAAGCTGAGTTGTCCAAAAAGGCTACGGCTTCATATCAAGCAAGATCCTTGGAATCTTCCCAGCAGCGTCCGGACTCTTGCTCAGAACATCAGGAAATTTGTTGAAGGTCAGCATGAAAAGCAAAGAACATTGCATGATATTAGCAATAATCAATTTAAAACCCACTAAAACCAAAAGTTTGGTAATGCCTGATTATTTTTTGCAGTGTTTCCTTTTGTGAAGAAAATAAAAGTACTGAAAATGGTGAGGGAGGAAGAGGGCAAGAAGGAATAAGATTATAGGGTCTTGTGTCCCAAGGTTATAAACATCATGGAGAATATTCTCAGTGAATAAAATAAGGGCTCAAAGTTATGAAGACAAATAGAACGTGAAGAGAATTTAAGACTCTATAAAAGGAGACAATATCATAAACAAATTCTGAAGGATTTACAAAAAGGCATGAAGCAAAAGTTTATCCACAAAAAAAAAATCAGTTGTGAAGCTGTATGAGAATCAAAATAATCACATAGGTTGCATCATTGATTTTTAAGTTTTTATATCAGAAGTGTTTGTCTAAGTTGATTGCTATTAACTACCATAACATTATTTACATGACATTCTATAATTGGTAAAACCTGTAAATTGGAGATATATGACTTTGAGACGACTTCATTGAGATAGATTGCATGTTGTTTAGAATCAGTGTGATTAAGTGAAAATTCTGAGAGTTTCAAAAATGATTATGGTGGAAAAGATAAAATGAGAATTCACCTAGTTGTAAAAATATATAACTCAGAAATTTTCTTCCCAGTGATTAGAACAGTGGTTGGCAACATCTGGAGGTATTGGTTGTCACAATTGTGGGTGTGCTACTGACCTCTAGATAGAGGCCAGGGATGCTGCTGAACATTCTAGAATGTATGAGACAGTTCCTTACAAGGAAGAATTCTCTGATACAAAATGTTAATAGTGCTAAGGTCGAGAAACCCACACAATAAATACTATTCCTGTGTTTACATTTTTATTCTTCAGTCATTTGTTTGTCAGTTGGTTGTGGTCAATAGTATTCAATGGTATTTAACAGAATTACAGTGTAACTGCAGTTATTACCTTAAGTGGGGTAAATTAAAGAGAGCTGTAAATTTTGCTGACAAAAGACAACCCCTTATATCAAATGGAGTCTGAGTTAGTCACTTAACTCTTTTAGGCTTCAACTTCCACATTTATTAAATGACAGAGATGGCTTAAATGTTCTGTGATTACTAAGTCTTCTGCATAGACTTATACTCAAATATAACAACTTATGTTTAGAGATTAGTAGAAAGGAAATTTGTACAGATATGGAATACTTCCCCAAATAAATCATAGTGATTCTATCTTGCGATAAAATCGTGTATTTGACAGCTGGTTTTCTTGGCTATATTTTTATTTTATGGCCTAATGTAATGTTTATCTGTGATACTTTATAACATAATATTTAATGAAAAGTCTGAATTTAAAATTCCCCAAAATATGAATAGCATAAATGTTAAATGCATTTTTGAAAAACTATTATGTTTTAGAAATTTAAGTATATACTTTACTGAGTAAAAGACATTTCTGCTGAATAGATGCCAGTATTATGACACTACTAGAAACTATAATTCTGCAGTTGTTCTCATCATCTTTGAGATTTTATATTTGTTTTAAGGTAAATGCATATTGGCTAGGAATGGAGAAATCCTTAAATCATCTCCCCCACTTTTTTGTTTTGAACAATTTTATCTTTCAGATAGAAATTTCTAATGCTCTCATTAGATTCAAAGAACTTCTTGGCTTCTGCGTTAATTTTACTATTTATCCAAAAGTTATTCAAGGGCAGGTTATTCAATATCCATGTAATTGTATGGTTTTGAGTGAATTTCTTAATCTTTATTTCTAATTTGATTGTGTTATTGTCTGAGAGAGTGGTTGTTATGATTTCACTTCTTTTGCATTTGCTGAGAAGCGTTTTATGTCTGATTATGTCATCGATTTTAGTGTATGTGCCATGTGGTGATGGGAAGAATGTATATTCTGTTGTATTGGGATAGAGATATCTGTAGATGTCTATCAGGACCATTTGATCAGTGCTGAGTTCAGGTCCTGAATATCTTTGTTAATCTTCTGCCTTGATGATCTGTCTAATACTGACAGTGGGTTGTTGAAGTCTCCAACTATTATTGTGTGGGAGTCTAAGACTCTCTGAAGTTCTCTAAGAACTTGCTTTATAAATCTGGGAAATTAATGAGAGCAAAGGTAAAGCATACCAGACTCTCTGGGACACAGCTAAGGCAATGTTAAGAGGAAAATTTGTCGCACTAAATGCCCATATCCAAAAGTTAGAAAGATCTTGATTTATAAACCTAACACCACAACCAAAAGAACTATAGAAGCAAGAGAAAATCAAACCCAAAGGTGCCAGAGGACAAGAAATAACTAAAATCAGAGCTGAACTGAAAGAGATTGAGATACAAAAAACCATTTAAAAGATCAATGAATCTAGGAGTTGATTTTTGAAAAAATTAATAAAGTAGATAGACCACTAGCTGGGCTAGTAAAGAAGAAAAGAGAGAAGATCCAAACAAACACATTAGAAATGACAAAGGAGATATTACCACTGACCCCACAGAAATACACATAACTATCATGTTATGTGCATTTACACATAAATACCATAACTATGGACACCTCTATGCACATAAACTACAAAATCTAAAAGAAATGGATAAATTCCTGGACACATGCACCCTCCCAAGACTGAACCAGAAAGAAATTGAATCCCTGAACAGACCTCCATAACAAGCTCCAAAGTTGAATCAGTAATAAATAGCCTGCCAACCAAAAAAAAAAGCCTGGAACCAGAGAGATTAACAGCCAAATTCTACCAGATGTACACAGAAGAGCTGGTACAGTTTCTATCAAAACTATTTCAAAGAATTGAGGAGGAGGGACTCCTCCCTAACTTATTCTAGGAGGCCAGCACTATCCTGATACCAAAAACTGGCAGAGATACAACAACAAAAAGAAAACTTCAGGCCAGTATTCTTTATGAACATCAATGCAGAAATCTTCAACAAAATCCTGGCAAACCAAATCCAGCATCACATCAAAAAGCTTACCTACCATGATCAAGTAGTCTTTATCCTTGGGACGCAAAGTTGGTTCAACATACTCAAATCAACAAATGTGGTTCATCATATAAACAAAGGAATATAAATCATTCTATCATAAAGATATGTGCACACGTATGTTCGTTGCAGGACTGCTCACAATACCAAAGACATGAAATCAGCTCAAATGCCCATCAGTGGTAGACTGGATAAAGAAAATGTGGTACCTGTATTCCAGGGAATACTATGCAGCCATAAAAAAGAATGAGCTAATGTCCTTTGCAGAAACATGAATGGAGCTGGAGTCCATTATCCTTAGCAAACTAACACAGGAAGAGAAAACCAAATACCACATGTTCTCATTTATAAGTGGAAGCTAAATGATGAGAACACATGGACACAAAGAGAGGAACAACACATACTGGGGCCTATCAGAAGGTGAAGGGTAGGAGGAGGGAGAGGATCAGAAAAAATACTTAATGGGTATTAGGCTTAATACCTGGGTGATGAAATAATCTGTACAACAAACCCCCATGACACAAGTGTACCTATATAAGAAACCTGCACATGTACCCTTGAACTTAAAAGTTTAAAAAAATATATTTCTAATGCAGGATAAAAAGTTTAATTTTTCAAAAAGTACTCATTTTAAGAATCTTACATTTTCATTTCAAGACCTGCTTTTGTATTCTCTGTAACTCATGTCACAATAAGCAGCTATAGGAATGATAACTATATACATACTGATTGATGGATTGATTGATATGTGTTGTGAATTTGGGTGCCACTCTTGGTCATGGGAGTCCAATGGCTAGTTGAGTGTGGTTGGATGGGCTGAGAGTCTTATAGTCAATGGTGTGGGGAGGGCTCTCTGTAGAATTTAGTTGCATCTCTGGTTGCAAATTTCAGTGAGTTTCAGTGAGCTGTTTGGGTAACAGCTGTGATTGTCACCATGTTAAGTGAGTCTTTAAAAATGATTACATTTTGCTTCATCTCAATGGACTATGCAAGCGAGAGGGCATGCTACCATTTCCTGGTAATCTGTGTGATGTCCGGTCCTGTTAGGAGTTAAAAAAGCATTAGGATCATTGAAATCAGTTGCTTGTTATGTGGAGGCACTCTGAGTAACTTTGCTAGTTCAGCATGAATTTATCCTATTCAACTTAAGTCATTTTCATTCTACTTCCTAGACTGTCTTTATATAGTGAATGACTTAATGAAAGGTTAGATCTTGGAACTTAATTTAACCTGGTGCTACCAGGCCAGAATTTCTTGGTTTATATAAGCAGCTGGGATGACCCCATTTCTAATGTTTTTCCTAGTCTCCGATTTCAAAATACCCCATCTGTTATATACCACAGGTGATATCAAGGTGTCATAATTCTATGATCTTTATTTAGAACTGTTGCAGTGCTATTCAAAAATTGTATCATTATATACTCACCCATTCATAGCAGATTAAACTGTGTGTAGAAGAGAGCAGAGAAGATAGTGAATTAAGTGAGGACAGATTAATTATATGGTGTCCCTAAGACGATGCCTATCTCCTGCTTAACCTCTGAGGTAAGTTATGGCCTCATATTATCAGCTGAATGAAGAGATTTTTATTTGAGTAGCCCACCATCACCTTAAATTCAGATGTTTATTAGTGAACACATTTTCAACTTTCTGTTCCCTATAAAGAAAAATGCTTTATTCTAAATCTCATATTTTTTTTAGCAACCTATATTTTAGAAAGTTTTTTCCCTGCATTTGTCCCAATATTCTAAAGAGTGTCTCTTCAGTTTTTCCCTTTTTCATCACACTTCAGTAATTACAATGATTTTTCTGGCTAACGTCCCTCTCCCTATCTTTTTATGATTCTTAAAACCATTACGAGATTCATCTTCCTAAAATATCGTGTTCATAATTTCACTACTGTGTCACAGAGTCTTGCGGTGATTTTCTATTAGGTAAGACTAAACACATTGATCTGTTAGAAGCCATTTTTCAGTGGGGCTTTCTAATCATATCCCAATCTCAGTCTCTTAATGATATAATAAAATCTCTGTAGGCTAGATTGTTAGATAATTGTTATTCATTCTCTACTATATTCCTTTGCTAGCAAAATCTCTCAATCTTAGAATATGTATCTCTTTTCTTGACAGTGATAATTTAAAGTTTTATGAAATATTTTCTAGTCTCATTTAGAATTCTATACCAACTTTGGCCAGATTCAGATTACAATAATAACAGTCTTCACCTGTATATAGGATTTTAAACAAATTTCAAAGACTTTTCACACATATTCTCACTTATATTTTACACAGACCTGTAAAATAGATAAGGCAGATGTTATCTTCATTTATGAATGAGTTAATTGAGACTCAAAGTAATTTAGCAATTTTCTAAAGCCACAAAGCTAGTATATAACAGCAGTCTTCTGACTCTTAGCTTATTGTACTTTGCTGCCTCTGAAATCCTTTTCTGCTTTCAGTCTCACTTGTAAAATGTGGTGCCCTTTGAAGTATTTCCTGCATTTCTTTTCAGTCAATTCTGTCTTTCTGACTCTACTGTGAATCTGTCTAGAATAGGATATAACTTAATCTTTTTTTTCCCATAATCTTGGGCATTTAGCAGGAACTTTGTAAGTTTTTAAATTTACCTATTGCACATAAACTATAATTATTTGTTAGTTGGAAACAAATGGACATGTAACTCATTGGACACCTAGCAATTCGTATGAAATTCATACACATTTATCAAACATCTGTGATTGACCCTGTGTGGGTTGGAGTTGGAAGAAGAGTATATATATACACACACGTATGTGTGTGTGTATATATATGTGTGTAATATATATATACATATATACGTGTGTGTGTATATATATATACACACATGTGTAAACTTTGAAAGTTTAAATAACAGTAGCAAAAATATTGTTTGACAGTTTATTGCTAGTGATTACAACAGTTGTAGCTTGCAGAACACCAAGCAGGCTAAAACAGCTAAGGATGACCTAAAAAGCTGCCAGGATTTGAATGGTGTTTCATTGACTGATATAATTCAGAGACATTTCAGGATCTTGAACAATGGATAGAATTTGTGTAGGCAAACAGGCAAGCGTAGCATGTCAAGTGAATTGATTTTTATTATCTAATATTAGGTTGGTGCAAAAGTAATTGCTGTTTTTGCCATCCATTGAAAGTAATGGCAAAACCACAACTACTTTTGCATGAACCTAGTCCAATAAGATCATACTAATTTTGACTACACAGTTAAAATATGGTATTTGTGACAGAAAGAGTGAACAATTAACTGATGTGTTTTCTTTCTCTGCAGAGGTAAAGTGTAGGCTACTCCTGGCTCTTCTTGAATATTCAGGTAACATTTTGCATTTTATTTTTTTTTACTATTTAAGTGATTGTGGCCCAGGATCATAAAGGCCTTGAAATTTGAGGACAACGCCTTCAACCATTTACAAAATAGAAATATGATCCCTACCTTCTCCAAAGCTTTGGAAAGATTAGAAAAAGTACTCACATCATTTTAATAAAAATGCAAATATATATATATACATATATATATATACACACATACTTGTATTCTCTTATAAGCAAAACCATGAAAACATATATGAATATAGATTTAAACAAAATATTATTAAACAGGAGAAAGGGAGTAGGTTTTGCTAAAGTTAATTGTGTCTAAATTTTGTTTATGAGCAAGAATGAATGTATGTAAACATTTTACAAATCTTACATTAAAACACTTTTACCATGCACTTAGTGGGAGCTCAAAAAATATTGGTAATGGAAAATGACACTAAAGGACAATTAAATATTTGATGAGATTCTAAATTGCAGATGATAGACTGTAAATGTCATAAAGGCAGGCACTATGTCTATTTTGTTCATCAGCAAATGCCTAAAATAGTGGCTGGCATATAGATATTCAACAAATATTTATGGCAAAAATGAATGAAAAATTATATGAATGAAAAAAGGAAAAATGTATGAAATATTTCAACAAGGTTTTCATTCAAAATGCATTTACAAGGAAATAGATCGTAAAGATTGGGAAAACTCAACTACATGCCATTTAATTACAGTGAACAGTTTGATGTTAGCCTGCTGTGCGTCTCTTTCTGTAGATTCAGAGATATATAGATATGTTGAATGAGTTACTTTTATTATTTTAATCTATTTCCCATAAAGTATGTGTATGTGTATACACAGAAATTCTATTACATTAACTAGATGTTGATAGGGATTTGTTCCTAAAAAATATAACCTGAATGATTACTTGTGATAGCAGTTAGCTTTTGTTGTGTTTAAAAAAATTCCCCAAACTTTCTGGCATAAAACAATGACCATTTCTTATTGCTTACCTGTCTAGTGTCATCTGGCCATTTCTGGTGGTCTGTGCCAGGTTTTATTGATCTTGGCTGGGTTTGCACATGTGTCTGCAGTCAGGTGGTGGGTTGGCTAGGCACAGGTGATCTAGGGTGGCCTTGCTCACATATGTAACATTTGGCTGGCTGTTAGCTGAGGTAACAGGGCTGCCTGGACTGCCTGTCTCTCATCATCTATGAGGCTAGCCTGTTCTTGTTCACATGGTGGATTTGCAGGGTTCCAGGAAGACAGTGGGAATGTCGAAGAGCTTGCCACCTTCTACTGGCCCCAGCATGTAACTGGCAAGGCCAGACTTAAGGGGTAGAGACATAGATTCTACTTTTGAAGGAAAGGGTCTCAAAATTACATTACAAGAGTGTGGATACAGGCAGGGAAAGAATTTGTGACCACTTTTCCAAAGTACCACACTTGGAAATTTTAAATTATGAATGGACCGAGTTAACCAACAAGGCTTTTTTATTTGTCCATTGGTTTTTTGCCCTAATGAAAAAAGGTTTTGCCTTGCTTTTTGACTGAGTAATAATAATGACAAAAATATCTGAGAGTTTCTGAGCTTTACTAATAACACAATTCATGGACCTCATTTTCTTGGATTTCACTGGATCCCCACAACCCACTATGTGAGAATATTATTGTTTCCACAGTTTTAAAGGTGAAGAAATTGACATTCTGGCAGATTAATAATAACCAGCACATAGTATACAGTCAACACTGACGTTGGAGCATCTAGAAGGTTAGGCATATTGATGCCTTATTGAATAAATGAATAAATAGTAGGTGGCAGTTTTGAAATTCAAACTTAGGTTTGCCAATTCCGGAGGTGATTCTGGGATGCTTCGTTTTATTCATTAATGCTCAAATGGATGCTCTGGTAGATTTTTATTTTGATTTCAATTTTATTTTTCTATTCCTCTTATGATTCTTTATTTTCCTGCTTTATTTGCTCACCCTCTCTCCCCTCTTCTATATAGGATGACACCAAAACAGGAGCCAAAATACTTTATATTTTTGGCTGCGAAATTATGTTTATTTGAAAAGGGTAGACTGTGTCTTTTAAATATTCTTAACCTCCTTTTATTTCTACCTTTCTCTTTTTCTAATCTCCTTTTTTGTTGTTTATTTTGCTTTATTTTCCCTGCAATCTCTGTGCTAGAATAATTTCTGAGATTGCTTTTGTGTGTCTAGAAACCATCTCATTCTTTTTAGACCAGCTAGCTAATTACAGATCTTAAACTTCTAAACAGCCAAGATTAAATAGTGTAATTTAAAACATGTGTTAGAAGATGAGTTTAAATAGGTGCTTAAATACTGAAATGAAACCGAAGCCTTTGATAGGTACAAAAACCATTTCTTTTGAGTGTACTCTCACTATAAGAAAAATATTACTCTATGATAAAAATAAATAATAAAAATCTTACTCTACAACAATAGTAAGCAAAAAAAAAAAAACCCTCAAATTCTCTGTTTTTCTTCTTTTGCTAGTAGCTGAAAGCAGATGTGATTTTTGCTGTAGTTCTTTCTTATTCATAAAAAATAGGAAATGAAGGCAGTGTGCCCTGGTCCATGTTTATAATCCCAGCACTTTGGGAGGCTGAGGATGGAGGATTATTTGAGGTTAGGAGTTTGAGACCAGCCTGGATATCATAGTGAGGCCCTGCCTCTGCAAAAAAAAAAAAAAAAAAATTAAAAATTAGCCAGATGTGATGGCACACACCTGCAGTCCCAGCTATTTGGGAGGCCAAGGTAGGAGGATCTCTTGAGCCTGGGAGTTTGAACCTGCAGTGAGCTATGATCGTGCCACTGTACTCCAGCCTGGGTGACAGAGCAAGATGCTCTCTTAAAAAACAAAACAAAACGAAACAAAAACACACAAAAAACCCAAAAATACCTTTGGTAAAGGATGGATACTTGTAAATTTTGAATGGTTGCATAATTGAAAGAAAAAGACCTGGATATTTTTGCTGAGAGTTAGTAGATTTTGTTGTATTTATGTAACAAATTGCTCCTTCTCCATGAGCAATAAAGCTGAGCACCTACTCAGTGCCAGACACGGTGCTAGATGCTAAACAAAAAGAAGAATCACAATGATAATGCTACACCACTTTACTTTGTTAAGTGCTTTAAATACTTTTTATCTCATTTATCTTTACTGTAGACCTAAGAAGGAGGAATGAACCCCATTTTCCACATGGGGATCTGATACCTAAAATATGGCTTAGAATGGTTGGTTGAAAGCAGATGATATGCCTCTAAGGAGGGTGAGCCTAAGTCACAGGCCACTTCTCTGGCCTTGATGTACTGATGGTTGCTTGGGAACACAGACTCATAAATGAATGCCCACTGTGCTATATAATTAGCCCTCCAGTAGAAGGATACCCCCAGGTCTATGGTGACCAGAAGAAGAGCCCCAGTACTTCCTTGGGGAGAGGGGAATTTCACAAGGGGAGATAATCTTTCAATGAGTTTCAATAGTTTGATGAGTTGACTCTTAAAGATTGATTTAAAGTTTGCTAGGCAGAGGAGAAGGACAAGGGCATGCAATGCATCTGGAAGAAAGGTATAGGCCCAGTGTACGCCATAGGGCATTTGGTATTTGAGGACTGCTGAGCGGTACTGTGTGGCTCAAAGAGGACAGGTCTGTGTACCCCACACTTCTGACTGCTTTCAGATATGTTGTTTTAATGTGCTCTCCCAATAATTCTGTGAACATTGTTGCTGTAGTGTGGAATGAATGGAGGGAAGTGGTATGTTGAGAAGCTGTAAATATAAATAGGGGATAGGTCACAAGGTCCCGCTTATGCCACTGTTTTCTAACTTTGTTATTCACTGTGAGATGATGGTTTGTAAAAAGTTAACTTGAAAAGCTCTTGATATAATATGTACATTTTGAATCTGTGCGAACAATTCATCTACTCTCTGCTGAAAATAGGAAGGTGGCAACAGAAAATTATCTCATGAAATATGAATTTTTATTCAATATGGCTGAGGCCCCAGCTTGGATCCTCTAGTAGTTGTTGCAGCTGTCAATTCCTGTAGGGTATTCATTCAGTGTTAAACATTTGAATTGGTGAATGAAAATAACTACAAGTTATCAACAGGCTTTGGTTTTGCACACTGAAAAGTTGACGTTAATTGCAATCAGTTCTGATTTGATAAAGAGGTTGAAGGAAAAATCTTATTTTGGCTTAAATGCAAATAGTATATAGTAGCAGAGTATAGAATAAACATCTAAGTATTCTTTTTAGGATAAAAATAGAAAAGAACTTTTTCACAAAAGAAACTTGGAAATAATTATTTCTACCAGTGGCAAAGTTATTAATCCTGGTGATTTTTGTGAAAGCTTACAGTGCAGATCCTTCTTTCTCTAGATTTTTGCTTTTCACTCAATATCCATAATTTCTTTCCAATTAGATTTTTATTAAATCATTTTCAAGGTATGGGTGGGAGTATTTCTGCCAAATCTACTGAAGTATTTTTAAAAATTCACCCAGATTTTCTGCTTCACTATAGAACATATGAAAAACAAAGTAATAATTTTCAACAAAGATGTAGGGCAATTTATTTTACTTATTTAGTTTCTGTCGTGAACCTCAGTACCCTAGGTGCACACTGGAGCTAACAAGCTATCTGAATTAGCCTCTTAAGTAAAATTAAATCCAGATATTTCAAGAAACCAGAGAATGAACTCATGTCTTTTCATTTCACTTTTTTATTTATTTTTAGTGCCACTGACTCTTTATTTTAATCATTGACTTAGTAAACATTTGTTCAATGTCTACTGTGATAGAAATTGTGCACAACAAAATAGGTGTTTAGTTTTTTTTCTTGAGGATTGGACAAAGTTCATTTCCAGTTTAGAGATTTTATAGTTATCTATAAATGCCCTTTCCTATCTAGTAGCATGGGGCACATGTTGTTGGTTAAGTTAGTAAATTGAGCCATATGGAATGGCCACATTCCACCATTTTAACCTACCAAAGCAGCATGTTTCTATAGTTGAGCCTAATAAGTGAATATTCAGATACAAAATTAAATATTTTAAATATTTAATTATCTTTCTAATAAAATTTTCAAGAGTAGGTTTTACAGTGAAACCGAGTATCATAGAAACTAAATTATGTGTACACATGCCTTTGATGGTTATTAAAAACAGATGTTCAGTGTTCTTGGTAAATCTTAAAAATTATGCCTTTTTTGTCAATAAAACAGGAGCTCACCACTGAATAAAGTCAGCATTTATCTCTGTGTTATACACTAATATTGACAATGCTTCTTTATTCCAGAAGAGTCTATGAACCCTTGAAATATTTAGTACACATTTGAGAGGAGGTTATTTTTCCCTTTGTTGTTTCCACTTCTAGTGGAAGTGATTTTCCAATATGTGGAATGTGTGGCTTTGTGTTTCTGTAGTTTGTATATATCCAACCACCTGAAGAAATGAACTCTGTGTGTTAGCTTCTTTCCGTTTGAAAAATCTCTAGTTCAGAATTTCACAGTGTAAACATATCTTCAAAGTGGGTGTATTGGTCTATTTTCTCACTGCTATAAAGAAATACCTGAGATTGTGGGTACTTTATAAAGGAAAGAAGTTTAATTGACTCACAGTTATGCATAGCCAGGAAGGCCTCAGAAAACTTAGAATGGGAGAAGGCAGAAGGGGAAGGAGGCATGTCTTACATGGCGGCAGGCAAGAGAGAGCAGAGAGCGTGTGTGTCAGAACACAGGAAAAACTGCCATGTATAAAACCATCAGATCTCGTGAAAATTCACTCACTATCACAAGAACAGCATGGGAGAAACCACCCCCATAATCCAATCACTTTCCGCCCGGTCTCTTCCTCAACACCTGGGGATTACAATTCAAGATGAGATTTGGGTGGGGACATAAAGCCTAACCATATCAGTGGGTTAACCAAAACTCCAGTCAATTGCAGGATAAGAATCCTGGTAAACATATACAAATCAATTCATACTAAAACTATAAATATATTACTTATTTGAAAGAATTATAGGAATTCATATTCTTATATATTAGAACATACTTATAGCTCATGAAATTTAATAACTCCATTCAGGAGAGACAGATTTGCTTATAATTGCAAACAATTGAACATCGTATACTCTTTTTCCCCATGTGTATTTCACATTAGTATTTGAGTAGGTTTAGTTGTTAATTTTTAAAATTGTATTAATAATATTGTATCTAATTTGCCAACAAAAACTGACGAATTGGACTTTGAGTTTTGTTTAGGAAAATGTCATTGCAGCAAATGCAAATTGTGTCCCATCAGGTATAGAAAATATAAATAAATGAAGCCTTATTTTTCTCCCTCAGATTTTATCAAACAATTTAATGATTCTAGAATAGAGTCACAATATTGATTAGGAAAAAATATTTTAATATTTCTAACGTTTTTTGGTGTTTAGTGTTTTCTGTAAAGCATATTTGCTAGAATGTGTGTGGTCATTTATAGAGCTCAAATTCACATTTTTCACATGCGTGAGTTTAGTGAAAAGATGAAATGCTAGTGAATGTAGATGCTGAACGCATTGGTTTTCACCATCTGCAACATTTTTCGAAGCATTCTCTATGTTCTCTTTGATCACAGATAGTGAGACACAGCTCCGTAGAGACATGGTTTTCTGCCAGACTCTTGTGGCCACTGTCTGTGCCTTCTCTGAGCAGCTCATGGCGGCCTTGAACCAGATGTTTGACAACAGCAAGGAAAATGAGATGGAAACTTGGGAAGCCAGCAGGAGGTGGCTGGACCAGATAGCGAATGCAGGTGTTCTTTTTCACTTTCAGTCACTTCTGTCACCAAACTTGGTAAGGAAATCACATGACTCCCACTGTCTGTGTCAACTGTAACCTGCACTGTAACATGTTTTGAAATAAGAAGTAGTTATTTCTTTCCCGCTGGTTATCTCTATGAATGTGCGTGCATTCAGCTACTTTAAAAATATACATTTTTCTGTGGTCCTTCAAATTTTAATAAGTATGTAGAATGTATTCCTTCTTTCCTGATTTGTATCTCTTCTCTGTGGCTGCTAAAAGCTGAGAAAGCCTCCATCTGTTACTAATTCTTGTATCCCTACACGCTGACTGGAGAAGGTCATCAGAAGAAAAAGGGTCTTTCTGCTGCTGTTCCTTATTCCCAGTCGAAGGACACAGGCTGCTGTGAAACCAAAGCTCCTATTGAGATGGATGTCCTGGAGCAGGCTTGAGAGCCAAGCTTGGAGAGCTCAAATACCATACTGCCTGACAATCTGTTTAAAATTTGCATATGTTAAATAATTTTAGTTCTTTTCTTTGTATGCATGTTTGTCCTGTTAAATCGAAGAGCATTGCCTTAATTACTGTAGAATATTCTATGTTTATGCATTGGGTTTCCACAGTGGATATGATGAAAGCATCTTGAAATATTTGAAAAATAAAACTGTGGTGAACTTAAGAGTTTTTTCACGTATACCTCCTGTGGTTTGGATAGTTATCATCATGTTTAAAAGCAAATGTGTTCACTTTAATATATAAATGTTAGGTGATCACTGAATAGAACTGTGATTTTAAACATGAGAGCCTATTTCATCTGTTAAAGTACACATAGAAAATGTAGCTACCAAGTAACATGTTTGAGCTTAAAAACAAATTTTGTGTGTGTGTGTGTGTGTGTGTGTGAATTACATATGATAGGAAGCCTACTTTTTAACACATGGTAGGCATCAATTATCTGTTGAATGAATGTGTAAATGAGTAAGGCTTTATTTTATTTCTATTCTATTTTCCTTACTTTTAAACTGCCATTGTCTAATCAAGTGCCGGTGCTTTTACTTTAATTTTATTGGAAATCTCAAAGAATATGAGAAAATATTTACAAATCATATATTTGATGAGTGACATATGCAGAATATATAAAGAACCCTTAAAATTCAACAGTAAAATGACAAATAACCAATTAAAAAGTAGACAAAGGATTTGAATAGATATTTCTCCAAAGATATAAAAATGTCCAAAAAGCACATGAAAAGATGATCAACATCATTAGCCATTAGAGAAATGCAACTCAAAACCACAGTGAAATACCACAATGCATGTGATATGGATGGCTGTAATACAAAAGACAGATAGTAATAAGTTTTGGGGAGGATGTGGAGAAATTTTGTCACCCTCCTAAGTTGCTTGTGGGAAGTGGCACAGCCATTTTGGAAACTGGTTTGGCAGTTCTTCAAAATATGAACCACAGAGTTTCCATATTACCTAGAAATAGGATTTCTAGATAATATCTAAAATAAATGAAAACTTACATTCACACAAAATCTTGTATGCAAACATTCCTAGCAAGATTATTCATAGTAGCTAAAAAATGGAAACAACTTATATGTCCATCAACTGATGAATGGATAAACAAAATGTGATGTGTCCATATAATGGAATATTATTCAGCAATAAAATGGAATGGAGTACTGATACATGCTACAACATGGATAAACACTGAAAGCATTATACTAAGTGAAATAAGCCAGTCACAAAAGACCTCATATAGTTTGATTCCATTATGGTGAAATGTACTAACTAGGTACATTTTAGAGGCAGAAAGTAGACTAGTGGTTGCCTACAGCTGATGGTTGGGGGCAGGAAAATGAGGAGTGAATACTATTGGGTATTGGTTATCTTTGGGGGTTGATAAAAATATTCTAAAGTTAGACAATGGTGCTAGCTGGACAGCTCTGTGAATATAGTAAAACCCCTGAGCTATACATTTTAAATGGGTGAATTTTACAGTATGTGAGTTATATCTCAATGAAGCGGTGTGGTTTTTTTTCAACTGGTCTTGTGAAACCCTTAAATTTATTTAAGGAATTGATTTTAAAAAGAAAATAGAGAGGTTGCTAAGGAAAGAAAAATTCAAGAAACCCATAGTCTTTCTGCTTCTGTCACAAAGGCAGAAAGAAAACATCCACCCAGGAATGTGAATGGCTCTAGGAGCAGCGCTCTGGTGGTCTGTGTGCCCCTGAGTGCGAGGCACAGCCAGTGGTCACTTGGGCCTGGCTTTGGCAATGTTTGCTGGAACACCATGGCTTGTGCTGTAGCTCTCAAAGGCCACACTGTCTGGAACATTTCTTGCTTTGTGAATTTCTGTCTACCGGAAAATGCACTGATTCTTCAGTCCTGTCCTTTCTTTCTAGGGTCATGACATTTTTTTGCTGCTTCAAAAGGATTTTTTTAAGATAATGGTTTAATAAACATTTTTCCAGTACTTACTGTGTACTGTGCACTATATTAAACATCACACCAAGGTACAAAGGTGACAGTTCTTCCAACCTCTTTGTGTCTCCACGCTGCCCTCCTTTGGGGTCTGGGGCTACCTCCACTGATTCTTTTTCACAGAATGGAAATTCTTTACCACCTCCTTCATCTTCTACTGATGCTGCCCCCAGATTTGGCTACGAGGTTACAGCAACTTTTTTTTTTTTTTGAGACAGAGTCTCACTCTGTCACCCAGGCTGGAGTGCAGTGGCGCAATCTCAGCTCACTGCGACCTCTGGCTCCCAGGTTCAAGTGATTCTCCTGTCTCAGCCTCCCAAGTAGCTGGGATTATAGGTGTGCACCACGATGCTCAGCTAATTTTTGTATTTTTAGTAGAGACAGGGTTTCACCATTTTTGTCAGGCTGGTCTTGAACTCCTGACCTCAGGTGATCCACCCATCTCAGCCCCGCAAACTGTTGGGCTTACAGGCGTGAGCCACCATGCCTGGCCTACAGCAACTTTTACAAATGCTGTATACAACATGTTAAACTAACTGTTTAAAAGGATCATTGACATTTTATTTTTTTTAAGAGATGGGGTCTTGCTCTGTCGCCCAGGCTGGAGTGTAGCAGTGCAATCTTGGCTCACTGCAGCCTCAACCTCCTGCGCTCAAGTGATCTTCCCACTTCAGCCTCCCAAGTAACTGGGAGGTTACATAGGTGCATGCCACCATACCCAGATAATTTTTTGATTTTTTGAGAGATAGTGTCTCACTATGTTGCTCAAGCTGGTCTTGAACTCCTGGGCTCAAGTGATCCTCCTGCCTCGGCCTCCCAAAGTGCTGGGGTTACAGGTGTGAGCCACCGTGCCTGACCATTGACATTCTTAAGGAAACAAATATTACCTTTAGAAGATAAGCTATGTATGACAAAGTTAATTATATTTTCATGATAAAACTATTAAAAGACCCTGTAAATAATGCATTAAACTCCTAATAGGAAGGCCAGAAGCTAGTACCAGAAAGATGACATCACTGAGACACACACTAACTTTTTTAATGTCTGGGCCTTACTTGCCTTAGCTATAAAACTATATGCTATAAGAATGAGACGAATGATTAAAACAAACCAGATCTGTTACTCACAAGATTCTAGACTAAGACGCCATAAAGCCAAGTGAGGTGAAAATGATTCTTGCTCCCAAGCTCGTTGGAAGCCAAATAATCACACATTAAAATTGATTTTAATCACAGTTACTAAATATAGCAAATGAATATGAATAAGTTATCTCATTATAAAATAGGATAGCTATTATGTAGTTTGTCTTTTAAATAAAACAACATTTTTGCTTTTCAGATGTTATAAGATTTTAGAAGTTTAGATGCAAATAGCATGCTTTTTGTGTTCTGTAAATAATAAATGAAATCAATATGATTAGAATCCAGCTACATAATAGACTGAAAAATGTGTGTATAACATAACCATTTAAACAATAGAGAAAAGGGAAAATATAAAACCATAAAAGAAACTTGTAACTTTAAGAGATTTGTTCATTTCATTTTGGGCAGTAAATTATTACAGAAGTCTTTATAATTTTGTTTTGTACCTGTATATAAATAAAACACAGCAAAGTTGTTTTGGTCTGAATTTACATTATGTCATGTTACGTTATATTGCTTTATATCATCTTGTATTATATATTGTTTTTCTTTCTTTGTAGACAGATGAACAAGCCATGTTAGAAGATACACTGGTTGCACTATTTGATTTGGAAAAGGTTTCCTTTTACTTTAAACCATCAGAAGAGGAACCTCTGGTTGCAAGTAAGTAATTAGGTATTTACAAAATTTATTTGGCATCAAATAATTATATATGATATAACTTTGGTATTAATATATTTGATAAGTATTTTATGAACTGAATGATTGAAATGTATCCTTTTGATTTAGAAATTTTCCATCACTAATCTGACAAAGGCAGTATTTTAAAAGTTATATATTCAGATAAGTAGCAATATGTATGGTTTAATGTCCATATCTTTTACTTTCTGCAAGTTATCATTATCTACTATTTCCACATTCCCATAAATATAGTTAAAATATATCTATCAGTCTAAGAAATCTTCAGTAGTTTGTTATTATTTTTATATGTCTCTTGTTTTTTCAAAAGTATGAGTATCGTGTGTATTAGGCTAGAAGGTGTAAGCTTCTTCAGGTTTTATTTCTCACATTCCTAATGTCCAGTACAATAAATAAGGACTCCATACATTTTCATTTGATCCATGATCTGACTTAAGATGATAATCACTCATTTATTCATGTATCAAAAGCTCCTTAAATGCCTACTTCTTGCCAAGACTATTCTTGGTGTTGGATTCAGTAGAGAACTAAACAGATAGATATCTCTTATGGGGCTTAAGTTAAGGTGAGGAGAGATAAATAATAGGCAAAATAATTTTATAATAAATTAGAAGGCAATTATGTGAAAGATATATAGGGAAACAAAAGAGAGCAAAGGATACCAATGAAGGGGCAGATGGAAGGTTGCAGATAATGAATGGGGTAGCAAGGAATCTTTACCTAAAAGGAGAGCAGGCCCTGAAAAGGTTGAGGGAGTAATGGCGATATCGGAGGAGCAGTGTCCCAGGCTCACTGGACTCTGAGGCTGGGAGCAGACATGGCATGCTCTCAGGATAGGAAGTTGGCCTGCATAGGTGGAGTGGAGCAAGTGAGGGGAACAGAAAAAGAGATGGAAACAGCAAGGAGGCCAGACTATGAAGGGCATGCCAGCTGTTGAAAGAGCTTTGCTTCCTAACCATGACATTGAACTGATGAATTACGGGATGTGTGTTCCATATTAAAAGGCTGTCTCTGACTGCTGTGTTAAATAGACTATTCTAGGACCAAGGGCAGAAGCCCAGTGATCAGTTAGAAAGCTACCTCTCCCAGGTGGGAGAGGATGGTGACTTGGCCTGGAGGGTAGCTGTGGAGATTATTTAAAAATAAAGCAATGTCAATGCTGTTTAATTTATGAAAATAGAACAGAATATTATTAAAGTTTCATTTCCTCTGATGAATGAGGAAGAGAACAAGAAGCACAAAGTTAGAAATTTAGGTTATATTTATTCAAGAATTTTTCTGGCAGAGGGTATTTGATAAGGATAATATTATTTGAACAAATTGTGTGGTTTTCTGTGGATATGTATAGAATAGGATATATTTTCATTTACTTGAATAATGTGGGCATAGTTTTGCTGAAGGCAGAGAGAACTCTATTTTTGTGATATAACCTGATATGTTGTTTAAAGTTTTGCCTGAGGAACTGTAAGTTCATAGGAGTACTGTTTTCCATGGTTCTCCTATGACATTATTGGCAAATGGTCTGTTGAACAAGTAGGAGAAGAACCAATATCATAAGCTTGATAAAATACTTCCTTACTGCATATCTACTGTGAAAGACTTAACTTTGGAACACACACTAAATATAAAAAATAATTGGGACCATGTAAGCAATAATAGTATGTAAATGTAGATGTCACTATAACAGATACAGGCATTCTGAATATATTTGGCAATACATTTTAATGTGTCTCTTCAAAGCGTAACCTCAACTTCTGAAAATAGTTCTCTAGTGAGGGGCTGGTTCCAATGCTGCACTATTGAACACTAAAAACAGCGAAGATAGGAATATAATTCTTATTTTAAGTTGATGCAGGAAATAAGAGAATTATTCTGTATTCAGAGGTCATCACATCTTATTTAAGTGGTGTAAGAAAATGAAGCTTTATTATGCATTGCATGTAGTTTGATCTTTCTGTTACTTAGATGTGGAGAAGTCAGATTCACTAATCCTGTATCACTGGGATGGAGACTAGTTGGCTGCATGCCTTTGAGGGAGGACTAAGCACAGAGATGGGGAAGCATGAAGGTGTAAAGACACCATTGGCTTTGAAGTCAAGAAATCCAGGTCCGAATCTTGGCTTCATTCTTATCTTTAAGCATGAGAACTATAGCTTTCCCTAACTCACAGGGTTGAGGGACTTAAATAAGATAATGTATTTGAAAGACTCTAGCATTACATATGGCTATACTAGTATTCAGTAAGTATTTGAATTCATCCTTCTTACTTTATTACTTTGCATTCTTCTCAAAAGCTATATTTATAGCATCGCCTATAATCTCACTTTTGCATGAAAAGAATAATGAGATTCTGAAGAATTATGGCATGCCAAGCAAGTAGAAGTCAAATATCTTGATTAAAGACAGTTCATTTTCATTGAAGAAATAATTATTAAATATATATAACATGCTAAGTACTGAACCAAGTTCTAGGGATATCATGGTGTGCAAATTAAACAAGGCTTTTTTGGCATGGAACTTAGACACTAATGAGAGATACAAGGAAGTAAATGGGCAATTTGACCACTTCGTAATAAGGGAAATACGAGGTGCTTCACACAATGTGAAGGAGTAATAAACTAGCTAAATGGTAAGTTTGTCTATAATTACATTTATTTTGTGGAAAATCTGCATCAGTTTAGGAGAATAATGTAATGACAGCAGGTCTTCTCCTTTTCAATGGTCATATGGGTCATTTTATAGTAGTTCATTATTAGGAGAATGAATATGTTTGAGTCCCCACTATCCTTATATGGGCCAGGCATTGTGCCTGGAGGTGTGGGTGCCATCATGGATGAGACATGCATGGTTCCTGTCTTCATGGAGCTGACAGCCTAGTTGGGAATAAGGAATTAGGAATCAATAATGAATGAGGAATGAATAATCAACAATCAATAAGAAATCAATATAAAAATAAAACTGTGATAAATCCTATGAAGGAAATAAGCAGATGCATAAAGAAAAAAGGCGAGGCAGCCCTTCAAGGGGTGACTGGTGGAGGATTCTCTGCAGAAGTAGCTTTTAAGCTGAGATCTGAAGCATAAGAAAGACCCAACCCTGCAGAAAGTCAGGGAAGAGCAACCAAGGCAGAGGGAACTAACAGCTTCTTAGTCAAAGACTTATTTTGAAACTCACGGGCCCATTCAATGATTAGAGGCTATGTTTACAAGGATGGGATGGCACTGTTGAAACTCCTCTGTGGGATGAATCCCTCTATAGGATGCTACCAGAGACCTTTTCCTCTTGCAATTTTTTGAAACTTTTAAATATTATATAGTCCTAATTATCAAGTTTGTTTTTTATAGCTAATAAATTTCCACAAATAAAAGGCAACAATTTTCAACTCCACATTAGTATTATGCACTTTTTAAAAAGCCTTTATATTTTTAGAGCAGTTTTAGGTTCACAGCAAAATTGAGAGGAAGGTACAGAGATTTTCCATACCCCTGTCCCTACACATGTACAGCCTCCCCAGCTATCAATAGCCCTCACGATAGAGGCACATTTCTTAAAATCAGTGAACCTATATTAGCACATCAAAATCACTCAAAGTTCATAGTTTACATTAGGATTCACTCTTGGAGCTCTACATTCCCTGGATCTGGACAAATGTGTAATGACATGTATCCACCATTATAGTATCATACAGAGTATTTTTACTGCCCTAAAATCCCATATGGATTGCCTGTTCATTCCTCCTCCCTCCCACTCTGCACCCAACCCCTGGCATCCACTGATTTTCTCTACTTTCTCCATAGTTTTGCCTTTTTCAGAACATCATATAGTTGGGATCGTACAGTAGGTAGCTTTTCAGATTGTCTTCTCTCACTTAGGAATATGCATTTAAGCTTCCTTCATGTCTTTTCATGGCTTGATAGTTCATTTCTTTTTAGTACAGAAGAAAATTCCATTGGCTGGATGTACCACAGTTTATCCATTCAAAGGACATCTTGGTTGCTTTTAAGTTTTGGCAATTATGAAGAGTGGCTATAAACACACATGTGCAGGTTTTTCTGTGGATATAAGTTTTCAGCTCTTTTGGGTAGATACCAAGGACCATGATTCCTGGATCGTATGTTAAGAGCTTCTTAGTTTGGCAAGAAAGTGCCAAACTGTTTTCCAGAGTGGCTATGTGCATGGAGACTGGTGAGAAATACAAAGGCATAAATGGGCAATTTAACCACTTTAGTGATAAGGAAACTACAAGGTACTCCCATATCATATTATTTAATTAGTGAGAGAGGACTAAACTAGCTAAAGGATTAAATTTTATATCATGAAATTTATTTTGTGGAAAATCTGCATTTTTCCCTCCAGTGATGAATGAGTGCTCCTATCACTCCACATCCTTGTCAGCATTTGGTGTTGTCAGTGTTCTGGATTTTGGCCCCTCTATGAGTGTATAGTGGTAGCTCAGTACGGTTTTAATTTGCATTTCCCTTATAACAAATGATAAGAGCATCATTTCATATGATTATTTGCCATCTCTATATCTTCTTGAAAGAGTTGTCTGTTGAGGTCTTTAGCCTATTTTTAAAATTGGTGATATAGTTTGGATGTGTGTCCTTACCCAAATCTCATGCTTAATTGTAATCCCCAGTGTTGGAGATGGGGCCTGGTGGAGGTGATTGGATCATGGGGGTGGATTTCTCATGAATGATGTTGTGCCTTCCCCCTGGTACTGTCTTCATGATAATGAGTTCTCATGAGATCTGGTTGTTTAAAAGTGTGTAGCATGTCCCAGCTTGCTCTCTTGCTCTTGCCATATGATGTGCCTGCTACCCCTTTCGTCTTCTGCCATGGTTATAAGTTTCCTGAGGCCTCCTCAGAAGCTGAGCAGATGTGAGCATCTTGCTTCCTGTACAGCCTGCAGAACCATGAACCAATTAAACCTCTTTTCTTTAAAAATTACTCACTCAGACATTTTTATGGATTAACACACTTTGATTGTTTGTTTTCTTATTGTTGAGTTTGAAGAGTTATCTGTGTATTTTGGAAGACAGTTTTTATCAGATGTGTCTTTTGCAAATATTTTCTCCCAGTCTGTTGCTTGTTTTCTCATTCTTTTGACAATGTCTTTTGCAGAACAGAAGTTTTACATTTGATGGGATATAGCTTATTATTTCTTTCATGGATTGTGCCTTTGGTGTTCTTTCTGAAAGTCATCAGTATTTCCAAGGTCATCTAAGTTTTCTCTTACATAATCTGGCAGGAATTGTATGGTTTTTCATTTTATATTTAAGTCTATAATTCATTTTGGGTTAATTTTTGTGGAGGATATAATGTGAGTATCTAGATTTATGTTTTTGCATGTAGATGCCCAGTTCTTCCAGAAACATTTGTTGAAAAGACTTATCTTTGCTCCATTGTATTATCTTTGCTCCTTTGTCAGAGATCAGTTGACTATATATATGTTGGACTGCTTCTGAGCTCTCTGTTCTATTTCATTGATCTATTTGTCTGCTCTTTGGCCAATACCATGCTGTCTTCATTACTGTAGTTTTATAGTAAGTCTTAAATTAAAGGAGTATCAGTCTTCCAACTTTGTTCTTCTTTTTCTATGTTATGTTGGCTATTTTGGGTCTTTTGCCTTTTCATATAAACTTTAGAATTAGTTTGTCACTATCCAAGAAATAACCTGTTGGGATTTTACTTGGTGTTTCACTGACATTGTTCATCAAGCTGGGAAGAAATGACACCTTGACAATAGTGAGTCTTCCTATCCATGAACATAAAATGTCTTTCCATTTACTGAGTTCTTAAAAATTTTTTTCATCAGTTTTTCAGTTTTCCTTATATAGATCTTGTAATATTTTATTAAAGTTATACCTAAGTATTTTATTTTGGGGAGGTGCTAATATAAATGGTATTATGTTGTTAATTTCAAATTCCACTTGTTCACTGCTGGTATATAAGAAAGGAATTGACTTTTTTATATTAACCTGTATCCTGAAACCTAGCTATAATTGCTTATTAGTTCCAGGAGCAGTTTTTTGTTGATATTTTCCTTTCCCAATCATTATAGTTTCTTTTCTCTTGTCTTGTTTTATTGCAATAGCTAGGACTTCCAGTATGATGTTGAGAGGAGTGGTAATGGGCTGGGTGTGGTGGCTTATGCCTGTAATCTCAACACTCTGGGAGGCCAAGGCTGGAGGATCACTTGATCCCAGGAGTTTTAGTGCTCTTAGTTTGAACTTCACTTTAAATTAATATACTTTATAATTTTCATTAAGTTTTAGTTCCTTGATTCCTAATATAACATCTTTATTTGTTCTATGTTAGTTCTATAATATGAAACTCCAACTGTTGTATCATTATCACTATTTTTCTTTCAATAACATTATCCATTTGTTAGCATAGAGGTTGCCTATATTGATGCCAAAGATGAAGGGTATGGAATTTAACACAAATTAAAATATATATGTGAGACAGTGTGTGAAAAGGGGAACTAGAGGATACGGATATTTAGTAGGTATAAATCTGTATTTTCTTTAGTGTCCATAGTTCTTTTAGTCTTTATTTTAGAAATCAGAAAAAAAAGATTTTCCCAATTATTCAAATGCTATTAATTTTCAACCCTTTGGGTGAGAAATCTGTTCATTCTCTTTTCTAAATCGAATGCTTCATGTCTTCATTTAAAAAATAGTAACAAAAATAAAATAAGTACTTTATATGGCATAAAGGAGATAAATAGATGTTAATGTCATGTTTCCCATATTGGTATGCAGAATTAAATAGATAGATTTAATAAGGAGCCTGGAATCTGTGATCATAAATGCCATTTAACCTTGAACTCTACTTTTATATACAGTTTTATTTCAAGAAGCAGGTCAGAAGTTATAAATACTGAGTGAGGAACATGTATTAAATGCCGATTACATTTGTTTGTCCTTAATTTTTAACTGGTTATTATGACTATTCAGCCTTTTAGGATGATTTTACATTCTTTTCTAGTGAGACAGAAATATTTGTCATGGATAAGTATCATCAAATGGAGAGGATTTATGGTAGCATTGTGAAATACTCCGACTGAAATTTAGTTTTCAAGTTGATTGGTTTTTTTTTAAGTAATTAAATTTAGGATCTTTGAAAATAGCTACAAGACTTGGGACAATTTTTAATGACTGTGGGGCATCAACAAAGGCTAATATATTTCCGATCTGGTGCTCAGGGAATAGAGCTTGCAGAACCCATGCTAATTTTGATAGTGGTTGCTATGTACTCAATTTCTTGCACACTACTTAAGAAGTATACCCCAAGGACTCATTCTGACTAAAATGTGAATGAAGCAGCTGCCCTGGGAGATTTTGATTCCAAACTATGTGTAGCTAAACACCTCATTTAGTTAAGTGAGACATCTGATATGTCAAAGTGTAACAAAGTTTCCTATTATGGAATTTTTATAATATAGTAACACATCCATTGCTTTAACTATTGAGAACTGATTTAATACTTTCACTGAATAGCACTGTATGTCGAATCCCAACTTGATAAACATGATCACGTTTAATATATTGGTGTCGAGTAATTCTCAGGATTCTTTCTGAAAGTTAACAAAAGTACCATCTAGCATATCCTTATTTTAGGAAGTAATATACTATTAAATATCATTTTAGATGTTCCTCTTACATATCAAGCAGAAGGAAGTCGGCAAGCTCTGAAAGTTTACTTCTACATTGATAGTTATCATTTTGAACAACTTCCTCAACGGCTGAAAAATGGAGGAGGGTTTAAAATTCATCCTGTTCTTTTTGCACAAGGTAAACTGTTTCTCTTTTGATGGCTGCTATACTTTAATTATTTTATCTTTATTAATGCTTTTATAAATGTGATTTTAACAGTTGGGATTTTTAAATTAATTTGAAAATATTATTTAGCCAATATATTTGCTTCTGGGAATGTTTATTAAGGAAATAATGCATGATTTAAATATTTACCAAATACAGTTGCAGCATTATTTATAGTGGAGAAATAAGACATGAGTGGTGTAGATAAAGATAAAATAATTTGGGTTAAATAAACTGCTTAAGTAAGTTAAATTATGGTAAAATCATTACAGTTTCATGGTTAAAATATTTTATGAGATAGAAAAAGTTAATATATGCATGCAGATTATTAAACAGAATTTATACTTTAGTCTCAATTATATCACACATGTATGTCTATACCTACATATATGTATGTTAAATGTTTTCAGTATCAATGGGTGGTTAAATTGATGCTTTTAAAATTCTTTATGTCAACTTTTCTTTTTGGTCAGAAAATATATATTCCTTTGTCATTTTGTTTTTTCCAAGAGTGACTATCAACATCTGCAGTAGAATAAATTAAGGTTAGCATGAGCAAGAAAATTCTTGTAGTGAGCTCTGTTTCTGAGGGAAGGTCTTGAATCTTTCTTATTTTGGGGTCATAAAATGCTACCTAAAAAAGATCAGAAGTCTTGATTATTGTGGCGTGTCCTCTAGTCTATTATTTCCCTCCACATTCTAAAAAAAATGTGTGTCATGTCACAAGATTGTATCAGTTTCTCTGAATGATACCATAGGGAATTTTATTTTTTTCTTCTTTTGAGTTTTCAAGAACTACATTGGTTTTGCTGTGGAATTTCAATGCTCTAATAAAAAATGAGAAGAGTAGAGGGAATAAAATGTATCTATCTATATAACTAAAGAATGGACAGGCATATGAAATCTAAATTCACTACTAAATGAAAATTTTGCATTATACCATGATATGGTTTGGCTGTGTCCCCACCCAAATCTCATCTTGAATTCCCGTGTGTTGTGGGAGGGACCTGGTGGGAGGTAATTGAATAATGGGGGTGGGTCTTTCCCATGCTCTTCTTGTGATAGTGAATAAGTCTCACGAGATCTGATGGCTTTAAAAATGGAAGTTTCCATGCACAAGCCCTCTCCTCTTATCTGCCACCATGTGAGACTTGCCCTTCACCTTCCACTATGATTGTGAGGCCTCCCCAGCCATGGGGAACTGTAAGTCCATTAGACCTCTTTCTTTTGTAAATTGCTCAGTCTTGGATATGTCTTTATCAGCAGCATGAAAACAGACTAATACATACCACGTGCATATTATTTTAAAACCCTGAATTCAATTACCATAGTTTAAAAACTGTGAGTACCTCAAATATACTTGGCAGGAATACATTTTAACAGATGAAGATTGCAGTGAAGAGATGATTTTAGGAGTTACTAGAAGGTATTTTCATTTCTCTTTGGAGGACTGTGATTTATAGACAGGGTCAGTGTAGGTAATCCAGATTCTATAATGAAAAGGAAGAGAACAAAAAAAGAAGCAGTGGGCAAAAATGGACCTTTGGAGACAAGTTAGAAGAATAATTTAATCTAAAATATGTTGGGCTAGTTGCGGTGGCTCACGCATGTAATCCTAGCACTTTGGGAGGCCGAGGCAGGTGAATCACCTGAGGTCAGGAGTTAGAGACAAGCCCAGGCAACATGGTGGAAACCTGTGTCTACTAAAAATACAAAAATTAGCCAGGTGTGTTGGTATGCGCCTGTAATCCCAGCTACTCGGGAGGCTGAGGCACAAGAATTGCTTGAACCTGGGAGGCAGAAGTTGCAGTGAGCCGAGATCATGCCACTGCACTCCAGCCTGGGCAATAGGGTGAGACTCTGCTTCAATAAATAAATAAATAAATAAATAGCCACTACAGGGATAGATAGTTTGAGAAGATAGGGATGGACGTTGGTCTGGAATGTTAACTTTTACAGGGTTTAGCCAGGACTTACAATTGTTAAAGACTCTTTTCCTTTATTTCTCTCTTTTCCTTTATTTCTCTCTTCTTAAAAATTTTGACTTTGAAATTATTACTGAGATGACAGATGGCACTAAGCATCTTTAAAAAAATTATTGCATCTATGACACATCAGCCATAAATAGCTGAATAATCATATCCAACAGCAAATGTACACATAGGCAAAAAATTATTTTGCAAGCAACCTCTATTTTATAACTTTGGCAAAAGCCAATTTAAAAATAATCCCTAAATATGTCTTATTTCAGTGAATATACTATAGCTTTTAAAATGTAATTTAAAGAAAAGCTATAGCAAACATTAGGTTTTGGTATGCTCACAGCAGCAAAATATGAAAAATGATTTGAATAAGTAACAGTAGAAATACTTCTACAGTTGAGGTCACAGATAGGTAAACAAGATGGAAAACATTCTGTACCATTAAAAATCTGTCAGTGATAAAGTTGTTTATTTAACGGGGGTGCAGAAGTTCTTCTGCCTTTATAAAACTCCCATGAGGAATCATTAGTAGCTTAGTATTCATAGATTGAGAGAAGTACAGGAAAATCAGACCTAGTTTGAGTAGAGATTACCATCTGGTAATTGAAGGCAGTGGTAAATGAAAGAGATTCCAAATGTCATCTCTTCCTGGAATGAAAGTTTATTTAAAGCATTTTAGTTTTGTATATACATGACTCTTTGCTAGCAAAAAAATAGAAGAAATGGATGAATTTGAAATTTTCCTAGGAAATTTACTAAAGTCAACCCTCCTAAAGTTGTCTGTGGTACCATATACTCAGAGTAGAACAGGAAGCAAATGCGTCACCCCTTTCTCATTTTCCTTGCCTCCATGGATCACTGGGAAAAGGAGGGCACAGTAGTTGATGGGGCATCCTTCAGAGATGGGACCAGCTATTAGATCAGGAATTTCAGGGTTGGAAGTGAGCAGGGTTGGCGGCCAATGTGTATTGCTGAAGGCAAGAACTGCGGAAGAACAGGAACCTAGGCAGACAAAAGTGATACAGATTTTCAAGGTAAGGAACACAGAAACAGCTGGTCAGGAAAGTAAGTGCAAAGCATAACCAACCAAACTGCTAGAGTGTGCCAATCACACTAAAACAATCTTCTGGCTGGTATTCCTAAGTGCTTCCTACAGGACAGGGAATGCTGTTGGGATCCCTCAGCCCTTGGTGAGATAAAGCAAGCAACTATAAGTTGGCAGAAAATGAGAGTACAAAGAGGATAAATATTCAGGGCCACTTCTCTACACGCTCCCCACTGACTAAATTTCCTGATCTGTCAGTGGTTTTCAGTACTTAGCTGCACATTAATGATCTTGGAAAGGTTTTAGAGAATACCCAGGCTCTGCCCCATGCAAAATCAATTAAGGCAGAATCTCTGAGAAGTGGAGCCCAAATACCAGGATATTTTAGAAGCTTTCCAGGTGATTCTGGAGTCCACCAAAAGTGAGAAACCACTCTAGGTCTGTGTGGATTATGAAACGCTGTGCAATTATCCAGCTAATCTTTATTTAATTAGACTAATTCATCTTACAAATGTTCAGCATGTCTAGATTCTGGGGAGCTGAAGCAAAGGGTCCAGGAACAATATAAAATATTTCTGCATGTTAGGTTGTTAGGATGCAGGCTGTCCTTAGGAGGAGGTGTGATCTTAGTGGGATAGTTTTCTCCAGCAAAGGCTGGAGAGTGAACAGCTGAGAGATGTCTGCTGCGGCTATCACAGCAGCCGGGCAATGAGCCCATCATTTCTGAGAGAGGATCTGAGCCAGTGGCTCTTTGAGCATCCTCTGTAGTCCATGCTTTGCACCTGTCAGACCCATGTCTTTGTGTAGGGACTGGGAGAGGCTTTTCCAGGACTCCCCTGGGCCTCCTTTCTGGATGGGGGAGGGGATAATTTAGGAGAGAAAAATTAAAAGGATTCGCTATAGCCCTTGCAGCCCCAGCTTGTCTACAGCTGCCACAGAGTCTCACTTTCCCTCTTCTGCTACCCATTGTAGATTAGCCTCACCCTCTGTCTGAACCTCTGCTGGTCTCTGTGGCTAAGCTGTGGCATGACCAATACCTTCATCCCGGAGGGGCTTGATCCTCTGATTACTCTACCCTTCTCAGACCAGGATTATTGCAGTTGTCCATTTATCATCAAATTTGTGCAAGGAAGTACTAAGAGGGACCCCAGTAGATACCTGGGTGCCAAACGTATTCCTTCTGGCTCCCATTGTGTAACAATAGCCCTACCTGCTTCTGATGATTAGGGTGGAGCAGCTTTGCCAAGGTGGCGATTGATCTTCTTGGCTGTGGGTGCCTTGGAAACCCACAGACCAAGTGTTTCAGGGATTGGAAGCTCACATTACCCAAGTGAGTCATTGGAAATGATGCGTTCATTTCCCAGTGCTGCCCTAGCAAGTTACCACAAGCTCGGTGGCTTAAAACAACAGAAATGTATTCTGCCACAGTTCTGAAGGTCAGAAGTTGGAAATCAGGATGTTGTCAGGCCATGCCTCCTCCTTCCTCTTTTGGCCTTTGGTGTCTTCCAGCAGTCCTTGGCATTCCTTGGTTTGTGGCAGCATAACTACAATCTCTGCCCCTATCCTCACACGGTCTTCTTCCCTCTGTGTGTGTCTGTCTCTGTGTTTCTACATACAAATTGCCCTCTTCTTATAGGGGCACCAATCATTGGATTTGGGCCTATCATAATTCAGTAGGACCTCATTTTAATTTGGCTACATCTGCAAAAACCCTATTTCAAAATAAGGTCAGGGCTGAATGTGATGGCTCACACTTGTAATCCCAGAACTTTCTGAGGCCAAGATGGAAGGATCACTTGAGCGCAGGAACTTGAGACCAGCCTGGGCAACATAGTGAGACCTCATCTCTTAAAAAAAAAAATTAGCTGGTTCTGGTGGCACACACCTGTAGTCCTACGTATTCGGGAGACTGAGGTGGAAGGATCACTTGAGTCTAAGAGGCCGAGGCTGTAGTGAATTATGATAGCACTACTGCACACCAACCTGGGCAACAGAGTGGGACCCTATCTCAAAACAAACAAAACCAAAAATAAGGCCACATTTGTAGGCCCCAAGGGGTTAGGACTTTGTCATCTCTTTTTGTGGGCACATACAAACCTCGACAGATGTTAAGCACGGTCATTTCTGCTTTCACCCTTGGTTCCTGGACCTGGGTATTCTACCTCTCAGGAATGTGGCATCATATACAGGTCTTTGAATATATATAGTGAATATAAAGTGTCCTGAAGTATAGCATCCCTTCCTTGTAAAGTGTTGTTAAATACCTATTTCCTGGGTCTCCTGATGGTAGTTTGCCTTAAACCAAATAGGATATGTGATGCTGGTCTTTTCTCTGCCAGCATGCTCTTGAGTATTCTCTTTTTTTTAACCTCCTATGAAAAAAAAAAAAGCTGCCACCCAAACCAACCACCCCTAAGTCTTACCTCTTGACAAGGTATCTTTCTTTGCTCTGAGAATAATAAAAATCACATAGAAACTTGAGTGCTTTCTCTTTTAAATGAAAGGGGACGTTTTGTTATAAACATTGTCATTTTCTAAGTGCCCTTTATTCAATTTTTTTTCTCCTAAACTCTTCTTAAGGCTCTTTAAAAGATAAATCTTGGCCAGGCGTGGTGGCTCACGCCTGTAATCCCAGCACTTTGGGAGGCTGAGGTGGGTGGATCACGAGGTCAGGAAATCGTAGCCATCCTGGCTAACACGATGAAACCCCGTCTCTACTAAAAATACAAAAAATTAGCCAGGCCTGGTGGCGGGCATCTGTAGTCCCAGCTACTGGGGAGGCTGAGGCAGGAGAATGGTGTCCCGGGAGGCAGAGCTTGCAGTGAGTCGAGATCACGCCACTGCACTCCAGCCTGGGCGACAGAGCGAGACTCCCTCTCAGAGAAAAAAAAAAAAAAAAAAAAAGATAAATCTTTTAGTTTTCCATTTGGGTTTTACACAATATTTATAATTGAAACAATATAGCTTTTTTACAAAAGAAGAAATCGTTTCCAGGATGGAGATTTCCAAAATGTTAGGAGTCTGTGGGAAGGTGTAAACCCACCTCTCTTCAGACAGCACGGTTCCAATCAGCCTAGTTGTGCCAGCTCCTATTGGAGGAGGATGGGAGGTTTCACGACGACTC
This sequence comes from Homo sapiens, assembly GCF_000001405.40. Lineage (NCBI taxonomy): Eukaryota > Metazoa > Chordata > Mammalia > Primates > Hominidae > Homo > Homo sapiens. The sequence continues at coordinate 68,152,531 of NC_000008.11, forward strand.
AATGGCCAATTAAATGCTTTCAAATTCATAGTTTATTGCAAGGATTTCACACACCAACAATCATGCAAATATACTCAATGCACACAGGCAGACATAAAAGAGAGGGGGAACAAACCATGGTGAGTAGCTCAGGAGGCCCGCAGGCTGACTGAGGCACAAGGAAGGCCTGGATTTCCCTGGAAACACTGACCAGCAAGGGGATGGGGGTCCCTGCTCATCTCCTGGCAGAGCTTCTAGCAGCCACTACCAATGGCGAGGAGGCCTCAGAGTTCTCCTGGCAAAGCTTCTGCAGGCATCTCAACTATTGTCAGTTTCTTGCTGTTTTTATGGATCTCCACAGGAGTGTGTCCGTAGTCATCATCTCAGCCCCTTTAGCTTCACTTTCCTGTGGTGTCTCTGAGGTGCCTGGCCATGGGAGGTGTCATCTTATCACCTCAGTCCACCATACATGTGCTTATCACTTTGAAGGGTCAGCAGTTTCACTGTGGGCTGAGTGACTTGTCATAAATGACTCCATTTCAAGACATTTAGAATCACAAAACATTATTATGTATCACACGGCCATTCTCACATGTCATAATGGGATCAACAAATCTTGCTTCTCTCCCAATAACTGGGACCAATTCTGAGGAATTATGACCCATGGTGACCATTTCTGGGGAATTCTAGCAGTGCGTGTGCTGTGTCTTATTTAACCAAACAAGTGTGCTATCAAAAGAGAATGTTAGCAGACTGACACTGTTCTTAAAATTATTCTTCAGAGATTCTATGTTTTTCCTGATTAATCTCTTTCTTGGGAAAGCCTTGAAAGGTATTTTGAGTAAGTGGAAATGTAGCCCGCTTCAGTCTAAGAATAATTTAATCTTTAATTTTCTCTAACATTCATTAGGTTTTCCTTTTTTGCTGACTACCTAAATTTAATGGAATGTTTTTCTTCCTCTACTTGAAAAGTAGTAGAAGTAAATAAACTAAATATTCAACCAAGTATGTTGATACTGCTTTTGAGAAATATATTATTTTATGGATGAGAACTAAGGAAATTAGACAAGGAAATGCCAAATTTAACATGTTTGAAATTAACATGTTATTTAATTTGGTAGAATGTCATTCTGGGTTTTTTATAACAATAAATAAACAAGTTGTTTAGCTAAAATAGGGAATGTTGTCATCTTTCCTCTTCTCTGTCATACAAATTTTAGTTTTTAAATATAAAACTCATCTTTTTTTGTTCATTCCCCACAACCCTATACATGTGACACAGAATTCTTACTAAGACTCTTGGCAAAATTGTTAGGCACTTTTCCAATTTTTAAAAAATGTTATGTGATTGTGAATTTTAACTGCCTTGTTAATTTGGAATAATATTGTCAAAAATGTAATGAAAATGGAAATTTATGAGATTGTAGAAGTATTCATTAAAATTATATTAAATTATGTTTACATACTTGTTCTTATATAAAATTTGGGACAGGACTGGCCATTCTGGCCAAAGTTGAACCATCAAGATCTTTACAAAAATTAGTTCCCAGGTGGTTTCCCCCAAGCCCTCTCCCCTCACAGTTCCACTGCTGTGCCATCCCACTGTTCTCCTTCCTGTCTTTCTGGTTTTAAGTCACAAATCAAAGTGTTTTTGCATGGACCCTTCTCTTAGTCCTACAAACTTTGTGTTTGGCTAAGCACACTCTGCATAATCAGTATCTCTTTGGAATTAAATTAGGTAATACCTGTACAGCATTTGGCATGTTGCCTAGTAAATAAAACTCATTCAATAAGTAAGAATACTCATGAGCTGTCTTAATACTAGTATTTAATTAAATTCTTTCTCATTAACCATAATTAGTAGGTACTTTTATGTTGCAAGTCAAAAATGCAGAACCTGAGAATCTCAGATATTAATTACCTTGACCAAAGTCACACAGCAGAAACTGGAATTTTACTCTAATACATCAGCTTTCCAGCTGTTAAGAGTAATTTATCTTGAAGTATGACTATTGACAGACTGAATCCTCCTGGGATATTTACCTTTCCTAAATAGCAGCTTGTGAACATGGCATGTATTTAAGGATTATTTTATCAGGGAGAGTTTCTTTTATTTCCTGTGTGTATTCAGGACCAGAATTTCGTTGAGCCAGTTACAACTATTCTAATTAACGAAGATGTAGGCTCTAAGAGAGAAAGCCTGTCCTTTTCCCTTTGAAGGGTTGCTGAAAATGAACTTGCAATAGGCAGATTAATAAGGAGACAAAGCATACAAAATTTATTGAATGTGCACGGGGCAAAATCATGGGAGAGTGATTACCCAATAATTCAGTGAGGTCCAGATACTTATATACCCTTCTTCATAGGCGATGGGAGAGGTGGGGAATGTAGGAGGCAGTAAAATGTTTATTAGGGAGAATGAATGGGCCCAAGAGACAGAAATTAACTTGTAAATGATTGTCTTGGAATTTGAATGAGCTGGAGAAATAGATATTATCTTGTGGGAAAAGTCCTTCTAGGTGGGTTACATTCCACAGTCTTCTTTTCTAGGATAGATAATGAGATTTCCAGGGAGGGTAGGGAAAGCAATTGTGTTTTCTTTTGCAGGTCTAGTCTTAAGGTAGATAGGGCATATCAGAGAAAAGCCTCATCCAATATCTGCTGACTTGCAGAAGCCTTTAATTTAAAGTAATCAGTATACCAAAGTGTCATATTTTAAGGGTAAAGTTTCCTGGGCTCCTTCCCAGAAGCCATAAGAAATAAACAAATTAAAAATCTGTGAAACAAGCACACAAATTTCATTTTCTGTACTGAAGTAAATGTAGTATGTTTTCTCCCTAATCTTCCACAATTGCTTTTCTCAAGTATAAACTGGTTTTTTAAATTTCCATTTAAAAAAAATCTGCAAATTTGACATGGATCTTTAAAATTTTATTGTTTTTCTTCAGTGTTCTGGAATTCTGACTAGTTTAATAAAACTATAGCACAGCTAAAATGAGCAGTCAGTTTCCTATTTCCCCCCCTCAAAATGGTGATAGTTTCTTTCACTTTAAAGAAATCTCGTGATTTAGTTTAGAAACTAGTGCATTTAGCAGTCTTGAAAGAAGATTGTTTTGAATTTTGAAATTGTTTATTAAAAATTGAGGCTCATAAGTAGTGATGCATTTCAAGGGAAAATAATTTACATTTCCAACTTGGATCCATAGCCATTCCTGTTACTGGCAACCTTTCCACAGGAAATCTTGTATATCTGGGCCCTTGTCCTGTGATTTATTTCCTCTCCAAAATTTTTTAAATGATACCTCATAAGGGTTAAAGGAAAAATACTGAATCAAAAATGTTATTAAAAAGGAAATTTATATGCTTTTCAAAATACATTTAAAATTAGTGAGATATTATAACTAAATTGACAATTTGAGTAGAGGTGATTTTCTAAGATTTCAATTTATACTTTTTATTACATTAATATTTCTTAATGAAGGTTATACAAGAATGTGAATATGCATGGGGAGTGAAAATTTCCATTTTTTTACTCTGACATGTTTTTGTTGTTGTTACTGTTGTTTTAGAAGACAGAGTCTTACTCTGTCCCCCAGACTGGAGTCCAGTGGCACGATCCTAGCTTACTGCAGCTTCAAAATCCTGGGCTCAAGTTATCTTCCCACTTCAGCCTCCTGAGTAACTAGGACTACGGGTGCATGCCACCATGCCAGGCTAATTTTTTAACTTTGTTTTTTTAGAGACAGGGTCTCGCTATGTTGCCTAGGCTAGTTTTGAACTTCTGACCTCAAATGATCCACCAGCCTTGGCTCTCAAAGTGCTGGAATTATAGGCATGAGCCACTGTGCCAGGCCTCTGACATACGTTAATGCACAGTTCTGCCTCTCATACATATGTTGCGAATATGTACATATATGTGTCATATGTAATAGACGTGTGTGTATAAATATCAAATACATTGGAAGTGTGAGTTTAGCTTCACAAAGAATGTTGTAGGGGAGGAAAAATAATTTTCTCTCTACCTTTCATAGTTCTTCGTTGGGATGGTCCCCATAGCAAAAGACAAGTTAACAAGAGAAAAACAAACAGAAGTTTAATAACAGGTATACCTCATGTATACATGGGAGATACCTAAGGAATAGTGACTAAATCTGAAAGAGGTAGCTTTGAACTTAGGCTTAAATATAACCATTTTCTACTGAGAAGAAGGGTCTAGGGAAGGCCCAGTTATGGGGAGGTGACCAGGAAAGCACCATAAAAAAAAGGGTAAGATTTGTTGTGCAGATAAAACTATCTGTGATCATCTTCCTTCTCTTCCTAGTACAGAGGGGGAGACACTGTTACAAGTAGAGGTTTCCTTTATGGATGTAAATTTTCCTTATCAAAGGGAAACTTCTACTCGGTTTTCAGAGTTTCTCCTGTGTCTGCGTGCAGTTTCTCAAAATAACCAGATCAAAATAATCCTTATGCCAATGAGGCATATTTTGGGGTGATATATTCTGGTCTCCTACAGTTATATTTTGGAGCGGCATATTTTGGGCTCCCACAACATATACAAAATGTTTTAAAAATAGAGGACAGTTAAACCAGAAATTTTCTTTGCCCATTGGACAGAAAAATCACCAAATGTTTGATATTTATTTTGAGAGCAGAACAGTTTTCATTCATTTTTGGACCTAACATAGTTTTTTTGCATATATGTTGATAATTGGTCCTATTTGCTAAATTTACTAATAATCAATAAAATTATACTACACGTGGAGAAATTGAGTTATAAAGTTGCTTGTAAAATATGTTTACTTGTTTACACAGCACTAGAGAGCATGGAAGGATATTATTACAGAGACAATGTTTCTGTGGAAGAATTTCAAGCTCAGATAAATGCAGCCTCACTGGAAAAGGTCAAACAGTACAACCAGAAGCTCAGGTATGTAACAATCCAACTGAAAAATAATGAGTGTCTATATTTTGATAGAAATGTATTAATAGGACTTTTGATGCTATTTATCATATTAGATTATTAATGACATTTCTTTTGATATAAATTCCTCGGATTTAGGGTTTAATATTTTAAATATTCTAATTTGTTATACTTTTTCCCAGTAAAAATAATTAAGTAAAAGTGTGTTGGCATTTTTATGCAAATTTAAAAATTTCTGAAGAGATAAAGAGAAGGGGTTAAATATGTAGTAGACCGTTTCCAAGAAAGAAAATCACTGACATATGTTATAGTGGTGTCCCCTATAAGATTTATTGGATTAAGGGTAAAACAGGTTTCTCTATGTACCACCAAATAGCTGGCACCCCCACACAGAGAGAAGAATATGTGTTCAGCATGGAAGATATGATTGATCATGTGCTTGGTATTGGAAAAATATGTACTTTCAAATGTGTCCCTTAATGCTTGCATTTTACTGTCTTTTTCCCCCCAAAAAATAGTGTTACTGGTACAATGATAAATGACAGGGAAAATTAACCACAGTAAGTGAAAAGAAATGTGTTATAATTCAAAAGCTTTATTTGTCAACAAATTATTAGTGTATGTGTGTGTGAATATATATATGTATATATATATTCACATATATATGTGTATATATATGTGTGTATATATATGTATATATATATACACACATATATGAATATATATGTGTATATATATTCACACACACATATCTCCTTCTTATCTTATGAATTACCCTGTTGACAGATCACTTTTAAAAACTTAACAAATTAAGGCTTTTATTTTTAAAAGAAAAAATATTTTTGTTCTATCTTGAGCCTTAATAAATCAAAAATACTATTTTGACATTTTTAATTTTTTGTCCTGTCAACTTAAAAGGAAGAACCTGAGACAAAATTAGTATAAGTAGAGAGTTTATTTGGGCCAAGCTTGAGAATTGCAAGCCAGGAGCATAGATTCAAATTGCTCTGAATGTTCACTCAAATTAGCAGCAATTACAAATAGATTTTTAAAGGAAAAAATGGGAGACAAGGAGTGAGCTGATACAAAGTTGTTTGTCAGGCATTCTCACTGATTTACAGAAATAACATTGACAAGTGGTTGGCTATGCATTGTTAAGCTCTAGGGTGTGGGTTGTAGCATCAAGTGTGGCATCTTTATGTTAAGTTACAGCTACTTATGGTGATAGCCAGCAGTTTCAAGAGATAAATACATAGCGCAAAGGGACTAGGAGGATGTAATTGCTGTTTCATTTTAATGTCTCTCTGGGCCTGTTAATTAAAATAGCTTGCATTCCTCAGATGAAAGTTATTTTCTTCTCTCATTTCCCCCTTTTGATCAAAAATCTTTCTTCTTAACAGCATTGATGATCAAAATTTGAGTTTCAAGGTGTCCATCATCAGGAAGGCTCATTCCCAAGTAGTTCTGTCAAAGTCATTGATTTATGGCTGCTGTTGCTTGTTGAATCGTAGCTAGACTTCAGAGTATCGTCAATTTAGTTTCATCAGAAGAAGGAAAACAACAAGAGATAGTGGAAATATAATCCATGTAAGGATTATAACTAAAAATAAAATTTGAATGCCAGAACAGCAACAAAGACAGAACTATTCCATTAGGCAGTCAACTAAAAATATCATGAAGAAAATTAAATCCAGGTTCTTCTTTAGAGACTCATAGCTGGGAAGTAATTCAAGATTTAATCCAAATTGTAGGCAAATAATAAAACTCAAAAACAATGGACAAGACTAGAATCTAATAACCGGCATACTATAGTTTTTTTCTGAAACATTTTTTCTTTATCCAGTTCTCCATTTTTACCAAAGACAAATCTTAGTTGAACCAATTTATTTGCAAAATAAGTTTTAGTGTTATGATGCTTTGCCTACTTATTTGCATAAAGTGCAAGAAGAATAGTGAATGGCCATATAGTCTCTTTTAAGTTGGCTTTACCGGGACTTCCACAGTAGCTTTAGATTCAGCTTTTAAAAGCCCCAAGGCCAGCCAATCCAAGGATTTGCCCTCAGACTGTCTGCAGTACTTGTAAAAAATGGGTGAACTCTGCTCTTCTTGAGATCCCAAAATAACCTGAGTTCCTGGTCCTGTCAGAAAGTGACATTCTTTAGTTACCATGAGGACAGAAACCTTATAAAGGAATTGTGCAGACAAAGTACCAGACCAGTCTTTCCAAGGGTTTTTTTAATTGGCTCTATAAAGTCCACATCAATTCCTCAAAGCAGTCTGATTATATCTGAAACTATGCCATTCCAGTCAAAGTTTCAGTAAAAGAACCAGTATATCTAATTATGTATCTTAAAAAAGAATACAGATTTTTGTTGAATTTATATAAACAACTACATTGCTAGAAATTAAGAGTACTCACAAATAGTTCCCAAATTTTGGAGAAATGTGATACAGAGAAAGTCAATTGTTTTGGCTTTACTCACAAAAGTATACTTCACCCAATTGCTATAAGCTGTAAATGGCTCACAAAGAAAAAAAATAGTTTTCTTGACTCTAGAAAATAAAACATAAAAAGCATCAGCAATATCTCAAACAAAAAAATCATTAAAAATTATTTTAGTCCTCTATTAGTTTAGTCTCATGGAATTAATTCTTGTTCCACTTGATGTTGGGTTAGCAATTCTCATGAACATATCAGCTCTTCAGTTAGAATCCTGGAAGTTTTTTCTTAGTCCAATGGTATGATCTCCAAGTAATCAGAAACCTATATTCACATCAGTCTTTTCCATCCTTGCATGAACTTCTTTGAAGACACAACACTTTAGAATTTTACTTGCTTGTAGAGATCTTTTAGAAGATGCATCAGAATTAAGTAATTAACTGTGCAAATGACTTAAAATCATCATAGTTATATATACAATTGAAAAGTAAATTTGTTTATGTCTGTGGCCTATAATAATTTAACATAATAAGCATAATTATCACTGATAACATATATCAAGGCAAACCAGAATTTTAGAAAGCTCATATAATTTTAGGACACATATTACTAACACATTTATATAAATATACCCAAAGAATGCTAAACACCATTTCTTATTTGATAGTACTTCCTGTATGAATGTAATATACCAAATAAGCCTAATATGTCTGTCTTGGACTTACAGGGGTTACTTTGGGAAACACAGTTTTAGAATTTGAAATGTGATTTGAGGAAGTATGTCAAATATTAAAGGTTTAAAACATTTGTTCAAAATAGGATCATAAGTAACTACAAAATGAGATTCATTTAGCCAAAATGATAATTCCAAGATTTCAAAAGGCAAAAATCTTTATTCTTTGATAGAGAGAAGACTTAGTTTTTCAAAAAATCAAAATACCTAATAAAGACAGTATGAGACCAACAGAATCTTTCTCTTTTTTGACAGTTTACTCAAAAGGTAAACAAAAGATTTTTATTATCTCATTAATATTGTGTAAAAATCCTATTCAAAAGAAAATACCAAGTTCTACCTTTGCATCAGTGTATTATTAATGGTAAAGTTATTTTAATAAAACCTTATAAACAAATCCATCCAATCTTAATCAGCTTTGACCACACAAGATAAGATTTTCATAAACCTTTTATAACCTTTTAAAATTTTCTTTTCTTTTCTTTCTTTCTTTCTTTTTTTTTGGGGGGGGGACAGAGTCTCCCTTTGTTGCCCAGGCTAGAGTGCAATGGCATAGTCTTGGCTCACTGCAACCTCTGCCTCCTGGATTCAAATGATTCTCCTGCCTCAGCCTACCAAGTAGCTGGGACTACAGGCACTTGCCACCACGCCCGGCTAATTTTTGTATTTTTAGTAGAGATGGGGTTTCACTATGTTGGCCAGGCTGGTCTCGAACTCCTGACCTCGTGATCTGCCCACCTCAGCCTCCTAAAGTGTTGGGATTACAAGCGTGAGCCACCATGCCTGGCCTAAAATTTTCTATTAGAGAGCAGAACAATGCTCTAAGAAAACCCTGTTATTCTAATAGCACGCCCCAGATCCTGACCCTGCATCAGTGTGCTTTTAATATTAATGTTAAGTTTTTAGAAAAACTAAATAATCCCCTTTTAATTTCAGCCAACTTGATCACACACAAAATTTCTTTCACAAGATCCATCTTCCGCAAACCTTCTACAGCTTGCTTAAAACATCAGTTGTATCCTACATTTTACCATAGGACAAAAATTTACTTTCCCTTCTCCCTTATTGTGACCATATAAAGTTCTCTCTCAAGTAAAAAAAAAAAATTACTCTATCTTTTCAACTTTCTTTACATCGTATTTTCTTTATATGTTCTGTATATAGACATGTTTCTCTTATATCTGGTAGTTTTAGTTACACATACTGATTACAGTTTGCATTAGTTTGTTCTCATACTGCTAATAAAGACATACCCAGGACTGGGTAATTATAAAGGAATGAGGTTTAATTGACTCACAGTTCCATATGGCTGGGGAAGCCTCACAATCCTGGTGGAAGGCAAGAAGGAGCAAGTCACATCTTACATGGCAGCAGGCAAGTGAGAGAGAGCATGTGCAGGGGAACCCCCATTTAGAAAACCATCAGATCTCTTGAGATTTATTCAATATCATGAGGACAGCATGGGAAAGACTCACCCCCATAATTCAATTACCTCCCACTTGGTCCCTCCCACAACATGTGGGGATTATGGGAGCTAGAATTCCAGATTTAGGTTGGGACACAGCCAAACCATATCACAGTTTTAACCTAGTCACTAATTTTCAGTGAAAAACCTAAAAAGTAAGTAATTTTGAACGATTTTATACTAGTATTTTTTGATGAAAACCATTTTATAATTCCTTAGAAAGAGGTTTTCTCAATTTCTGTTTACTAACAGATCTAAATATATTTAGTTTTACTATGCCATATAGAAATATGATATTAAAGTATATAAATGTGAATTTATGTTTAACAATTAATGTTTCAGTATTTTAACTTACTTAGAAATGACTCAGACATTTTATGATTAGCTATTACTTAATTTAACATAACACAATCTTAAGACTTTTAAATTACTGAAAAGAATTAGGAAATTATGAAACAGGTACCCTCTATAATGTCTTCCCCAGTTGTCCTAGGTCCCTAATATTTACATGGCATCCAAAGATGGCAATGAAGAGAATGGCTCACCTGGTTCCTGAATTTCCACACCAAGTACAGAGCTCAGAACAGAGGAGAGAGCTGTGAAGAGTATGATTGGAGGATCGGACCCCTCCCAGCATGGCCAGGAGGAAAAGCTGGGCCAGGGAGAAAGAGGCCATGTTAAGCTTTATTTTGCATTTTAGTTGGTGGTCTAGGCTCTGAGGACTTGTCCCCAGACCTCACTGTGGCCATCTGTCCAGATCCCAGATCTACATGCTCAAATCCAAAGACATAAGCTCACAGACAAATTAAGCAAATATTTTAAAATATCATACAAGCTACAGTTTTATGACCTTAAAATATCTAGCAGAGATAGTATAAACTTGTCTGACCAGCAAACACAGACAAAAATGTCCAAATTATGAAGCTCTTCCTATTTTATTTTACCAACAATTTTTAAATTATCTTTATTTACCAAAGATTACTAAAATCGTGTGAATTTGAAAAGCATTTGGTCTAGTTATTTAATTTATGGGTACACTTATGTACAAGCCAGTTTGGTGTTATAGACAACATACAAAAAAAAGATGTGTACACATGTATACACAAAAATACAGGCAGTCATAAAGATCTTATAGGTTTAGTTTTAAAACTTTAGCCATGAGTCAGATAAAACTCTCTAGTTTAAAAGGACAGTTGTATTCAAACTGTGTCTTTGTAAATGGAAAAGGTTAAAGTTTATCTGTTTCATGTGGCTGAAGCCCTTACTGAATTTTAGAGAAACAGGGTAGCAAATTTGCATCTCAAATCAAAGATAGAAAATGTAATATTTTTAAAGAATGAATTTGGGTATGTTAGAGGAAGGTTAAAAATGAATTTCAAGGTAACACAAAATCATAGGAATTTACCATAGAATTTCATAAGGAGGCCAATTTCATTTAGATAGGTAGCTTTTAATTTAGTGTCTGTTTTCCAAATGGGCTTAAGGTGGAGCCCATTAAGGAACAGGGTCAACAAAGTATTTGCAGTTTTTAAAGCTGAATAATTTAAATACGTGAAAAGCAGTCACAGTTGGAAGGCAGAGCAATTAGATTTTTTTAAATCAAGCATTCTAATTTTGCACTGAATCCTGGATTCTCCCCTCACAAAGAAAGGGAAACACCATGGGACCAGGCCAAGCAATGCTTCTACAGTGCACTGTGCTACAAAGACATTTCTCCAAGGTTTAAACCTCACCTGTCTCATCTAAACTCCCAAGGAAATGAGTAGTGTCCTGTAGCAATAACCATTTATTGTAAACAATAGCCCTCAGCCACCTCCAAAACTGCAGTTCTGCCAGTGACTCTCCAGTCATCACATACACCAAGGTCAAGTTCTCTCTTAGTACAAAGTAATCTCTGGTAGTCCTGAAAGCCAACGAGATCAGGTAACACAGTACAAAAGACGGCGGTAGGGTATGAGACCTCAGACGAATCTGTCCATGACTCTCTAGACTTTACAGGAAGACAGATGACCCAAAAAAGGGGTCAGTGGCACCTTTTTCTGTGTTTCTTAAACAGTCTGAGTCATTAGATATCTCTCCCAGATCATTTTATGTGGTACCTAAGATGGCAAAGAGGAAAAAGGAGTCAGGAAAGAATAGAAGTAAACAATAGAACAATTTTTAAGAAAGAAAGTAAGCAGAGGGAACCAGCAGATAATTAATGAAGGATTTCCATCCACAGGAAAATAGTAGTCCCCAAAACAGGATCCAAAGAGAAAAAGCAGAAAGGCCTTAATATGTATTATATATATATATATACACACACACACATATATATACACACACACTATATATATTAATATATGTATATAATGTGTTTGTGTGTGTGTGTACTTGAATATCAGCTTTTAGTCAAGCTGACTTCTGACCATAGCATCCTTTTAAAAAATACATTTTAATAAATCTTTTATTATCAGATTATAGCCAAGAAAAACAGCTGGTGATCTGGCTTTTTTTTCTTTCTTTTTTTCTTTTTTCTTTTTTTTTTTTTTGAGACAGAGTTTCACTCTTGTTGCCCAGGCGGGAGTGCAGTGGCACGATCTTGGCTCACCTCAACCTCCACCTCCTGGGTTCAAATGATTCTCCTGCCTCAGCCTCCCGAGTAGCTGGGATTACAGGCATGTGCCACCACGCCAGGCTAATTTTGTATTTTTAGTAGAGGCAGGGTTTCTCCATGTTGGTCAGGCTGGTCTCGAACTCCCAACCTCAGGTGATCTGCCCGCCTTGGCCTCCCAAAATTCTGGGATTACAGGTGTGAGCCACTGAGCCCGGCCAAACCTTTTTTTTTTTTTTTTTACCAAAGGCACTCTCCTGAGTAGCAAAGTCAAAAGTCACAAAAATATTAAACCAAAAGGAGCTAATTCCCTAATCAGGAGTAAAACCCAGGCCCTGGTGGTAAAAGCACAAAATCATAGCCACTAGACCACAGAGTACAAGGCTTTCTTACTTTTGCCTTTTTTTTTTTTGGTTTTTAAATCTTGCTGGGTATTCAAAGCAGCCTGTTTGAGCATTTAGAGGATTTTAACTTGATTCAGATGTAATCTCAGCAGGAGTGCTGCCTCAGCTCATTCCCTGGATGTTAGCATTTCAACATCAGCATCAATAATTCGTCTTGGTTTAAAGAAAATGGTCGGATCTACATGTTTATAATCTCAGTACTTTTATTTTCATTCATTTCCCCATTTTAGACTATTAGTCTTTTAATTACCTGTTATATCGACCTAAGCAATTGTCAGCTAGGCAACAAAGGTGTATTTTGGAGACCCATCTTGTTCATTGGGTGGTGTTTTTATTCATTTATTTATTTACTTAAGTTTCTCTTTTTTTATCCCCCATCCCCTCGGTGTTTTCACGGACGGGTTTTTTAGTTGAGCAAAGAATAGTTTGAGAACCAGGCATTCCCCAGAACCAGAAGTTGCTCACAGCGACTCCAGGACTGGAGTCACTATGTCACAAGAGGAGTTTCAGGGAGGGAGTCAAACACCTAGGGAATTCCCTGTGGTGGTGGTGATGGGTATGTACTGTTTACCTCCTGAATGGAGGCAATTGTCTCAGGATTTCTTTTAGAAGTTTTTTTTTCAGTACCATTGGAAGTAGGTCTTTAATTATCTGGTTCCAAAACCAGCTTTTTCTTATTGTGCACAAAAATAAATTATTTTAGGTATTTCAAAAGATCCCCAGTTTTGGCAAGGTTTATTGTTTGACTATTCTATGTTAGGTGGGTCCACTTTCCTAGATATTTACAAGAAGATGTCCATAGTGTTATATATAAATTCAGCTGATGTTTAATAGGAGTTGGTCACAGATGAAAAATGAAGCCCAAATTTCAAAAATAGGAAAGTATCTGCAATGTTTTAAAGCATGCTGTGTAAAACCAGACCACTGGTGCCTAACTGGCAATCCTTACCCAAACCTCTGCTATAGACAGGGGCAGGAAAACTTTGACCTGAAGACCCTGGTCCTGAGACAGGCTGAAGGAGGCAGTTCTCTGCAGAGCTCTTTGCCTGAATCATCTGTCTAAAGACAGAGACTGAAGCCCTCATTCGTAAAGGAAAGAGAGAGGGTTTGAAAAACAGCCCAAATAAAGTATAGACCTTTGACCAAAGACTGGGAGGTCTGAATTCAGGTGAACTCACCTGAAACACCCAATAGGACTTCTGAAGATGGAATGTTTGTGCTGGTACCAAGCCCTGCTTTCAGAGAAAAACACCAGGTGGTCCGGGGGAGTCACTCTGAAATCTGCCAAGTTATGCCAAATATGTCGACCTAAAAGGAAGAAACGAAAGCAAAATTAATATAAGTAGAGAGTTTATTTGGGCCAAGCTTGAGGATTGCAACCTAGGAGCATGGATTCAAGTTGCCCTGAATAAACACTTTGATTAGCAGCAGTTAGGAGTGGATTTTTAAAGGGAAGAAAGGGGGATGGGGAGTTAATCTTGACTTCTTAAGAAGTATGTCTACTGACTAAGAAACATTGATTTAAGAAGTTTAAGTCCAATCTTGCAAAAATCTTTCAATTGTCAATTGTCATCACAAGAGAAATTTTGCCTTGATATCTGACAAAATATATTCTTCTGTGGCTGGATGCAGTGATTTGTGCCTATAATCCCAGCACTTTGGGAGGCTGAGGTAGAAGGATCACTTCAGCCCAGGAGTTCAAGACCAGCTTGGGCAAATAGAGAGACCCTGTCTCTACATTTTTTTTTTAATAGCCAGGTGTGATAGCCCAGTTATTCCAGAGGCTGAGGTGGGTGGATGCCTTGAGCTGTGGAGGTCAAGGCTGCAGTGAACTGTGATCATACAGTGCAGCACTCCAGCCTGGGTGACAGAGAAAAAAAATCAAAGTTAAAAATTTATTCTTGCGTTAGTTTTAAACAAAATGCAAAATTAAAGCATTTGTAGAGAACTTGTAGCTCTGAGAATATAACTCTTGACTCCAGTTTAAGAAAATGGGTCTACATCATTGCTGTAGCAATTTAATCTCCTTGTTGGGAAGAACCAGAGTTGTTTGAATTTACTGAGAATTTTGCTTCCAAATAATAATTTTAAGCCACGATTCACACTGTGTCACTGTCCTGCTCAAAGCGCTTTAGTGATGTCTTATTCCCACCTCCTAAAAAAGTCACAAACTCCTCAGCATGGCAGTTGGGATCTTTCATGACTTGGCCCAAGATTGCTTTTGTCTACTGTCTATGGATGCATCAGCAATGATGTGTTCTCTTCTTTTTTTTTTTTTTTGGAGACAGAGTCTCACTCTGTCACCCAGGCTGGAGTGCAGTGCAGTGGTGCAATCTTGGCTCGCTATAACCTCTGCCTCCCAGGTTCAAGCTATTCTCCTGTCCCAGCCTCCCCAGTAGCTGGGACTATAGGCATGCCACCATGCCCAGCTAATTTTTGTATTTTTTGGTAGAGACGGAGTTTCACCATGTTGGCCAGATGGGTCCTGAACTCCTGACCTCAGGTGATCTGCCCACCTTGGCCTCCCGAAGTGCTGGGATTACAGGCATGAGACACCTTGTCTGACCCTCATTTCTAATCATGTGCTGTACTTGCCTTCTTCCATGACTTTTCACCTCTCACTTAGCATCTGCTTCCAACTGTTTATAAAACTACTCTTGGTGTAAATCAATGTCCAGTTCTAGTATAGTTCCCTTTGTAAAATATTTTTCTTTTAGTATTGGACTGGAATAAAAGCTGAGCACTAGAATTTTAGAAAGCTTCTTAGGAGATTCTACTGTGCACCCCAAATTGGAAACAAATCCCCTAAAGTGGTTCTTAAAATATGATCCCGAGACAAGCATCATCTGTATCATCTGCAGACTTGCTAAAAGCTCTTGGATGGGCCCAGCAGCCTTTGTTTTAATAAACTTGGTGGGTGATTCTTATGCACATTCAAATTTCAGAACCATTGCCCTTGGCCAAAATGAATATCAGATCATTCTACTAGTCTTTAAATGTGCTTTATTTATGGTTATTACAGAATTCAGTGTTCCTCGAAAATGATACAGCTACGTGTACGGATTTCTCATCTTTTTATTCTAGTATAAGCTCTTTGATACATGTACTACGTTTATCTTGGTATCACCCATTGTGTTTATCAAAGTATTTTGCCTAAGAATCTCTCCACAAATATATGTGTAGTGCATTAAAGCTTTTAGGTATAACTAGCAGGGAGAAATGGGAATGTGACATACCAGTCACACTCCTGTGGATCTTTTATTAAAAAACAGAAATGTAATATATACTCATATCAAACAGACAGCTGACAAGATGTTTTTAATAATTATACTTTATTAAGAAAATAGCATGAGCATTAATTACATGATACCCTGTTCTCCTAAGAAAACATTTTAATGTCTCTTTCTTGGAGAAAGCATTTTTAAATGTACAATCTCCAGTACAAATTAGGTGCCTTTGTCAGAATTACCTGCTGTATATCCTCCTTGTTGTGTATTAGATTTCCTTTGCACAGGAAGACAATTATCTTCCTTTTGACTTTCAATAATGCCTTCTCATTTTGCTTGCTTCTTGGGTAAGGTGTTGATTTCTTCCTTTATTTTTCCTGTTAATCTGTAACCACAAATACTCCTAAATTGCTTTTGGGCAATCTGCTCTTGGTTTTACGGGCCACAAGCCCACACTGACCAATTCTTTATAGGGGCTCTTACTGCCTGTGTTAAAAAGTCACCCTGAGGTGTCAGTCTTTCCTTAATAACCGAGTGCCTTTTTCACACTTTTACTTCAAACCATTTCATTCTGGAAAGTAATTTGTTTACTTACTAGTTGGACCTCAGAAGATGACTTTTTTTTTTTTAACTTACAACAAACTCTTTATCATTGTCTTAGAAAGCATTGTTTAGATTATAAGTTTCAGAAACCAAACTCAAACTGGCATAAGTAAAATACTGACTTGGCTCGTCTAACAGAGATATCCAGGCTGTGGCCACTTCAGGCACAGCTCTATCCAGGGGGATTACAGGTCCTGAAGATACCATTTCTCTCTCCATCTGCTGAAGTTTCTTTCCTCTGTGTGGCCTTCCTTTTGGGGTAAAGATGGTTCCTACAAACGAGTGTTCTATTCTCAGAAGAAGAAGAGAAGGTGAAACCACCATTCCTTTCTGAGAGCCCCAGTGAAGGACCTGGGGAGGCAATCAGCCAGACCCAGGCCACGCACCCATTCCTGGGTGGGCTTGGCACTAGATAACACCAAGGGACTGTCACCAAGAGTGAGGGTCAGAATGCTGGACAAGCAAAGTCAATGAATTTCACTACAATTATGGAGTTTGTTCCAGAGATGTGGAACAAACTCCATAATTGGAGATGGAACAGACGTGGAACAGGCACGCTGTTCCAGAACAGCAAAGAGGTAGAAGTCATTTTATACTTAAAAGAAAAAGATAACCACAATACCTACCAAATTTTAAGAACATATTAAGAATCAGTCACAATGTTAGGTGAGTTATATGGATTGTTTGAAAACCCAGTGAATTCCATATTATTATTTCCATTTTTAAGGGGAATTTAAGGTTACCCAGATAATCAGTGGGAAAATCAGAATTTAAATCAAAGACATTTTCTCTTTATTATCCATATTGTTTACACTGTATTAGGCCATCTGAGTCAATGGAGTGAACAGTAGACGGTGAGAACAAATTCTGTGTTACTAACCTTTGGTGTCAGATATTATCAGTTGCCCCCAACTGCCCTGATTCCGTTCCATCAGGTATTTATTTATCCAGTCGATGTTCAGGAGATCTTCATTCTTGTGAGAATGAGAAAGACAGAAAATGAACAAGTAAACAAGTCCATAAACAAAGTCTTTTAGATGGTGGAAAATGCAGTGAAGAAAATATAAAACAAGCTGATCTACTAGGAGGTTAGTAATTCAGAGGAGGTGGTTAAGGATGACTTAAATACTAGGTGATATTTGAACATTAGCCTGAATCATAAGGAGACAGCTTTTCTAAAATCTTGGGTAAGATCTTCCCAGAGCCAGTGAATGGATGCACTCAAGTCATAGGAATAAGCTTGTCATGTTTGAGGAAGACAGAGAAGGCCAGTGGGAGTCCAGCACATTGAGTAGAAGGGTGTGTGTTGAGAGGGATGGACAGAGCCCCAGTCATGTAGGGCTGTATGTAGGCCATTGTAGGAAGCTGCTATTTTATTGTAAACAGAATGGAGAGGCCACTGAAGGGTTTTATTGAGTTATTGCTGTCCCTTTGTATTTCATGCATCGATTATCAGTAGTCATGAAAATAGTTAAAGTTTGCACAAGGCAGTAGTGAAGCCGGCCAAGGCCACATGGCTGGCCTGACCATTTTCCCCCGGTCTCCTGTGGAAACACGAACAGAGACAGGCACCTGGAGAGCCTTTGCCACATGCATTATAGCCTTCATCCTAGTTGCCTGGAGAAAACCTGGTTTACTTTTTGACCCCAGTGAATAAACTGAGCTAGCAGAAATGCTTAACAGCTGTTTCCACAATATAACCTCCTCCTGGGCCAAGTCAGTTGATTGATTTCTTTCTATTTATTGAAGAGTAACAGCATGTAAAGTGTTTAACTCTGGAATTCTGACGAAGAAATTCAGGGGATGGGGCATTTTTATCCCCTCCATTCACCATTCTCACCCTGTTTTGTTTTCTCTTTTCTCTCTTACCTAAGTCTTTCCTTTTTAGTCTCTCTGGCCATGAGCTATCATCCCTATCAGCCTCATTTTTCCCTGCCCCACTTAAAGGTAATATATCTTTACCAAACCCATTCATTTTAATGTATTCTGCTTATTGGCAGGAAGCATCAATGCATGGTAAAAGCACAACTGCATTTACATTTACAGATAAAATGTAAATGTGAACAGTGTTCTTCGTGTCAAAGTATTCCTTTCAGATTTGAAGGGTTTAGATTATTATGTTTAGAATATTATTTTCAGTATAAAATAGTAAAATGAGATAAAAATCAAAAAGAGAAACAAGTTATATGTTAGCTACTGAGATTATTTTTGCATGAAGTGACAACTTTATAATGAATTTTGGGGGCTTATGATTTGGCATATCTGAATGTAAATTCATCATCTTTACTGAAAGGAAAGAAGAAACTTTTTCAAAGCAAGTATTCTCTGATGGTGTGCCTTCATCAATGAAGAATGGCACATTTTCTTTAAAGAAAGTTTTAAAAGCCAAATATATTTTATGTAATAAGTAGAAGGAAGATAGATATTTTATTCATGTTAACAAGAAGTGCTACACAAATACTAATCTGAGAACCATGTATTTTGGACAATTTTTTCAACTGAGAAATGTCTGGCCAGAAGTGTGTTTTCACTGTTCGTATGATAGTGTATCTATGAAATGTGTCACTTCTCACTACTTCTGCAGGAAAAAAAAAAATCGGTAGCTATGCTCCCCTGAAATGCGATGAATATGAAGAATGCCATGGACTTACTGCCATTTCATGTCTTTAAGTACAGCTGAGGAACAGCATGAGAAAGTGAAGGGACAGTGGGACTTCAGCTTCCATGCCCTGTCTCTGAGTGTCGGCACATCTCCCCATCCCTTTCTCTTTCTTCCCTGAGCCCTCAGCTGTGTGTCACATCCCTTGTCTGACAACAAACAGTATATAGAAATAGAAGATTTTGTGTTCTATTCATAAGAATCTTGGAAACTACCTGAAACCACAAGAGTATAGCTTAAAATCTGAGAGCAAGAACAAGAGAGAGAGAAAGAGAGAGGGAGAAAGAGAATATTAATTAGCATGTAAAGAATGCCTTTGTCCTTAAATTTTTTTTATTTATAGAGCTACAGCTATTAGAGATATTACGTGATGTGATTTCTTTTTAAATTAACGAGAAACATTCCAGATGCATATTTATCTCCTCTATAGCAGTTTTATTTTTGTTCTCTCTTTTAGCAGAATTTCATTTTTTAATATCTTAAGATGCATTCATATTTTGCTTTCTTTAGGACTAGCTGTAAATCAAATGTGTATATTCATATTCAATTCATTTCTGTGTGCAGACTTGGAAATCAGAGTTGTCATAGTTGTATGTTTTGTTTTATTTGAGAAGTGATTCTCCCCTGGCAGGAGAAAACAACTAAATCTACAAAGTATTTGAATTAGTTTATAATGCTTGAAAGTTTTGTGGATGTCTTTCCTACACATGAAATTTATGAAAGATCTACCATTTACAAAATATGTTATACTCAAATGCCAAATTCTTGCACAAAGTAAAACTAAAGAACTGCGGGTACTTGCATGTATTCAACAAATACTGTGCTCCTGTCAAGTACCAAGGACAGCACCTCGTGCCCGAGAGCCTCACAAGAGTTAAATTGCTGCTTGCCAAGAACATTTTGTCTGTAGGTTATGATAAATATTAAACAAAATTTTAACTAATAATTTATAGCAATATGTGAAACAAATTATGTAGGGGAAGTGTAAAGTGCTATGCATGAGTACAAGAAGATAATCAATCTTAAGCCATTGGGGATGTGGTGATGTTTGAAGGTTTCAGGAATGAATTAGAGGAACCAATCTTTAATCTGAGATCTGAAAGAGGAGTTAAGGTTATAGTATTTGGGGGAGAAGGGATATTTTCTAGCAGAGGGAACAGCATGGAGGGAAAATCCTAAAGGGGAAAGGAGAAATTGTAGTTATGGAAGCTGGGATTCAAGAGGAAGAGGGACCTGGAACATACTTGTGACCAGAATCAACATATTTTCTTTTACCTTCTTTGCATCCAGCTCTTCCTCAACTCCTTTTAACCCAGCCTTCACCCAGGACATGCTTCAGCTCCATTTCTATTTGCTCAAATAGTGTGATTATTTACGACTGATTTCAAATGTATCTTCTTGCAGAATGCCTTTAGTTATAGCTTCAGCTGGAATTAATCAATCACTCTCTTCTTTAAAACCTAATAACCTCTTTGATTTCATGTGTTTTAATTGGACTTGTTGGTTATTTGTCTGACTTCCTCAATACATATTGAAGGCAACCATGTCCTAGTTCCTCACTGTGCTTGGTACAAAGTTAGTACCATAAAAATAGTTGAATTGAATTGGAAACCAGATTAGTCATAACACATTGGCCATCTTTTCTGTGGTATTATCATTTTATTGAATTTATTCCAGTATCCAGCCTACTTTGTTTTATATCCAAAAAATTCCAGGCCATTTGAAAGGTGCAGATGCTGACTCTGTTGGAGACATCTCAAGAAAATTCATCAGCATAGCCAAGGTTCATAAATTTCACATGAGGCAAGATCAGATAAAGTTGAAATTGTAGTGACACTTTGAAAACAATATATATCGTCTTAATTTGAAAAATAGTATAATTCTATGAAACCTTGCCACCATTGCTTTACTGAGAATGTGATATAACTGCACGTACATTTATGCATGTAGTATTATGTAACTTACCTGGACTGGACTTATTCTTATTTTAATTCAGACTAATTCATTTGACCTTAAGAAGTTGTAATTATAACTAATATCTATTTTACTTTCATGTTAGAAATTTTTAATGCAATTTTTAGGTAAGGGCAACAAATGAGATTAGAATTGTTTACCTATGGGTTTTTTATTTTTGTGATAAGTCCTTCGTTGTGATAATATTTTTAAGGATGAATAGATATTCTGGCTGACAAGTAGGAGCAGATGAAATCATCTTCAAAAAGAATTCTTTGAAGAGAACCTCCTCTGTCTCAAAGCTAATACAAGCTATTGTTTTCACCAAAGCAAAGGGAAGATCAAAGTATTTGTGCTCTGAATTTCCTTTGGAAATAAATGAAAGTTGGAAGTGTCAAAGGAAAAATAAGCATACCCCAAAAAGATAGTTAGGGAAATATACTCAGTGAGGAAAAATTGTCAGTGCTTATGGAAGCAAGATTGATTTTTATTTTTAACTCTGTTGACTTTTCTATCTGATCACAAGGACAATCCATCTTAAAAATATATTCAAGGCATCTTAGTCAAGCTCCTTCAGTGATTTTTTTCCTATTGCTTTTGCTCAGCTCCTTTTTGCTGACATTTCAGACTTCTTTTGTTTTGTGGATGTACCATGCAGGTGAATGAGTGATTAAAAATTATACTTTCAAAGCTTTATCCCTGCACCTGTCAGGAAATTTAGCTTGCAGCCAGAACTTTTGATAGAAAAGCCATGATTTTAACTTAGAAGAAATTAATATGGATTTACTGAAACTCATGATTTGTGTAAAGAATAGATCTTTAGATTTATAAAATTAGCTGCCTGGTTAAATGCTGCCCTACCTCCCCCCAACACCAAACTTCAAGTAGGGGCACAGTTCTCTGTTATGTAGATTCAAGTTTCTGAAATTCTGTCAGTCATTTAGGAAAAGAATCAACACATTTTGGCTTGGCTTGGCTTTTCATAATTTTAGTTAGAATGACATCCATTTCACTTTCCTTGGCCAATTCCTACCCATCTTTTCTCACATGCCCCTAAATTTGCCACCACTTTCCCCACTGAGGTCTTCCTACTCCCCTATATCAGTCTTTTAAAAATAATCCTATTCCATGATTCTATGGTAACACTTAACCCATTATGCTTTATATACTTTTTGTGTCTGTTTCTCCTTTCACCTTGTCTTTTTTGTTGTTGTTGTTTGTTGCTTGTTGACAAAGCAGCTACTAATAGATGATTATTAATAAATGTTTGTATGTACGTGAATGCTCAAAAGCCAGAGCAACCAAACCAGGACACAAGATATAAACAGAGGCAGGTTCTTGACTCACATCATGATGACTTAGCAGACGGGTCTTCCTAGCTCCTTCCATTCTGTTTTGTGAACTATTCTTTATGGCTTAACAATATTGTGCACCTGTATGCAAGCGCAGGAATGTGCACAGCACTGAGGATACAGAGATGAACCGGACAATATGCTCTTGAGAATTTTAAAAGGAAGAGTCAATGAAACCAACAGGTTATTTTGAAATACTCTACCGAACGCCATGGCTGGTGTAACAGGATGCCTGAGATGCCCGAGGAGCACAGAACAGGAGCATTTAGGAAACACTGAGGAGTCCAGGGACTGGGGGCAGTTCTGACAGATGACTACCGGTGGGCCAGGCGGAGAGCAGTGGAGAAGCTGTTTCAGAGAGAGAAAACAATACAATCCAAGGCATTGTGGGACTATAATATGTGGGAAGGGGCTGAAAGTGAAGTTGGGGGATTGAGGGGCAGGAGCTGGCCACAGAGGACCTCAGATGCCAGCTGAGACACTTCAGCAGAAGCCTGTAAGTGAGGCAACTGGCTTGTGACTTCTAAGTGGGGCAGGCCGGGGTCGGAGAGGATGCATATTCTACTGTGCACCCTGTGGTACCATTGAGGACAAATTAGGGGTGAGGAGAAGATGAGCCAGAGATACTGGTTAGGAAACATAAACTATTTCAGGCAAGCGATAATGAGAACCCTAAGTAGATACAAATGGAGATGGAGTGGAAGAAAAAGGCAGAAGGAACTGAAATAGTTGGAGTCTTACTGTTACTTGAAAACAAAAGAAAGTATTTCTGGTGTGAGACTGTGAATCAGGCCCACTAAAGTGTTCCTGCTCTCATAATGAATGTTCCTCATGCAATATTTCACATGGTCAGGGAAGAAGGATTCATCTGTATCAATTTTAAATGCCATCAAAATGCATTAGCAGCCATATTCTTTGTATCAAATTCCAAAAAAGTATCAAAATATATAGTACATAATATTATATATGGTAACATATAATTTTAACTGTATAATGATAAATATATATCTTTAAATATAAAATGTTTTAATAGAATAAAGCAGAGCTTAGTATATTTTCTTTTGTCTATTTAAATATTAAGACATTTCAGTCAAGCAGAATTGAAAGCCTATAGTTCTATTCCATTCATAATATATTTCATATGATTGTAAAGGAAATCCCAGAACTTTATGAGATTGTATACACATTAATTCATAATCCCAGAACTTGGGAGATTGTGTACACATTAATATTTGAAAAAAGTCTGGGATGTGCTTCAGTTTCTGTAAACTTTGAACTTCATGTACTTGAGATACCAGTGAACTCAGATGTAAAATTAGATGCATTCAGAAAACACAATGAGAGATGACAGAGGAACAAATCCCTTTCTAGTCTTAAGGAGAAGTATTTTCAGTAGATCTAATATGACATTCATTGCATATCTTCTGAGCCAGGTATGAAAAAATATAGAAATATGCTTAATAGACCAAATGACATTTAGGTTATGGGGAGAAAGTTTTCAGTTTGTTTTGGGTAAATATGAAATTTCTGCAGTGGGGTGAGTGAGAAGACACAGAAAGTTAATGATGTGGAATTTGCTGCATTAATATACTGGAAGATGGAGAGTTGGCCAAACTTGGATTCCAATCCCCACCCTTCCATTGACTAGCTTGAAAATATTAAGAAATTGCCCCCAACAGGCTTGATATTAATATTTTCAAGCCTGTTTTCTAATCTGTCCATTCAGGCTACTGATGCTTCACAGACTGTCATGAGCATTAGCTGAGAAGAGGTATGTATTATCCTCAGTATTTGCCTAACCTATAGAATGGCTAACCACAGAGATTTGTATCTGAAGATGGGTTTCATGGAAGGTAGCTTTCGTGAGTTTTTCGGCAGAGCAACTTATTCAGAGAACAAAATTAACATCAAGAGTTTCTCCAGGGTGCTTGGTGTTGAGGCAACAGGCCCCACTGAGTAGAAAAGACGTAGAAGTAACTTGCATGAAATAGCTATGCAAAATGCAACTGGAAGAGCCTTGTTTGCACGCAGACATGTTCCTGAGAATAATGTAGATACTGCATTTGATTTCACACTAGTAAACATTATAAAGATAGAGACAATTGTTAAAAAAAAAAAAACTATCCAGAAGAATGTACAGCTTCAGCTGTGCTTCCAGTCCTGGATTTAGCCCAAAGACAGAAAAGATAATTGCCCAGATCTGCTGAGAACAATGATACAAAAGGCCTACAAGTACCTCCAATGGGAGTATTTGAAGTAGGAACTTTTTATGCAATGTGTAATTGAAAGCTATTTGAAAAGTATCACAGTCAGGTCTGTTTTACTATGCCTTGAATGCTACCAGATTCTGTAGGCAGTTAATAAAGAATGGCTATTAAGTCATTTCTGTTATTTTGCAATCAAAAATAAAAGTTGTGGCCAGGTGCGGTGGCTCACACCTGTAATCCCAGAGCTTTGGGAGACTAAGGCAATAGGATCACTTGAGGGCAGGAGTTTGAGACCTGCCTGGGCAACATAGAGAGACCCTCACCCCTCATCTCTACAAAATGTTTTAAAAATTAGCCCCATGGGGGCACATGCCTATAGTCCCAACTACTCAGGTAGGTGAGGTGGGAGGATCACCTGAGCCCAGGAGTTTGAGGTTATAGCGAGCTATGATTGCATCATTGCACTCCAGCCTGAATGACACAGTAAGGCCCTGTCTCTTAAAGAAGTTGTAAATGAAATAGTAATTCCCCAAACTCAACATCTTTCCATGTACTTTTTTTTCCTTCAACTTTTATTTTAAATTCTGGGATACATGTGCAGGATATGCAGGTTTGTTACATAGGTAAATGTGTGCCATGGTGGTTTACTGTACAGATCATCCCATCACCTAGGTATTAAGCCCAGGATCCATTAGCTATTCTTCCTGCTGTTCTCCCTCCCACAACACCATACAACAGGCTCCAATGTGTGTTGTTCCCCCCACCCCCTTGCTCTATGTGTTCTCAGCGTTTAGCTTCCACTTACAAGTGAGAACATGCAGTGTTTGGTTTTCTGTTCTGGCATTAGTTTGCTGAGGCTAATGGCTTCCACCGTCATCCATGTCCCTGCAAAGGACATGATCTCATTCCTCTTTATGGCTGCATAGTATTCCATGGTTTATATATACCACATTTTCTTTATCCAGTCTATCACTGATGGACATTTGAGTTGATTCCATGTCTTTGCTATTGTGAATAGTGCTGCAATGAACATATATGTGCATGCATCTTTATAATACCTTTGGGTGTATACCCAGTAATGGGATTGCTGGGTCAAATGGTATTTCTGCCTCTAGGTCTATGAGGAATTGCCATACTGTCTTCCGCAATGGTTGAACTAATTTACACTCTCACCAACAGTGTAAAAGTGTTTCCTTTTTCTCTGCAACCTCGTCAGCGTCTGTTATTTTTTGACTTTTTAATTGCCATTTTGACTGGTATGAGATGGTATCTCATTGTGGTTTTGATTTGCATTTATCTAATGATCAGTGATGTTGAGCTTTTTTTCATAGGCTTGTTGTCCATATGTATGTCTTCTTTTGAGAACTATCTGTTCATGTCCTTTGCCCATTTTTAAATGGGGTTGCTTGTTTTTTTTTCTTTTAAATTTGTAGACTCTGGATATTAGACCTTTGGCAGTTGGATAGATTGCAAAATTTTTCTTCCATTCTGCAGGTTGTCTGCTCTGATGATCATTTCTTTTGCTGTGTGGAAGCTCTTTCCATGTATTTTAATAAACACTGCATATGCCAATATTTAAAGTTTTTAATATGAGAAACTAATAGCTAGTTTCTTGCTTGGTAATATATCTAATCCAGGTTGGAATGACAACATAGTTTACAGGGAAAAGTTGACATTTAAACTTTTGTGTTTGCTTTAATAACGCTCTTGGTAGAAGAAAACAAATCTCATAGAGATATGCTTACAGTAAGGAAGGAAGAGATTTCAAAGCAATTTCTCCATAAAATCCCAGTGAAGTTGTATTGCAATCAATAAATTACATATAAAAACATCAATTTTATTTCTCTAATTTAGTTAATAATGTTAAACTATCATTTTTAAAAGTCTGATTAAAAATTAAAATATTGCAGAGATGACAGATTTTAAATAAAGATGGCTACTTAAGTTTTTTTTCAGTTTTTATACACTTTTGGTTTATAATTAACAAACATTACTTCTTGTGATGTGGCCCTACTGTGCATGATGATGGTGCAACCGCATGTGACTTGTTGCTCTAGTCTCTCCTCTGGTGAATAAGACAAAGGCTTTTGAATGTTTGTGTGTCAGGGCAGTATAAATTGTTACACAGTTTGCATTGACCAAATCTAGTTTTTAAATTCAATTTTAGACTTTTTTAGAAATCTAATTTCTAAATTCTCACTTACAATTTCTTTACTGAAGGCTGCAAGCTGTATTTTGAGTGACAATGAGCTAGGGGACATAGGTTGGGATTTTTTTTTTAAAGCTGCTGAGAGATGTAGCTTTGGCCTATTATATATCTGTGTGTGTTCTTTAAACAGGGAAGGAAATTGGAAATTGAGCTGAGAGCAGATTCTGAAAGAGGGAGAGCAAGTTTGCTTTACGCCCAGGTGAAAAAATGTCATTGAAAACAACACTGGGGAAGGGGTCACCCTATAGTAGAAAAGCAGGTTCAGAAAGAGCCAGTGTTAGCAGTTTCTGTTTTCCCATAAAGGAAAGGCTGCACAAGTTGGGTTCATCCAACACTTGCCAGGCAAAGAAGGACACGCCCCTGACTCCTGAGTACTAGATGCATATTTCCTGCAGGAAGGAGCTTTGTCTCTTGTCTGCTGCTCTACAGAATATTGCTTTGTACCTTAATAGATGCTCAAAATATATTTGTTGAAATAATTGACTGAAAGTATTAAGAACACATCCTTATGTCCAGAATTCATAATGTGTGATTAGTATTTTTTGTTATTCTCATGTTTCTATTGTTGAATGCCACAGGGTTTCAGGAAGGTTAGACAGATTTTACATAGTTTATCAACAATAAGAACAAGTGAAAAAAAATCTCTTAAGTCTCATATCATTTACCTCCTCACTGCTGGCAGAATCAATGATAAATAAGATTGTCTCTATTTCTCCTCTTCCCACCTTTTGTCTATTTTCTCCTCCTCTGTTTTCTTCTTTCATCAATTGTTTCCTTCATTCAATTACTATTCATATCTGCTGAGTAATCTCCCAACTGCTATTTCTATTGTTCATACCTCCCCCTCTTTTCAGGGAATTAAATACCTTTCCAGACTTAAATTCTATGATCAAAATGGGACATTCCTTTTCTCACCCTTAAGATTCTCCTTATGTCTTAAAGACTCTTCATTCACTTTGCCTCTCTAATACATCCTTGTCCTAGTGTGTTTTTCCAGCACTCTGCTAAACCTTTGTAGATCACTCACTGCACTGGATTATAATTATATCTTTATTTTCCTCTTTTCTAAACCACACCATTGGTTCTTTACAGATGAATATTGTCTTATTTTTACCTTTTTATCCCTAGCACTTGGTGCTGCCTGATTTATGAATTATTTGTTTATGAACAAATAAGTGAATACACAAATCTGGAGTTCAGAGTTATGAGTTTACAGATTTGGGTCCCTAAGAGGAAAACAAGATGGCCTGGGAAAAGTTTCAAAGTGTGAATAGTGAGGCAAGCAGAACCTAAGAAAACAGATGCTTATGGGATAGGCAGTGAAGAGGACACAGAGTAGGTAAAGCAGGGAAAGTAGGTGAGCACCAACAAGGTGCCAGGGCAAAGTCAAAAGGGCAAGGGAATAGAGAATTTGAAGGAGTGGGTGCTACATTTAAGAAGAGATTCAGGACTTGATATCTAGAAAGTATCCACTGGATTGGACCAATGCAGTCATTGGCGTCCTTAGAGGGAATGGTTCTCGTAGGATGACAGTCCGCTGAGGAGAGTGGGTTGAAGATTTGGAAGTGGGATTAGCAGATTGGACTTCTTCAGGAGAAATTTGAATGGAAAAGGAGAGGAGTTATTGGACTATGTCTAGAAGGGGCAGGGAGTGAATGAATATTTATTTCTTCACTAGAATGAACTTGGTCAAGCTTACATTTCTTTGCAGGGAAGATTCAATATTGCATGAGATTGTCCCTTGTTATTCATTATTAATTTTCATTTTGTCTTTAAATTATTTACTTTTGATTCATTAACAATATTTACTGAGCAACTGCTCTCTGTCGGTTAGTTGCCTAGGTATTGAGCTTAAGGCGATAAACATGACAAAGTCCATGTCCTCATGCAGAGTATGTTCAATTCCAGCTATTTCCTTAAGATTCACCTTTGATCGGTCTGTTCATCTGAGGAGTGAAGTTACCAAACGGGTATCAAAAGGAAGCTTCAATTATTTGATATATTTCTCTTACGGTATTCACAATGTCTCTAAATACTGCTAGTGACATCTTTCTAATGTCTGTATATCTATAATTCTAGCCATATTCCATTTTTCCTGGCCTTCCCTCTGTAGCAGATGTCTACAGCTATTTATAAGATGAGACTCATTCCTGAATTGTCTGCCTTAATATCTTAGAAGATGGTGACAATTCCATACTGCTTCAGTTGATTTGAATTAAGCACTTTGGAAGTTTAAAATAGGGTAGAGACCTGGTTTGTCTTTCTCAGTCAGCTATCTTTTTCCTATTATAACTACAATTTATAAGATAAATAGTGAAAAGGGATGTATGTTTTGTGATGGAGAAAATTTATTATGCTTGGCAGGTTTTTTTCTTGAGCAACAGCTACCATCCATGATGGATAATTTTCAGTATTTTTTGATATGAAATCTTACTTGAAAGAAGATACATTGTCCTTGGAAATTGTTTGGAGCTATTATTCATCAATAAATTTTGGAAATTAATTATACATTTATTTATTCAACCAAAATATGTTGACCACTCACTGTGTACCTGGTGCTGTGTGTTGGGATAAAAGAGAAACTGTACATTGTCTCTGTTTTCAAGGTACTTATGGTTTAGTGGGGAAATAAAAATGTCAACAAATCCTTACGTCACAGCAGATACTGAAGCAGCAGATACTGAAGTTAAGGGATGTGCCAGGTGCTGGGGTATAGGGAAAAACTACTGACTTGAAAGATACAGGCAAAGTTTGAGTGAGGAGGTGATGTGGAAGATGAGTCTGGAAGAATGAATAATAATAATAAGCAATGTTGAGTGACTTACTGTACTTAAGGATCTTGAATTTTGCCAAATAAAGGAAAGCTCAGCCTCTTATTGATTCTAGTGCAAAAGTATATAAGCTAAGAGTTAAGCACTTAAAATCTCAGTATAATAGCATGCAACCATGTTTAGTCTTTTCTTAGAACTGAACAAGAATTTTGCTGTGTCATTTCTTGCTAGAGTAATTTATAGGTAAAACGGTGCTATTGTCATCACACTTATTGTGTGACTTGCAAGGGAGACCCTGAGAATATTTTTCTCTTGACTATAGTTGTCTCTCACTGAAGGAGAGATTGGTAAGCATACTCACTCTCTAATTTTAAGTTCTGATGATTGTTAAATACTTTCCTTTAAGTATTATGTTTCAATGTTAATGGAGTTGTAGCTAATATTTATAAGCTTAAGAGTAATTCCTCCTGCATATAAAGAATCCTCTTAAAAATGTACATAATGATTTAATCTGTCTTTAAAATTAAACTCTGTAATACATTTTCCTCTGTTAGATTTTATGTATATATATAGTTTCATAGTGTAAGTATAGTAACTTCAACCCTTTCTAGCTCTCATGAAATAAAGTTCGATTCAGTTCAATACTACATTAAGAAGTATTAGGTACATGCCATGTTTCAGGCACTCATTGCCTTGCATTATGGGATTGCAAATTTAAAAAATGGGTCTCTGCCCACTGAGAGTGCATAATTTAGCACAAGGAACAGGATGAGTGCAACTCAGTATAATAGAGCTGGATAAATTTGTTTCAGTGGAGAAGTTCTCAAGATGTCACATTTGAGCTAAGTTTTGAAGAATCAGTAGAGTTTTGCCAAGCAGAAGGAGGTGAGAGGGAATTCCAGGCAGGAGAGAACCATATGCAAAAAGGTGGGAAAACTTGCATGTGGATGGTGTGTTGGGGGAGATCAAGTAAGGACATGGCAAGGCACGGTGTTGAGAGATGGAATGGGAAGTTTGTTGGCAAATAATTAGGAAGGCCCTTGAATGCTTGGCTAAAATGTGAGGCTTTTGGCACCGGAGAAATTTAAATGATATTAAAGCAAGGTAATGAAATGATTGTATTTATGCTTTACAAAGGTATTTTTAGAGATAGATTGGAGTTAAATAGGGTATACAGAGAAAGGACATGGTGGAAAAAGATCCAACCCATGAACTTGCTATTCATAGTGTCATTGTAAGAATTTTATTATTTTGAACCTAAAAAGTTATTCTTTGGTATGAAAATGCAGAATTATCTTGAAACACAATTATCAAATGAAATAGAATTATTTTGAAATAATTGGCTTGACTTTAATGTTTTTGTATATGACTTGCCTTTAATGTTTTTCCTAGGTATAATGAGATGTTTTGAAAGGATTTGCTTCTTTTCCTGTCCATTTCCATGGAGATAATATTCCCTAATGGCAGGACATTGTGTTGCCATTCGAAAATATGTGTATATGCAGTATTTTAACAGTAGGTGGCATCCACAGTGATATGTACATATCGCAGGAGCAGGAGAAGGAATGTCACCTTAGCAGAATCATAAAAAAGAGAGCAAAAATCAAAGTGGAGTGACGGAGCATTTGGAAAGCAGAGAATAGGATTTCAACCTAGTCAGGTCACTAATGGAGGCTTCTCAAAAAGGAGAAGAGTGAGAGTATTGACAGCAGTGAAGAGTAGAGAGGTGTGTCTCCACTACCTCTCACAACATCATTACATTTTCAGGGGATAAAAGAAGTCAGGGAAATGCTTTTTTAAAAAATATGGTAAAGTCTTACTTTCTATAGTCACATTTATTGTCTTGTCTTGTTAATATTCTAGCAGGTTTTTTAAACACTCAAGTAGAAATGAAGCTGTTAATTGGTAATAGGCAGTTCAATGACAACTGTGACCCTAGGTGCTCCATTTTTGTCAGGCCAAAAGACATCCAGGCAAATAGAAGATTATCTCATTATTCAGAATTTCTCTTCACGTAACTTTAAGTAAAATGCATACCAGAGAAGTCAATGCTGATGCTTATGGGCATGGGGAAGGTAGGTGGGATAGAGGTGCAAATTAATATTCTCCCACCTTTCCACTCATCGTCGTGTATTCTTTAACCACATGTGGCCGCAGGTTGAACCTGTCTGGTGATTTTCATTTATACAAGAGATCAGTGTCTCTTCATGAGAATTTTTTATAGATTTATATTTTCCTAATTTAGGTGCTGTAGTAGTAAAGTTCAGTTTAACAGTGAAACTCATAGAGATACCCAGTCACACCTGTAGTCAACTGCTGTACCATTATAATGACATATCTAATCATGTCTATAAATGATATCTGTAATTGATTAAACACTGTTACCATTCTTTTCTGAAATGCAGAACACTTGATCAAATCCAAAATACTTGTAAAATGCATAAAAGCAACCTAATACCGTTTAGAATATTTTGGGATAGGAAGCAATATCAGGAGAAGTATATATCTGTCTGACCAAGTGAGAACTTTCTGTAAATGATTATAAATATGGAGAATATCTCATAAGCAATGGTCTGGAGAAGAAGCAAGAGTATAGCAGAAATCTGGGCTGAATAGTATAGTTCCTTCTTATTTACAAAGCACGAGGCTCTTAGGCCTTAATCATCTCTCTTAAGAATTGGATATCCTCCATCATGCCAAGAAACGGGGGGAAAAAGTTTGCCAGATGAGAAGAATGCCATTTTTGTCACTGATTTAACCTCTGTATATTTCCTATGACAAAATAAATTGGTTTAAATATTTTAAATAAGGCAATTGCATTATCTTTCCTTGTGTGAAAAAGTGAGCATCCCTGGAGCACCAGCTTAACCCTATTGAGCTAGGATTCTCATTACTTACCCATTTGATAAAGCACTTTCCTGATTCTTAAATTAGTATGTTAACTTACATAACTGTCTAAACCAATCTCAGCGTTCCTCAGACTCCTTTACTCTGTCTCACGGCAAACATCAGTTCCCTATTTATATTACCACAGTCTTGTTTTGAATGCTGAATGATTCTTTCCTTTTTAGGGTCTCTCGCAGCATTCAGTTCTCTCAATTTTCATATTTGATGAGTCATGTATTTCCTCTCGTTCATCCTTTTGTTTTTCCTTTTTCTGCTGATAGCTAAGTGTTAATTTTGTAGTGCTTCTTCACTGCTTACCAAGTTAATTACAAATCTTTGGTTTGATATTTAATTTCCTTATAATGTGGATTCAGCCTACTTAGCCAGCCTTCTCTCTCTCTCTACCTTACATGAACCCAGTCTTCAGTCACATTGGCTCCACTCATTCTGTACCTGCTCTGTTGTTTAGGGCATTGCTTCCACTTGAAATACAGCTTTCCCAGTTTGACCTGTCAGAATTCTACCCATGCGTCAAAGTCTAACTCCTATGCCATATTCTTATGTGGCCTTCCTTCTGTAGACCCAATGACTCTTTATACCTTTAATTTCACCTATCACTTCCCTGTCTTGCATTATAAATACCTGTGTATTTGTCTTCTTGATTAGATGGTATGCAATAAATGCCAAGATTTCTTTCATTGTAGTTTTTTGACTGGATATATTTATACCACTGCTTACTATAACTTACATTTTACCACCTCTCTCATTGGTATTTTATCCTATAGGGACTAAATGAAAGAAATAGTGTCATAATATATTTATTTTACATGGCAGAGTTAACTGACGAAGTTATGACAGTGAGGCCTGCTGTATGCCAGCATGAAAGGAAACATACTCTGCAGCCCATATAAAATAGTAGCCATACTTTCAAAATGTCTTAATAAGATTTTCTATACTCAGACAAAGGACCATGATGTCATTCTTACTAACCTCAGAAGCATAATAAAATATGGTTAGTTTTGGCATTCATCAAATTTTGCCATTAACTTTTCCCATAAAATTTGATTAAGGAGCATTGCAAGACTTTTTTAATTAAGGAAAGTGCTTTGGATATTTATGTCCTGTCCACAGTTTGTCAAATTCTGAAAGATACTGAAGTTCTTCAGATACCTGTAAACATTATGATTGGTAAAATATCTGAACAATTTTTTCTGATGAGAAATACCTGAAATTAGTTGTAGCCTCAAGTATAAATTCTTATTTTAAAAAATAATTGAATTAAAAAATTATTGGCTATTTATATTACATAGGAGTATCAAAGTGGCTTTATTTTCTGGTTATTTCTCTGGACTTCATCCATGCATAGATATGCTTTATAATATTTTATTGCTTTCCATTACCATGGATTAACAAATCTTAACTGCTAGCACAAGTCTGGATGAGCCAATATATCTAATTCTAAATTTTCAGTAAACGTTTGTCTTTTAAGAGTATTTTAAATGTTTTAAAAAATGTGTAAAAAAAGCTTAAGAAACACTGGATGTTTTTCTATCTTAGTTCTGCTATATAGCAGGGTTTTTTTGTTTTGTTTTGTTTTTTTAGATGGAGTCTTGCTCTGTTGCCCAGGCTGGAGTGCAATGGTGTGATCTCAGCTCACTGCAACCTCTGCCTCCTGGGTTCAAGCAATTCTCCTGCCTCAGCCTCCTGAGTAGCTGGGATTACAGGCACTCGCCACCACGCCTAGCTAATTTTCGTATTTTTAGTAGAGACAGGGTTTCACCATGTTGGTCAGGTTGGTTTCAAACTCCTGACCTCGTGATCCACCCACCTCAGCCTCCCAAAGTGCTGGGATTACAGGTGTGAGCCACCGTGCCCAGCCTATAGCAGTTTTAAAAAGGCAGATTGTTGCTAAATAAAGTTTCACTTGATGTGGGCTACATTTTAGACCTTTAAAAGTTATTTCTGTAACTTATTTTTTTCCTTTAAACATTCGCACCATTGAATAGTTGAAGACTTGTATCAAGTCAATTTAAGTGAATGTCGCAGAATCAGATCAACATGATCTAAACAGCTCTTAACTGGCTGAATCAATGACAACTTTTTTTTTTTTTTAAGGAACATCTTTTTCAGAAAGAACAGAGTGCTCCATGCAACCAGCTGTTTCTGTAGCAATGCTTCCCTTAGGTGGTACTGATGAGCTATGGGCTGCTTTTACAGAATAGTTTTCTTCCCAGATAATTCAAGGTTTAGAAGAGCTGCACCTAGTTAAGCCGTTTAAATGACAGTCTTCTTTCCTTTACCCTGAAAAACATTCTTTTCTTTTTAGGCCTAAATTCTACTTGCACACTGATCATGAAATTACATAGATTCCAAATATCTACTTAATTTTTATTTCTTAACATGTGTCATAAAATATTTTAGATTACCTCCACGGAAAGCAGGAAGGCTTTGGCCTTAATATTATGCCTTATCATGGCTAAAAATTGTCCAATGATGCTTCCCACTGTGTGTACTTGAGTTATAGTTATTATTGTCTATTGAATGAGTCCTATATGCTTATCACACTAATGATCATTTCATATGCATTAATTTAATCTTCAACATCATGCTATGTCAGGCAATTCTAATATCCATTTTGAAAATAAGAAAACTGACCCTATGACAGGCTAAATAATTTGACTGTGACTTGTATACTATTTTTTACCACATTGCTTTTTCTACCAAGTTTACTTGAGAAAAGGCATGAAGACATCTGATCGAGGTACTTCTGTGCGTTCCAGCTTTGAGATGCCGCCTCTGTTCCAAGCATGTAACAAATGCTAGATAAAATATGAGGATAGGAAATGCAAAAATCACAGCTGGGCTCAAAAACAGTTTGTTATCTCTGTGGCCCAAGAATGGAGATGAAATGCAAGTGATGAGTTGTGGGCTACACTGAGGCCTCTGGCCTGCTGGACTCTGGAGGTGGACAGAGGGGGCTGGGACAGCGTTTGCAGAGCAATAGGACATGAATGTTATTGTACACTAGGTGGAAATCCAGAGCTAGCCTCACCATTTGAAACCAGGTAGTAGAGGACTCCACTTCTGAATGAAATATGAAAGTATGAAAAATCTGCTGATCACTGTTGCTTGAGACTAGCTTTTGTGATGCTTGGTGTTTAAGATGGGAAGAGGAAGTTGTTTTAGGCATGGCCCTGAACTACTGAACCAAACTCAACCAAATCACTCACTAGTTTGGGGACATGACTGGTGATAATCCAGATGTCAAAACAATGTCATAGATCAGATATGCAACTGCTTACAAATGTGTGATCCTGGGCACAAAACCATTTTTAAGAGGATGATGAGAGAGAGAGAGGATGGAGCTATATCAAAAAAACTAAATAAAAATAATTTAAAAACCATCCCACTTCAAATGAACTTACAAAACATAATTCCAAAGCACATGAGGAAACCTAGCAGTAAGAAAGACAGCCAACAAAATGGACCATTAAAATGAATTTTCCCCAGAAGATTTAATAGATCGAAACAGGCTTGCAAAGTCTATTTTGGATGCCCAAAGGAATGCCATTGTATTAGTCTGTTCTCATGTTGCTAATAAAGACATACTTGAGACTGGGTAATTTATAAAGGAAAAAGGTTTAATGGACTCATAGTTCCACGTGGCTGGGGAGGCCTCACAATCATGGCTGAAGGCAAATGAGGAGCAAGGTCACATCTTACATGGAGGCAGGCAAGAGAGCTTGTGCAGGGGAACTCTCATATACAAAACCATCAGATCTTGTGAGACTTGCTCACTACCAGGAGAACAGTATGGGGGAAACAACCCCCATGATTCAATTATCTCCATCTGGCCCCACCCTTGACACGTGAGGATTATAACAATTCAGTGAGACTTGGATGGGGACACAGCCAAACCATATCAGCCATCCATAAAGAAACAAAAATGTCAAGTTATTATTTATTTACAAATATTTATTAAGATCATACTATGTTCCACATACTATTACAGGTGCTAGAGATGCAGAAATGAATAAAAATAAATAAAATCCTTAGCTACTAGAGGATTTGCATTCTAGTGGGGAGTTTACATTTTAGTGGCAGAAATGAAATAAGAATAGGTGAACAGGAGGCTTCCACTGTATTTGTAATATTTTATTTATTTAAAAGGTGAAGCAAAAGAACAAAATGCTCAGACTTGTTAAAGCATGGTGCATAAGTGGGTTTTCACAGTTTAATCCTACATAAGTACCTGTACAATTGACGTGAAAGGACACACAGACCTTTCAGTAGAACATGAATTGTTGGACATAGCAATAATATTTAAAACGTCCAGTCTTCTGGCAATGAGGCAAGTTCCATGGCCATTTACCTCTGTGGCTCCCAACTTGCTTAGGGTAAAACCTTATCAGGGCCTGTAAGGTCCTGGGGTCTACCTCTCTGGCCTAACTTGCTCTTTCACTCTGCCCCAGCTCCTGCCCCATTGCATGTTCCTCACACAATTCAAGCTCATTTCCTTTTATGATGACAGCACTCCTCTCAGATTATATCTCTTTCAGATACTGGGGAAAATCTTGAAAATTTTAAAATGATGTCTCAAATGAGACCTTTGATTTTCATCATGGAAATAATCCCTCAGTCTTTTATTTTGCTCTTGATCTAGTGCTTTTATAGACACTAATTCACTCAGCTAGTTAGAACTGTATTTCATGGCACTTGATGGATGTTCCACTTTGCAGTGGCTCATGTCACCATGACCCAGTCTGGTGGGTTGCTGCCTGGGGTTGCTGTAGCCCCCACACTCCCATCAGTGTTATGTGCTTAGGCTGAGGGAACTGCAGATGGTACCTGGAAATCTCTTAGGAATGCAAAGAGAGTTATAATGAGTAACAGCCAATCTTGGATGCTGAGTTGTTTACAAAACTTTTTGAGGAGGATTCAATATGTATTTTAGACAAGAAGGAACTGCTTCTCAATAAAGATGAGCATAATTGTCATTTTGGAAATTAGTCTTTAGAGCTAAAGCATTCATAATTTAAAGTGTAAAGCTTGAATAATCCATGTTACTTTATTTTAAAAAGACAAAACACTATTGCTAGTAATGGGAATATCACTGTGTGTGGGTGTGAACACATATGTTCAGTGGGACTCAAAAATCCCACACAGGGTATAGCGTTGTCGCTCACTGATTTTGCCCAATTATACTGTGAATTTGATAATAATTTACCAACACTTTGAAGTCCTACAGATGCTCTGAAACAACAATATAATCAGCTTTTATTTGAATATCTAATATGACAACTCACTCTAATATCATGGGACTTATTTTGTTCCACCGACATTAAAATGTCACATTCTAGAAATGTGAAGTTTGTCACCTCATCAAAAATAGATACTAGATGGTGAATTTGAATGTATTTAATGCCATTGAACTGTATGCTTGAGAATGCTCAAAACGGCATAATATGCAGCTGTAAAAAACAATGAGATTATGTGCCTTGTAGCAACATGGATGGAGCTGGAGGCATTATCCTAAGTGAAATAACTCAGAAACAGAAAATTTAATACCATATGTTCCCACTTACACAGAGATAGAAGCAATAGATACTGAGGGTTGAAAAGCAATACACACTTTTCACAACCCCCTTCCCACCTCTTCCCACTTGTGGAGAGGTAGGAAGGGGATGAGGGTTGAAAACTTACCTATTGGGTACAATGGTCACTATTTGAGTGATGGGTACAGTAGAAGCCCAAATCCCACCATTATGTAATATATCCATGTAAAAAACATGTATGTATACCCTCTGAATCTAAAATAAATTAAAAGAATGGTTAAAATGCTAAATTTTGTATTATACTGTATACATTTTACCATCACTAAAAAAAATAGATACTAGATCAAATAAAATGTAACTATTTTATCTCCATAGATGATTCCCTTAAAATTTCTGTTTAGTATCGAGCCACAAGCAAAGCAAACACAGCGATAATTATTTGGAAATTGCTGTAATTATTGCAGGCCACTAGGATTCCACTTTGCATATTAAAATGGCTATTTTAATACACAAAATGGCATGAAATACTATACAGCCATAAAATAGAATGAGATCATATCCTTTGCAGTGTGTCCTTTGTTTTTTGCACAAAGTGTATTAGGCCACTAGGATTCCACTTTGTGTGTTGAAATAGTCATTACCATATTGTATCCTGGTAATAAAAAAGAGCCATTGAACCCTTAGAGAGAGTTTCACTTCTAATCGGAGCATAACTTGGTGCTGGAAAGAATCGCCTCAGTGTTGTTTAAAGTTAGGTTTTTATGAGCCTTCGTTCCATAATCTTTCTCACAATAAATGAAAATTGGATAACGTTCTTCAATAGTCACAAAAATGTATTTCTTCAACTTTTTAATAATATTGATCATTATAAATATTAATAAGCACTTATTCTGTGCTGTGCACTGTTCTACATATTTTATCTGCATTAACTCATTTAAT
Organism: Homo sapiens; assembly: GCF_000001405.40. Taxonomy (NCBI): domain Eukaryota; kingdom Metazoa; phylum Chordata; class Mammalia; order Primates; family Hominidae; genus Homo; species Homo sapiens. Next base: position 68,191,427 of record NC_000008.11, read on the forward strand.
CTTGGCAGTCTTATGAAGTAGAAGCTAATGCTTTCCTCAAATTATAAATGAGAAAACTAAGCATAGACAAGTGATTTCTCCAAGACCACACAGTTTCTAATAGACCCGGTGGTAATTTTATCCATCTTTTTAAAATGGAAACCTTTTGACATTTGTGCAACCCCAACCTTCTAATGTTCAATGCTTTTGTTTATTCACTTGTTTTTAAAAAAAAGTCAGTGATTCTTGAACATCTTCATGCATATTATGTCTTTTCCTAACAACAAATGATAATTTATTTCTTGGATTCTTACAGGGCATTCTACTTGGACAAGTCAAATTCACCACCAAACTCCACATCCAAAGCTGCCTATGTAGATAAGGTAAAAACAGATGATTATATTTATTGGTGCTTTTTAATTTAAATATCTCCCTTTTTAATTTTCTGCTGTTGTTCTGCAGAAAAATTAATCTAAGTAGTTTTAATCTAAGTAGGGAGCTAGTCTGTCATGAGACAGTCTCTTCTTTATTCATTTATTTATTTTTATCATACTTTAAGTTCTGGGGTACATGCACAGAACATGCAGTTTTGTTACATAGGTATACATGTGCCATGGTGGTTTGCTGCACCCATCAACCCATCACCTACATTAGGTCAGTTTGATTTTGAGGATGGTGTTTACTTATTTATTCAAATTTACTTGGCACTGAATCCATGCAAAGGATTGCAGTTAGTGCTATTGGCTGTATAATATCATAAAGTGTTCATGTCAGAGACATATGAGTAATTATAAATATTAGTAGTCTCTAATTCCATTACCACCAAAATGAAATAAAATTTTAGACTATTCTTTAACAGCTATACCAACCTATCTAAAAGAATTTTACTAAACATGTTGAACTTGACGTTCATCACTTTTTTTCTGCAGCTAATGAGGCCTCTCAACGCTTTGGATGAACTTTACCGACTGGTAGCCTCGTTTATCAGATCCAAGCGCACAGCTGCCTGTGCAAACACAGCTTGCAGTGCTTCTGGGGTTGGACTGCTGTCAGTTTCCTCGGAGCTGTGCAACAGGCTGGGCGCCTGCCACATCATCATGTGCAGCAGCGGTGTGCATCGGTATGTGACCCTCCCGCCTTGCTTGCCTCTTTGTTAGATCACACTTTATTTGATGGTTTTTGTTTACATTTTGGCTTCACAAAATTAAAACTGGAAACATTCAAAGACTCAGGTGTATTTGGAATAAGATTTTGGACGTTTTCTGGTTTTAATTCTTGTATTTTCAGTGACTATTTAGTCATACACATGAAGGCAATCCCACGTTTATATCATTGTGGCCCAAAATCTTATCATAGTTGCATTTATATTAACATACTTACATTTTAGGAAAAATGTGCATTCATTTTATTCACTAGAGAAATTAGTAGGAGCTGACTCAACTAGCTCAACAAAACTGGTTTTCTCACTGCCTTTGATAGACATTCCACTATTCAGTGGTTCCAATCCTTACAACCCAAGTGTTGTGAGCTAGATGCTGCTTGGAGTTGCAACTGCTTTCTAACTACTGGTGAAATTATGGTCCAGGAGCTCACACAATGTGCTATTCCAGAAAATGTAAGGGGAAATATTTGATGGGTTCTTTTCAGGTGGTTTATCTTAGGCAACTGTGGTCTGTCTGAGGCAGCCAAGATGACAGGCATAAAAATTCCTGTAGATACATCAGACTTAGACTCAAAAGTGCGAGTGGGAATCCCTGAGTCAAGTCCCTCTTCATAATCATATGCTTTCGCCTCTCCATTGCCACAAGGAAATAGAATCAAGTAAATGGAAATAATAGAAGAGAATTTTAGTCCTTGTTTTAACCTAAGTAGGGAGCTAGTCTGTCATGAGACAGCCTCTTCTTCTATTTATTTATTTTTATCATACTTTAAGTTCTGGGGTACATGCACAGAACATGCAGTTTTGTTACATAGGTATACATGTGCCATGGTGGTTTGCTGCACCCATCAACCCGTCACCTACATTAGGTCGGTTTGATTTTGAGGATGGTGTTTACTTATTTATTCAAATTTACTTGGCACTGAATCCATGCAAAGGATTGCAGTCAGTGCTGTTGGCTGTGTAATATCATAAAGTGTTCATGTCAGAGACATAAAGGATGAAGAGCAAGCAAAAAAAATTTCAAAAATATTAACAAAAATAACATAATGATAAAAGTACACACACATACAACCCACACAACTCAAGAACAAGAAGACATAAATGGTCTAGGAAAGTTACAGCTAAAGAGTAGGATTCAGAGGGAGAATAGATTTTGAGATGGTTAGATATGGGAACTCTTCATGGAGGAAGTTATGTTTGAATTGGGTTTTCATGGATCAGGTTATAGAGGCAGAAAAGAAAGAAAGGTCATTGAAGGCAGCAGCCTCTCCATCTGGGAAACTCCATTTTGCCTTGAGATGGCCACATTCTAGTTTTCAGGCCCTATGCAGCATGAATGTGCTTATGAAAAATGGCAAGAGTATTTCTCTTAAAAGAACATTAATTTTTTGTGGTTGGCAAAATATGCAGAATTTTTCACTTTAATTTTCATTGCTGTGTACTTTGCTCTCTATTGCAAGCTTATTAAAAGCTTAATTGAAAATATCATCTGTATCTGAGTGGATCAAAGCTTTGAAAGTTTTTTTGCTAGCAAAGAAATAATATCTTCCTTCTGATAAGCTTATGTTCATATGGTCTGTTCCTATTCATTCATTCATTATTCATTCATTCAATAAATATGCATTGAGCACCAATCATGTGCCAGCACTGTTCTAGTTGCTGGGGATACAGCATTGAGAAAATAAAGTCCCTACTTTCATATAGTACGTACTGCATTGGGGGGAAACGGTTGATAAAGTAAACAAATAAATATGTAATGTGGCAAGTGGAATAAATCCAAAAAAGAACAGAATTCAAAGGAATAAAGGAAGATAGGGTAGAGAAAAGATAGGCAGATTGAATTAGCATTAATATCTAGATATTTTAATGCCAACCTGAATCAGATGGGGAGATTTGTGATGGGGGATTTCATAAGATACTGGTATAAAATGAAGGAGTGGCCGGGCGCAGTGGCTCATGCCTATAATCCTGGCACTTCCGGAAGCTCAGGTGGGTGGATCACTTGAGGAGGTCAGGAGTTCGAGAGCAAACTCATCAACATGGTGAAACCTCATCTCTACTAAAAAAAAAAAAAAATACAAAAATTAGCCGGGCATGGTGGCAAATGCCTGTAGTCCCAGCTACTCGGGAGGCTGAGGCAGGAGAATCGCTTGAATCTGGGAGGCGGAGGTCGCAGTGAGCGGAGATCATGTCACTGCACTCCAGCCTGGGCAACAGAGCGAGACTGTGTCTCAAAAAAAAAAAAAATATGAAGGAGTGGGTCATGCAGATATCTCAGAGAAAGAGCTTTGAGACCATAGGGACCAGCAGCTTGAGTGTCCTCAAGTGGGAAAGTGCCCAGTGTGTTCAAGCAACAACAAGGAGTCCATTGTGGCCTCAACAAAGCATCATTGCCTTGAGTATTTGTGCTCTTCTCTTACCCTGGTACAAGATCATAGTTATCAGAGGTCTGGATACACTGGAACCAAGGGGGTCCTTCAGACTTTGAAACTATAAGCACCTACTCTTAACTCCACATTAATTTACTGAAAGGTAATTCAGTTAAATCTGCCATTTAACCCTAGAGACCATGACTAAGTTGTCCAAATTATTCTCTCAGATGTTTCACGAGCAATTTTAGAATTAGACTGGTATTGTATAAGAGAAATAGTTTGATGTTCCACAGCTATTACTTACTATATGCATTGATTAGTGTGTTAGAATTACAAGGGACATTGACATTTTAAAATACTTTAACTTTCTTGATTTCTACAATTCAAAATAAATATAGCTTTAGTTAATTCACTTCACGAGACATTTACCAAGCTGTAGACACCAATGCCCCATAACGGGCTGAATTTAAGGTCAAAACTATTTGAAAATTGTATAGTTTTATTTTTCCATTATGCAGAATAAAATGGGGAATGTAAAATACTCTTTAATTTTTCAGTGAAGGCTATGCTTAGATTTTTCATGATGATAAGATATGTGTTAATTTATATTAGGATCCAAAACCCCACAGAAGGCTGTTCCTAAAATAGTCCTTTAGTAATTCTAATTTAGACAGCTAGAGAGGAACCCAAGCCAGATCCACACCTGCAAGCAACATTAAACACGGAGGTTTACCCTCAGGTTCTGACAGAGGGGAGAAATTCACAGCATGAATCAGAATAAATATTACACAAGCCATTTTTATCATTTACTTTTAAAATCAAGATGAAAAAAGTCAACAATGTGGTATCTACATTAGATAGTCAATTTCCTGCCTTTTCTGATTTCACTGGACAGAAATAGGATCTAAAATGTTTTTTAAAACTATTGAATTATATTGTATGTGTTTGATATTAAAGGGAAGAATGTGGCTTTTTGGAACGAAAAGGCAGATTTAATTAACATTAATGTCTAGATGTTTTAATGCCAATCTGAATCAGATGGCAGAGCTACATACAACAGTGAATATGAGATTAGTAGGAATAGAATTCAGGATGAATTATTAAAATCTTCCCAAAGCATTTAGCCTGGTTTTGTTTTTAGTAAATTATCTTTTCTGGAGTACTCTTTTGTGTGAATGACAAGTCTCCTGAGGGACTTCCTTGTCTGTACTCTGTTCAACTTCGCTTAAGTTTAATGTCATCATTGCTATTAAATAGTGGCAGAGGAGTAGGCTGGACTCTTTTGAGTTGATCAGATTTTTGCCTTTTAATTAATATAATATAATTTAATTTTTGCTTTTTAATCGTATAAATACGATTAAAAGGTAGTTAAATATATAGAAAAACATTCTATTCTGACATCCTTTTTCATTTTCATTTTGCATTATCTCTAGTAACTTCTATCAACAACACACATCTGAACATAGCTTTATATATTATATATATGAATTATATATTTTTTTATATATTTAATAAAATGGAGACACTATATATATGTACATATATATATATGTACATATATATAGTGTCTTCGTTTACTTGTGCTGCTTTAAGAAAATATGTGATACTGAGTGATAGGGTTTGGATCTATGTCCCCACCCAAATCTCATGTTGAAATGTAAACCGCAATGTTGAAGGTGGGGCCTGGTGGGAGGTGATTGGATCGTGGGGGTGGATCCTCCATGAATGATTTAGCACCATCCCCAGTTTTCATGAGATCTGCTTCTTTAAAGATGTATGGCACCTCCCCCCCCCAACTCTCTCTTCCTCCTGCTCCAGCCGTGTAAGAGGCGCCTGCTTCCCCTTCACCTTCCACCATGATTGTAAGTTTCCTGAGGCCTCCCCAGAGGCAGAAACCACGTTTCCCATGCAGCCTACAGAACCATGTGCCAATTAAAGCTCTTTTCTTTATAAATTACCTAGTCTCAGGTATTTCTTTATAGCAGTGCAAGAACGGACTAACACACTGAGTAATTTATAAAGAGCAGAAATGTATTTTCTCATAGTTCTGGAGATAGGGAAGTTCAAGATCAAAGTACTGGCAGATTCGGTGTCTGGTGAGAGTCCTGGTTTCTGCTTCCAAGATAGTACCTTGAACCCTATATTCTCACATTACAGAAGAGCAAAAGGGAGGGAAGAGCTCCCCAAACCTATTTTATAAGGGTGTTAATCCATTCACAAGACCCCCACTCTCATGACTAAATCACCTCTGATACGGTTTGGCTCTGAGTCCCCACCCAAATCTCACCTCAAATTATAATCCCCATAAACCCCACATGTCAAGGGCAGGACCAGGTGGAGGTAATTGGATCATGGGGGCAGTTTCCCCCATGCTGTTCTCATGATAGTGAGTGAGTTCTCATGAGATCTGATGCTTTTATAAGTATCTGGCATTTCCCCTGCTTGCACTGACTTTGTTCTGCTTCCCTATGCAAAAGGTGCCTGCTTCTCTTTTGCCTCCTGCCATGATTGTAAGTTTTCTAAGCCCTCCCCAGCAATGTGGAACTGTGAGTCAATTAAACCTCTGTCTTTTATAAATCACCCAGTCTCAGGTATTTCCTCATAGCAGTGTGAGAAGGGACTAATACAACCTCCTAAAGGCCCCATCTCTTAATATTACCACATTGGTGGTCAAGTTTCAATGTATGTATTTGGAAGGACACATTTGGACCAGAGCATATAGTTTAATAATCTGCCTTATACTTGTGGCAGATTATATATATACAATATATATATAATCTATGCTATATATACATAATATATATGCTATATATATATGCTATATTATATATATGCTATATATATGCTATATTATATATATGCTATATATATGCTACATATATACATATAAAATGAGCACATAGACTTTCTTATTCTCTTTTTTTTGCTGCATAATATGTCAACCAGTTTTATACCACAGTTAACTGAACTATTAGTTTGGTGATTTATCTTCTTTCTCAATTGTATATAAGAAACTACAGAGCGGCATCTTTCTATATGTTACTGTTCAAATTTCAGTTTTATTTTCCATTAATCTAAAAGAAAAAAGCCAAACGCTTAGATAAAATCACTGTGTCAAAGAGTTTAAACCTTCTTGGTTAATATATTGTTCAAGTTCCCAAAAGAGTTGTCCTTATGTACAGTACACCAGTGGAATAGATAGTTGTGAGGCACTTTCACCCTTGCCATGTCTGCAGAAGGTATTAGAATCCATTTATATATTGTACTTCTTTACTAGGTTTACAATTATATTTCCTTTGTTCTTTAATTTGTCCTTTTTTGATGAACAAATAAAAGTATTTAATATCTTTTGAATTTGTTTCTCTACTAAGACTTGTGCTATTTATATTTATATACCTGCTTTGTAGGCAGAGTTACTTTTTGCCAAATTGAATCTTTTTAAGATATTGAGTCAGCACTGTGGCTTTTCAAATTTGCTTTTGTACCCATGCCAGTTATTGTGGCAGGCAATCAAAAAGCTTGCTACCGGGATTTCTAAATTTCTTTTATTTCTTATTGCAGCATCCTTCCATTCAATGTGGTGTTTTAATTTGTTTTGGTTCTTTATTCCCACCTTGCTTAATAGCTGACTGTTTTTCTTTAACCAATATAAATCAGTATACAGCAAACGTTATAAAGCCCGAAGCATGAGTCTGACTGAGTCCAAAAACAAAAATGCCATTTTCCTCCCTCCACATTAATTTCGGCCTCCTTAGCCAGTAGGAACAAGTGAGTAGAAATTTGCAGAGTCTACCTGAAAGAATAAAGGATATGTGTAAGAAATTTCTAGTGAAGGTGAGAAATCTGGAATCACAGTTTTCCCCTGTAATGACTTGTTCCAGAGAGTTTTTGTCTTCATATTCTCTTCACTCTATATTTTTAAATAATAGGTTATCAGTGGTGTCAGAGTCTTGGTCTGGCCATGTGGGAAGGTGGGTGACTTGAGTGCAGGCCTCATGCTCTGAATAGTGTGTGATGTCTTCAAATCAAAACACTGGAGATCTGTATATATGAGTTACCTTTTATGTTCGTGCTTTGTTACGAGGGTGAATCTATTCCAGGAAACAGGGTCCTGGATTTTTAACTAGCATACCCTGTGGTCCATCATCTGGTGGGGGTTGTTAGTGGCACCATCAAGAAGGCCTTGCTGCATTGGCATGGGGGGGTTCACCAGCACCCAGTTCCAGGTGGCATCATAAATATCCTGTGTGCAGAGCCCCACACAGGTGTGAGAGAAAGTCTGGCAAGACCAGCCCATTACCATTGGTAAAACACATAATAGTGATGACCATCAAGCTAGCTACTGTCCATGTAATCCAGTGTCAGCTACTTGAATATGTAGTAGAAGTTAGCTTTAACATATGTAAAGTTTTTTCCCCAAAATGCACTTATTAGTTGATGATTTGGAAATTCACATTTAACAATGCTGGGTATATTTTCACATTTAACAATGCTGCAGACTGGGGTTGAATTACCAAGGCTCTACCGAGCCTTCTCCCACTAACAGAAACTAATGTAAACTGTCTTCTAACTAGAACACAGGACCTAAAATATGATTATAAGCCTTTGTTAAAAAAGTGAAATTTATAAGGGAAAATATAAAAACAACTAACAAGAAATTTGTATTACCAATATGGTTAATGGAACAGTTTTTATTTCAAATGAAGATGAACAGTATAATGACTCTCACTTCATATAAGCAATGTAAAAAATCTTATTCAGGTAACTACCAATTAACAATTTAAAAACCCACTTTTGTTGGAACTTTTAAAGGACTCTTTCTTTGTAATACTTTACTCTGTCATTACCCTGACATCAAAGGACAAATTGACAAATAGGCCCAGATTAGGTAATGCAGAATCTTTTTAAAGTAGAGCATTCAAGGTAACCTGTCTTAGGTAATCAAAGAGTTCCCATAGGGCAGACGATGAAGCTGCATCTTTTCTCTACTGCACAATGAAGACGTATTAAGTAAAAGGAATAGGTTTACTCTGGGGATTTCTATATGTAGGTTAGATTCTATGTATGGGACAGAAAAAATAACTTCAATAAGCCAATAAAGCTTTCAAATGTATTTATTTACTTTTTGTGCAAAAAAGTTTTGAAAGACCCAGTAACAAGATTAGAGGAGACACCTGAATTTTATATCACTAGAGAGATGGCTAAATAGATCAGAAGAAATATTTTTTCTAGCTTATGACCCAAGGATATTATATAGTCCCCAAAAGAAGTTATAAAATATATGCTTTAATTTCCCTTTGGAATGGAAAAAAGAAAATACTACAATAACAGGGGCCTGGCAGAAAGACAAAATATATCCTACTCATGATAAATTGGTACCACTATCTTTTCATAAAGATAAATCTTAATTACTCTCAGATGTTCCCTTCATTATAAATAAGTACAGAATTTGAAATTTTACTGAATTGTAAAATAGGCAAATAAACATTAAAATTTATTCTAATTTAGTCAACTAGATAAATAATACAGGTAAATTGTTAAAATTATAGGAAGAAATCAAATATTGTAAATATGAAAAGGTTTCATTGTATTACTTTTTTCCATTATCTGTAATAAAAGTTCTTTATCCTTAAAAAGGTGGTCATATTTGCATGTGATATCATTGTCTCTTTTTTTTTTGCTTGATTAATATGTACCCTAATAAATTAGTATCTTGAATCATTTTATTTTAAAATGTACATAATTTTCTTAAAATTAGATGTATGGTGAGCAAGGATTAATAAATCAGTATATGAAAGGGTGACATCTTACTGCAGTGTTTTCTAGTTCTGACATCTAGGAATCAGGTGATATTGGCCAAACAGGCCTTGCTTTTGGTGCATATAAAAGGAGAGGATGTGACTGCCTTTCATTATTAGAATAGGAAAAACCTAGGTCCTAATATGTCAAACATATGAATACATAAATATTAGTTATATTTCATCTGTATCTGCCAAACCTAATTTTACTATTTGAGCATATTAATAAAATGTATTTACATTACTACATTTTATTTGCATAGATATAGGGATAAATACAGTATCTACTTTAAAAACGATTAAACAGAGCATAGTTCTTTGTATTTGTTTCAAATAAACTGAAGTTATTGTCTTTTCTAAGTCTACCAAATTATATTATAAATAAAAATTCCAGTCATTTTCTGGAATATATTACTGAGATCTCTGTGGTTAGGGGTTTTTTAACTACTCTAATAAGTGACGTAAGATAAATTTTCCATCTTCCAGAGGAGGGAAGAAATATGAGTATCTCACCGATGTAAATGATTCTCTTTTTTTTGCATGTTAAGAGAGCAGGAGAGCAGGTAGTATGGAGGGTGTTTGTATTAGGGTTCTCTAGAGGGACAGAACTAATAGGGTAGATGTATATATAAAGGGGAGTTTATTAAGGAGTATTGACTCACACGACTAGGTGAGGTCCCACAATAGGCCGTCTGCAAGCTGAGGAGCAAGGAAGCCAGTTCAAGTCCCAAAGCTGAAGAACTTGGAGTCCAATGTTTGAAGGTAGGAAGCATCCAGCATGAGAGAAAGATGTAGTCTGGGAGGCTAAGCCAGTCTAATCTCTCCACGTTCTTCTGCCTGCTTTTATTTATTCTGGCTGTGCTGGCAGCTGATTGGATGGGGCCCACCCATATTGAGGGTAGATCTGCCTTTCCCAGTCCACTGACTCAAATGTTAATCTCTTTTGGCAACACCCTCACAAACACACCCAGGAATAATACTTTGCATCCTTCAGTCCAATCAAGTTGACATTCAGTATTAACCATCATAGGGCTGAAGGAAGGAAGCAGCATTCCTGCCTTTGTGATGTTGATCGTAAACTGGCACCAGGTCTTCTAACATATTCAGGAAGAGTATAGAGGGGTGAGATTTAAATACCCAGGAAGGGAGTAAGGTAACACCTATTTTTTTTTTTTTTTTTTTTTTTTGAGATGGAGTCTCGCTCTGTCACCCAGGCTGAAGTGCAGTGGCACGATCTCAGCTCACTGCAACCTCCACCTCCTGGGTTCAAGCAGTTCTCTTCCTCAGCCTCCCGAGTAGCTGGGATTACAGGCGCCCACCACCCTGCCTATTTTTTGTATTTTTCGTAGAGACAGGGTTTCACCATCGTGGCCAGACGGGTCTTGAACTCCTGAACTCGTGATCCACCCACCTCGGCCTCCCAAAGTGCTGGGATTACAGGGGTGAGCCACTGCCCCCAGCCAGGTAGCACATATTTTTAAAGCATAACCAGCCCTCACCAGGCAATGAAAGTGGAGAAGTAATTACATGGCTGGAGGACACAGGAAATCCTGTGCTCTTGCTGGGTGGTCAAGTGAGAGCGAAGCAGCGCTGAGAGGAAAGGGTAGCGACTGGACAGGATTGGAGAGTGGAAGGCTCTGGCTGCTGGGTGAAGGATTTGTGACTCTCTCCTGGAGGACTTAGGAAGCCAATGAAGGGTTTTCAGCTAAAGAATAACATGATTAGATATTTTTTAAAATATCAACAAAAATAAAGATTACTATCATGGTCTGTAATGGGACAAGGACGGAGGCAGGGAGACAGCAGGATTTTACAGTATTACAGCAAGAGAAGATGAGACCTAGCACCGAAGCACTGGCACAGAGGTTAGAAGGGAAAGGCTAGTTGTGAAAGGTATTAAATGGCAGTCAACAGGACTTGGTGATTGGTGAGAAATAAAGAATAGGGGAGAGGTAGAATGTTCAGTCACAGTTCTGCCAAGGGACAGAACTGATAGGACAGAGAGAGACAGAGAGACGAAGAAGGGACTTACTAGGGGATTTGGTTCACTGCACTGTGGAGGCTGAGAAGTCCCAGGTAGGGTGTCTGCAAGCTGGAGAACCAGGGAAGCCAGTAGTGTGGCTCAGTGCAAGTCAGAAGGTCTGAGAACCAAGGAAGCCAATGCTGTGAAACTCCTGGTCCAACTACCGGTCACACTCCTTGGAGATAAAGCATAAAATTTACCCTTCCTCTTCCTTTTTGTTCCACGTGGGTCCCCAGCCAACAGCACAGTGCCCACTCACATTGAGGGTGAATCTTCCCCACTCAGTCCATGGACCCATATGCCAGTCTCCTTCAGAAACACCCTCACAGACACCCCTGGGACAGCTCAATCATTCTAATCAAATGCCACACTACATGGTTTTCCCTCTCAGCAGAACGGGCTCAGTGCCTACTGAAGCACTGAAAAGAATTAGTGCTTTACCAGCTGTCTGGGTATCTCTGAATCCAGCCAAATTGACACCCTGAGTCAACCATCACAGAGGAGTATCGATGATTCTGACTCACCAGCTTGGAAATAAATCAGGATGGAGGGCTGCTACAGGAAGAAAATATGCATTCATCTTTGAGGGGATTGTGGAGAGGGTGTTGAATTAATCTGTTACACTGTCCCATGTTGAATTTTAGATGTCCTTTGATGGGTTCACAGTTGACAAGGACAGCCATCAGGAGGCTATGGAAAAACAAATGTGGAGGTGATTAGTACAGAGAGAGAAAGGGGGATCATGGCAGAGAAGGCTTTACAGAGATATATTTGAGCTGGGTTTAAAACATTACTAAGAATTTTTAGGGAACACACTTTGGGTTTTAGGAGCAGGTATTCCAGGAGCAGGCATGGAAATGTGAGAAAAGAATAATCAGCTGCCAACTATAGAAGTTGAGAAAAGAAGAAAGATCCCCAGGCAGCACATATAGAGTATTAATATTCCCTGGTGCCTCACATCCCCGTCCTCTGTGCACCCTGATGAGGAGCCTCAGGGTAAAACAGAAGGATCCACTCAAAGGTGTCAAATGCACAAAGTTCTGTTCAGTGTCTCAGATAAACAGGCCAAAGAGAAAACAATGATGGTCCAGTGTCAAAGAACTAGAGATATGGATGAAAACCACATACTAGACATCTCTTTAAAGTATTTATGTCATCAGAGAACCTATGAGGAGTAAGGACAAAAGTCAAATTTGAGATCTAGAGAACGAATAAGAATGTTAAGGAACTTCGGGTAGCTGGGATAGGTACCCAACCTATTCAGTTAAATTCCCCCCGCCCCACCCACCAAAATAGAAATGAAATAAATTGGTGAGTTAAATCCAGGCTGAAGAATCTAAAATGTGGAGAAGCAGATTCAAACCTGGTGGCTGCAGTATTTAAGGTCCTAACACACTGCTGTTTCATAGTCATATACATTCCTGGCATGGCAAATACTTCTCCAAGTGCCTAAATGCTCATTACCCAACCCCAGAAGGTCCCTAATCACCTCTATGCTAACCTCCACAATGAAACTGTGTCAAAGAAAAACATACCTTACTGGGCTTGCATAGAAAGTAACGAGGGATGTGGAATGTTTTTGCTTGGCAGTTGATTTTTAAGCTTAGTTTAAAGATAAATGCTGAGAACTTTCAGAGAATGTACTGAAAGTGGTAACAGAAAGTCCCATTATCTTTAATGAGAATTTCATGGCTAATTCCCTGTGCAGCGCTGAAAATGCATCCCTTCAATTCGATTGCTTTTTTGCCCTAAGATAGATGGAGTGAGTGGAGTATTCAATCAAGTTCTCTGTCTGCGGCCAGGATCAGATCTTACCCAGCTGTTACCCATCTCTGCTGCATTCTGTTCAGTTGTTTTCCACAGGGCTACTTTCTGCCTGCTTTCCCTCTGCTTTCTTTTCTTTTTTCTTTCTTCTTTCTTTTTTTTTTTTTTTTTTTTTTTTGAGACACAGTCTAGCTCTGTTGCCCAGGCTAGAGTGCAATGGCGTGATCTCGGCTCACTGCAAGCTCCGTCTCCCGGGTTTACACCATTCTGCCTCAGCCTCCCGAGTAGCTGGGACTACAGGCGCCTGCCACCACACCCGGCTAATTTTTTGTATTTTTAGTAGAGACGGGGTTTCACCGTGTTAGCCAGGATGGTCTCGATCTCCTGACCTCGTGATCCGCCCGCCTCGGCCTCCCAAAGTGCTGGGATTACAGGCATGAGCCACCACGCCCGGCCCCCTCTGCTTTCTTTTAAGCTACTCGGAAACCCTTGTCTTCCAGCTCTCGGGCTATGACTCATAGAAACCCAGTATGGTCATAGGAAGATTTCACCAGGGCTGTCCTTTTAACAAGAGTCAAATGATCAATCATATTGAAAGTATCAATAAATATTGGGAGGTTATTTCTATAAATTATACTAAAAACTTGCCTGAGTAACTACTGGCTTTTGAATTGCAGTTGTTAGCCTGTCATTCAAAGTTTCCTAAAAAGAGAGTATCAATATTTAATAATTTAGATAAGAGAACTTGTTGCTGAAACAAATAGTCTGTTTGTCCTTTTTTTCTCCACATAAAAGTATTTATGTGTTTCATTTAAAAGCTGCTTCTGTCCTACAGGAAAATAATAACTTAAGTGTTTGGGTTTTTCACATTCTCACTGACTTGTAGCAATTTTCTCAAGACTTTCGCTTGTCACCAAAGCCTTGCTCAGGGTGAATAAGGTGGGAAAGTCAATAGGTCAGCTGCAGGCTTTTCCGTATTTATTTTGCAGTCTCTGCCTATGTAGAACCGTACCAGCAACGTGGGGATTGATCACTATTTAACAGACTGCATTAGTCCTCAGATGTACAATTCTTCCTCCATGGAAGGTAATGAAAGGGATCAGGGAAAATATAACTGCAAAACCTTAGAGAATTAGTTTCTTCAATCAGGTGCTTCATTCTAGCTGTCAATAGACTTTTCACAGTCGTGCTCTGTAAAAGTAATTAGAAGCCAGAATAAATGTGATCATTACAGGAATGAACACACTTTACACAGAACGGTGCATTTTATGCAGAAAAACGCAAATCTTTAGTCAAGAAGGAACACATTCTCCCTTCAATTTATTTTTACTACTTGATCACTTTACAATCAATATACTTACTTAGCATGCTTCAAACCTAGTTTCTTTTTAATCATGAACTCATTTTAGTATGATGAAGTCTACATTCACAGTGAAGTAATTTGGACCGCCTGAATTGATGTCTACCTAAACAATGCATTTAAAATATAAATGCTGAGACCAAGCTTGTGATTGTTGAATTATGGATGTTGGGAGCTGGAATTCTCTAAATATATTAATCTACGTGATTCGAATTTGGTAGAGTAGAAAGAGTCCTAGATTTTGAGTCCAAAAATGGGTTTTGAATCCTGTTGTTTACTCGCTGTGCAAGGGAGTGAGTGATTATATCACCTCGTCTCTCAGGGACTTATCGGTGAAATGGGAATAATGATTTCTTTCTCACAATGATGGCTTGAGGATTAAAAGAGCAGCGTATGTGAAAACAGCTAGTACAGTTCTAGCATTCCTGACTACTCAGAATGTTCAGTTGAAATCTGTGCTTTTGATAGCGAATCCATCTTCTCGTTGCAGAGCTAGAAATATGAAGCACATCTGTTTTAAATGAGATTGTAGCTACTAAAAATAGGATAACCCCTGTAAGAGCTATTAAAAATCACAGTAATGGGTCACCAGAGAGAATGATAGGGAGGACTATGAAAAATACAAAAGTTACCTCTTCTGATCTGTAAGAAATGGAGTACACAAAGTGCTGGGTCCTATTAGAGCTTTGAAAAAGGCATTCAAGAGCAGCAGAAGAGCTACCCTTGAATTCAAGACTAGGGTTTTATTTCCTAGTATCAAAACCCAAGAGCGTATGGCAGAAGACAAATGTTTAGGATTTAAAAAGAATTAGACGTTTATTCATCTATTTGCTCATCCATTTATTTGTTGAGCAAGAAAAAACTGTGGAGCACTGCTATGTGTCAAGCACTTTGCTACCCCAGCCTGGGAGACCCCAGGATGCCTGCCTCATTGCTCTTAGAGTCTGATGTCTTGACAGTGGAGCCGCATTGGGAAGCCAGACAGCCGTAGTATGTAGCGTCAGTTCTTTTTAATAATGAAAATGAAAACAAGAAAATATAGTCCAAGGATTGGGTTTTAAGTGACCCAAAGGAGAGCATACATACTTTTCAAACTACAATGGAGAGGAAGAATATATACTTGTCAGTTTGACAATTCTCTTGAGGTTTCAAAAATGTTCTTCTGGCTTAGGAAAATATCGATAAATAAATGGACAATTTTGATGATATAACAATTAATAATATAATTACTATAAGACTAATCAGTATGCTCTAATATATATATATTTCAAGTATTACCATAATTCAAACAGAGTTGTTAACCAGCAGATGTGGTAGGAGCAATTGTTAAAATCCAGAGAAAGGGAAATGCAAGGCAATGGTTGTGAAAGAAGAATCATATCCCATTTAGAAGCCATAAGAGAATCTGTGATTTCTTTTTGCTAATATTTGTTATCTCCATAATGCATTGATCACTTCCCAGAATATATTTAATTAGTGAACACTTCTTGAGCAAATACTTGGAAAGCACAGAGTATAAATAAATAAATCTAGTCTTTTAGGGGCATGGATATAATATCATTGGCACACATTAGGAATTCATGTAATTTTTAAAATAAGTATGTATTGAATGCTTACTGAGTCCTAGGAAGTATGCTAGGGTCTAGAAAAGCTACAGTCAATATAGACACCAGTACAGCCTGGTGGTGGTGGTGGTAATAGTAATGAAAATTTTGAACGTTTATTGAGAATAAATGACACGCTATACTTCATACTAAGTATTAGGCATGAATTATTTCATACAATCCTGAAAACAACACTGTGTGTTGTATATTATTATTAAATTCAATTTACAGAGGAGGAAACAGAGTTTGAGGAGCTTCAGTAACTTGCCCAAGGTCACACAGTTATTAGCAAAGCCAGGGTCCAACTCAGGAAATTCTCTCTCTTGCCCATGTTCTTAATCCCTACACCTTCCAGATGAGTATGAAACAGTGGGGTAAGAGATACTGTGTGTGACTTCAACCAGGGCATATGAGATCATACAAATATGGGAACTATAATAGTTGATGATTGCAGAAAACTACAAAATCATTTAAGTATGGAGTAGAAGTGAGGAAAACAGGGACCATATTGTGAAGATCTTGTATTTCATGTGAAGAAATGGGAAGCCATTCCTGTGTTTGTATTTATATCTGCATTTTAAAAAGGTCACCTTCACTATGGAGGAAGACCAATGGAAAGAGGCCAGACAGGAAAGGTTAGAGTGAGGTTGCACCAATCTAGGCAGGAGATGATATTAGTGCAGCTAGAGAGGAGATATTTGAGAGATAGTATAAAATATGAAATTAATAGGCATGAAATGTGCTGTAGTGAATACATTAACACACTGAACTGTACACATGCATTAATCTCTTGTAATGGATGAGTTTAATTTGATAACTTGGAGGTTTATAACATTTCTTACTCTAGACATGAAATAAGTCATAAATCACGAAACAAAGATTTTTGGAAAGCAATAATTTTAATCCTGACCACACCCACTCTGGCAAGGTTTTAAAAAATGGGAAGGTTGAGGCCACTGAAAAAAAAAATCATGGTACAGAAATTTGTAAGAAATTAAATAACTTCTATGTCTCATTTCTTTTAACTTCTCTCTTATCAGGTTCAGTGAATTTCTAACACATCTGTTTCATGCAGATGCTTATTTTTTAATAGCTGAATAAAATGGGACCACGAGAAAAGCAGAGGAAGAGGTAAAAAGCATTTGGAAACTGAGCAGAATCATTTACATTCTTCCGACATGTAGAAATGTATCTTTAGTTCAAAGATTGCTGAAACTAATCTGCCTCAGGCTTTCCAGGATGGGTGTTCAGATGTTGCTTTGGAGTGCATAAAATCACATGATCAGCAGTGTCTTGCATCTGTCAAAAGAAACTTCTGAGCTGGGCATAGTGGCTCACACCTGTAATCCCAGCACTTTGCGAGGCTAAGGTAGGAGGATCACTTGAGCCCAGGAGTTTGAGATCAGCCTGGACAACATAGCGAGACCCTATCTCCACAAAAAATTTAAAAAATTAATGGCAGGCACCTGTAGTCAGGAGCCCAAGGCAGGAGGATCACTTAAGCGCAAGAATTTGCTGCAGTGAGCCATGATCCTGCCACTGCACTCCAGCCTTAGCGACAGAGCAAGACCTGGACTCATTTAAAAAAAAAAAAAAAAAAAAGAAAGAAAAAAGAAAAAAAGGAAGCTTCTGCTTATAAAAAGAGTGGTGTACAAATAGGAGGAGTAGCTGCTCTGTGCTATGTTCCAGCTTATTGCATTTACTTAGTTCTCTTGGGGTTGAAATAGATAGTCATTATTCCTTTCTAAAATTTGAATGCTGCCCAGGTAACTTCAGCTTAGTAAAGTATCATAGACAACCACATCTGATTAGATTACTAATAACTTGTTTGCTATAGTCATTTGAAGAAAGATAATGACCTGGCTTTTAATTAAAGAAGGAAAAAGGAGAACCCTCATAAAGTAGGGGAAATGATTTTATGTTCTAAGAACTAAATCTGTAAGATTCTAAATATAAATCTATAGCTATATAAAGACATAATTCATGTGAAGAATATTATCACACTAGTAGGTTTCTCAGACTGTCCTTATATACATAATCTCTGAAGCATGCATTTTCCCCAGGGGAATTGAATCCTTCTTGTTTCCATGACTAAAAGTAGCCTCATAGTTATAAAGAACAGTGAAAATGAGGTAATGTACGTGGAAGTCCAAACTAAAAAACAAAATCAGATTGTGATCTGATTTCCCCAATTCTACATTGGGGAAAAACTTACTGATTTCAAATTCGTTAACAAATATTGATTTCCCTTTATATTTAGTACAAAATCAAACTAACCTCGATAAGAATGCAAGTGAATCAAAATGAGTTTCAAGGGGTTGTGGCTAGTACACGCTTTCTACAGCTGATCAAACTATTGTTTGGACCATGATCCCTTCAACTCAGAAAACCCTGACATATGCCTGTAGTGTGTTTGCCAAATATCATAGTTTACTAACAGGAAATTCTTCTGCTAATTATAAAACTGCACTAACACAAAACAAGATCATATTTATCCAAGTGATTCAGTTATGTTATTACTGTACAAAAGAGTTAAAAATTGCCGCTCAAGTAACTTTCAAAGTCTAAACGTGTATCCCTAAATTCAGTGATTTCAGTGTATTTTTCTTTCAGGGATAATTTTTAGTGGTACCTTTGTAGGTAGCATTATTGAGAACTATAGAAGTTTTCAAATTAATGTTTAATCCCACCCTCGATTTTAAAAATGTGGGGAAATAAAAAGCATCCCCTACTAAAGTTTACATTTCCCATTTGTAATTACTTTAAAAAATTTTTTTACTGCAACATCTACATAATGTCAATTTATGGCAAATTGTCATGACTACAAATTCAGAGATCATCACCCTAGATTTTCATGTGTTTTATTTAATGTGTTAGGGTCTGAGTAACCCTCCTCTACTAGTAATACAAACGTTTGGGGTTGCCCTCAGGAAATAGCAATATAATGATTGGCTACCAAGCAAAATATCAGTGTTCCTGACAGTGGGCATGCTGAGAGCTAGCAAATAAATCCACAGTAGGAAAACAGAGCTCAGAACCATAAACCTCGAATTGTTCTGGTTTCCCATGTCATTTCATTGTGAGTTACTGAATCACCCTTGTGGCCCAAAAGGGGTGTTACATCTCCCCAAGTGCTCAATAAAATGCATTTCAGTCCTTGAGAGATTGGCTTCCTTGCTCAGTACAGTTTGAATCAATATTAAATGAGGCAGTAGTAGGCTTCTGGAGGTTTTGAAATATAGAAGTGATTTTAGAATAAAATGGTTGTTTTTGTCTGCAATCATGGTAAATGACCAACTGTAGGAGGCCCGTAGTTTTCGGGAGACTCTTCCATCTAATTTATTATAGAAATGTTGAGTCATCTTAAAGGGGAGGGTTAACATGTAAACAATATCCACTTTAGGTAAGAACTGATATCTTAAAAAGTGAACTAAATATAGTGTAATGAACCTAAGTTAGAAATGGTTGAAATACAATATTTTGCATGTAAGCCAATTTAGGAAACGAAGCTTTGTCTCTCTTCTGAGACTTAGTTGAGGAGGGGACGAGAGACACACCTCTGGCATCTAGAAATACAGTTGGGAAAGAGGAGACCAGTTCACATGCTTTTCCTGACCTTCCTTTAGTTCTACAGTTTGCTGTGTAAAATAAACTCAAGATCTGATATCTAAGATCAACTGGGACAAACACCTGAAAAAACAATCACAAAGAATGTTATCAGCAAATGCCCAAATTATAGTCAGGTGGACTCTACTTTAACTGAACTCAGTTTATAAAACAAATATTGGCATACATTTGTCTTTAGCTTCATGTAATTATTATAATCTTATAACATCATAATTTACTCCAGGTTTACTTTAATGAACATCTCTTTAGAATAAAAAGGACTATAAAAGTATAAACCTTTTAAATAGTTGAAATATGATGAGATCTGAGAAACTGGGATTTACTTGTGTTCCATAAGTTTTTCCAAATAATGTACTGCCCATAAAGAGGAGGCTCCTCTACACAGACTTACCATGGCCAGGTATCACACTCATCACTTCAGGTCATTCTTGCTGCACTTTATGAGGTCAGTACACCTGCTTTCCTCAATTCACAGAGGAGATGCAGCCTGAGAGTCGAAGTAACCTGGGTACAGCTCCATAAGATTGTCTTCAAACCCTTCTGTTGTCAGCTGCCATTTTGCATTCAGAAAGAGGTTCCAAGATAGTTTGAAAGTAGTGAAAGACAGAGTAAAAATGGACACGGGATTGGGGGAGGGGTTTGTACAATGGTACTAAGATGCTGACTGAAAGCGTAAAGAAGTTGTGGGTTGTGGGGAGTAAGTAGGATACTGGGACAAGGAAGTGGAAAGTGGGAGAGGATGAAGAGTTTGCCTTTGAAAATGTTGCCACTGGAAAGCAACTGAAGATGCTTTGAATACAGTGTTGATAAACTGTTATGGTTGGGTATTTAGTAAATTACTTTGGTAATTTACGTAACAAATTGTTCTTTGATATCATGTAATGTAAATATAGAAATTGTTTCATGTCAACCAGAGAAGTAACTAAACCCACTGACTCCTAAACTCTGATGCCCAAGGCTCTGCATGTTTGAGCCCAGGCTGTTTCTCCACCCTCATCTCCTTCTCCCTGTGTGCACCAGCATATTGAGCTCCACACTTGTTCATGAGCAGACTGAACCAGCATTAACCTCAGGGCCTTTGCACTTAACTCTCCTTGAAATGGTCTTCCCCAAAACAGTACCTCCTTCTGCCATTACACCCTTCGCTAGTACCATTCCACTTTCTAATCTGCCACAACATTTATTTTTATGGGTAATTCATTCCCACCTGATATTATTCATCTGCTTCTTTATTTTCTTTGTCCTCTCACTAAAATTTGATCATCAAAAGAGATGGGACTTGGCTTTGTTCACTGTTGCATCTCCTACACACTGGAGTAATGGAGACTTGGGGGTCTGAAGTTAAGTAAAATAAAGTCAGAAAGAATTTAGAAAATTACAAAACAAAATAGGAATGAAAGTTAATATTCAGAATGTAAGAAAAATAAATTGCAATGTTTAAAATCTGATAAGTAACACAAGCATTATAAAATCCACAAAACAATAATTTTTGTTACTTTATGAACTGCCCCACTTCTGTACATTTTTTCTCCACAATTTTTGTAACATACTCTTTGCCTCTTCAAATTATAACAACTTTGCAATATAATTTTCTATAGAGAGAATAGAACAATTATTTTGTCTCTTCTCTAGCATGGATGATCAAATTTAAATTATTAAGAGTTTATCAAAGCTTTCCAACATCAAAATGAGTTATTACTAATGTCTTATACATTTTTAAATTGCTGTCAAATGCAAAAAAAGAAAAAACTTCTCTAAGTTTCTTTAGCATATGAACCATAAATTTGAGAGAATATGCCACAGAGTAGTTTCTGGCTGTATACAGTTCCAACCTTTTTGTCCTCCAAAACATATATATTTCCCATCCTGGGGGCCTCAGGATATGGACGTATTACATCATGACCTCTGGCCCTGCACCTCTTTTCCAGCATTGGATGACTGTGTACAATGGGCAGTAGGAATACTCTGGATGCCATTTCTACACAGGATACTACAATAACCCAGCCATAAATGAAAGTAATTATTGTCCAATAAATACATCCCAGCAAACCTAGCCTGACTGCATCCCAACTCAACTTTCTTTAGCTCAGTTTCAAAAATAACCACAGCGAATTGAACGCTACCCAACATGACAGAAGGAAGCTGGGATGTAAAGAAGACAGCAGCCATATCATTTGCAGTTAAAACACTTTGCTTTTGCACATTTGTAAAGGTATGTGACTATGTGAACACAGTGCTAAGGCCCCTCCCAGAACCTGGAAAGGGATTCGTACAAGTAAGGGGCCTTGAAACTCAAGCTTTTGTAGCTCCACAGTAAATCCACTCCTGCCAGCAACTTGTGGTATTTGTAGGTACAAAGTAGACAGGCAAAAAATGTTTGGCAAAAGAATAAATGAAAGAAAGAATCATGCAATAAAATATATTTTAATACATCTTCCTTAGCATTGCCAAATCAAAGTGTCCTTCAAATTAAATGGGACCCATTAGCTGCAGGTTACATTTATCATATTAAAACTGTGCTAAATATCTGAGTGATTTGGGATCTATTCTCAGTACAAAATATGTCAAGGAGATTTATTAATTATAAGCACAGATATATTGACCTTTTCCTTTTTCTTCCTATGGGGAAATTAAACATTTCTGTATAACTTTGCTACCTTATCAAGTGTGCTTCCTCACATGTATACTCTAAGCAGAGCCATTACTTGGAATGTCTTATTACTAAAATTAAGGACAAATTTTCTTCATTGCCTATGTTACAATTGCCTTTTTATGAAGGACAAATACTACTCTGTGACATTTATTTTGTTATTTTGTGGCTTCTAGGGAAAGAATTGTGTGAATATTTTTTAAGTGATGTTGTAGTAGAAGGAGCTGAAAAATTGAAGGCCTATATTTTCCAGGTGGGGTAAAAATACAGATTTATTCACATTTTAATTTAATTGTAAAACAGAGTTCATGTTAGAAAGAAGATTGGGGCATCAGGTAAGAAACTCCATATTGGGCTGGGCATGGTGGCTCACACCTGTAATTCCAGTACTTTGGGAGGCTGAAGCAGGTGAATCGCTTGAGACAAGGAGTTCAAGACAACCTGGGCAAAATAGTGAGAACCCATCTCCACAAAAAATACAAAAGTTGGCTGCATGTGGTGGTGTATTCCTGTAGTCCCAGCTACTTGGAAGGCTGAGGAGGGAGGATCACCTGAGCCCAGGAAGTCGAAGCTGCAGCGAGTTGGGATGGCGCCACTGCATTCCAGCCTGGGCAACAGAGTGAGACCCTATCTCCAAAAAAAGAGAAACCTCCTATTGAATGAGGGTTCCTGGCCTTTAATATGCTCCTTTCTTTCTTTTGCCCAGGGCTAGCATATCAATCTCTCTGGTCATCAGAAAGTGCCTGTAAAATCAAATGAGCTCTCGTAAACCTGACTCTGAGTATATATTTATGTACCACTGAAAAACTGTGTGCCACCTTCCTGGACCTGGAGTCCATCAGAGAATGCCAGCATCAGAATGTTTCTTGCAGATGCTGATTTTTTCCACTTGACATTCAAATTGAGATAGTTGGGAGAAGATGAAAAGCTATGGGGCAAATAAAAGTGACAGAAAAGTGGCAGCATTCCTGAGAGGCTTTCTTTCGCATGCTTAGTTTAGGAAAATAGAATTCTGTGATGCTGTGAGTGGAAATACAAGGCCTTGGTTGGACCCATCAACCATGAATCAAATTACAGGCAATATTTCCCACCTTTATGTGATTGCCTCTTTTTAACACTTTTTACTTTTTTAAAATTTCAAATTAATTTTGATTCCTAATTGGAAGATACATAATGGTTAGCATGAAAAGACAAATAAAGGTGCAGCCATCTGTTTTGGAAATGCTGGGGAAAGAAAATACACATATCCATTTGAAGGTAGATTTTTCTCTTAGGTATTGTGTGATTGGTTGCAAATCACACTTGGAGGTATCCTTTCAGAGAGCATGTTCCTGGGCACATTCGCTTCCTGATTGCAGTAAAATCTTTTAAAATCTCTGGCGGGTAATTTGCTGCTGTACTGCTGCTTACTACAACTTGAGGTAGGGAGAAAGAGATCAGTTTAAAAGGATTAAGAAAATGAGTAGTAATTGTAGGCTGTCTGTTAAAAACCCTTCACAGTGTGTAAGTCTTGTTTATAAGTGAGTACACGAGAGATAAAGCAAGTTCTGCTTTATCAGTAAAGCACAGACATATTTCAGCATGATTAGAAACAGATAAAGATTTTTTTTTTCCTCCCCTTGGCTTCATTCAGCTGGTGTAATGAACATTATTGATTAAAATGTTAGGATCAATAAAGATTTAAAATCGCAGTGGAGGAGACCTTAATGAGGAGAAAAAGGTTATGGTCTGTTGAGTAAGCTGGCAGTTAAATGCTTTGTAGAAAACTGATTTTTTTTTTCTTTTTTTTGAGACAGAGTCTCGCTGTCGCCCAGGCTTGAATGCAGTGGTGCGATCTCTGCTCACTGCAAGCTCCGCCTCCTGAGTTCACGCCCTTCTCCTGCCTCAGCCTCCCAAGTAGCTGGGACTACAGGCACCCACCACCACCACCTGGCTGATTTTTTTTTTATTTTTAGTAGAGACGAGGTTTCACCGTGTTAACCAGGATGGTCTCAATCTTCTGACCTTGTGATCCGCCCGCCTCGGCCTCCCAAAATGCTGGGATTACAGGCGTGAGCCACCGTGCCCGGCTGAAAACTGATTTTTTAAACATGAACTATTAGTTATTACTGCTTGGCCTTCATTGGCATAGGCTGTTCTGCAGCTTGCATGTACATGTAAGACAATATGCATTGTTATCGGACTCACACACTAAAAGTTTGTGAACATCATGTACAACTAGAACTTAATGATGAAACTTGAACATGTGTTAATAATAATAATGAATTCTCTGTAATGAGAAAGCTGCCTCTCAAGTCATTTAACAGCCAGTGGAACTTACATATTTCTCCTTAGAATGCAGTTATATGTAATCACACAGTTGCACTTTGTGAGGTTCTAATATTACAACAAGAATGTTTTAAATCCCTCTCTCCTCTTTTTCTTAATTATCAGTATCAAAACCTACCAAATGCATTGGACTTCTGTGTTAGAGCCTCATAACCAAGAACTTCTGTGTTACAGCCACATAGCTAATGAGTTAGATTTTTCTCCCATAGGAACAATTGCATTGTAGAACTTACTTTTATTTGCAGGGAAAAATACTAGACAGATCTAGGAAAATACACAAATCAACAACAAACTACAGGGAGGTAAATGCAAAATAAGGAAAAGGCTAATTAAAATACAAATATGTTGGAAAAAACAAAACAAAATCCATTAATACAATTTTAGGAGAAGCATCTAAAATTGACAATTTTTATGAAATGTATGCAAAAGAACATTTTTTTAATGTTCTTTTTAGTGCATGCAAAAGAACTTTTAAAAGAACAATTCAGAGACCAGCACCTGAAAATGTTAACAAATAAACATAGGCTTTCAGGGGTACTGTAGAGATCAATGTGGAAGAACATAAAAGAATGCCTTAAAGAAAAGGAAAAGAACAGCCGGGCACAGTGTAATCCCAGCACTTGGGAGGCCAAGACTGGTGGATCACGAGGTCAGGAGATTGAGACCATCCTGGCCAACATGGTGAAACCCCATATCTACTAAAAATACAAAAATTAGCTGGGTGTGGTGGCATGCACCTGTAATCCCAGCTACTGCTACTTGGGAGACTGAGGCAGGAGAATTGCTTGAACCTGGGAGGCAGAGGTTGCAGTGAGCTGAGGATGCGCCACTGCACTCCAGCCTGGCAACAGAGCAAGACTCCATCTCAAAAAAACAAAAAAAAAAAAAAAAATGAGAGAGAGAGAGAGAAGGAAAAGAACAAAGGCTCACCAGTCACTAAATGCTGGTTAGAACACTTTTCTCAGGGCTACTCTGGGTATCACATTTCTATATAACCAGTTATGAGTTCCTTTTGGAACTTTTACAAATACTCTTTTAGATTGAGTCCAATAAACACATTTTAAAAAATCAATTCTGACCTCAGTAAATAGTAATTTCACCATTTATTCTTCTGCTATATTTGTGCACAAATCAGTATAAATCTATTAACTATCAATATGTAGAAGTTAATGATAAATATTCTTTAGTCATTTCTTCTAAATTACATGAAATATCATTAAAGAATAATATTTAGTAATAAAACTTGTTCTAATTCTGGTTATTTAATTTTCTGTAGATAAGTGCTCTTATAAACAGTTCATCATGGGATTGTTTTAAATTTAAATACTTAATTTCTGACCCCAGTAATGTACCTTTATAATCTATTTTTAAACTGGTATTTTATGTAGAAAAATCAGCGGTTCATTGTCTAGCTGCTTTTATTTTGGCTGGTGCTTTCTGATTTTGTGATTAGTAATCCACATCATCTCAAAGGGTGTATCAGGAACCATGGGGTCTGACTTGCCCTTGCCTTGGCCCACAGGTGCACCCTGAGCGTGACGCTGGAGCAAGCCATCATTCTGGCCAGAAGCCACGGACTGCCACCTCGTTACATCATGCAGGCTACAGATGTGATGCGGAAGCAGGTAGGTCTCATGCAGACTTGGGAATAGTTGTTTTGTAGGCCCTGGACTTGAAGATTCCTTTGTTCATTTATCAGGGGTTTGACAGGTGCCTGGATGTGATGGACAGTTTACTAGGCTCAGAGGTAACTCATGAATGAGAAATGCTCCCAGGGAGAAGATGCTGCAGGCACCAGTCTGAGGTTCTGCAAGAATCTTAGACAACTCTGGAAAAAGGGAAGTCTACGGAGTAATCTGCAGGCAGAAAGGGACTTGATTAAGTGGAATAAGGCAGCAGTGAATTTGGCGTTTATGTAAGGAACAAGTAAAAGGACATATGGCATTTTTTGGCAATTGTTAGTGGTAAAGCTTGGGACGGAGAGGCACAGCAGCAAGGAAGAAGAGGAAAGAATTGAGGGTCCTGCTGGTTCCTGGTGACTGCCAAGGGACATTCATGCCATACTCAGTGTGTACATTTTTCTGAGGATAAAGCACTTACCTCAAATTTTCCTTTAGGGGATAAATAGCAGTCTTTGGACTGTCTTCGGGTCACTGGAGTACTTATAGGCGAGAATATACTCTCTTATAAATAGAATGAACTTTATTCTATACAGTAGCCCAATAGTATTCTAAGTGTGGCGGTTTAGTTTTTACCCCTTAAAGTTATTTTAAAAAATGCACTAAGCTCCAATTTACTAATTACAAAAATGTGCTTAATCTAGCAGAAAAGATACTTAACCCACAGAAAGACAAAAGAAATCAAAAGACAAATTTTATATTTTATTCTACCACCTTTTCTTTGGGCTACCACAAGAAATTGATTTAACAAATTTCTCTACTTGCTGACTTGGTTTGAGTTGCCCAGTGACAGTGAGTGATTTAATTTTTAAGATATGCTTTGTAATTATGACTACTTTGTTTATTGGAAGCTTAGTATCTAACTCGCAGGCAAACGTATAAATCCCTCTGGGCTTGCTCCCAAGACTGCATTGCAGAATGCCAACAAAGCCCATGAAAAAGTCAAATGAAGAGGCCAACATCAAGCTGGTGTCTGCAATGCGAAGATCAGGCACAGAGAGAGCATATACATTGGTACTTCTGGTTAGGGCTCAGGAGCTGAAGATTGAAAACCAAGATCTTAGAAGGTCCAAGAGAGATTTGTTAAGTAAAGTTTAGAGCTAAGAAGCATGTGACATACTGTGGGCCAGCTGGAAAGGGTAAACACAGATGTGATTTGCCAGCAGGTTTAGGAAGGACTTTTTGGATATATATACAAATTATGTTTTAAAAAGTAGATCCAGGTAAACTTATGATTATCCATATCAGAGTTGAGATTTAGGTTGCTAAGAAATACAGAAAGAAATTAATTGCCTTTCTGTTTGATTATGTTGCTTATTAGAGTAGGTTTGTAGGAAGACTTGGGAAGCGCCATCTCAAAATTATAGCTTATAACAAGCAAAAGAGACTGGAATTTACTTTCTTTTAGAATATTCCACTAAGGAGGTAGTTATGAGTTGGTGACATATCCATTTCTACTGTATAGATTTGAATAGTCATAATTATATCAAATACGTTAACTTCTTAAAACTAAAAGTGGAAATAGAGAAAATAGAGAAAAAGTAATATTGATATTATGCAGGCCCCGATGACTCACTTAACTGGTGTAAAGCTCTTTAAAATACAATGTAAATTATATTTATATAGTATTACTATATTGATGTGTATTATGTAAGTATAGTATAATTTTAAAACTCAAAAGTCATGGGTTCCTTATAAAATTCCTGTTGGTATATAAACTGCACTATTTTGTCAGTATATATCACTTGTTCTTCCCCCGAATTTTTTTAAAAAATGAATACATTTGGAATAGGTAGCTTTCTTCCTTTGTTATTTGTTCCTCTGCCCCAAGTTGTGACGTCCCAATGGCTATGAGAGGCAAAGAAATAAGGTTTAACTTCTTTGTGAAAGATCATAGAGCCTGGGACCCTCTTTAAGGAAACTGGGCAGACTGGTGGCCCCAGAGATTTCTTCAACAGTCCCCTGTCGCGGATTCTCCTTCCAGTATTCAGCAGTAGCAGACAGTGAGATTTGTGGCTGAGGGCCGATCCACAAGCCAACTCTTACCTACCTATGATTTGAGCAGTTAGAATGCAAGTCTGAATCAAAGGTCTAGCCTGGGTTTTCTCTCCTTTTTACCTTTCAGCCTCAGGGACAATTACTTAACCATTTAGACTCAGCTTTTTAGAGACCAAGTGGTTAGATATTTGTCATCTTCAGTATATATTGAAGTATTTGCATTATTGCATTATCGAATTTGTATTATGATATATTAGAGAATAATATTTACTATTAAAGTTTTATAATATATAAATGAATAATATAATGAAAAAACTAAGATTTTTTAATTTTTTTGGGAATAAGAAACTTTTTGGCATGATTTATTGTTCTTATTTATAATTTCAATATTGTTTTCCTCTGCAGATTTTGTGTATATACTTTTCATACAGTTGTTATTTTAATTCACTGCTTGAGTTTGAAGGAAAGATAAAAGACAGAAGAGAAGGGTACTATGTTTTCATGATGTTTTGCTAATGATTGTAACAACCTTGGGCAGCACTTTATGTAACCAGCTGATTTGATTAATAAAAGGCTTGCAGTAGAAACTGTCATTTACATTATAAATTTAAAGTTTTCTATGCCATAATTATATATTCCTAGTGTTCTTTGTTGGCAGCCTAGAAAGAAATGTCTTCTCAACCTTTTTAATAAAAACTGGGATTCCAAAGTACCCTGACCCCTTACCTTCAGTATCAAAGCATCACACTGGACACAAAGAACAAAGACATGAGGTTGACATGCTCCTTGCCTTATCTCATGGTGGACACATCCAAAGGAAAATCACCATGCCACGGGCACAAGCAAGCAAGTTTCTCCAGGGTAACCAACCTCAGTGTATCAAGACTCAGAACAGGGAGCAAATGAGTAGACTGAGCCCCTCCCTGGCTGGGATAAGTCTTACTCATTTTTGTATCACAGTTTCCCAAAATAGTACCTAGTACAAAGTAAATGCCAAAAGATACTTGTTCAATGATGTCATTCTAACTAGGATAGCTGGCGAAGGGCTTCATGCAGAAGATGAATTTATGATAGCGATTAAAAGCACAGAACAAGTTTTTGTTTTGTTTTAGATTTAAGGGGTACGTGTGCAGGTTTGTTACATGGATACGTTGCATAATGCTGGGGTTTGGGCTTCCATTGAACCCATCACCCAAACAGTAAACATAATACCCAATAGGTAATTTTTTAATCCTATCCCCCTTCCTTCCTCTCCCCTTTTGGAGTCCGCAGTATCTGTTGTTTCCATCTTTATGTCCATGTGTACTCATTGTTTCGTCCCCACTTAAAAGTGAGAGCATGCAATATTTGATTTTCTATTCAAGTGTTAATTCACTTAGGATAACGGCCTCCAGCTGCATTCAGGCTGCTGCAAAGAACATGATTTTATCCTTTTTATGGCATATAATATTCCATGGTGTATATGTACCACATGTTTTTTATCCAGCCCACTGTTGATGGGCACTTAGGTTGATTCCATGACTTTGCTATTGTGAATAAAAGAGAACAGACTCTTGAGCCAAGCAGCCACAGTTTGAGTCCCAACTTCAGTGTTGGCTATCTGGGTGATTCAGGGAAATATTCTTAGCCTCTTTGGTACTTAGTTTCCTCAGTATTAAAACAAGGATAATAATAGTACTTGTTTCATAGTGTTGTTGTGAGGATTAAGTAAGTAAATATACTTAATGCACTTAAAACAGTACCTGATATGGTGAGTGACCAATCAATTATTAACTAAGATGATATTTGATTTGGAACTTGGAAGATAAATATGATGCAGACAGGAAGGGAAGGGGGCAGGAAGAGTATTTAAGTAGAGGGAGCAATGGCAATATAAGCCAGAGTGTAAAAATGCAAGTAGCTGGAGTGTTGAGTTTATGAACAATATAGATGAATTTAAAGTGAAATGTGCCAATAGATGTCTTCAGCATGACAGGCATCAGTTTTATTTGAAACCTTTTAAGAAAGCAAACATTTTTCTTAATGGAATTACTTAATGGAAATATTATAAGACTATAGACAAAAAGCATTGTACACAAATACGTCACACTAGTTAGTAAATCTATTTTTCATAGGGTATGATTTGGGAATTCTAAAACTAATTTATGTGTTACTAAGAATGAACAAATAAGATATTGTAAATAACGAGAGGCTGATTTCTCACTGTCTGAGAAAAAAGTTACAAATAAGGAAAGGAAGAAGGCTGGAATCTGGAATGAACCCTATGCTACTGGATTGAAATCACATGTATCAGTATGAACTGATAAACACACACACAGACACATACAAATATGGATAGATGTAGAAATGAATATAGATGTATGAGTATGTTTGTATTTGTAAATTAGCCCTGCCTGCTGGAAAGGCCTAGTTGCAGTTATTCTCCCAGTAGTAAAGAGCACACTCAGTGTCCAAATCCTGGCTTCTAAATACCATTCTCCAATAAAAATAGCCAGGGCCCCTTGGAGAATTGGTAAATTACCAGACGAGAAAAGGAAGACAAGTCTGGAACATCTTGAGGTGCCAGAAAATAAAGGAGTACTAAACAATGATGGCAGCATATTAAAAAGGCACAAGAAACAACCAGAAAGAGCTCCCAGTGGCCAAAACTGAAACAATTTTAGCAAAAAAAAAAAAAAAATGTATATAAGTATTAGATTATAGCTCATGGAATAAAATAATTATGAGTCCACACTGATTTAAATATATACTTGAATAAATAAATAATTTGGGGAGAAGAGATTACTCTTTTTAACAGAATTCCAGTCCATAAACAAAACAATATTATTGTTGTAGACAAGATACACCAACAGAGGCTAAAATCAGTGAGTGAAAGTTTGAAGAGAAACAGGATATTGCATAGTCTCATAGTATGTCCCTAAATATATTTATTAACTACCAAAAAAAAAAAAAAAGCAATGAGTAACTTTACAGTTCCAAAATCTGGCAGACACCAGAGTGATCAAAGTTAATGTCAGCAGTGATAAGATATGCCAATATCCTGTATCCCCTGATAGGATGCACTGAGAAGGGCATGACATCACTTCTGTGATTTTCTTGCCCAAAATGCATTTCCTGAATCTAATCGTGAGCAAACATCAGACACACCCAAACTGAGACATTCTGCAAAGTAATGACCAATACTTATCAAGAGTGTTAAGGTCATGAATGGCAGGAAGGACCTCAGGAACTGTCACAGATTGGAGGGGAGTGAGGAGACAGGTAAGCGAAAGGCAATATGGGATCCTAGGTTGGATCTTGGAACAGAAAAGAAACCTTAGTGGGAGAAAATGGAGAAATTTGAACAAGATGCGCAGTTTAGTTAATAATATTGTACCAATGTTAATTCTTGGTTTTAGTAATCACACTGTGGTTAAGTGAAGGGTTAACGTTAGGGGAAGCCACATGGAGTATGTGAAGTCTCAGTTCTGTCTGTATTTTCCTCTAACTGTAAAATTACTTCAAAATAAAAAGTTTTCTTTGTTTGTTTTGTTTTTGTTTTTGTTTTTAAAGACTGGTTAAGTGCAGTGGTGAAAAGTGGGGAAAGAGCAGAATAATGAGTTCAATTGATCTGTAACTGCCTATGAACAGTCAATTGAGATAACTGCTTTTGGATTAGCCAAAATAGTTTTTCTTAAGTCCTTAATTGCAATTCCTAAATTTCTTCCCACCTTTCTTTTTGATGCCACACCCCCTTCCCTTTTTGTTTTCCTATTTTACGTCCTTTTTTTCCTTCTTTTTATCTTGTTTCTTTCCTTAGTTCAGAATGTAGTAGCTGGAGAGAGAGTTTCAGAGTTTTTGAACAACTCTCCTTAACCTTTTCCAAACCCCAAACTCTGGTCTTTGGTCCTATGTAGTAAGTAATTTTCATGAGGAACTAAAGTGATTATAACTTCATTCATGAACTTGACAGACTGTGAAGAATTTTTCATTGCCAAAGTAGATTTTATTATAAACTCTGAGGCAGAATTACTAGATTTCATAGATCCACATGGACATAGCTTGTCCAAAAATTGCTTTAGAATTAGTTAAGAAAATATTTTTTTGCTAAATACTAGTAAACTTAATGATTCACGTAAGAGAAAAACAAGTGCACAGGTGTGATAAAACTGTGATTTCTGTTCCAGAAAAGTGGTAACACAGAGCAGGTATTTATAGTCTGCTCATTTACTATTTTCAACATCTTTTTAAAATTTTTATTTATTTTTATTATTTTTCTTTTTTTGTGAGAGAGGGTCTCATTCTGTCTCCCAGGCTGGAGTGCAGTGGCACAAATATGGCTCACTGCAGCCTCAACCTCCTAGCCTCAAACAATCCTCCCACTTTAGCCTTTCGAGTAGCTGGGACCACAATTGCGTGCCACCATGCCAGGCTAATTTTTCTATTTTTTGTAGAGACAGTCTCACTATGTTTCCCAGGCTGGTCTTGAACTCCCAGGCTTTAGTAACCCTTCCACGTTGGCCCCTCAAAGTACTGGAATTACAGGCATGAGCCACTGTGCCTGGCCTGTTTTCAACATCTGAAGTATTGATCGCTTCTAGGAATAAAGACAAAGCAACATAACAGCACATTTTTATTAAAAGCATTGATTTTGAAAATGCTCAGACAGCGATGTCTGTCTTTCTCTTAGCTAATCTCCCTTGATGTTAAAGACATTGTTTGAATAAGTATCCTACACACAAATGTTAATGGTATGTTAAATTATTACTAACACACTGTAGGGATAAAAGTGATTTTCCTGACTTTCAGGGAGCAAGAGTTCAGAACACAGCGAAGAATTTGGGAGTCAGAGACCGGACTCCACAGTCTGCACCAAGGTAAGTGCATCCCCTGCTCTGCCCTTGCCCGAAAGATTTGCCAGCATTTTCCCCGGCAGTGTCCCTCCGCTAATGCAACTGATCTAGGATGTGCCCCGTGTCGTACTGATTGTAATTACGGAGATTGCCCTTGAAACACCCAATGGCTAAGTGTGATTACACATAAATGCTCTCAGAAATAAATGGATATTATTCTATTTTGCAAGTTCTATCATGAATTCAAAAAGAAAAGCTCACACAGGCACTACTAAAATTTGAAATCCAGCTGTGACAAACAACCAAAATCCCATTTTCATTTATACTTCTGTGACTGTACATGCTGTTCCTTCTAGCATGATTGCCTTTCCCATATGTGTTTGTATGGGAAACTCCTATTTCACTGCAAAACCTAGCTTAGATGTCATTTTCTCCTTGGAGTCTTGCTTGAGTTTCCTTCCTCTCTGTACTCCCTTAGCATCTTGTCATATTGACCTATGATAAACTTTATCATATCTTGTTGCAATATATTGTCACATGTTCCTTTGCCCAACCTGAATATGAGTTTTCTGGAGGCAGACATATTTCTTTGGATTTTATTTATTACTCATCATAGTAAACATCAAATATCTGAACAGATTTCAAGAATGTCTGAATGAAGAAATGAATGATTTTTTTGTTTGTTATCTCAAATATTTACAGTTCACACAGCATCATAAGAAAGGACTCCCATTGACTTTAAAATAAATGAACATAAATAATAGCCATCAGAGAAATGCTCTGGTTTTGATTTCCATGGTGATGAGGGTAGGCAACCATCTATCTTGAAGGGGGGAAAAGCTAAATAATTTCTTTTACATTTGATTGCTTTTACACATTTGTATTTTAACAAAAAATAGGTTCTTCCAAACACTGCCACAGACAAAACACTATTTCTCTTCACAGAGCAGTTACCAGAGTGGGAATGATGGCTGCAGCATTTGTGAAGTAATATTTCATTCTGAAAAACCATGTGGGTAGTGAAAGTGCTTTCAAAGGGAAAACAAACTTTCCCCCTGAAAATGGTTGGAGCACTCATGTTCTAATTGCACTTATTTTTAGTGCTGACTCCTAACTCTATTTAATCCTGAAGTTTTGTTAATGTCGTCTTTCACAGTTGATTAGGTTAGAATCTAAGGCTTTATATTGCTAAAGGATTATTTTTACATACGCATTCTCCATCCAGCACCTTGGGAAGCATGGTATATTTGGATAATAGACACAGTGAAGTGTTAAAATTCCAATAAGAAAACAAGACCATGGCTCAGCAAGGTGTTCTTAGCTAGACCTATAAACACTAATAAACAGTGGGGTGGGGATCAGACTTCAGCACCCTGATCAATAAACCAGTGTGCAAGCTGAACACAAGAAAAGAAACCAATGAATTTGCTTTTTTTTTCTTTATTGGGTGATGTTAAAAACACTCGAAACGAAACGCAATAAAATGAGCCAGCCATAAAGTTGACATTATCTACAAGGGAGTAATAGGCCTGAGAGAGAAAGCAAGAGTAATTTTTAAAATTTATTTTATTTATTCTTTCATTCATTCTGCAAATATTTATTGAGGACCTCAGAAAGGCAAAGCACTCTGCTATGCCCCAAGGAGAGTATAAACCTGAATT
Organism: Homo sapiens; assembly: GCF_000001405.40. NCBI lineage: Eukaryota > Metazoa > Chordata > Mammalia > Primates > Hominidae > Homo > Homo sapiens. The sequence continues at coordinate 68,226,264 of NC_000008.11, forward strand.
AGAAATAGCCCTGGCCTTCACACAGTTTTCAATTAAAAAGATGAGGTGAAGAAGGCATAATTACAAGGAAAGGTAGAAAACAGGAATCACCCTGTGGAGGTGCAGAGAGAATGCCAAGGAGCACAGAGGGGCTGGGATCTCTCCCAGCTGAGAACCTGGACTCCAGCCCCAAAGACAGTGAGTTGAAGAACACATTTGGCAGTCAAGGTAAGGCCATCCATGAGCAAAGCTGGGATAATATTTCTGGAAACATCTTCATGGAGCTGAAGTTTGCTATCTCTGTCTGAGATACTATTTGATTCAAATCCTCAACCCATCCTTATCAGAGTTTTCCTCTTACCATCCTCTTGATGTTTTAAAAAATTTACTCAGAGCAATATATATTGAATTTCTGCTGTGTGTCTATAGGTGTCAGGCCCCTTGCTAAAAGCTAGAGGACTAAAGACATAGTGTCCTCCACCAGTTGTTGAAGTGTAGTAGAGTAACAATGGAATAGAATGAAAATAGTACACAGTGTGTGATGGAAATAGGCATAGATTGTCATGAGAACACAGAGAAGGGACATAATGCAGCCTAAGGACAGAGAGAAGAGGTCACAGAATACTCCTGGGCCTGTCAGCATTGTAATGCATGTCCCATACTGGGGATGCAATAGTACCAAGGACCACAGAAGAAGTGATGTTTTGAGAACTATGCCTAGACCTCAATGACTGGTGGTTGAATGTGATTCAAGTATGATGTGAAGTGAGACTGGAGATATAGGCAGAGCCAGATCAGAGAGACTTGTAGGAGTACAGAAGAGTTTTGATTTTAACTTGAAGACAATAGGGAGGCATGCATAAGCAATCTTCTTATCTGGATGATTTGAATTTTAGAATTTATCTCTGGCAACATCAGGATGGCCCATTTGAGGACAGCTAAGACTGAAGCAGGAGCTTAAAAAAAATTATGGTAGTATTGAGGCCAAGATGAGAGGATGGGTTAGAGAGATGTTTAGAAGACAGAATCAATAGTCTTTGGACACGAATTGGATAAAGGAGTTTAGGGAAAAGGAAGATTCTAGGATGACCACCAAATCTTTGGCTTGGATAATGAGGTGCTGGTGGTTCTTTCCTCTGAGACAGTGGGTGCAGAAGGGAAGCACACGCACAGGGAGGAGATGGGGAGCTCAGCTTGGTAGTACTGAGATTGAGCATCAATCCTCATCCCTGGAGAGGACATTGTGGACAGTGGAATACACTGGTCAAAAGCCAAGGAGAAAAGAATAGGTGGCACTATAGTCCTATGAGTCTTCGATATTTAGGAGGTAGGTGAAGACACAGAAATCAATTTCGTTACCACAATGTATGGGTAAGAGAGATGAGAGGAGGTCAGGACACCCTCAGGGGATGTCAGCACTGAAGAGAAAGCAGAGGAAGCGGGGCTACAGAATCTAAAGTGAGCTATGGACTGGAGATGGTTGTTCTGGCATTCAAAAAGGAGCAATCAGCCATAGTCACACTACTGGGAGAGTGAATATAATAATTTAGGAAATCAGAAAGCTAGAAAGCAGAGTATCAGAGTTTAATAATTCTGAGGTAGGTAAAGCCTGCTCTGGGGAGGGATGTTTCTTGGACACCCTTGGCTCCAGTGCATTTTGCATTCTCCCCTTTAGCAATCTGTGTCTAAAAGATGTGTCCAGAACTGCTTTTGGCATTGGGGTATTAAGATGGATGAGAAATGCTTCATGCACACAAAGAGCTTGCAGCCTAGTAGAATACAAAGACAAAATAAATTTAGAGAATCAAGTGAATGGGTATTGTGATAGGATAGAATGGGTATGTGAGGAGGGAGTACAAAGGACCTTCCCCCTCCCAGTTTCATACATTGGCTCTTCAGGGCAATAAGCCCCTCTTCCTCAGGAACCAAATATTACATTCCAGATGTCGGATTGCACATCCAGCACACTGGCTTTATTCACAAAATAAAGTTTTTGTTATGTCACAAAATCTGGAACTCTTGTGCTATGAAAACCTGATTTTCTTTAGTTGCTTAACCAGGAGGGGGCATTCTATGGTGGTTAAAAGTGAAAAAAATTGGCCGAGCATGGTGGCTCATATGTGTAATCCCTGCACTTTGGGAGGCTGAGGTGAGAGGATTGCTTGATACTGGGAGTTCAAGACCAGCCTGGGCAACAAAGCAAGACCCTGTCTTTACATAAAATAAAAAATAAAAAATGGCCGGGTGCATAGGCTCACGCCTGCAATCCCAGCACTTTGGGAGGCCGAGGCAGGCGGATCATGCGGTCAGGAGATCAAGACCATCCTGGCTAACATGGTGAAACCCCATCTCTACTAAAAATATAAAAAAAAAATTAGCTGGGCATGGTGGCATGCTCCTGTAGTCCCAGCTACTCGGGAGGCTGAGACAGGAGAATCTCCTGAACCCAGGAGGTGGAGGTTGCAGTGAGCCGAGACTGCGCCACTGCACTCCAGCCTGGACGACAGAGCGAGACTCCGTCTCTAAATAAATAAATAAATAAATAAATAAATAAATAAATAAGCCGGGCTGTCAGCCTGTGGTCCCACCTACTCAGGAGACAGATGGAAGGATAGCTTGAGCCTAGGAGGTTGAGGCTGCAGTGAGCTATGGTTGTACCACTGCACTCCAGCCTGGGAGACAGAGTGAGACCTTGTCTCTTTAAAAAAAAAAAAAAAAAAAAAAAGAAAGAAAAAAATGGCTATGTGACCTTATTTAGTCAGGAGTTTTTTCCTGTCTGAGACTCAGTTTTCTCATTTGTGAGATGGGGAGAATTGCCTTGGGACAGAGTATGATTGATGCTTTAACCTTGAAAGAGGCGTTTACTTTGTGGTCTCCTTTCACATAACTTTTATTGTTGCTGTGTAGAAAGGTGAAAGGCACCATCTATAGCATGAAGTTGGAAAGTTCTGCTCTTGGCAGATTTGCATTTGGTCAGGAAATTTGGGCTACCTAAGCTCAAACAAGAATAGGAGAAAGAAGGCCAAAACCAAACCTTTTTCGTGCAGGGCCACTGATGTGAGTGGAATGAGTATACAAAAGGGCCCCAAATGATGGGCAGACCAAGGCCTCACTCTGCCCAACAATTTATCTGCCAAAAAATAAATGCTTCAGTGCAGGATGAGAGTCCAACTCTTATCTATTACATTTCACTTAGAAATTTCATCTGCCTGTTCTGAATTCCCAAAGCTCTGCAATTTCCATTACAAATGTGTTTGAACTCAAATAACCCTGAGTCACTTCCAAGAAGCCTCACAGAAGCTGAATCTGCCCAGTTCCACAATACCCAGAGCTACTATTTCATTAGGTGATCACAGGGAGTAGCCTTTTCTTCAATTTGCAAGGCAGACATTTCAAAGACTCGTCTACCCAGTGCTATTAGTTACATTATGTGGAAACGTGCTGAGCAAGGTAATGGAATGTGATGGCTCAGCCCAGATCTCATGGGGCAGGACATTCGCCACCCATCTTCCCATTCCTGTCCTACGTGACTAAGCCCATTGTGCCTTTTCAATCATTAGGCAGCACTGTCAGGGAAATAAGAGGAAGGAAATTAAGAAGAAAAAGAGCCTCCTTATTCTTTCATTATCCCAGCCCTGGGAATGCAATTTGAAGTAACACCATATTCTTCAGCTGCAAAAGAACCTTTGAAGTACATCGGGTCAATTGAATGTATTCTTTTCTCTGGGAAGGATGAAATAAGCTTCTTCTGATGTGAGATGTCTTTATTTCAGTATTCGCCTCTTGCATGGAGATAACATGTAGTGCATCAACCACCTTCCGGACTTGAAATACGTTTTGCAAACCTCCAAAGTCAATAGCTTCTTCTACGTGTTCTCATACTAGGAAAGCTCATTTTGTTAACCAGGAGTTATAACTCAATATTAAATCTTGCTCATTCTTCTCCTTTGATCTATAATTAGCATGGGATTAAATGTCAAAGGGAGAGGAAATTTATAATTTGCTAAATTGATCAACAACATTGAAGCTGTTTTCAATTTAGTCGGTAAAAGGGATTGAATCACCACAGCTAGTCCTGGGTTGTAGTGCTTTTATGAAAAGATGCCATGTGGAAATCTGCAGCTTATATTTTGACATCATTAGTCCAAGCTCTGCAGTGGGACCAGTGTGGCCATGGGTGCTGTTTAGAGAACAGGCATAGTCCAATCCAGCATTTTAGTTCAGCCAATCAATCTCTCAGGATATGCTGTAAGTAATGCATATGGCCTTGAGATCACTAGGGCTATCAAGCAGCTATTATGTTCCCTTTTACTTTGGTTCTGCTGTTATCATTTAACCACTGAGGAGAATGTGGAGCACCAGAACTTGTGTGACTGTAGTTAAACCCCCTGAGTTTTCCTTGAATGCTGTATAGTCTTGAACAACTAGACCTGGGCTGCAATGGGAAGCATTTCCAGGCATCTCCATGGTTTAAGTGGATCCTTGACCCACTTGGAGAGCCCACAGTCGGGTGAGTGGGCCCTGGGCAGAGCTGGGTAATTTATCCTTAGGAAACTCTAGCCAATTGTGCCTTTGAGATTTAGGTCTCAGGAATCTTGCCATGTCAGCCTATCCACAGCCAACTGCCTGCACTCTGGGGATAGTACAAAATGAAGCACATTTCTAAAACAAGTCAGAAAATCAGTAGACCCCTATGAGATAGGTGCCATCTTGCTACAAAATAATCATGATAGACATGATGGTAATTATCGTAATAATATCATTTCCTGGAATCCAGAGAGTAGGTTTTACCACAAGTGTGGTGAACAGCCTGGGCGGTTGGCACTGGAGAAAAAGCAGCAGGTTTAAAAAATTCAGGATTGCTTCATCCACAGCCATCAAGCTATGCAGAGGGGCACTGGTGTTTTCTAAATCATAGAATCTAATTTTTGGAGTTTGCCAATTCATATGTTATTTTTAGTGAAATAGACAATCCGATCATGACTCACGAAACAAGAAATTATCATCAATGTATTTGTTCTACCAATAAAGACACCTCATGTAATGGTAATACACTAAGTCACTGTCAAACTTTACCATGCCTTTTCTAGGCTGTACAAGCTGTGCGAGCCACCTCCCCCAGCTGGAGAAGAATGAAAAGAACTCCCAAGAAACCAGGCAGGCAGAAGCTCCTGAATGCTGGACTAGACAAACTACATGCTGGCTAAACATTCTCCACTGAAGATACATCAATGCTTTTTTTTTTTTTTTTTTCTGTAAATCTTTCTTCCCATTGCAAACAAGTAGTGATCAGTTTATACTTTGATATTTATGCTGGAAATGGATAGAAGTTCAATCAGACAGTTCAGCTTCACGAACTGATGTCTCTCTGTATTGACATTAAGTATTCACTTTTAGAGTAAAATCCATCCCTGGGACATAAAGAAAAAAATATTAGAGATTTAAAAATTAACCACCATGCCTCCTCTCCCATTCATTAAAATGGTTTTATTATGCTTGTTTTCATCTTTCCCAAGTGGACACATGTAATAATGGAGAGTTCCTCTTGAAGAAGGCCATTATTGAAGAAACCTGGCGACATCTTGCAAATCATCATGAGAAATGTTAAGGACAATATAGACTGTGTGCTATACATTTTCAGTCCCCCATTTGCAAGAGAGAAAGTCATTAATGTGTAAAAGGTGGAAAAGCATGCTTTACTCTTTCTCCTAAGGGCTTATTTCTTATTAGAGGAGAAGAAAGCTGACTAAGGCCTCCAGCAGGACTCACTTTCTTCTAGCTGCCTTTGGGCATCCTTTATTCTTGTGGACAGCTCTAGCAAATCAATGCTATTTTTGGTGTCTGCAATGGGCATGGCTTCCTTGGGCCATGAATACTGGGTGCTGTGCCATAATGGCCCTGGGGATCAGGGAAGTGCCCTGGGGATCAGGGAGGGGAACCAGGATGAAGAAGGGGACTGTAAGCCTATTTTAAAACTAAACCTTTAAGTTAGATACCTAAAACTCTTAATTTTATGAAGGCTCTCATATGAGAGGTCAGACTCTTCAAAGAATACACCATCATGAGAATTTTTCTGTTAAGATATATGTATAAGATATGAAAATAAGGCTTTATTTGTACTTTAAAAGGACCATTAGGGGACTTGTAATTTATGGATGCACAAGGTGTATTCTATCCTTATTCTAAAGTATATGTAATGTTTATCATTTCTACATTGATGCAATAACATTGTTTTTAGCATAGTAAATACAGTAATATTTATTTTAAATCCATAATTTTCAAACAAAACACTCATGATTGTGATAATTATATGGGTTTACACTAATTTAGTATGTGAAATGCTTTTCATATCTAAATTATGTGCAAACTATTATTAATTTTTTTTTTATTTTTTGAAACTGAGTCTCACTCTGTTACCCAGACTGGAGTGCGGTGGTGCAATCTTGGCTCACTGCAACCTCCACCTCCTGGGTTCAAGCCATTCTCTTGCCTCAGCCTCCCAGGAGCTGGGACTACAGGTGTGCACCACCATGCTCAGCTAATTTTTGTATTTTTAGTAGAGACGTGTTTTCACCATGTTGGCCAGGCTGGTCTTGAACTCCTGACATCAAGTGATCCACCCACCTCAGCCTCCCAAAGTGCTAGGATTACAGGCGTGAGCCGCTGCTCCCGGCCCATTATTAAATTTTAATTTATGAAATTTGATCATGGTTTTCAAACTATTATTAAAACCTTTATCATTAACCATTATGTATTGAATAACAAAAATACCATGTTACATGTGTAGGCAATATGTGTATACTACTAGGTAAGGTAATAATAATTGTTATTTGGCACAGAAGCTCTAGAGACTTTTGTGAGAAGTCCATATACAATGAAAAACAAGGAACCTAACATCAGAGTTTTCAAGAAAAAGTTGAACATTTTGAATTTAATAAAGATATCTTTACAAAAATAACCTTCAAGGATTTAACATTTGTAGGACTAATAAAGGAACACAGCTGATTAGCTAGCAAGTCCTTTCATATTGTCATGACTGTTTTCTCATCACCATCCTGGAAGCAGTAATCCTCATTAGAGGCATGCAAGGGTCATTAAAATGATTTCAGTTGTACTTTGCCATATTTCATGGGGCAAATTATCAGCTATATTGTGGTATTTATAAGCTAACATATTTTATATTTTTAAGGATCTACTTTCTTCATAATAGAATGTGCTTCATATTATTTTTAGGGTTAAACATAAGTGTGTCGTCTATCATGCTTGGTACTTACTAAATGCTCAAAAATTAGTAATGGTTTATATTAACATCAGTCACTCTAACTTCTGATCGTAATAAAAATTGTAGCTAACACTTATTAAGGGATTACTACATGCCCAGTAATACCTCCAAATGCTTTGCCTGTATTCTGTTGTTATTGCTTCACTTAATCCTCATAATAATGACGTGACATGGTACTCTTTTTATCGCGCCCATTTTTAGAGTTGAGGAACCAAAGCAAAGAATAACCCAGTGACTTGCACAAAGTCACATGATTGACAAGGGGTAGAACCAAAATTTGAACCCAGGAAGTCTGCCTTCTTAATGCATTATGCTACTTTTCCTTATCAATATAAGAACTATTGTAATATTACGATGATTTGTAAGTAAATTTGGAGTTATGCGGCATGTGTTGTCATTAAATTATACATCTTGTATTAAAAAACGGTGAATGGAAATATGTAAATGCTTTAATTATATGAAAATTATAGTGTTTCCTGGACATTTTACAACTCTGGATGCACATTTTGAGGTAACTCAACAGTGTTGCAATCTGAAAAACTATTTTGTATCATGTTCCTCCTCATCAAAAATAACAGTTTTAGATAGTACATCTCATACAACTTTATTATAATTCCAACACAGTGGTAAGAGTAAAAAACATACCTAATGGATGAATGAATAATGACAATTTTTTCAATGCCATATGTACCTCCATGTGACATTGGGCATTAAATGGCCTTGAGGTTTTAGGATGTGTTTACCTTAATGCTACATGCTCCTCTATAACCAGTGCACCTTCAAATACTGCTAAAACCTGCTAACTTCTTCCAGGTTCTGAGCATGGACAACTCCCACCGCCCCCCAACCTAAAAGGGAAGGTCATGCATAGAAAGTTTGGATTTTAACTTAGAGCCTGACTCAAAAATAATTGTGAACTAAAAATTCATAGTCAATACTTTTTAAGCATTCTATTATCTCCTATAATTTTTTCTAATATTAATTCCAAATATTACAAAATTTAATGTGATATTAAAGTATGAAAAATTTGAGAAGATTAGAATTTTACATGTATTTCCATTCCTATTTAAAGAGAGAAAATGGGGAGATAATTTCTGTGCTAGTTTTACTTATATTGGATATATAATATTGAATTTATAGTATAAGCTTTATTTTATCAGTTCGCAAATCTGAAGTCTCATACTGTTTTCTGTCTCTTTAAAACACATTCTTCTGGTGGCTTGGGTTCATTGTGCATTCATTGGCCACTCTTCTTGCAGCAAATTTTAAATCAATTTAAAATTAGGTAAACTTTTTATGATACTATAATATATATGACGTTGAAATGACATTGGTTCTGAGTCTATTAATTTAAATTTTGGGATCATTACATTCAGAATGAAATGAAATTGACCTTGATACTAACTTTGAGAGCCAAAAAAATGAATGGGTAAACAAAGCCTAAGGGTCATGTTAATTAATTTAACAAAACACACTATTTTCAGTCCTTTGGGCTTGTACATTTTATAGACAAAATTAGCATTTATTGATTTGGAAGTGTTCAATTGAGAGTAAATGACTCTGTGTTTTGAAACTAATACCTTTGCATTTAAAATACTGAAGTATTATTTTGTTAGTTGAAGTAGATCTTTTCCTGTGTAGCATGATTTAATGCAGAGCAGTTATTCACTTATACTTCTGAAAAGCCATAATATTGAAATTTAAAATGAATAGTCTTACTTTAAGGTCACTTTTACTTTACATTTTACTTTAAAGGTCGTTTTTAGACTTTATGCACTAGTGGTATTGAAACTAACCTTTAATATTTGACTAAATTGCTTGTGAATTTTTGGAAACTATGTTTAATTTTTAAAGACATTGTTATGTGAATTATCTTACTAAATTATCACTTAAGAACTCTCTCATAGCAGTAATTTCATTAACACATATATATACTAACCAATTTGCTAAATGAATTGTCGGTTGTCCTGCTTAAGTACTAGGGCCAAGCTTTGAAATGACTTAAAGTGATCTGAATTTTGATTGAGAAAAATAATCTGTCTTCTATCGAATGTTTGAACTTTTAGTGATGAGCCTCAGCAAAGTTTCACCCTGCATGAAGCAGAACAGGTGGGGGAAAATTACAAGAGGGGTCTGTACCAAAAATGGCCCCAGGATATTCCATTGAACAAATATTGACCATTATCTTCCTAGGTGCTACAACTCCATACTAGTCATTACAGTTAGTCTTTGGTTTCACAAAAATGTTACTGCTTCAAAGGCTTGGCATTAACAGTGATGTCAGCATTCATACTGCCAACAGTCTGCTGGTCATACATGGAAGACTGTTAAAGTGTGGTCTGTGCATCATTGAGCAATTGTTATGTAGACACAAGGCCTGCTTCACTCAGGATAGCTTGCTCCTCTCGCTGAGAAGAGATACCTGAAGTCTACTAAGTCTACTAAATGAGATATATATGTGTATGTATATGCCTATATATATTATTATATTTACTAGTGTTTGTGATAATGTTATAAAAATTAATAAGATTGTTTTGTTTTGTATGAATGTACGACAAATCGAGTTGTTCAATGTATTGAATGAATGTCTTACTGTAAGCATCAGAGCTGTCCAACCATGTGTAAATGTACCTGGTCTTTTGATCACTGACACTACTTTGCTGTTCAATCTGGAATCAACTGACCTGGCTCTGCCATTGAGAAATAACTAATTTAGAACAAAATTGTTAAATTTTAAAATTGCATTTCTACTAGAAATAGCTTTGGAGAGTTAATTTTAGGTGCGAATAACAGGATAAATGCTATCTGATCAAGCATTCATCCGAAAAATGTTTTTGAGAATTCACTTTGTGCAAGGCACAGCTGTTGGGGCTGGTATATGTGTGGACATGTTTGATTTGAAAACCTTCGTGGTGTCTCTGTGTGTTATTGATCATCTGTGTCTTTTGCTTAAAATGGCATTATTTGTAACACAAACCTAATATCATATATACAAATATACTGTATGTAGCCAAGAACACTAAATTGGTAAGACGCTTTAGAAAATATGCATTTGAATTTGAATATCTAATGCCTCAAGCAAATTTATTAGAGTTTCAGATGAATATATATTTTTGTAACTGGCAAGTAAATGAGTAGAACAGAGCTTTTTGCCTAAAAATATTTTTATAAGTACTCATTTACATAGTATTCATTATTTTAAATGACAAAATATCAAATTGGTTCTATAAATAGTAATTGTTTTGAATATATCCATACTTAACATCATATGAAATCCAAAATTTAATGATAAATTTCATCTGGATGTGTTATTATAAAAGTCATCTTTTTTTCCTTTGTAAAATATCCATGTAACATAGCTTCCATTACTCCATATTTTATGTATGGTTAAAATTATCAAAGTGCATTATGTATTTTATATTGTTTATTTTTGTCTGCATGAAAGATTGGAATAGTAACCGTGTATGATAAATGTTAATAATAATAAAGTGAAATGTAGTATGACCAATTCAGCTTCTTTCCATTTAAACTTAATTCCTATTATGTTCTTACCTATTTGGAGGACAAAAACCGTTAAACACAGATTTTCACCCTTCAAGCATTCACAAGCTCGATAGAAGAAACTTGACACACGTATGAAACAAATTCTACAAATATGAGCTGGAGGGACAGTAACTGCTAGGAAGGAATGAGAGAGAAGCTTAATATGGGCCACAGCATAGGAAAACTTCACGAGAGAAAAGAGACTTACACTGTCCCCTGAATTAACTAGCCAACCTATCAAGGTTTATTTAGTACTTATTATGTATCAGCCACTATCCTAGTTGCTAACGGTATAAAAATGCACATAATTCCCAAACTCTAGGGTCATAGAGGGTGGTATATTTAAGATGATTAATGCAGTACACAATCCAAAATGGCAACTACCAAGACAAAGCAGTGGACACTAATGCAAAATGAGAGAGAAGGCAATGAGAAACATGGACTATAGAATTCAAAAAATTTAGATTGAATCCAACATCTGTTTATGGAACATCTACAGATTACTTGTCATGCACTGAACTAAGATGGATATTTAGTATGTAGGAACACATGTATAGTCATTACCTTTATGAAATTTACAGTCTAAATGAGGAAAACTGATTAAAAAAAAAAAACTACAAAAATGATGAGAGAAGCCTGGGTCAGGAAAGGTCATCAGCATTCAAGATGAGTAAGATTAAGCAACAGAAGAAGGGAACAGCAACCTTGTTAACAAAAACAGGATGAATACATGCACTGAGATGAAAAAGCACCAGATATTTTGGTGGGATGGTGAGTGGCTCAGTCCGGACAGATGATAAACATCAGTGGATGTGCTTAGAAAGAGACATGGATAGAAAATACAGCTGGATCTGGAATGCCAGGCTAAGAAGTCAGGACACTGGACATTATGAGCATTCAAAAAATGAGATAAATAGTTGATAATAATGATAAAAATTATGAAATCCAAGTGGGGAGTTTGAAGAATGTATACGTTGTTGATTGTGCAGGCTACTTCAAAAAAGTCAAATCAAATAATAATTGGAGGAAACCAAAATCAATAACTGGTTTTACTTTTTGGAGATTGCTGGTATACTTCGAGATTGCAGATTTAATACAGTAATATGAGTGAGAAAATAGAATCAGCAGGTGTAGCTTCTTTATTTCAGAACAGCATTCCAGACATTTATGTTCCAGAGTTGTTATTCAGTGAGATACACACACACATACACACACACACACATACCCCATACAAGTATTTTGTGGTGAAAATGAGTTTAAGAAACACAGAATCAAGCAGGTTTCTCTATTATAGGACTTTTCCAACCTGCTAATATACTAATAACCATGGTGACTTTGGAGGACAATGATGGTATGCAATGTTTCCCAAATGCACTAGAATATAGGACATGTTTTATGGAAGATTTGTTATGATTTCCTTGGTATACAAATATTCATCAAAGCACAATATGGGAAAACTATGCTAGAAACTGCATAACATGAAGAAAAAAATGGTAAGCACATTGACAGATGGTGGGGTATTTACCTGATGGAGGTGCCATTTGGGCTTAAAGGAAGAAGTGACAAATACTTGCATAAATGAACAGTAACAGTGAAATAGAATTAAAAGCAGATTGTGATACTGTAAGTTTTATTCTCTCACCATTCATCTAGGTTCAGGGTATTAGAGGCCACAAAAAGCATATTCCATAGAAAAATGGAAATGTTTCCTCTCCTTTTTAATCACTTCAGCCTTCTAATATGATGACATATTGGATTAGAAGACACTTTATTGTGTCAAAACTTGGCTCCAATTTACCATGATTTCTGGACTAAATTTGTAAGGCTTGATGGCCATGACCAGGGTGTCATGAGTTAGACAACTTGAAGGTAAAAGACTGATTTTTCTTCACAAAAAGTATTAAAAAGATATATGCTAAGTGTGGAGTTTTCTAGCCTGACACTGGTTGGGCATTTTAAGATGATCTGAATGCAGTGGTATAAACAGCTCATTGATTTCTCGAAGCCAGTTGATGATATGGACCTCCAGGTCTGGAAAGGTATTTGTCTCACCTAGGGTCAGCCTCAAGATTCCTTGAGATAGGACATTTCCAGATCGAAATGTGGACCCATTTGCTATTAATCAAAGTGAATATATGGGAGGAAGTTTCAGTACAAGACTCTCTAGATATTCATCAAGTCAGAGGCTTCTTAGACTTGCTGCCCTTGACTCACTATGTTGCTCTCATTCAGAAGAGGCCTGTGAACTCTTTGCCAGAAAGTGATAAAATAAATTATTCCAGAGCTGTGTGCTCCGAGAAAGAAGGCAGTGATCATCACATGATATAAGAGAGTGTTCTGTTTAGGGCACTTTAATTCAGAGGGATGAAGACAAGTGAGGATATAAATAATGGTCAGAGGATGACTAAGGACATGCAGGAATTGATTGCCAGGAAATGTTAGGTCTGCTAAAAACTGCTGCTGCTCTTAACTGCCCACATGTTGATTCACTTAAAAATGTTTACCCCAGAGATTAGACATTAGGATGTTACCTCACTTTAGCAATGAGGGATCTGGAAGCTGTAAGTGAATACGGAGGAAAAAAATAGGCTGTATGATGATATAAAAAATGGCTGTATTAGTTTGTTTTTACTCTGCTGATAAAGACATATCTGAGACTTGGCAATTTACAAAAGAAAGAGGTTTAATGAAAGGACTTACACTTCCACGTGGTTGGGGAGGCCTCACAATCATGGTGGAAGGCAAGGAGGAGCAAGTCACATCTTATGTGGATGGTGGCAGGCAAAGAGAGAGCTTGTGCAGGGAAACTCTTCCTTATAAAACCATCACATCTCATGAGACTTACTCACTATCACAAGAACAGCACAGGAAAGACCTGCCCCCATGATTACCTCCCACCAGGTCCCTCCCACAACACGTGGGAATTCAAGATGAGATTTGGATGGGAGCACAGCCAAAGTATATTAGAGGATTTTAGACAAGATCTTTGAAAAACTTTTTTTAAAATAGCTTTAGGGGCTACTGTGCAGTTTTATTACATGCAGTAGTGAAGTAGTGGTGAAGTTGGGGCTTTTAGTGTAACGATCACCTGAATAGTATACCTTGTGCCCATTAAGTAATTTTTCATCCCTCATTTCCCTCCCACCCTCCCACCTTTCTGAGTCTCCAATGTGTATTATTTCCTGAAAAACTTATTTGAATTATATAAAACATCAATTGGAAAGTTAGGATAAGCTTTTCCACTCTTTTAATGAGATGAAATTCATATAACATAAAATTAACCATTTTAAAGTATGCAATTAAGTGGCATTTAATAAAATCACAATGTTGTGTGACTATCATCTTTATCAAGTTCTGAGAAATTTTCATCACCCTCAGTTTTTTTTTTAATGAAACTTTCATTTTGAGACAATTGTAGATTCCCGTTTTTGACAAAGGTACAAAAATAATTCAATGGGGGAAGGATAGAATTTCAATAACTGGTGCTGATGCCACTGGACAACCATAGGCATAAAAATGATACTCAAACTAAAGATTGCTCCTTATACAAAAATCAGCTCCAAATGGATCATGGGCTGGGCGCGGTGGCTCACGCCTGTAATCCCAGCACTTTGGGAGGCCAAGGCAGGCAGATCACGAGGTCAGGAGTTTGAGACCATCCTGGCCAGCATGGTGAAACCCCGTTTCTACTAAAAATACAAAAATTTGCTGGGTGTGGTGGCGGGCGCCTGTAATCCCAACTACTCAGGAGGCTGAGGCAGAAGAATCACTTGAACCCAGGATGGGGAGGTTGGAGTGAGCTGAGATCGTGCCACTGCACTCCAACCTGGGTGACAGAGTGAAACTCCGTCTCAAAAACAAACAAACAAACAAACAAAACCCAAAAAAAAAAAGGATCATGGACTTAGACATAAAACAAAACATACTATTACAAAACTTTTAGGAAAAAATATTTTAAAATTCTTCAGAAGCTAGGGCTAGGCAGAGTTCTTAGACTTTACACAAAGACCATGATCCATAAAAGGCAAAGTTGATAAATTGGACTTTATTAAAAATTTAAAACTTTTTCTGTTTTAAAGCCTATGTGAAGACAATGAAGATAAGTTATAGACTGGGAGAAAATAGTTGAAACTATTTACCCCATAAATTATTAGCATCATAGAACATGTAAAGAACTCAGAAAAAAAGTTGCAAAAGGTTTCATGCTGTCTGCTTCCTTTTACATAACATTCTTGAAATTGCAAAATTATAGAAATTGAGAACAGATTAGGGAGAAGGAGACAGGAGAGAAAGTGGGTGTGTCTACATAAGAGAAACAGAAGTGATTCTTGTGGGGATGGAAATGTTCTGTATCTTGATGGTATTCATGTCAGTACTGCATTCTCGTTGTGAAACTGTCCTATAGTTTTGCAAGACGTTACCCTTTGGGGAAACTAGACAAAGGTTATACAGGATCTCTCTGTATTATTTCTTATATCTGCATGTGAATCTATAATTATGTCAATGAAGATCAATTGAAAATATAGAATGAGTTTTAATGCCTTTCAAAGTGGAAGTTTTAAAGGTAGCTTTATTAATAAGGAAAATATCTTCCTGAAAATGAAATCACATTTAGTAATTTCTCATCCCTCATGAAGTAATTTCTCATCCCTCATCTCCCTTCCACCCTCCCATCTTTCTGAGACTCCAGTGCGTATTATTTCCTGAAAAACTTATTTGAATTATATAAAACATTGATTGGAAAGTTAGGATAACCATTAGTTATCCTAACCAAAGTTATCCTAACTAGCCAAAGTTAGTTAGGCAACCACTGTATAGAAGGCTTGATGTTGAACCCTGTCTGACAGTTGGGCCCTGCCTGACAGTTGGGCTCCTGAGGAGCTCATAGTTCAGAGGCAGTGGCAAGCCTGTAACAAGATGTCCATACTCTGATTTAAAGTCCACTCCAGGACTTAATAGCTGTGTGACCACAGACAAGTTATTGAGCCTCAGATCCTCTGAGCTGTAAAATTGTAATAACAATGCTGCCTACTTCATAGGGCTGTAGCATCAATTAAATAAGATAATATAGATAAGAATTTAATACTGAACTTGGCAGCTAGAAGGACTTTATAATGTTCGTTAGATAATAACACATTGTGTTCTTATGAAGTTGAACTGAATTAAAGGTAGAAGAAAAGACCTATTCTCCAGAGACATTTTCTTCAGATGGCTTACTTAAGGGGTAGAGAGATGGGATTGGAGCTGCAGTTTGAAAGCATGGTATGCCATATTAAGGAGTTTGTAATTTATCTTTGTGGGCAGATGAACAAAGTTTCAAGCAGGTGAACAAATTATCAGAATAGTTAACATCCACAGCAGCATAGTTAGAAGGCTGTTGCAATAATCCAAATAGTGTTCTCAAAATGGGATTCTCAGACCAAGTCTATCTCTCAGACCAAGTCCACCACAGTCTCTTGAAAAATTATAATTAGAGATTTTATTTTTAATAAACTTTCTAGGTGATTCTTTTGCACACTTGGGTTTGGGAATTGCTGGTCTAGAAGAGAAGTAATAGAATTCTTAAAAGAGTATCAGAAAAAAGAGGAGGAGGAGTTTTAAGAAATATTTAGGAGGTAAATTAACAAAATTTGTTAATCCATAGGATGTGGGGAAGTGAATTATAGGAAAAAAATCAGGATGCTGCCAAAGTTTTTAGCTTGGACAATTGGTTCAATTAAAAAGGGATGGCAGAGGAAGTTGTAGTCTAGGAAGAAAAGACAATAGATGCCCTTTGGGGCATGTTGAATTTGAGCACATCCAGATGGAGGGAGCCAATAGGCCTACCCTATAGGAAAATCCTGTCTGAACTTTAAGTAAAAAATGGGGACTGGAGATCTAGGAAATGTACATGAATAATTAAGGCCACCCACAAAAAGCACATGGAGTTAAAAGACTAGAGTGCTGAGGATAATGTTCTGGAACACTAAAATTAAGCAAACGAAAAGAAGCTGTAAATGAAATCCAGAAGAAGTATTGGAAGTGGTTGGGAGGAGATCCATGAAATTGTGTGGTCATAGAAGTCAACAAAGTAGAGTTCAAAGTGGGAAACGTATAATGATTCAGTGATTGTTAGTAGACTGAGAAGTAAAAAGCACATTTGACCCTCGAATTGCTTTTTTTTTTCTTTTTTTTGTATTTTCTCTAATTTTTAGATGCAAAAGTTTTACATTTTGTAAGATTAAAAACTTAAAAAAATAACAGTTAACAATCCCACTAGATTGTCTATTGCTCAACACTGGATGATATCTCTGTTCATTCAGTTCTTTCAGTATAAATGAAAGCTAGAAACCAAAGTCTGACTGGCTTTAACAACCAGAACAAAAGGTAAAAATATGTAACAAAGCTATAAGATGCTGTCAGTGGATCTCCTGGGCAAGATCAGCTCCTTTGGTTAAAATGATGTCATTAGACATTTCTTATCTCTTGACTTTCCTACCTTCTGTTTTTGTAGCAAATTCATAACCAGCATCACTAAACTTACATTTCATACACCAAGTGCAATGAAAGAGAATGTCCCAAGAGTTGTGGCAAAATCTCTGCATTGCTTTAATTGGTCTAGCTTGAGTCATGCGATTTTTCCCTTAAGCAATCATCACTAGAGCCAAGCTGTATCTTATTGGCCAGACCTGGATTACACTATCGCCCAGTTAACCATGGGGCTGTCAGAAGTTTCTCAAAAAAAATCAGGGTGGTATTACCAGAAGCAGGAATGGATTCTGAGCAGGCATAAACAACAGATGGCCAAGAGAGTAGCACCAGTGTATTTATGTGCCAATCTTAATTACCTCCTTTATCTTGCATTGACATGCTAATCAGTGTATTTTCTCTTCTGCAAATTTTCTGATCTTTAAAAACTCAAACAGGAAAGTTGTTATCTTTACACAAGATACTTGGTCCAGAGGCCAGGTTACCGTAGGTTATAAATGGAGCTGGAGAAGAGGAAGGCAAAGCAACTATAGATCACTTTTCTTATAAAGTTGCCTGAAAAGGAGAGAACTGGAGCTGTAGTCTGAGTAGAAGGCATTGTAAAGGATTTTTTTTTTAACCTTACAGATAGGGATCAATGAAGATTGATTTCTCGGTTAAGAATGAAAATACTTAGATATTTTTTTCATGTAGCTATTTTACCTAAAATGCTTTTCATGATAAAGGTATGTAAATATTTACGTCTTAGATTTCTTTTCCTGCCCGGTTGTATTTGACTTTGGTCCTTGGAGATGTATCACACAACTGTAGATTTCCATGTGATGTTAACGTTGGTAGAGGCCATTATTTTGTGGGAAAATGGGTTTAAGGGTTTCAGTGCATATTTGGCAGAGTGACAATCCAAACATGAGTTTCATGTTTTATATGAGGCATCCTTCAAGAATAGAAAAGCAGGCTAGGCACGGTGGCTCATGCCTATAATCCCAGCACTTTGGGAGGCTGAGGTGGGTGGATCACCTGAGGTCAGGAGTTCAAGACCAGCCTGGCCAACATGGTGAACTCTCATCTCTTCTGAAAATACAAAAAAAAAAAAAAAATTAGCTGGGTGTGGTGGCTCATGCCTGTAATCCCAGCTACTCAGGAGGCTGAGGAAGGAGAACTGCTTGAACCCAGGAGGCGGAGGTTGCAGTGAGCCAAGATTGTGCCATTGCACTCCAGCCTGGACAACAGAGCAAGACTCTGTCTCAAAAAAATAAACAAACAAATAAATAAATAAATAAATAGAAAAGAAAAGCAGATGATTGAAATGATGCAGGCTTTTATATTTAAGTTGCACCCACTATTGTACATGTAATAAAAGTATTCTTAATAAGCAGAGTAAAAGTCTTTCGCAAATTTATTTTGAATTCACATTTAAGCAATGAATGGAGTGTGTAATTCTGAACTTATTTCCTGACCATTCCTTTTGGGATAAAGTTAAAATTCAGAGGTAGAAGAACTTGTTAACTAGATCATTATTAACAGTATAGTAATTGCTGCATAAATTAAAAAATAAATATCAGTGGCTTTGAACTTCAGCTTTAAAGCTGAAATCTTAAAAGAATGTCTTGTGCCATTCTGAGTAAAAGGAGATGATCAAAAGCCATTACTCAGTGTTTGCACATCTGACACTATAAATCAGCAAAGACAAGCAAGAAGCATTGCCTGTGGCTTTTCTAGAGCTTCTAGGATACATTTCAAGCATCTTTTGAAGCATACTTTTCAAGCATGATTTTAGCCCACTGTTATTTTAGTCCTCAACCAGAGGGGAAAAGGGAAAGGACTGTGATTAAGTTTCATTTTACTCGGGACCATTTCATCCAAGTTGGTGACATAAACCAGGCACCTATTGGATGCCCAAGTCCAAGGCAGCAGATTGCCCTGGATCACAAGTGAGGCCAACTTTGCCTTTAGAGAAGAGGCAGAGTGAAGAGTGATCTGAAATATCTGTTTACATGAACATGTATATGGACATGCATCAGTGAGAATAGATTGGGAAAAGTCTATTCTTTGAAAAAACTTAAAAAACAGAGCCTTGATTGTAACGCCTGCCAATAGTCATGGGAGTGGCATTTTCTGAAATGTCACAGTTGAATCACATCTCTCTTTACAAAATCATAATTATCATTATGTTAAATATGGACACAGTGGAAAACGGCGTGCCAGTAGGAAGGAGGTGGTATTAGCAAGGAGATGTATTTTCTTCATAAAAGGCAGTAGCTAGGAGATGTATTTTCTTTATAAAAGGCAGTAGCTAGGAGATGTATTTTCTTTATAAAAGGCAGGACCAATCCTATGATTGGCAAAAGAAATGTTCCTGATTCTGGCAGAGTGTGATGGCGCCTGGGGGAGTTGTATTAACCATGGCTTTTATTTTGTGTATTCTGATGCTTTGACATCTGGCCATTGCTGATCTTGGAGGGACTCCCAGGGCTACCTTATCCATAGAGATAGTAAACAGCTCACCCCCAAGTGTGATTTTCATATGGAAATCAACCAATCCAGAGCCCACACTCCTGGCTACCTCCTCTATTGGGCTCTCACACTCCAGGCCACTGTCCAGATGCCCTACTCAGGGCCACTTACCAAATGACAGGGGGCAGTCCCTCTGCTCCAGAGCCCACTGAAATTACTCAAACTGTCTAATCTTTTTTAAAAATAATTAATTTATTTTTTATTTTAATAGTTTTGGGGGTATACAAAACTATTGAATGAGTTCTTTCATAGTGAATTCTGAGATTTTAGTGCACCTGTCACCTGAGCAGTGTACGCTGTACCCAATATGTTGTTTTTTATCTATCACCCCCTTCCCAATCACCCCCACCTCACACCCCACAGTCCATTATATCACTCAGTTTGTTGTTGCATCTTCATAGCTTAGCTCGCACTTAAAAGTGAGAACGTACAGTATTTGGTTTTCCATTCCCGAGTTACTTAGAATAATGGCCTCCGGTTTCATCCAAGTTGCTGCAAAAGACATTTTTTTTTCCTTTTTATAACTGAGTAGTATTCCATGGTGTATATATATCACATTTTCTTTATCTTCTCATTATTCGGTGGACTCTTAGGCTGTTTCCATATTCTTGTAATTGCAAATTGTGCTGCTATAAACATGTGTGTGCATGTGCCTTTTTCACATAATGACTCCTTTTCCTTTGGGTAGATACCCAGTAGTGGGATAGCTTAGATATTTTTAGTTCTTTAAGGAAACTCTGTACTGTTTTGCATAGTGGTCGTACTAATTTAAATTCCCCCTAACAGTGTAAAATGTTCTCTTTGCACCAGATCCACTCCAACATCTATTGTTTTTTGACTTTCTAATTATGGCCATTCTTGCAGGAGTAAGATGATATCTTGATATTTCATTGTGGTTTTAATTTGCGTTTCCCTGATGATTAGTGATTTTGAACATTTTTTGATATGTTTACTGGCCATTTGTGTATCTTCTTTTAAGAAATGATTATTCATATCCTTTGCCCACTTTTTGATGGGATTTTTTTTTTCTTGCTGATTTGAGCTCCTTGTAGATTCTGGCTACTAGTCCGTTGTCAGATGCATATTTCGTGAATATTTTCTCCCACTCTGTGGGTTATCTCTTTGCTCTGCTGATTATTTATTTTGCTGTGTAGAAGCTTGTTAGTTTAAGTGAGTCCCATTTATTTATTTTTGTTTTGGATGCATTTGCTTTTGGGGTCTTAGTCATGATGTCTTTGCCTAAGTCAATGTTCGGAAGAGTTTCTCCAGTGTTGTCTTCTAGAATTTTTATGGTTTCAGGTCTTAGGTATAAGTGTACAATCCATCTTGAGCTGATTTTTGTATAAGGTGAGAAAAGGGTATCCAGTTTCATTCTCCTACCTATGGCTTGCCAATTTTCCCAGCACCATTTATTGAATAGGGTGTCCTTTCCCCAATTCATGTTTTTGTATACTTTCTTGAAGATCAGTTGACTGTAAGTATTTAGCTTTTGTGGTATTTAGTATTTGTGGGTTCTGTATTCTGTTCCAATGGTCTAAGTGAATATTTTTATACCAGTACCATGCTCTTTTGGTTAATACAGCCTTGTAGTATAATTTGAAGTCCAGTAATGTGATGCTTCCAGATTTGTTCTTTTTTCTTAGAATTGCTTTGGGTATGTGGGCTCTTTTTTGGTTCCATATGAATTTTAGGATGTTTTTCTCATTCTGTGAAAAATGATGATGGTATTTTTATGGGAATTGCACTGAATCTATAGATTGCTTGGGTAATATGGTCGTTTTCACAATATTGATTCTTCCCATCCATAAGCATGGGATGTGTTTCCATTTTTTTGTGTCACTTATTATTTCTTTCAGTAGTGTTTTGTAGTTTTCCTTGTAGACATCTTTTGCCTCCTTGGTTAAGTATATATTACTAGGTATTTTATTTTATTTCCAGCTGATGTAAAAGGGATTGAGTTCTTGATTTGATTCTCAGATTGGTCTTTGTTGGTGTATAACAGAGCTACTGATTTGTGTACATTGATTTTGTAACCTGAGACTTTACTAAATTTGTTCATCAAATCTAGGAGCCTTTTGGATGAGTCTTTAGGGTTTTCTAGCTATACAATCATATCATAGGCAAACAGTGATAGTTCGACTTCCTCTTTTCCAATTTGGATGCTCTTTATTTCTTTCTCTTGCCCGATTGCTCTAAACAAACTGGCTAATCTTAAGCCTGCTTACCATACCTCACCATTTCCCCTCCATGGAAACCACAATCAAGCTTCCTGTCCACATTTCCCACGTCTCCCTTGGCCTCCTGCCTGACCTGGTGCTTACTTGTGGGGCCCTTTATGTGTGGCATGCCCCTTTCTCTTGGGCTCTGCGAGTACATAACAAACATCTTTTCAATGGCAGTTGTTTCCTGATCTTTTGTCCCCACCATACCAAAAAATAATGAAACCTATTTTAAAACACAGATGGCTGGGCAAAAGGGGGCAGGAGTAAATTTCTTCTAAGAATATCTGTGAATATAACAATAAAGTTACATTGGATGGTCAGATCACCTCTGAAGCTAATTTGTGACCATCCTAGGGAAAGACTCTCATTTTCAACTGCTTGAAGAAACTTCCATAGGGGTCATCTGGGCTCATCAGCATTATCTCTTGTACTTCAGAGTCCTTAACTCGTTGTGCTGGAATATACCCAACTCTCATATAATACTAACAATAACAATAATAGAATTGATTTATTCAAGTGGTATGTACTGGCATATTAGCACCTACTATGTGCCAGCACTGTTCTCAGCCCTGGGGCCACGGTGATAAATTAAAACAGGAATTATTGCTCTCATGAGGGAGATAGCAAATGAAATAATAAACTTTATGGTATATAAAATACTTCATAGAAGATTAGCACTTCATTTATTTATTTATTTTTAAGATGGAGCCTTGCTCTTGTCACCCAGGCTGGAGTGCAATGGTGTGATTTCAGCTCACTGCAACCTCCGCCTTCTGGGTTCAAGCGATTCTCCTGCCTCAGCCTCATGAGTAGCTGGGATTACAGGCATGCACCACCACGCCCAGTATTTTTAGTAGAGACAGGGTTTCACTATGTTGGCCAGGCTGGTCTTGAACTTCTGACCTCAGGTGATCCACCTGTCTCGGCCTCCCAAAGTGCTGGGATTGCAGGCATGAGGCACTGCACCCAGCTGATTAGCGCTTTAAACAATATAAAGCAGAGTAAAGAGATAGTGTCTGAGAGAACTGCTGATGAGGAGAACAGTAAGAACAACAACAGCAATGGTGATAATAGAACAGTTACATTGGGAGGAGCAGTTTTTACAAGCCATGTGGATACCTCTTACTTGGATGACCCTGTTTCTTCTTACAGCAAATGTATGATCTATTTACTATTGCTATCTTCATTCTACAGTGGAGAAACTGAGGCTTGCAGAGATTTAACAACTGTGTTTTTTAAAATTTTAGTTGTAGTTGTGGTAAAATATACGTACCATAAAATTTACCATCTTAACCGTTTTTAAGTGTGCAGTTCAGTGGTGTTAAGTACATTCACACTATTGTGTAACCAATCTTCAGAACTCTTTTCATCTCACAAAACTAACAGTACATACTCATTAAACAACTCCCTATTCCTCCCTCCTTTCAGCCCCATCACTCAAATTACGTCATTTAAATGGAATCACACAGTACTTGACTTCTTGTGTTGGCTTATTTCATTTAGCACAGTGACTTCAGGGTTCATCCATGTTGAGCATGGGTCAGATTTTCTTTCCTTTTTAAGGCTGAATAATAGTCCACTGTAAGAATAACACCACATTTTGTGCATTCACTTATCTGTCGATGCACATTTGGGTTGCTTCCACATTTTGGCCATTACAAATAATGTTGTTATGAACATGGGTGTCATAACTGGTCTTCTTGCCTACTGTCAAATGCACCAAACTCATCAAGGTCTTTCTTGTCCCAGGGCGTTATTACTCTTTCCTCTTCCAGTTAGGTACTTCCCCAGATATTCTCGTGGTTTAGTATGACACTTTGCTCAAGTCTGCTCAAACATGACCACCTAGGAGAAGCCCTCCTTTTCAACTCTATCCCCAGCCATGGCTCTCTGTGCCCCTTACCTTGTGATACCTGTGTGCCCCTTACCTTGTCAGTACCTGAAATCATATGATATACTGCATGTATTTATTGCCTGTCCCCTCCTTCTTTCAAATGTTACCTTTAAGAAGACAGACTTGGCCTGTTTCTATAATGCTCTATTGTCAATGCCTGGGACAGTGCCTGGCAATAAGTAGGTGTAAATACGTATGAATGAATGAATGAATGAATGAATGAATGAATGAAGTGGTAAAATTTTTATTTGAATCTAGGCCTTCTGCTTTTAAAACCCCTGCAAAAATGCCACCCTGTCTTATAGTTGGAGAAAAACTTGTGGTTGGGATGGGTGGTATCAGAGATGAAGTCCCAAAAGTCTTAACCAAACTCTGAAGGTAAGTGGAACAAGTTACAGGCATAAGAAATCACAACTGAAACAATATCCTTATAGTGGGTTGAACAATAGCCCCCAAGAGATATGTCCTTGCACTAACACCTGGAAGCTATGAATATTACCTTAGAAAAGGATCTTTGAAGATGTAATTAAGTTCAAGATTTTGAGATGAGACTGTCCTGGATTATCTGGATGGAACCTAAATCCAATGACAGATGCCCTTATACGTATTATAATGATTAATGATTTGCAATATTTTTTGATATGTTTACTGGCCATTTGTATATCTTCTTTTAAGAAATGATTATTATATTATAAGTAAAAGGCTAAAGGAGATTTGAGACATAGAGGAGGCCATGTGAAGACAGACAACATGAACGAACCTGGAAGACTTTATGCTAAGTGAAATAAATCAGTCACAGACAAATACTGCATAATCTCACTTGTATGTGGAATCTAAAGAAATCAAATTCAGAAACAGAGAATAGAAGGGTGGTTGCCAGGGGCTGTGGGAAGGGGATGGGGAAAATGGGCTTTCAGTCAAAGGGTACAAAGTTTCAGTCATAAGATAGGTAAGTTCTGAAAATTTAATGTACAACATGGTAACTGTAGTTAATAACAGTGTATTGTACCATGAAATGTGCCAAGTGAGTAGATTTTAAGTGTTCTTACCATTTAAAAAAACATGTATATGAGGTCATGAATATGTTAATTGGCTTGATTGTGGTCATCGGTTCACAATGTATACATGTATTAAAACATCATGCTTTCTACCTTAAATATATACTTTTGTCAACTACACCTCAACAAAGCTGGAAAGAATAAAGAGACAAAGAAGCAGAGATCAGAGTTTTGCAACTGCTAGTCAAGGAAGGTCTGCAGCCACTGGAGACTGGAGGAGACAAAGAAAGATTCTCCCCTAGAGACTTCTGAGGAAGTGAGTCCCTGCTAGCACTTTGATTTTGGACTTCGGTCCTCCAGAACTGTCAGAGAATAAATTTCTGTTGTTTTAAGCCACCAAGTTTGTGATAATTTGTTACAGAGGCCATAGGAAACATACAATTCTAGACTTAGTGAACTGGAGCTGGGACCCAGATTAGCCAGCGTGAAGACACGTCTTGGGGCAATACATGATATCGTGGTCCCCTGCTCATCTGCAACCAGACTGGTTCTAGCACTGGGCCGAGGCAACATCGTCACTTCATGCTGCTGGGAGGGGTAGGGTGTATAGAGCCAGCAAAGGCCAACAGTAGAATACACTGGGCTTAGCAAGCTCTCTGAGCTGCTGGGTTCTGCAATCTATGTGGTTCTGCATGGTTTAGCCTCCAAATGCAGAGGATTACAAAGTGCTAAAGATGCATAGCAAGTAATAAAATATTATGGGGATTGGAAACAGCCCCAAAAAGTGAATTCTTGCCCAAATGATAGAAAATTTTCCATTTCTAAGTCTTTATCAAGTATATCAATGCTTTGCTAAGGAAACACATCTTCTTTTCTTCTTTTCTTCCTTCCTTCCTTCCTTCCTCCCTCCCTCCCTCCCTTTCTTTCTTTCTCTCTCTCTTTTTCTTTCTTTCTTTTCCTTCCCTTCCTTCCTTCCTTTTCTTCTTTCATTTTCTTTCTTTCTTTCCTTTCTTTTTTCTAGAGACTCTGAAGAACCCAGAGAAAAGGTTTATTGGGATAAGTTTAAATAAGCTCTTCCCCCAAACAAGAAGATGAATGTAATAACCTATTGAAGTCTCTGACATCCACATACTTCTAACATTTGCTCAGTGTCCATTTATCCTAAACCACTATTTCATATAAAATGTTCTGGGTTTTTGGAGTTATAATCACATCAAATAAAACTATGTGTTCTTCATAGCCTTACTTGGTATTTCATTTGATAGGTTTTAATTCCAGAACTTTATATTTACTATTAGAAATAAATTTTGATTTACTTTTATGCTTACACTGGCTTAATAATAGTGTTGGTATTATAAAGCAATAAAGGCTAGTTACTATTACTATCAATACTAAACGAAAAGCTTGTGAAATTATTCCAACAATTCTTCTTCATCAGGGTAACAATCTTGTGTTGTGACTGCTCTACTTGTTCAAACATATAGCAAAAGCCCTGCACATCACTCCAATTCCCACATAGTCTCTGTTGGTTTTCTAGAAAAGTAGTGCATTTTGCATCTTCATGCAGCCAGTGGGGAGTAGTGGACACAATAAACATACATATCTATAACAAAAATAGTTGGCACAAATGACAGCTAGCCAGATACTCCGGCCAAGTCACCCTCTTTCACCTATGGTTGTATGAATTAAATAAAATGACATAAAGTTCTTAACATAATTCCTTACACACAGTAGCATTTAATACATGCTAATTTTCTCTGATATATCTCCTTTCCCTTTTTCCATGATAATTTCATTTCTGTCAACTTCTGGGAAAATAACCCTCATCCTTATGTTACTTTATCCTTGTGTTGGCCTGCTTGTGTATCTGGTGTTTTTACAAAATTTAGTTTTTACGTTTTCTTAGCTCATACTTTTATCTAATATCAGCTACTTGCCAACTTCATAATTATTAGAAATTTCCAGATTATCAACCATTCTCATCTTGGAATGCTGGTTATACAGCATTAGTAGATTTTCTTCTA
Source organism: Homo sapiens (assembly GCF_000001405.40). Lineage (NCBI taxonomy): Eukaryota > Metazoa > Chordata > Mammalia > Primates > Hominidae > Homo > Homo sapiens. The sequence goes on from NC_000008.11 coordinate 68,253,188, forward strand.
TTTTTTCCACTTACTATTTCAGCAAACTAGGTAGCAGCAAAAGCAGATTCCACCAGTCTCCAAATATTTATGTGTATTCATGCTGCTCTTGATCCAAAGGTCTATCTGTCTCTAGGATCCAGCAGATGGAGTAATCACTGCTGACAGATGTAAGAACTCTCGAGCTGGCCATGAACTTGGCTGGGCCTTGAAAGATGAGTATGATTCTGCAAAATAGAGCTAGTAAGGAAGAACAGGCAGGGTGTGTGCTAAGATGGCCAGAAATTATATATTAAAAAAAAAACAGGGCTTTGCTAGAGCAATGCTACATTGACTATTGTTACTATGTTCTCTTTTACGAAAGGCCCCAAATCAGTCTTTACTAATAATGGGCATGGGGACCACAACACATATTAATAGGTTAAACCAAAAGATCAGGCAGCGGGATGGCAATGGGAATGAGCAGAGCACTGTGGAGGTCATGGACAAAATCTACTACAGCACAAGCGCCTCTTCAACCTTTGGTAAATGTTTCAACCATAAAAGCTGAAAGCTGTAGTTTAGTTTAGAAAATAATTGCAATTCTAGATTCTAGCTGAAGGGCTCATAAAAGCTTCTCTTTGGAGATTAATATCACCATGATGTATTTGGCTTTAAAGTGCTTCTTTAAAAAAGAAAATCTAGAGTCTGGGTGAATATATTCAGCTTGCATGAAGGTAAGAAATACTCTTCAAATGTTATACTCATTAATACGGATGCATTTTATTGTGAAAATTTCTGATATATGAAATGAGATGTTGACATACGAATATCTCAATTTACCAAAAAATTATATTGAGGGAGCATACGTAATTGTTTCCTAAAAGTTGGAAAGCATTTTTTAAATTGTGAGAATCCCTACTGTGATCACTTACACGTATTAGATACCCATGCATCCATCAGATGAATTAGAGCTCTTGGCTAATAGTGGTAAGGTGGACCATCTACTTTAGGAAGGTGGCATTGTGCAGTGGAAAGAACACAGGAGATTATTTCTAAGCTCAGGTCCTCAACTGAGTAGAATCAGCTTGGGGAGGGTCCTACATGCTGTAAGACTCTGTTTTTTCATATGTTGAATTAGAGTTGGACCAAATGAAATGCCAGGTTTCTTCCAGTTCAAAAAATACATACAAGGAAGTGACTAAATGTTCAGGAGTTCCAAATGGAAAAAGAAGATTAGGAACCACCTCCTGGAGAGAGTAGAATTGGAAATGGACATTGGAGGATACATCCTCAAAATGGGTATGTTGAGTTTGTGTTCCAGGAGAGCAGTTCAATCTACTGTAAGTCTACAACTCTGAAAGTTGGGAAACGTGGAGCCTTTAGGGGAACAGCAAGTGACCTAGTTTGGCTAGAACAGGAAGAATATGCAGAGAACAGGTGTGGACATGCAGGTTGGGACCACACCGTTCATTTACTCAGCAAATATTTATGAAGCACTTGTTTGGTGCCAACACTCTCCTAAGCGTAGGATACCATGGTGGGCATGACAGGCAGGTCTCTTAGGGGAGTTCATAGTCTATTGGAGAAGAAAGGCTGTTTAACAGCCCTGATAGGAACATACAGCAAGAACATCTAATCAAGCCTGGAGGTGGGCAGCCGTTGAAGAAGTCCTGTTTAAACTGAAACCTAAAGGTTGAATGCATGTCAGCAGGTACTATTTAAAAAGCTATTCCAAGCAGTGAAGTATCTGCCTTACTTAACCCTTTATATCTAAATATTGTTAACCAAATTTTGCACCTTATGTCCAGTAGTGATATAGTTTGGCTGTGTCCTCACCCAAATCTCATCTTGAATTGTAGCTCCCATAATTCCCACATGTTGTGGGAGGGACCTGGTGGGAATTCACTGAATCATGGGGGTAGTTTTCCCCATACTATTCTTGTGGTAGTGAATAAGTCTCATGAGATCTGTTGGTTTTATAAGGGAAAACCCCTTTCACTTGGTTCTCATTTTCTCTCTGGCCGCTGCCATGTAAGAAGTGCCTTTCACCTTCTGCCATGATTGTGAGGCCTTACTAACCACGTGGAACTGTGAGTCCGTTAAACCTTTTTTTCTTTAAAAATTACCCAGTCTCAGGTATGTCTTTATCAGCAGCATGAAAATGGACTAATAGAAGTAGCCAGTAAAAATGAGTCTCTGGCCCTTCAAATAATTGAAATTGGCATGCAAAAGAAGTGTATTTACCATCCCTTGTCTAGGAGATACTATGCCAGATACAGCATGTTATTTCTTTATTTTTAAATACACAAAAACATACAATTATGGTTTTAAAAAGGCTCACCAACAGTACTTGTTAAAGTTAACAAATAGAATGCCAACAACAAATTCTTTAAGCTTAGCCAATTTTTAATAAAATGAGTTTGTTTTTTAAACTAACATATGGAACTTATGTGGTGAAGCAGCTTCTAACTATGTTTTCAGTGCATAATGAGAGCCCAGAGGTAGAAGGCTATCCATTTTACGTTGTGAGTTTCTTTAGCAAGATTTAAGAGTTGGGGTATCTAATGAGAAAAGTCTGATGGTTGGTTTCATCTAAGATTAAAGTTTTACAGGAAAAATCGAATTGATGGCAATTGCAAGAAGGGATCTAGGCTAAATAGAAAAGGATGGAAGGCAGAGAGTTGCTGATATCATGGGAGAAATAGGAGATATCCAGGAGCGAACAATTTCAATGAGAGAAGATTGAGTTGGAGAGAGAGCAAGAGGAATAAGAAACAAGCATAAACAGAGAAGGTGGCCGAGAAGTGGGATGTTAAGCTTTAAAGTGTCAGGAAGGGGACATTTCTTGGGGATGGCAAAGTTTAGGGTGAAGCCATGGGAGTGGGTGGCCGAAAACAATGACAAACAGCAAGTAGCTTTAAGGATGTGATGTTACTGAATCCTTACATGGATAAATAGGTCATCCAAGATGATGGTGGAAATAGGGGTGGGGTCAAAGCTTTAAGCCATATGTGAGAATTTTCAAAGGATGCTGGCAATTTTCTTCCAACTGGAAACCAAAAAGTAAGTAAGCAAATCCCAGCAATAGGGAGGATGCAAGAATCAGATGTGATAATCAGCCTAAAATCCCCTGGGGAAGGGAGAAGAAGATTGTCTAGAAATAAGAATAGAGAGTGTTAGAAATATAGGCACTTGTTTCCAGGATGAAGATGTGTAGAGGCGAAGAGGTAAGATGAGGCAGAGTCCTGAGGAAGAGGTGGGTTCTACTTAAGGAAAGATCTTCTGAATATGGAGTGAAGGGCTTGAAAGGGTAAGGTGGGAACAATGGAAATAAATGACTAGAGACTCAAAAGCACAAAGATGGGTTTGGGAACCCAGAGACTAGAATGGTAATGCAGAAATAGAAGAAAAACTGCAAAGCTTGAGCTAACGACAGTGGTGAAGGATGGCAGGGATAGAGGTCTTGGTGTTAATTAGCTGATTTTAAAACTCTTGTTAGAATTTGGAGGTAAAAATATTTCTCAGTTGATCCAGACAGGAACACTGAGTTATGGCTGAAGCCAGACAATGATCTCTGCCCTGTGGCCGACTTCCTGTCTTAAAAGATGAGCTGCCTCATGTGGTAAGGTGGACATGGCCGGGCAAGAGTCACGGTGACTCAGAGGTCTATGGAGACACAAACAAGTTTGTGGATAAAGAAGTGGCACCTTATTTAAGAATACTAAGTGGGGTCAGTTTGGCATTCACTGGATCAGCTGGAATGAATGTGTTTTTCTGGGCTCGGATTCAGGATCAGATGCCATTCTTAGCATGCAGCTAGAGTGGAAGCCAAATGGACCAGGAGGTGGTGAAGGGAGAGCTGGGTGTGTGTAGAAAGAGAAGATAAATCATCCTACAATTTGTTGCACACACAGGGCACAAGAATTCTGTGTAGCCATGAAAAGCCATAATACTGGGACCAGATCCCTGTCACTTTTGGCGAGAATTCCTAAAACATTACCCAGTCCTTTGATTGCATAACTGGATGTGATTAAGGCAGCAGGACAAAGAGTGGTATGAACTGATACAATCATGACTACATTCACATTGAGAACTTAAGCCACTTAGGTGCATGTCCTTTAAAGATTAGTTATTAACCAGTGTATGAATGTCAGCAACAAACTATTGTAACTACTCAAGAGAAGCAAACCCCCTTGACCGCAGCCAAACGCAAAACCTAGAGTGAACACATTCTACCTGTTTCTCCTCTCTCCTTAGAACAGCAATCTGAAGAGGCTGGTGGTGAGTCGCTAAAGGGGAGAGCCATGTCCTGAATAGATGAAGACATGTATTTCCTTTTCTTTCTTTCTTTCTTTTTTGAGACAGAGTCTCGCTCTGTCATCTAGGCTGGAGTGCAGTGGCACGATCTCGGCTCACTGCAACCTGCACCTCCAGGGTTCAAGGGATTCTCATGCCTCAGCCTCCCGAGTAGCTGGAATTACAGGCGCAGACCACCATGCTGGGCTAATTTTTGTATTTTCAGTAGAGATGGGGTTTCAACATTTTGGCCAGGCTGGTCTTGAACTCCTGGCCTCAAGTGATCTGCCTGCCTCAGCCTCTCAAAGTGCTGGAATTACAAGTGTGTGTCATGGCCCCTGGCCAAAGCACGTATTTTCAACATATAAAACAGCAAGCCAACAAGACATGTATCCTTGAAGAATCCTTAGTGTTCAGTTTTCCTCTCAGCATGGAATCTTTCAGACTACAGCAAACCAAACAAATGTCTCACTGAATTCAACAAAAGATAAGAAAACGAAACCTGGAAAAACCTCAGATCACAATTGACCTTTTAAACTAAGAAAAGATGACTGTGCTGTATAAAGGCTAAATAATAACAATGCAAATAGCAACCAAATGTTACCCTCTAGAGGACAATGGCATCATGACATTAATAATACACATAACAGACTGGGAACATAGGGCAGGTTTTCTTTGCAGGGAGTGATTTTTCCTTGGCTTTCATACTGCAAGAAGATGAGTACATAATTCTGTTTCTCAATGGTAGCCTTTTCTCCCAAACCTATTCAGTTATTTAGCGTGGTAATCTATTCAGGTATTATTCAAACAGTGTACGTAAAGGTAGGCGAGAAAATGTAATGGTAAAACTCCAAAATTTGATATCAGAATAAAGTTATTGTCCCCATTTTGGGGTCTATTTATAGCTTTTTTATTTCAATTCAAATTACAGCTGCATGAAGCTTGTTTTTTCAATGATAATAAAAATGTATTTAGTATTTTATATTGTTCCTTTTAAAAATAATACCTGAAAGAGAAAGTGCTCAAAGAAAACCACTTAAAGGAGATGTCATATTTTCCAGGTCCTCTCATCTTGTAAGATAGATGGCACACAGCCCCCGTCTGCCACCTTTAAGATGGGTTCTCACAAGAAAAAAGGAGAGGATTTTAGTAAAGTGAAGTGAGAATCTGGGTCAAGAAACGTCCTTGGCCACCAAATTCAGTGAATGTCTAACTTCAGAATTTTCAATTTTATCTAAAAGAATCACAATTACCAAAATTATGACCTGTTTCAAAACATTTCCATGGAAATGTTTTAAATATACTATATATATAAAGTTAAATATATTTTATCTAATATGGAAATTTTTCCTTATATTTAATTTAATAGACTTCTTTTCTCTTATTCTTGATCATTTTAACTTAATCCTTCCAGATGCAATTAAAGCCCATTTCATCTACTTTGGTAATTAGTAAACAAAGGGAACACCTGACAATATTTCTTTCCTAGGCTGTGCAACTTTTCGTTGTTATTAGTTATATGGTAATGTGAATGAAAACTCAAATGAGAAACTTAGCCAACATGAAATATTATTGCATAAACCTTGATTTATCTTTGATGCCTTACTCTGTCTCCATTTTTATACTGTCAATTAGGAATTTAATAATGAAAATAAATTCCAATTTCTATCAGCTCTCAAGGTTGGTGTGTTAAAGTCCATTTAAGCTAGTATTGTGACTATCCATATTCAAAAGTAGTTGATTCTTATCAACCATTTTCATACCAGACACAAAACTTTATATAATACATTTTTGTTTTTCATCTGCCTTTTACAGCACTAGTTATTTTGAAGTCTTTGGAGATCTCAGACATCTGTTTTCCAGGCCCTAAAGCTAGGATTGCAAAAGCGTTGATTTTTGGAGAACAATTATTTTCTAAACCCTGGTTTTTATCCAAGAATTATTTTCTCCATGAAACAGTAATCATGAAATACTTTTCCCAATAAAAATCATTCAATAATATACCGGGAACTTTATAACCATTTATTACTACAGAGGGGGGTAATTCAAACCAATGAAGCACCATCCTCACTTAACCTCTTTTCTAAAGATGATTCCACAATTATAAAACATCTTTCCACATTTGGACTTAGAAAATAATTATACAGACAAATACAGATAAGGATTAGTTAAGAGCATGGGGTTTTGCATTCAGAAGGTTTGAATATTTTCTCTTTCATTTACTAAGCTGCCTGATCTTAACTTCCTTCATCAAAGAAATGAAAGAATATTGGAAATCCAATGGTGCTGGCAAGGAAAAAAATACCATAAAGTATATAAAATACTTAGCCCAGCAGCACAGTGAGCATTTAACAGATGGTAACTCTTTATGTCAATTGAGTCATATTGGTTCAGTTGTAATCATTACTTTTTTTTTCTTTTTTAGTTTCACTTATAAAACTAGCCCCATGCAGTAAGAACTTTAGAAATGAACACAGAATAGAAAAAGTGACTCTGTAAAATGACAAATCCAAAGAATAGAATATTTATAAGAGCTCTATTAGGAAATGATGAGGGCGGAGCTAAGAAAAGCAGAATCTACAATCAAATCCAAAGGGTGAAATGCAAGCCAAAGAAGACGCAAAGTCTGATGAGGGTTGGCAATGGCGCACCAGGAATACGGCAATGAGCAAAGCTGGTTTGAATCTAGCAAATTCAGTCTAGCAGGTTCATTTGCTACAAGTAGACTGGAAGGCATGTTGCTTTTTCATTTTTTCTTCTTTTTAAATAAAAATGTTTATTGGACATTAACTGCATGGTGTATAGGCATATTGGTCTGTTTTAAAAGTAGACAATAAAGAATTTGAGTTTTATTCTGTCACAATTGAAATGCACACACAAAGTAAGTCTTGAGCAAGAGGACATGAGATCAGAACTTTAGAAACATTCATTTGGCAATAAGATATAGGCTCAATGTAAGGCCACGCTTCATTAGCTAGAAGTAACAATTCAAGACAGAAGGCATGAAAGCCTGAATTGGGGAAGTAAATATAGAACTGAAAAAGAAGAAAAAATAAGGAAATTCATCTTGAAAGCAGAATTGGAATAGATTGGCAACTGGTTGGATATAGGAATTTCTGATTTATCTGATTATCTGATTTATCTGATTTATCTGATTTATTTTTTATAATTCTTAAAGACACATTCAATAACTGTGGAATATTTTGTCTTTTACATGCTTTGCCTAACTGCTCTCCTTCCTGGTTGGAGTTCAAAAGCCAAGATTTTGTGGTGTTACACTATGACCAGGTATTGCATATGCCCCATATACAAGTATCAATGCCATGAGCAGAGAAACCTAGAAAGAAAAATAATCAACACAATATGCCATTTAATATTAATTCAGCAAAGTTTATATAGTGTTTTCTTTGTTCCTCCTTTCCCTTGAAGTAAGATTTTTGGTTTTGTGGTGCCCTGTCAATCATATGGGGTTCCTGAAAATGAGGATCAGCTTTCTATTAAACTTTTGCAGGCTTTCTGTTATCTACCTGTGTTGTATTGGGCTCTGATCTCCAGGGCGCTGACCCCTGAGACACACAGCTATTCAGTTTCTAATCGATTTCAGCAGTATCCATCCAATACTTTAACATACCACAGAATGTTGCCGATTTCTATGTTGTGAGCACGAGGGGATCTTAGTTTCATTTTCTCATCATTACTGTATTTCCTCCCGTCTCTCCCTATGGCTTTTTCCCTTTTGAAGACTTTTGCTCTCATTTAAACCCCCAAAGATTTCTCTGCCCCATAAGTTCCGTTCCCACTTCTTTCTAACCTCTATAGTCTTCTACCATACTCAGATGCAACCATTTCCCATGTCATTTACAAAAGTCTATTAAAAATCATTTGGACTTGAAATCAAGTTTGGACTTGAAATGCTGATTTAAATCCATGCAAAACATGTTATGCTTCATAGGGAAATCCTCCAGCAAAGGGATTGAGTCCAGAGATCAGAGACAGCTGCCTGCAGTTGCATGGCCACTTCCCAGGATGGTCATGTTGCCTGCAGATGGTGCCTTGATTGCTGTGTGTTTACTTTAGTGGAATAAATGTGGGCCCTGAACCACAGGCAAGTTTTGATTCCTCTCATTTCTGAAGTGACAAGAAAATGTTTTCTGTGTCTCAAAACAATGCTGCTGGTCCCCTGAGACTAGTTGGAGAGTGCAACTCTGGCCACTTTAGATTTTCATTCTTATGAAGTGTAACTGCGGGGTTCAGAAAAGACCACTTTATGTATTTATTTATTCATGCCTTCCTTCATTTATGAAAGCCATCACCCAGTTCTGCCTAAATTTATTAGCCTGTTTGAACTGTGAAATAGTTCATGTTTACTGGCTGAATGGAAAAATGAGAAAAAAAATAAGTAAATAAATAAAGATTTCATTAGTAGAAATGGGTTTGAATTGAACTGTGATTTATCTTGGCCATGAGCAAGAGACAATTATTTTCTAAACCCTGGTTTTTAGTCACCTGTCTCATACAAGTGACACCAAATTCTGCTCTAGTGGAACCTAGCTAGGGAAGCCTCAACAGGCAAGTTATAGCTTTGAAAACAGAGTGTGTTTGCTTCCTTTGTTCCTTCTCTAGGGTAATGGCCTAGGATTGTATGAAGAGTGCTGCTAGGACAGTTTAGTTTCCTGGGTGACGGAGCCCAGGTCCCTTCCATTTAAAATACTTTGTGGATAATATTTCACACAAAATCTTCTGTTTCTCAGGATTCTCTGAAAAATACTTGACAGCAGCATAGCTAGGCATTGTTTATTTTTCCCTTCAGACACTTCAGTGCAGAGTGAAAAGGAGGGCCACAGCTTCAGATTCAGGCACATTGTCTGTAGTAGTGATGGTTTCATTTGTTTATTTTGGAGCGTGTAGGCCAAGCTATTCCATAGGCTTTCCTGAATTTTCTTCCTTGTCTCCATAACAGAATATTCTGTTTCTGTGCCTGTATGCTTTTATTGCTTTATACACAAGTCACCTACAGCATCTATCACTTCATGTTCTAGTTATCCACTTACACAATACAGAAAAGCCTTACTACTGATTCATGTAGCATGGAATTTACAAATAAATGAATTCTCCATCCTAATTACAGTGTGCAAGATAATGATGACAAAAGAATATGTTTCTTCATAGTTCAAGACTAATAACGGGTCTGTGCATTCAAATTTAGCTGTAGAAAGATACTGTATTTCTCTTTATTAAGATGTATTCGACTTCAGGTGCACATCTCTCCATTTTTCAAAGTAAAGAATGCAATATGAACTGATGTCTGCTCCATAATACAGATTGGAATTTCTCAAAAAATTTCCATCATAACAGTCACTCTCCCTGAAGAGCACTAGAGTTAATAGAAAAACTGAATCCAAATCTCAACTATTATATTTCGGAGCTTTGTGATCATGGACGAGTGTTTGAATCTTAGTTTTCTCATCTTTAGAAGAGATCTGCAACAGGAACTGGCATATAAGATTAATATAAGGGTCAAATAAGAGTTTACATGAAAGTGCTTAAAACCATAAGGCATTACGTAAGTATCTGTTTTTGAAATAGTTGAGCAAGCATGGGTTTTTAGCATCGTGCTCTGCAAAAAGTGTCTAGTTCTTGTATCTTCTGTGATATGCAAATAAAAGTTGATCTTTCAGGATACTACATTTCCAAAAACTATATTTATTCAGAAAAAAAGTAGATAAGCATTCAGAAATTTTTAGGAAGGGAAAGGGAATGTCGACTTTATTAAAAATATTTGGTAATGCTGTAATTCAATGGTTTGTATATTCTAGCTGTTGTCATCTTCTCAATTTCATATCCAGAGTCAGACATTTAGCAAACTGGAAGGCCTGTTTGTTTCTTTTTGAATTTTTTTAAAAGGTAATTTTTCTCTATTAAGGCATTACAAATCTGATTTAATTGGTTCACAAAATGATTTCTTTAAAAAACAGAAAAAAAAAACGGCTGGGTGTAGTGGCTAGCCCTTGTGATCCCAACAATTTGGGGGGCAGGAGGATCACTTGAATCCAGGAGTTCAAGATCAGCCTGGGCAACATAGCGAGAACCTGTCTCTACAAAAAATTTAAAAAATTATCCGGGCATGGATGTGTGTGCCTGCAGTCCCAGCTACTTGTGAGGCCGAAATGGAAGGATCACTTGAGCTCAGGTGTCTGAGGCTGCAGTGAGTTATGAATGCATCACTGCACTTCAGCCTGGGCAACAGAGTGAGACCCTGTCTCAAAAAAAAAGCTGTGGTGATTATATTTCATATATAATTCAAACACTGAATTTATGTTTGAAATGTTTGAAAATACACTTACCAAATTTAAAACCAAAATGTATCATAACTAAGAATCTTTCCGTGGGCATCCATTGCTGGAAAATCACTTTATTTATTGTATATATGCACATGTTAATTTGAATTTATTTTAAAATCACTGTTAAACTCACATAGTATGTACTTACCTCTAACTGGTGAACAAAAGAAATGGCACTTGGTTTTCACCTAAAGATATTGCCAAGTAGAACTTTTTCCATAAATACTTCCAACCGATGTTTCATTTTATTCATGGCATTTGGACTGAGCTCCTGCACTAGGCCTCAACAGACCAAACTGAAGCAAAATGGAGTCACTCACGCTAAATGCCACATAATCAAATGGAAACTTCAAGGAATCAAATCGATCCCTAAACACATCAATTTTTGTCTGGAAACAGGAGACCCCAGTTTACCTGAATAGGTGTAATAAGGAAGTCCCCTCTGCTTAAACCCTTACCATAAAGTAACCTGAAGTAACTTGACGTTTACCAATCAGCTTTTTTTCTTTTGTTAGTTTCCTTGTTCCCACCTTCCAAACTCACTGTTCTGAAATTGCCCAGTGGGAGTTCTCATTCTATTTTGTAGAATGAAGGCTACCCCGATTCATGAATTGCAAATAAAAGCCAGTTAGATTTATAACTAAATTTGTTGTAATTTTGTCTTCTGACAGTTCAGCGGATGTTCCTTTTGTGAGTTCAGCCTGATGTTACTTTCCTTCAGCCTTGCCGCTTTGTGAGGAGGTGGTCTCTTTCTTATGCCTTCTCTTCTTAGAAAGAGGGTGAAGGGCAGCAACACTGATTACTGTTACTCAGTTTGTGAAATGCTCAGAGTTCCTCTGAGCTGGGAATCAAATTGCAAAGAACACCATGACCTTCACGAAAGTCCGAGACACAGAGCATGGCACCACCATGGAAACCAAATGAAGCTCAACCCAAGGTCCTCAGAGAGGGTCCCATGTTGCCATAGCAATCTGGTTTTCCCCATTCTGAGGTGACCCCTACTGTCCTGATCCCACTTCAGCCTTTGTCTTCATTGATCCTGATATTTGTGGCATAGGACCCTGTGGAGTGGCTTCTTTTTTGAAATTACTTTGTCACCAATCTTTCCAGGTATTTAGCTTCAACTTTTGCCTAAGTGAAAACATTCAAATCAATTTCCAAGATGATTCTTTCCTCATGTTCAGTCCAATTGCTTCCTTTACTTTTCTCTTTAACAAGTCAAACTCCACCTGTACAAAAACAGATACAGATGTAGCTCCAAGTCTCAGCCATGTCTTTTCTATCTCCTGTCATGGTTCCATGTGTAATCTCTTCATGGTTTCTGCCTAAGTTATTAAAATCTCCAATTTGGAGTCATTTTCCTTTTTAAAACTTAAACATTGCTATCAAAAAGATTTTCCTAAAACACATAAGATCACTTGGTAGTCCTTATGTAAAAAATTTTCCATGGCTCTCTGTTTTCCTTTTGAGTTAATCAAAGTACTTATGCTGACATTCAAGGCCTTCATTCTCTAATCCTTAACTGGCTTTACCTTGGTTAATCTCCTACTGCTCCTCTATAGAAATCCTATGCTGATACCAAAGTCGACTGTCTTTTGATGCATGTGCTCTATGCTTTCCCACCCTCATTCCCTTAGGCATTATGTGTTTCCCATGCTCTCTGCCTAAAATAATACTACCATGTTGATGACACGATCTCCACAAAGCCTTCCTAATTCCCTTCAGTCATTTTCTCTTCTGAATTCCCATGGCTTTGTGTTTGAGACTCTTCATAGCACTACTATATGCTCTTCCCTTAAATGTATTGCTACATACATCCCATAACACTACTACATTGTAAGGCCTTGGAGGGTCAGAGTTGCTTTCCTCATTTGGCAGCTCCAGAAGCACCCATCACTATGTTGTGCTCTGGACACTGTATTAGTCCATTTTCATACTGCTATGAAGAAATACCTGAGATTGAGTAATTTATAAAGAAAAAGAGGTTTAATGGACTCACAGTTCCATATAGCTGGGGAGGCCTCACAATCATGGCAGAAGGTAAAGAAGGAAGAAATCACAGCTTACCTGGCATCAGGCAAGAGAGCTTGTGCAGGGGAACTGTCCTTTATCAAACCATCAGATCTTGTGAGACTTATTCACTATCATGAGAACAGCATGGGAAAACCCATCCCTGTGATTCAATTACTTCCCACCGGGTCCCTCCCAGGACACATGGGGATTATGGGAACTACAATTCAAGATGAGACTTGGGTGGGGACACAGCCAAACCATATCAGACCCTAATCCCACAAATGCAGCTTTTCCCAGGGCACTTGGAGCTGCTCTTTCAGATTATCAGCTGTGACAATAAGGCCCTTCTTTTACTGCTGAATATTTGCTTTGGATGTTTTATTCAATTTCATTTATATATGTTAAGCAGTTCCTTATTTTTCAGTCCTAGGGAAAGGATTCTAGAGGTTCACTTCAGGAAGGAATGGGATCCCAAGGAGAAACTGAGGGAGACAGGGTGGATAGAGACAAAGAGTTGGAGTGGAGAGTTTAATATTTGGGAGCCAGAAGTGATATAGATATTCCTAACAATTTTTTAACAAATAAATCATTTGCTTTTTAATGATTCTTTTCTATGTGCCAAGTTCTGATCTACACTTGGCATTTTAGATATAGTAATATATTTAATCTTTGCAATTTTCTGTGAAATCAGCATTACTTTTCTATTTCATAGATGATGAGACTGAATCTTAGGGAGAAAAGTAATCAATGAGGCATAGCTATGGGGTTCTAGAAAACAAATTCAGGGAGATAATCCTAAACTATAGAGTCAGAAATTAGTGTACTATTACCATTTGTACTGTGTTCAGCACTGAGAACTGATAAAATAAAAAAGGTAGTCTCTAAGTACATTAGCCACCAATCAGAAGACAGTCTCTATGTACAAATAGTGCTTATAGCTGTTCTTTTGACTTTGCTGTCAAAAGCCATTTCCAAACACAAAAAGAAGCAACATTCTTAAATGCTCTGAAGTGAAGGAGTGTTTGGCATTTTCTTATGACAGAAAGCCTAGGTCAAGGTCAATTTTTGGTATTAGCCTAAATTGAGCTGATGGTGAGTCAGGGTTTTCAGTAAATGGCACACAGAGAGTGTCCGACATAGAGATAGTTTTCAGTATGTTCTCTTCGTTACTTCTCCATGTAAGATGTATCTGAAGCTCCTGGAAACAATGATTTAGTTATCTAATTTCTCACTTCATTTGAGGAATGTAAAGCTTTTAGAAAATATAACAGTATTATTCCCTCCAACCAATACAAAAATCCATGTGACTATGATCATTTAATTAATATATGATATGTGGATAAATTCTAGCAACTTACATGTATAAACTATAAAATTTGTAATGTCTTTTAGCTGGAAGGTTTTAAAATGCAGTCGAGACTAAACTATTTTCTGAAATATAATTCAATTATATTTTATTGTTTACAAAATGAAGAATGGAAAACTGAATGTAAATCCAGATAATGGTTTTATCTCTAGGAAAGTATAAATTTCTTATTATCAAGCAACTGCAAAACCCTTTTATGTGTTTAATGATGTGGCAGTTATAAAACTAGATTGAATAAATTGCTCATTGTTTTATGTTTTCTCATGAAGACAGTTTCATTAAGAACAGTTGGGCTGGGCGCAGTGGCTTACAGCCTGTAATCCCAGCACTTTGCGAGGCTGAGGCAGGTGGATCATCTGAGGTCAGGAGTTCAAGACCAGCCTGGGCAACAGTGAGACCCTGACTCTACTAAAAATACAAAAATTAGCTGGGCTGGTGGCATGCGCCTGTAATCCCAGCTACTTGGGAGGCTGCAGCATGAGAATCACTTGAACCCAGGAGGCTGAGGTTGCAGTGAGCCGAGATCACACCATTGCACTCCAGCCTGGGTGACAAAATGAGACTCCACCTCCCCCCAACAAAAAAAAAACCACAAAAAAACAAAAACAAGTTGCATTGTGTGAAGATGTGATCAGAAATGTTTCTGCATTTAAATCATAAAATATTTGAACAGCATTTTTGGATTGAGAGAATTTGGGAGAAGTTCTTCTATATCAGTTAGAAGCCTGAGCTTCCACTTTTAGATTTTTAGCAAAAATATTTTTGCTGTCTTAACTTTGCCTTTTCTTTCTTTCCTTCCCTTTCTTTCTTTCTTTTTTTCTTTCTTTCTTTCTTTCTTTCTTTCTGTCTGTCTGTCTGTCTGTCTTTCTTTCTTTCTTTCTTTCTTTCTTTCTTTCTTTCTTTCTTTCTTTCTTTCTTTCTTTCTTTCTTTTCCTTCCTTCCTTCTTTCTTCTCTTTCTTTCTCTCTCTCTCTTTTTTTTGTTCAGAGTCACTCTGTCGCCCAGCCTGGAGTGCAGTGGCAGATCTCAGCTCACTGCAACCTCCGCCTCCTGGGTTCAAGCAACTCTGCCTCAGCCTCTCAAGTAACTGGAATCACAGGCGCACACCACTTACCCAGCTTATTTTTGTATTTTTAGTAGAGATGAGGGTTTCACCATGTTGGCCAGGCTCTCCTCGAACTCCTGACCTCAGGTGATCTGCCCGCCTTGGCCTCCCAAAGTGCGGAGATTACAGGCGTGAGCCACCGTGCCTGGCCACTTTTTCTTTATAATAATATTTTTTTCTACTGGGCTTATTATTAAAGACTTGAGTTCTGAAAATTTGTGAACTCCAAGTTCAAACTGGCCTTCAATTAAGTGGAAATCTTCTGTTTGTTTCTTGAAAATTCCCTCTCTTACTCCTCAGAAATGTTTTTTCTGAATATTACGATCTCCTCAAGTTCCCCTTCTTGCCCATCCTCATGCCAGTGCTGTGTGATGTGTTTACTTTTAACCATCTGTGTCTTTGTATTTAAAATGCATAGTTGGATCTTGGTTTTTTGTTTTTTGTTTTTTTCTTTCCAGTGTGGTAATTTTCGTCTTTTGAGTGTTTAGTCTATTTACACTTAAATTAGTTACTGCTGCAGTAGGTTTAATTCTATTACCTTACTATTTGTTTTCTACTAGTTCCATCTGTTCTTTATGTGGTGTTCTTTTTTTCCCGTTTCCCAACTTCTTTTGTATTAGTCAAATATTTCTTATTATGGCTTTTTTTTCTCTTTTAAGTTTTTAGGTCTACACTGCATGCTTTTTAGTGGTTATCCTTGGATATGCATTTCAATATGCATCCTTGGAACACACATACACACAACATAATACATTTCTAGTTCTAGGATTACTTAGGTAAAACACAATCACATCATTTCTTTTCTTTTTTTTTTTTTTTTTCAGAATAATTTTAAAGATAGGGACATGCGCTCCAAATTTAACAGAAGTTCACTTACCGATAGTAAGACTTTGGAACTGTTAGTTTCACATAGTCACTGGAAGAACATCTTGAAACACACGAGTTTTGATTCCTGCCATGGTCCTCCGTCACAGTGCCAATCCCTCTGTTATATGCAATAAGATGTAATGTAGGCTCAACAGAGTTTAGAGTTTTATGCCAGCATTTCATAGTGGTGATACAAATCATCAGTTTCATAAAATAATGATGTTGGAAACACAGCAGTCAACAGAAGCAAATCCAATACTTTGCTCCATGTGCTGGTAGTCACCATATAGGAGTACCCTGAGAGAGTGGGGAGAGGCTTCCCTGTTGAGCAATCATTGGTGATTTAATCCACTGGTTTTCGAAATCTGTAATGTAGTTTACAGCTGCCCCCAAGTAAAGCCAGAGCAAAACAGGCCTTAAAATATGGAAAGAAAAGTAGAGTACTCATTCAATAACCTCCAATAAAATAATTTATTTCTGATATACAGTGAGAGGAATCATGGCCATGTGAATTTGGAAAAATGTTACAAAACCATTAAGGCTTTTTGGTTGATTTTCTTACAGTTGGGAAATTTGTGAGGTTAACCACCTAGTCTAGTGTTGTTGTTGTTTTTTTTCAGTAATCTTTTTGTTTTGTTTTATTTTTAAGTAACTATTACCTATTCTTTTTAATTAGAGATAATAGCTTAAATTAAACTGTTTTTTTAAATATATGTAGTTATTAAAACTTCTGAGTTTTTCAATGAGATTCCATTACATACAATTATTTAAAAAATATTTTCATCTGAAATTATGCGTGTGATTTTATGTGAGGCATCACCTGAAATAATATCTGTTTTTAAAATTCCCAGAGCAGTAAAAGATATTTGACAGAGCATGCATTCAATTATAAATCATTATGACTCAATTCCAAAACCTTGCTATATGTTGATCCTTAAAGTAGGTGCTGTTGCGTTTACAAAAAAATTTCATTTTAGGCTCAATAGGCAATATTACATAGTCTCTGAGCTTGAACAGTTAAGCTACTTGTTTACAGACATGAACAAAAATATATGCCCTGATACTAGTTGTGAATTTTTTAAAATTGGACTTGGGATATTAATAAAAAAACAGATCAGATTTTCCTGCTAAAAGAATATGAATGAACAGGATGAAGGAGCAGATTTCAAAAGACAGATCTGCTGGAACAGTATGAGGAGACTGAGTAGAACACAATATCATCAAGAAGCCAGTTTTCCACCTGGGTATTCCAGAGAGGAATGTTAATGTTTCAGCAATAATCATATATGACAACTTTTTAAAAAGTAATCCAATATAACAAATAGCAATGTTAAGGCAATTGCTAAAAAGCAATGGTGTCTGAAACTACTCACTAAGCTAACTATAATTCTTAAATAAAAATTTAGGGATTGAATTTGTATACCTAAGGAAAATAAGAATATTTAATCTTTATGCAAATCCCTAAAGCTCAGTGCTGATTCATTTACAAGGAACCCATATGGTTCTGGCCTTTCACAGAGGTCCACAAGCCCCTGTTTCTATAAATGGACATGTAGGGTGGTTCCGGAAGGGGGCAGTTATTGTTAGGGGTATCTGGCAGTAGGTAGCAGGGCTCTAATTCCTAGAAAGACCTCAGTGAAAAAAGAAGTTGAAAGACCAGACCCTACACCTAGGGAAACTAGAATACCTGCCAGACACCAATGGATGAACAGATTCTTGTGCTCAGGAGACAGAAATTAAGAACAAAGTTTGAAGAACAAATATTCCTGGGTTCCAATCTAGACATGAAGCTCTCCACGTGATTTTGGGAAAGTCACTTTACCTCTACTGGCTTTGTTAGCTAATCAGCAAAATATTGAAAATTGCAATATGTACTTTATCTGATTCTTTTGAGAATTAAATAAAATAAGTGAATATGGTGCTTGGCACATAAACTGCAAAAAATGCAATTCATTTTTATTAAAGTTGATCTAGTGTTGAGCTGGTAGAGCTGAGGAAAAGATTGAAGACAAAGCTCGGCAGAGGGCAGGAAGGTGGGTGAGTATTTATGAAGAAGGTGTGATTGAGATGAGTAGATTAACTTGGGCATTTATAGAAAAAAGATTGAGATTCAAAATCTGTGGTTTCAATGGCAATGAAACCACTGAAACTTTTATGAAATTTAAAATTGTTTTGCTTCACGAGTACATGAAGTACTAATGTAGCCAAGTAAAGCTACTTTAATTTGGTAAACTCAGGCATGGACCCTATTTTATTACTCTGCTCAAATCTATTCAGTTCAAGAGGTTGAATGCCCCTTGAAAGGCAAAGATGTTATTTAGACCTAATAGCTTCAGATGCCTCTGGAAGGAGCTGGGTTTCAGTAAGCAAAAATAAACATAGTTGCACTGACTTCTATTTTGTAGAATAGAAAGAAGTTTGGTTTTGATATGTTGAACTGAAACTTCTAGTTTATGACACCACTCTTCAGTTTTAAGTCCACAGAAATTTTCTAATAAAGGAGACCATGTTGCTTTTATCTTTTAGCTAATACACAGTTTACTAACATATTTCAAAAAAGACTCCCACACAATAATAATGGGAGATTTTAACACCCCACTGTCAACATTAGACAGATCAACGAGACAGAAAATTAACAAGGATACCCAGGAATTGAACTCAGCTCTGCACCAAGCGGACCTAATAGACATCTACAGAACTCTCCACACCAAATCAACAGAATATACATTTTTTTTCAGCACCACACCACACCTATTCCAAAATTGACCACATAGTTGGAAGTAAAGCTCTCCTCAGCAAATGTAAAAGATCAGAAATTATAACAAACTGTCTCTCAGACCACAGTGCAATCAAACTAGAACTCAGGATTAAGAAACTCACTCAAAACCACTCAACTACGTGGCAACTGAACAACCTGCTCCTGAATGACTACTGGGTACATAACGAAATGAAGGCAGAAATAAAGATGTTCTTTGAAACCAACGAGGACAAAGACACAACTTACCAGAATCTCTGGGACACATTCAAAGCAGTGTGTAGAAGGAAATTTATAGCACTAAATGCCCACAAGAGAAAGCAGGAAAGATCCAAAATTGACACCCTAACATCACAATTAAAAGAACTAGAAAAGGAAGAGCAAACACATTCAAAAGCTAGCAGAAGACAAGAAATAATTAAAATCAGAGCAGAACTGAAGGAAATAGAGACACAAAAAACCCTTCAAAAAAATTAATGAATGCAGGAGCTGGTTTTTTGAAAGGATCAACAAAATTGATAGACTGCTAGCAAGACTAATAAAGAAGAAAAGAGAGAAGAATCAAATAGACGCAATAAAAAATGATAAAGGGGATATCACCACCGATCCCACAGAAATACAAACTACCATCAGAGAATACTACAAACACCTCTATGCAAATAAACTAGAAAATCTAGAAGAAACGGATAAATTCCTCAACACATACACCCTCCCAAGACTAAACCAGGAAGAAGTTGACTCTCTGAATAGACCAATAACAGGCTCTGAAATTGTGGCAATAATCAATAGCTTACCAACCAAAAAGAGTCCAGGACCAGATCGATTCACAGCCGAATTCTACCAGAGGTACAAGGAGGAACTGGTACCATTCCTTCTGAAAGTATTCCAATCAATAGAAAAAGAGGGAATCCTCCCTAACTCATTTTATGAGGCCAGCATCATCCTGATACCAAAGCCGGGCAGAGACACAACCAAAAAAGAGAATTTTAGACCAATATCCTTGATGAACATTGATGCAAAAATCCTCAATAAAATACTGGCAAACCGAATCCAGCAGCACATCAAAAAGCTTATCCACCATGATCAAGTGTGCTTCATCCCTGGGATGCAAGGCTGGTTCAATATACGCAAATCAATAAAAGTATTTTTATACTTTTTATTCTATTGGATGTCAATAGGTGTGAATTCCATTCAAATGTGAAATAACTCAGATTGTTGCTGATAGTGGTCATTTTCTTTTCAATGCCATAATTCGAGTTTTGTTTCTCCAAAACTATGATATCTCTGCTAGCTAAAGCAATCAAGGGTGAAATCAAATCATGTCATCTGGCTCAGGGTTAAATTTAGATGACATTTGTTTGTAATATTTTGACTGAATGTTATACAGTATAACATCCTAACAGTGGTTAGTATAGTGAAAAGC
The DNA here is from genome assembly GCF_000001405.40 of Homo sapiens. Lineage (NCBI taxonomy): Eukaryota > Metazoa > Chordata > Mammalia > Primates > Hominidae > Homo > Homo sapiens. Next base: position 68,273,314 of record NC_000008.11, read on the forward strand.
TCATTACCCTTTATCAGAATGTATAACATCCAAAGAGGACTCACTGATTATTGTGCATTTTTATTAAATTAGCACCTTTGACTCAAAGGTTCAAGTATACAAATGAACAGGAATAAGAATATTTTTGCACAGTCAGTCTGCATCCCTTCATACATAATTGGTCAGTAATGTTTCTTTCCTTTTCTTTAAAAAATTGTTCATTCTTTTACAATAGTATGTTTTATTTGGGTAGCTTTTTCATATAAAGGTTTAAAGTTAGGAAAATCCTATTTATTCGAACTGGCAGGAAGCTCAAAGAAGTTTTACTTTAATTCTCTGTCTTATTGACAAAGGGGATGTTGACATCAAAAAAGTGTCACTACAAATCCAAACTAAGTCTCTTACAGCCTCTCCATCTATAATATTATTCATGATGAGTAATGTGATTATTGATGAGCCTGGCACAATGTAAGATCTGAAAGTCTTTCTGAATCATCAAGAAGTGATTAAGTTATTGAGATACAGTGGATAGAATGTGGAACCAGAAGAGTTGTTTTAGAGTACTGACTGGGCCACTCACTGACAATGCTGTGACGGTCCAGCCTTTTCATCTTTCTGTGCCTAAGTTTTCTCAACTATAAAACTGAATTAATAATAGCATTATCTCAAAGGGCCAATAAGAATCAGATGATACAATGGATATGACTAAGCTGTGTAAATTATATGAAGAGCTATTTAAAGTTATTTAGTTCATAGTTTTGGGGGTAAAGATTTCTCATATTCCAATATTTTGAAATTAGTACCCTGCTCTATCACTAATGTGTTCTACATTTCCAATTTTTGTCATCTCAAAAATGTTACATAAATAGAACCATACAATATGCAACATTTTAGGTTTGGCATTTTTCACTTAGGATAATTCCCCAGAAATTCACCAAAGTTGTTTGTATCAGGAATTACTTTTTATTTCTGAGTAGTATTACCCATGAGATACTTAGAGTTCGCTTAACCATTCAAGTGCTGAAGGACTTTTGAGTTGATTCCAGCTTTTGGCTATTATGAATAAAGCTGTTATGAGCATTCATGTACAAGTATTTATTATTTATGAGAACATAAGTTTTCATTTCTGTGGGGTAGATGCCCAGAAGTGCAATTGCTGGATCATATTATAATTGTCAAGCTATTTGCCAGAGTGGCTGTGGCATTTTCCATTCTGATAAGCAATGTATGTGTGATCCAGTTCCTCTGCATCATCACCAGCGTTTGATGTTACCACCATTTTTAATTTTACCCATTCTTATAGGTATGTAGTGATATCTTATTGTGGTTTTAATTTGCAATTCCTTGATGGCTGTTGATATTGAATATCTTATTTACCATCTATACATCATTTGGGAGAATTGTTTTCTTTTCATGACTTTTGCCTATTTCTTAGTTGATTATTTTCTTACTGTTGAGTTTTGAGAATCTTTTCTATGTTCTATATACTAGTCTTTTGCAGGATATGTGGTTTATAAGCAGTTTCTTTCAGTCTGTGGTTTGTCTTTTCATCCTCTTAACAAGGTCTTTTGTCAAGCAAAAGCTTTACATTTTTATAAAGTCTAATTTATTATGTTTCCCTTTGTCTTTGAATTCTTTGTCTTGCTCTAGATTCTGAGGATTTTCTCCCTTTTTCCCAAGATACTCTTATATTTTATACTTAAATTCATGACCTATTTTGAGTTGACTTTTGTATAAAGTGTGAAGTTTTGGTCAAAGTTCTTTTTTAAATCCTTCCTCCATTGAACTGTTTGTGCAATTTTGCCAAAACTCAGTTGTGCATATTTGTATGGATTTATTTCTGGGTTCTCCTTTCTGTTCTATTGATCTATGGGTCTATTCCTTCAACAATATCACTCTGTCTTGTTTACCATAGCTATATAGTAAGACTTTATATCCAGGATAGGGACTTTGCCCATTTTATTATTTTTCAAGATTATTTTAGCTATTGTTGAGTCTATATTTTGCCATACAAATTTTCTCCTTTTTTTTTTAGCAATTGAGTCTTGTTATGTTGCCCAGGCTGCTCTCAAACTTTGGGGCTCCGATGATCCTCCCAGTTCAGCATCCTAAGTAACTGGGATTACAGGCTCACGCCACCATGCATCACTAAATTTTATAATAACTTGTCCATGTCTACAAAAAACCCTGCTGGAATTTTTATAGCAATTACATTAAACCTAGAAACTAATTTGGGGAGAATAGATGCCTTAACTACATTGAGTCTTCTATTCCATGAACATGATTTGTATCTCTGTTCATTTAGGTCTTTTATTTCTTTCATCAGGATTTTGTAATTTTCAGCATACAGATCTAATACATGTTTTCTTAAGTGTATACCTAAGTATCTCATTTTCTTTGGAGTGATTGTAAGTAATTTTATGCTTTTCATGACAGTTTCTGCATGTTCATTTTTACTATATAGAAAAGTGTTTAATGTTTGTGTGTTAATCTTGTATCATGCAGCATTACTGAACTCACTTATTAGCCCTATGTCTTTATTTGTAGATTTCTTAGAGTATTCTATATAGCCAATGATGTCATCTTCAAATAGGGACAATTTTCTTTCTTTCTTTCCAATTGGTATGCCTTTTACTTATTTTTCTTACTTTATTGCACTATCTAAAACTTAGAGCACTATGGTGAATAGAATCATCCATTTCTACTCAATTGCCAGATTTCGAAGTGAAAAGCTGTTTGTGGCAGTCCCATATTATTCTTATAATAGCTTTAGGATCTTTCTGTGATACTCCTTGCTTGATTCCTGATGGTGATATCAAATATTTTTGTCTTGTTCCTGTTCTTAAGAGAAAAGCAATCAGTGCTTTACTATTAAGTCTGATGCTAGCTGTAGGGTTTTTGTGATGGTAGTTACTCTCTATATCTAGTTTGCTGAGAGTTTTTGTCATGAAGGTTGACTTTTGTCAATGCTTTTCTACATCAACTGATAGTATCACAAAAATTTTCTTCTTGGGGTGGTCCCAAGATGGCCAAATAGGAATAGCTCCAGTCTACAGCTCCCAGCATGAGTGACTCAGAAGACAGGTGATTTCTGCATTTCCAACTGAGGTACCGAGTTCATCTCACTGGGGCTTGTAGGACAGTGGGGGCAGGACAGTGGGTGCAGCCCACTGAGCGAGAGCTGAAGCAGGGCAAGGCATTGCCTCACCTGGGAAGCACAAGGGGTCAGGGAATTCCCTTTCCTAGCCAGGGAAGCAGTGACGGATGGCAACTGGAAAATCAGGTCCCTCCCACCCTAATACTGTGCTTTTCCAACAGTCTTAGCAAACGGCACACCAGGAGATTATATCCTGTGCCTGGCTCAAAGGGTCCCACACCCATGGAGCCTCGCTCATTGCTAGCACAGCAGTCTGAGATCAATCTGCAAGGTGGCAGCAAGGCTGGGGGAGGGGCGTCCGCCATTGTTGAGGCTTGAATAGGTAAACAAAGTGGCCAGGAAGCTCGAACTTGGTGGAGCCCACCGCAGCTCAAGGAGGCCTGCCTGCCTTTGTAGACTCGACCTCTGGGGGCAGGGCATAGCTGAACAAATGGCAGCAGAAACCTCTGCAGACTTAAATGTCCTTGTCTGACAGCTTTGAAGAGAGCAGTGGTTCTCCCAGCATGGAGTTTGAGACCTGAGAACGGACAGACGGCCCCCTCAAGTGGGTCCCTGACCCCGGAATAGCCTAACTGGGAGGCACCCTCCAGTAGGGGCAGACAGACACCTCACACGGCCAGGTACCCCTCTGAGACAAAGCTTCCAGAGGAATGATCAGGCAGCAACATTTGCTGTTCAGCAATATTAGCTGTTCTGCAGCCTCCGCTGCTGATACCCAGGCAAACAGGGTCTGGAGTGGACCTCCAGCAAACTCCAACAGACCTGCAGCTGAGAGTCCTGACTGTTAGAAGGAAAACTAACAAACAGAAAGGACATCCACACCAAAACCCCATCTATACATCCCCATCATAAAAGACCAAAGGTAGATAAAACCACAAAGATGGGGAAAAAACAGAGCAGAAAAGCTGAAAATTCTAAAAATCAGAGCACCTCTCCCCCTCCAAAGGAACACAGCTCCTCGCCAGCAATGGAATAAAGCTGGATGGAGAATGACTTTGATGAGTTGAGAGAAGAAGGCTTCAGAAGATCAAACTCCTCCAAGCTAAAGGAAGAAGTTCGAACCCATCGCAAAGAAGCTAAAAACCTTGAAAAAAGATTAGATGAATGGCTAACTAGAATAACCAATGTAGAGAAGTCCTTAAATGACCTGATGGAGCTGAAAAACATGGCACGAGAACTATGTGATGAATGCACAAGCTTCAGTAGCCGATTCGATCAACTGGAAGAAAGGGTATCAGTGATTGAAGATCAAATGAATGAAATGAAGCGAGAAGAGAAGTTTAGAGAAAAAAGAGTAAAAAGAAACTACAAAGCCTCCAAGAAATATGGGACTATGTGAAAAGACCAAATCTACGTCTGATTGGTGTACCTGAAAGTGATGGGGAGAATGGAACCAAGATGGAAAACACTCTGCAGCATATTATCCAGGAGAACTTCCCCAACCTAGCAAGACAGGCCAACATTCAAATTCAGGAAATACAGAGAACGCCACAAAGATACTCCTCAAGAAGAGCAACTCCAAGACACATAATTGTCAGATTCACCAAAGTTGAAATGAAGGAAAAAATGTTAAGGGCAGCCAGAGAGAAAGGTCGGGTTACCCACAAAGGGAAGCCCATCAGACTAACAGCGGATCTCTTGGCAGGAACTCTACAAGCCAGAAGAGAGTGGGGGCCAATATTCAACATTCTTAAAGAAAAGAATTTTCAACCCAGAATTTCCTATCCAGCCAAACTAAGCTTCATGAGTGAAGGAGAAATAAAATCTTTATAGACAAGCAAATGCTGAGAGATTTTGTCACCACCAGGCCTGCCCTACAAGAGCTCCTGAAGGAAGCACTAAACATGGAAAGGCACAACCAGTACCAGCCGCTGCAAAATCATGCCAAAATGTAAAGACCATAGAGACTAGGAAGAAACTGCATTAACTAACGAGCAAAATAACCAGCTAGCATCATAATGACAGGATCAAATTCACACATAACAATATTAACTTTAAATGTAAATGGACTAAATGCTCCAATTAAAAGACACAGACTGGCAAGTTGGATAAAGAGTCAAGACCCATCAGTGTGCTGTATTCAGGAAACCCATCTCACGTGCAGACACACATAGGCTCAAAATAAAAGGATGGAGGAAGATCTACCAAGCAAATGGAAAACAAAAAAAGGCAGGGGTTGCAAGCCTAGTCTCTGATAAAACAGACTTTAAACCAACAAAGATCAAAAGAGACAAAGAAGGCCATTACATAACGGTAAAGGGATCAATTCAACAAGAAGTGCTAACTATCCTAAACATATATGCACCCAATACAGCAGCAACCCGATTCATAAAGCAAGTCCTTAGAGACCTACAAAAAGAGACTCCCACACAATAATAATGGGAGACTTTAACACCCCACTGTCAACATTAGACACATCAATAAGGCAGAAAGTTAACAAGGATATCCAGGAATTGAACTCCACTCTGCACCAAGTGGACCTAACAGACATCTACAGAACTCTCCACACCAAATCAACAGAATATACATTTTTTTCAGCACCACACCACACCTATTCCAAAATTGACCACATAGTTGGAAGTAAAGCACTCCTCAGCAAATGTAAAAGAACAGAAATTATAACAAACTATCTCTCAGACCACAGTGCAATCAAACTAGAACTCAGGATTAAGAAACTCACTCAAAACCTCTCAACTACATGGAAACTGAACAACCTGCTTCTGAATGACTACTGGGTACATAACAAAATGAAGGCAGAAATAAAGATGTTCTTTGAAACCAGTGAGAACAAAGATACAACATACCAGAATCTCTGGGACACATTCAAAGCAGTGTGTAGAAGGAAATTTATAGCACTAAATGCCCACAAGAGAAAGCAGGAAAGATCCAAAATTGACACCCTAACATCACAATTAAAAGAACTAGAGAAGCAAGAGCAAACACATTCAAAAGCTAGCAGAAGGCAAGAAATAACTAAGATCAGAGCAGAACTGAAGGAAATAGAGACACAAAAAACCCTTCAAAAAATTAATGAATCCAGGAGCTGGTTTTTTGAAAAGATCAACAAAATTGATAGACCACTAGCAAGACTAATAAAGAAGAAAAGAGAGAAGAATCAAATAGATGTAATAAAAAATGATAAAGGGGATATCACCACCGATCCCACAGAAATACAAACCACCATCAGAGAATACTATAAACACCTCTATGCAAATAAACTAGAAAACCTAGAAGAAATGGATAAATTCCTTGACACATACACCCTCCCAAGACTAAACCAGGAAGAAGTTGAATTCCTGAATAGACCAATAACAGGCTCTGAAATTGAGGCAATAATTAATAGCCTACCAACCAAAAAAAAGTCTAGGACCAGACGGATTCACAGCCAAATTCTACCAGAGGTACAAGGAGGAGCTGGTACCATTCCTTGTGAAACCATTCCAATCAATAGAAAAAGAAGGAATCCTCCCTAACTCATTTTATCAGGCCAGCATCATCCTGATACCAAAGCCTGGCAGAGACACAACAAAAAAAGAGAATTTTAGACCAATATCCCTGATGAACATTGATGCAAAAATCCTCCATAAAATACTGGCAAACTGAAGCCAGCAGCACATCAAAAAGCTTATCCACCATGATCAAGTGGGCTTCATCCCTGGGATGCAAGGCTGGTTCAACATACGCAAATCATTAAACGTAATCCAGCATATAAACAGAACCAAAGACAAAAACCACATGATTATCTCAATAGATGCAGAAAAGGCCTTTGACAAAATTCAACAGCGCTGCATGCTAAAAACTCTCAATAAATTCGGTATTCATGGGACGTATCTCAAAATAATAAGAGCTATTTATGACAAACCCACAGCCAATATCATACTGAATGGGCAAAAACTGGAAGCATTCCCTTTGAAAACTGGCACAAGACAGGGATGCCCTCTCTCTCCACTCCTATTCAACCTTGTGTTGGAAGTTCTGGCCAGGGCAATCAGGTAGGAGAAAGAAATAAACGGTATTCAATTAGGAAAAGAGGAAGTCAAATTGTCCCTGTTTGCAGATGACATGATTGTATATTTAGAAAACCCCATTGTCTCAGCCCAAAATCTCCTTAAGCTGACAAGCAACTTCAGCAAAGTCTCAGGATACAAAATCAATGTGCAAAAATCACAGGCATCCTTATACACCAATAGCAGACAAACAGCCAAATCATGAGTGAACTCCCATTCACAACTGGGGGGAGGGATAGCATTAGGAGATATACCTAATGTAAATGACGAGTTAATGGGTGCACCACACCAACGTGGTGCATGTATACATATATAACAAACCTGCACGTTGTGCACATGTGCCCTACAACTTAAAGTATAATAAAAATTAAAAAAAGACACTATCTCAAATTAAATAAATAAATAAAATGCAAATAAAATAATTTAATTATGCAACAGATATTACCTGCAAATAAAATGTGTAATTATCTACCAAATGGAATTAAGTATGGTATAAATCAAGTAGAACACCAATTCCCACATATACCAGCCAAGATGTCTGCCACGATGCGTTATTCTCATGCATTATGACTAAATATAATTTATATAAATCTTAAGAAAACTCCAAAAAATTTTTTTCTTCTTTAGCCTATTGCTATAGTGGATTACATGGATTGATTTTTCAATGTGGAGTTAACCTTGCACATGTGGAAAAAGTCCACTTCGTTATGTTATATTATTCTTTTAATACATTGCTGGACTTAGCTTGCTAAAATTTTGTTGAGGGTTTTGTGATTAAGTTCATGAGATATATTTACCTGTAGTTTCTTTCTCTCATGATAGTTCTGTATTTTTGGTGTCAAGGTAATACTAGTCTCATAAAATAAATTGGGAAGCGTGTCTTCTTTTGTTCTTTGGAAGAGATTGTGTAAAACTGATGCTAATTCTTCATTAAATGTTTGGTAGTATTCTCCATTGAAACCATCTGGGCCTGTGATTTTCTTTTTTGGGAGCTTTTAAATTATTATTTTAACTTATTTCATGGTTATGGGAATATATAGATTATTTCATTTTGGTTGAGATTTGGTAATGTTTTCATCACTTCCCATTTGCCCCATTGGTAAAGGGAGATTTCCCCCCCAGTGTTATGGGGATGGCCAACCACACAACACCCAACACTGGAAAGATGAGATTGACAACAGTTCATTAGTCACACATACTCACAGCCTGTGGGACGGGGATATCACATGCCACACAGAGACTCAGGATAGAACTCAGGAACAGAGTGAACAACCAGGGGCCGTGGAAGGCAGGCTTTATAATTTCAAGAGGATGAGGCACTTCTTGGTTCCCACAAGAAGATGTGATGGACTCATTTGAACAATCTGTGGCCTGGCAGGAAACGGAAACCTGCAACTCAGGGATAAACAGGTACAATGCCTGGTCCTTTTAATAAGAAGCGTTGTTTGGTTAGAGGACCTTATCCACAGGATCAGAATGTAGAGGGGAAATTGCAAGTAGGTCACTCAGGGCCCTCCCAATTTCAGCAGATGTTAAGGCCAACATATTAGGCCTTAGTTTTAGGACTACCACAAGCAGTTCATAGTTTTTGAGGAATGGTCTATTTCTATTAAATTGTCAGATTTGCAATTGTAAAACTGTTTGTAATATTACTTTACAATTCGTATAATAATTTTAGGATCTGCAGTGATACTCCCGGTTTATTCCTGATATTGATGATTTGTGTCTTCTCTCTTTATTTTTGTAAATCTTGCATGAGGTTTATAAATCTTGTTGATTTTTTTGAGGAACTTTTAAAACAGGTTTTTTTCTTTTACTTTCAATTTTCAACATTATTAATTGTTATTCTTGCCTTTATTATTCCCTAGCTTGTACTTGTTTTGGGCTTAGTTTGCTCTTTGTTTTTCTAGTTTCTTGAGGTACAAACTTAGATTATTGATTTGAGGTTTTTCTAATATCGAATGTACTGATTTCATGCCATAAATTTTCCCCTCAGGACTGTTTTAGCTGCATCCTCAATATTTTGATATGTTGTATTGTTATTTTTGATCAGGTCTACATTGTAAAATTTTCTTTGAGACTTACTCTTTGACCTATAGATTATTTAGAAGCATGTTGTTTAATTTTAGTGTTGATATGGTTTGGATCTGTATCCCCTCCCAAATCTCATGCCAAATTGTTATCCTCTATGTTGGAGCGGGGGGGCCTGGTGGGAGGTGATTGGATCATGGGGAAGATTTTGCTCTTGGTGCAGTTCTCATGATAGCGAGTGAATTCCTATGAGATCTGGTCATGTAAAAGTATGTGGCACCTCCCCCCACCTCTTGCTCCCACTCTAGCACCATGTAAGATGTTCCCACTTCCCCTTCTGCCCTGATTGTAAGTTTCCTGAGGCCTCCCCAGAAGCAGAAGCTGAAGCTGGTTCTGTATATGCTTCCTGTATAAACTTCAGATCTGTGAGCCAATTAAACCTCTTTTCTTTATAAATTACCCAGACTCAGCTATTTCTTTGCAGCAATGTGAGAAAGGACTAATACAACTGTGTTCAGAGATTTTCCTATTGTGTCTTAGTGATTTCTAGTTTGATTCCATTAGGACCAGAGAACACTGTTTGATTTCAATCTTGAATTCGTGGAGCTTTGCTTTATGGCCTAAGATAGGGTCTGTCTTGGCGAATGCTCTATGGACACTTGAGAAAATCTATATTCTGTGTTTGTTGGATTGAGCATTCTTCTATAAATATGAATTGAATTCTGTTGGTTCAGAGCTCCTATAATTGTGCCTATATTCCACCTTGTAGTTTTATCAGTTGCTAAGATGGATAATTGGCCCCTAATTTTAATTGTGATTTTGTCTATTTCTCTTTTCTGCTTTGTCAATTTTGTTTCCTGCATTTTGAAGCTCTGTTGTTAGATGTGTACACATTTAGGATTCTTATGTCTTCATGGTGAATTTATATTTTTATCATTATGTGATATTTTTCTTTATCTCTGGTAATTGTCCTTGTTCTAATTTCTACTTAATATGCTATTGATATAGACACTTCTCCTTCTGTTCAGTTAATATTTGCATGGTATATTCTTTCCAGCCCTTTACTTTAAATCTACCCGTGTCATTGAATTTAAAGTGAGTTTCTTGTAAAGTGCATATCCTTGGGTCATATTTTATTATATATCCTGCCAATTTCTGTCTTTTAATTGGTATATTTAGATCTTTTACATTTAAGTTAATTATTAAGATGTTAGAGCTGAAGTCTGTCATTTTATTATTTGTTTTCTATTTGTTCATTCTGATTCTCACTTCTTTATCTTTTTTTGCCATTTTGTGAATTACTTAAACATTTTTTAGAATTCCACCTTTATTTATTTATAGTGTTTTTCAGAGCATCTCTTTGTATAATTTTTCTAGTGGTTGCTTTGGGCATTACAATATGCATTAGTGACTTACCACAGTCAACTTGGATGAACATTTTCCACTTTAAGTGCATGGAAACCTTACTTCTATTTCCCTTCCTCACTTTTAAATATCATTGTCTTGAGTATCAGATGCTGTTAAAATTTTTGTTTCAATCATTAAACATGATTTCTATAACTCTTGAAAGGGATAGTATATAGTATGTACCCATGTTTCTGTTCTTTTCATTGTTCTTTCTTTCCAGATTCTCCAGATTTCCTTTTTTATCACTTTCCTTCTGTATGAAGAACTTCATTTAGGGCCACCTTTTAAGGTAGGTCTACAGGCAAAAGCTCTTTTAGTTTTCCTTTTTCTGAGAATGTCTTTATTTCCCCTACATTCCTGAAAGACAGTTTCATTGGATATAGATTTTGTGGTTTACAGTTCTTTTTTTCCAGAACTTGAAAAATGTGCCACTTCCTTCTGTTTAATTTTTTCCAATGTATCTTTGTTTGAAATCTTTGGGTTTATCCTGATTAAGGTTCATTCAGCTTCTGGAATCTGTAGTTTTGTTTATTTCACCAAATTTGGGCAAAGTTCAGTCATTTTATTCTCAAATACTCTTTTAGCCTCACTCCGTTTTTTCTTTCATTCTGAGACTTTGATGATACAGACGTGGGAAATTTCGTTATTGTCCTACAGGTTGTAATTTCGTTATTGTCCTACAGGAAATTTCGTTATTGTCCTACAGGTTGTAAGGTTCTGGTTGGTTGGTTCTTCAGTCTATTTTCTCACTGTTGTTCTTATGGAGTAAATTCTAGTGATCTGCCCTCAACTTTATTGGCTTTATCCTTTGTCATCTCTCCTGTGCTATAGAACCCATCCAATAAGTTTTTTTACTAATTTGTTATTTTTTTCTATAATTTCCATTTGTTTCTGTTTTTACTTCTTTTATTTCACTGAGATTTTATGATGGCTGCTTTGGTCAGGCCAGGCACGGTGGCTCATGCCTGTAATCCCAGCACTTTGAGAGGCCGAGGTGGGCTGATTAGTTGAAGTCAGGAGTTTGAGATCAGCCTGGCCAATATGGTGAAACCCTATCTCTACTAAAAATATAAAAATTAGCCCGCGTGGTGGCACATGCTTGTAATCTCCACTACTTGGGAGGCTGAGGCAGGAGGATTGCTTGAACCCAGGAGGGGGAGGTTGCAGTCAGCCGAGAGTGCGCCACTGAACTCCAGCCTGGGTGACAGAGTGAGACTCCATCTCAAAATAAATAAATAAATAAAATCCTTGGTCAGATAATTCCAACATCTGACTCTTCTCAACATTTACATCATTGACAGTTTTACTTATTCAAGTTGTGATTTTTTTATTGTATCTTTGACATTTTGGTTATGTTAGAAGATTCTGGATCCTATCTAAATATATATATATTTAATGTATATATACACACACATTATATATATATTATATACACACACATTATATATATATTATATATACATACATTATATATATATATAGTATATATATATATACTTTTTTTTTCTTTTTGAGATGGAGTCTCGCTCTGTTGCCCAGGCTGGAGTGCAGTGGTACAATCTCGGCTCACTGCAAGCTCCGCCTCCCAGGTTCACGCCATTCTCCTGCCTCAGCCTCCCAAGTAGCTGGGACTACAGGCTCCAGCCAGTACGCCCGGCTAATTTTTTGTATTTTTAATAGAGATGGGGTTTCACCGCGTTAGCCAGGATGGTCTCGATCTCCTGACCTCATGATCCGCCCTCCTTGGCCTCCCAAAGTGCTGGGATTACAGGCGTGAGCCACTGCGCCCGGCCTTAAATATTTTCTTCTAGCAGGCAGTCATCTTGTTTGGGTTTAGCATGCAGGTCCTAGTCTAATTTTGTAGGCTATGGTTCCAATGACACTTTAATTTTCAGAGCCTTTGTGGTGTTCTTTTGGTCTTTTGGTACCACTAGGGCCCCCACTTGCCCCTGCTGGTGTTGCCTGGTAGGACAAAATGAGTTGCCTCAGGCCAGATGCCTGGTGTCTTTTTATGGGAGAAGGAAGTGTTAGGCCCTTGATGATGAAGTTGTTTGCTGGGCCAGGTGTTTGTTGTGATAGATATATTCTCTCAGGGCCTCCTACTGAGTCTGGATTGGAAATGGGAGTTTTGAGTCCCTTGGAACAAAGAGGCTCCTGGGGCTGGGACACTTCTTGTGGTGGGGTTCTTCTTGCAGGTGACACCCCACTGACCCAGAATCTCTCAGCGAGAGTGAGAGAGAACCAGGCCTGTCAGGGAATGAGTCCTCCCACTGGCCACTCTCATTCGCCAGGCTCCTAATGAATTTCATTTGCCAGTGACACAGGGCTTGACTAGTTTTCCCGGTTTTGTTGGAGAGACTCCCATTTGATTTAGGGGAGGAATGAAACTACCTGAGCTGTCTCTTCTGTTGCTAGGTTGTGTGTCAGAAAATACAGGTTACTTTCTTCTGTTGGGGTGCGGTCAGGAGATGTAAATGCCTTGCAGCTCTGTTGTTCCTCCATTCCTGGGGTCACAATTCAGTTCTCCTTCCTCTTACTGCCTTTCAGAATCCTGCCTTTGGTTGCCTAGTGTATTATTTCCAGCATTTGTAGTCATACTTAGCTGGGAGGAGTAGAGAGAAATGAAGTCTATGACATCTTGCCTAGGCTAGAAATCCTAAACTAACTAAAAACATGATTTTTATAACTTAGAGGGTGCTATGCTTCAAAAATCAGATGACTTTACATGTGTGCGTCTGTTTCTGGCTTCTATTCTGTTTCATGATTCTATGTTTTGATTAATCAAGTGTGTCTCTGATCTTCAGTGTAAACTATAACTCTGCTCACTGCACCATAAAAAAACAAGTTATAGTTTAGGTATAGTTTTGCTGGTGCTGCTGCTATTGCTTGTCTATATTCAGCTGATATTTCATGATATTTTATGGCTTATTTTTCCATGTGTAAAAATAGGGAGATTCATCAAAAATTTGTTTCTGAAATCTGTTACTAAATAAACCACCAATGACATGGAAAATATAAACTAGCAAATGAGGGAAATAGTTTGGCAAAGATTCTCATGAGATTTTGAACAGAGGTCTCTTCAAGTTCATCAAATCAATAAACACTTACTCAGAATATCTCACCCTGTGACTTTAGGCTTGACCCTTCAATCTTCTCCCTGTCAATTTCCTACTTTATAATTCAACTATTTTTTCATGGTTCTGTAATTGTTCTTCCAGTTTTCTTTAACTCTGTGTTTTGTAAGTCCTATTCTGGGCGTTATGTCTGATGCAAAAGTTGAGATTGTACTATAACTGCCTGAAATATAATTACAGACATAAGATCAATACATGTATAAATATAATTATCCAAAGCATATTATTGGAATAGAATCATAGTCAAATGATGTGAACAAAAGCTTGCTAGACTGTAAGCTGTATGAGGGAAAAAACTGGATTGATTTTTATTTTTTTATTTTTTATATTTTTGAGACAGGGTCTCACTCTTTGGCCCAGGCTGGAGTGCAGTGACATGATCACAGCTCACTGCAGTCTCGACCTCCTGGGCTTAGGTGATCCTCCCTCTTCAGCCTCCTGAGTAGCTGGGACTACAGGTGTGTGCCACCATGCCTGGCTAATTTTTTTTATATTTTTGTAGAGACAGGGTTTTGCTGTGTTGCCCAGGCTGCTCTTGAACTGCTGGGCTCAAGCTATCTGCCCACTTTGGCCTCTCAAAGTGCTAGGATTACAGATATGAGCTATCATGCCCTATGTCTGATTTTTTATTCCATTTTATCCTCAGTGTCCAGAGCAAAGGCTCAGTGAATATTCATTGAATTAAAAATTAATCACACAAGGAATATGTTAAAAGTTACATTTGGTATAGTGTGAGAAAGTGTAGCTAACCAACAAGAAAGAAAAGTATAGCTAACCAATCAGAATGGGCACTGTCTGGGGTGTTGCATTAGTGTGCACCAGTGATTATGAGGCATGAGTGCAGAGGCAGGAGAGGGAGAGAGAGTTGTGTAGTTAGGGGAGGTGCCACTTGATCCAGGCTTGAAAGATTTGTGGATTTCAGGTTGGGGTGAGGGAGGAGGATGGTATTTAACTGCGGCAAATAATTTGAGTAAAAGTACAGAGGTGAGAATTCTGGAGAATAGTAAGCAGAACAATCTGGTTTAATCGGAGACGAGAAGTTTTTACAAGTCGTTTAGAGTCCAGATATTGCAGGGTCTGATATTTGTACTCTCCTTTTGTGCTCATTTTGTACTCTCATGTATCGTTGCCGTGTGTGTGTGTGTGTGTGTGTGTGTGTGTGTGTGTGTGTGTGTGTGTATGTCTCCAAAAGAATGAGGAAGCTGTCCTCACAGGGTTAACAAGAATTCTGGACAGAAATATAGCTATAATTGATCATTAATCAGGGTGCACCTTGACTTCACAGGGTGCACCTTGACCACAGAAGTCATGTAGCACTAGATATTTACCATTTGCATCCTCATTGTTCCTATAATAGATATGATTTCCGACATTAGAATCATAAGGCTTTTGTTTAAGAGTTGCTTAAGGTGTTTTTAAGATTCTGAATTCCAGTAAATATAGTTTCTTCAACTCCCTGTCCCACAGCTTCACCTGCACTCTTTGATCAATCAAGGATCTTCACACTTCGGCCTACTCCAAAACCCTTAACAACCCTAGCCTCAAACTCTTGGGGGAGACAAATCTGAGGTTCTCTCCTATCTCCTCATTTGGCAGCCCTATGATTGATCCTCTTTCTCTGCTGCAATCCCGTGTCTCAGCATATTGACTTGCCATGTGCAGTCAACGAAGCTATTACAGTTACAATAATAACAATAAAACATTTGTGAATATTATTTTTCTGTCATCTCCCTTTTCATTGTTATTTAATTAATTTAACTAAATTTTAGAAGTTTAGTTTTAGAAACCCAGTGAATCATCAGCCTTTAACAAGCAGCATTAAAATTTAAAACGCTCAAAATGCACAAATTCTTTCATTTATTTTAGCAATACATGTTCTCATAAAATCAGATTGCAACTTATTATCAATATTCAATGAATGAAAGAAAAAATAGTATATTTTGGCCATGTAATCCTTGGAGCTTGCCTCTTTGGCTCTCTCTTTTCTACAGGGGAAAATAAAAACAACCAGTAAATTTTTTATGTGGCGTATATAATCACAAGAATGGCAGGGTCACATTACATGCTCATAAATAAATCATTCTAAGGCTCCCTCATATGTATTACTCCCTCCTCAACCTTGTTCTGATCTAGGAGGCATTGAAGAGAAAGTAAGGCAGAAGCATCATTTTGTTATAGAGAAAACAAGGCTAATAAATACTGAATCCACTACTTGGACTCTCTTCGTTCCTTTTTTCCCAGCACTATTGACTGGGACACAGAATGTCTTTTATCAGAACCTGAAAAAGTAAGATAGATTTAATCATTGATTTAAAAAAAAGATCTGAAAGAATTATTATCTTATTGTTATAGAAATAGACCAAGACACACGTTTTATTATTTGACTTGAACGTGGAATCTCATTGGATACACTGTATACACTGGAAAAGAATGCCCGTAATAATTGAGTTATCAGAATGTCATTCTGACTTAAGTAATACACGAAAAGAGATTTCAGTATTGCACTATTGTGTATTCTCCTATCAAATAGCACAAATGCCTCTTTCGAGGAAAATAAAGAGATAATGGGATGAACATATAGATAAAATTAAGGTTACTACAATAAAAATCTTCATACCATATTTGCATTTTCATGATATGAATTTGCATTTCATATGAGAAATAACATTTCATATAATGAAAATGCAAATATGGTATTAAGACTTTTATTGTAGTAACCTTAATTTCTTTCTTTCTCTTACATTAAAAAAATTGAACCCACCAATGTAAAACAAAGGATTCACCTTAAGAATTGGTTTTATGCCTTTAAAATATTAATTGATTATCTCAACTAATAAAACTTCTGAAGAGACCTTGCAATTTTTTTTTTTTTTTTTTTTTTTTTTTTCTGAGACCTGGTCTCCCTCTGTTGCTCAGGCTGGAGTGCAGTGTTGCGATCTTGGCTCACTGCAAGCTCCGCCTCCCGGGTTCACGCCATTCTCCTGCCTCAGCCTCCCGAGTAGCTGGGACTACAGGCGCCCGCCACCATACCCGGCTAATTTTTTGTATTTTTTTAGTAGAGATGGGGTTTCACCGTGTTAACCAGGATGTTTTCCATCTCCTGACCTCGTGATCTGCCCGCCTCAGCCTCCCAAAGTGTTGGGATTACAGGCGTGAGCCACTGCGCCCGGCCCCCTTGCAATTATTGAATGAGCATACAGAAACATTCAGATTACTCCCTTTCATTAGTTTTAAAAAGATGCTAATCTCAATGATCTACACAGGCCAATTTGTTAAAAGATAAAATGGTTTAATATTTGGTGAGTAGAACCTCAGAGCCTAATCAGTTCAGCACCAACTTCATCGCGGTGATTGACTAGTCAGAATCATCTTCGCATTTAAATCCTTTTCTCGTCTCCTGTATTTCCCAAAGCTTTTTAGCATTCTGTGATTTCCATTGTTATTCATTCTTCCTTGCATCTTTATATTTGCTACATTACAACTTACACTGTTCATGTCATTTTAAAAAATTTTAATATTTTAATTTTTCCAAATGAATTTAAACATTGTCATTTCAAAATATAATCCACATAAAATGGTGAAAAAAGATATTTTATACGCTTGCTTTAAACTGTCTTCAAAATTTAGTGTATAATTTTACACTTACAGTGCATCTCAATTTGAAAGTTAAATTTTATCAGATACACTTAATCTGTATTTAGATTTTATAAGATGTACAGTTGAAAGAAGATTTACATATCCAACTTGTTCCAAACACACCTTAACATTTTTCCAATAATTAAATCAAATGTCAGTTTTTAGAGTTAAATTTACACTAATTAAAATTGTATTTTAAAATTCCCCATTTTTTAATTGCTGAATGGTATTCCACTGTATGGATGGACCACGGTTGGTTTATCCATTCACCCAATGAAGTGTGTTTGAGCTGTTTCTAGTTCTTGGTAATTGTAATAGAGCTGCTATGAATATTTCTGTGTAGGTTTTTATATGGACATAATGTTTCACTCCTCTAGTAAATGTCAAAGAGTGGGAATTCTGGGTCATAAGGTAAGTCTATATTTAATGTTATAAAAAAAACTGTCAAACTGTTTTCTGGAGTAGTTGTACTATTTTGCATTCCCACCTGCAATATATGAGAGTTCCAGTTGCTCTGTATTCTCACCAGCACTTGGTATGGTGAGTAACTTTTATTTTAGCCATTCTATTGTGTGTGATATGGTTTATTTCTCTCATAGCTGGTGATGTTGAACATTGTTTCAAGTGTGTAACTGTCTTTGCTATATCTTTTTTTGGTGATATACCTGTTCAAGTATCTATACATGTTGTAGAATTGATAACCTGTATCTCTGTGGGAAATAACGTGATCAACTAGAGTACAATGCTTTCCTAGAGGTTCGTTTGCCTTTGGTCTGACACCCTGTTTCCAGCTACTTAGGTCAGAAACTTTACCCTGTCTCTATCAGGGAAGTTGTTTCATATACATGTAATGCAGTTAGATTATTTTGTCATGTTCTGCATTTTATCCCGTGATCCCTAAACCTTCTAAAATATTTCATTAAAAATTGCATGTGGCTGGGCATGGTGGCTCACGCCTGTAATCCCAGCACATTAGGAGGCTGAGGCGGGCAGATCATGAGGTCAGGAGTTCGAGATCAGCCTGGCCAACATGGTGAAACCCTGTCTCTACTAAAAATAGAAAAATCAGCTGGGCGCGGTGGTGGGCACCTGTAATCTCAGCTACTCAGGATGCTGAGGCAGGAGAATCACTTGAACCAGGGAGGCAGAGGTTGCAGTGAGCCGAGATCATACCACTGCACTCCATCCTGGGTGACAGAGTAAGACTTTGTCTCGGGGGAAAAAAGAAAAAAACGAAAATTTGAATGCATTAAGGTTCATTCTTTGAGCTAAGTTCTATGGGTTTTAGCAAATGCAGAGCATCATGTATTCACCACAATAAATAGTTTTACTGCCTTACACACATCCTGTTTTTCACCTATTCTACCCTGCCAACCCTTAATCCAACCCAACTACTGATCTATTAGCTGTCTCTATATTTTTATCTTTTCCAGCATATCATACAGTTGAAGTCACAAAGTGTGTAACCTTTTCAGACTGGCTTCTTTTATTTAGTAAAATATATTTCAACTCATTCAAGTCTTTGTGTGGCTTGATGGTGCGCTTTTTTTTTTAAGGTAATTTTAGAACTTTATTTGATGTATTTGAGGATCAGCAGTTAGTTCTCATCCACACTAACTGTAGATTTTTGAAAGTGGTTACCCGTGATGGAAGTGACCACTGCCATCATTCTGGCTGCAGGAGAGAGGCGGGGCTGGGGCTGGACACTCCATGGAGCCGGTGGGAGCCCCGCCCCTTCTCAGTTGGGATGAGAGCTCCCCGGGTGACGCTGCAGCCACCCGAAACACAGCTGCAGACCCAGGTGTCTTGCTCTATGGAGGAGGCAGGAGTCCCATCCTCCTGGGCGGGCTACAACCACCCAAACTGCAGCCACGGCTCCGAGCCTCCCTGTGTTCTCATGGGAGGGGCAGGAGCAGGCAGGATCTGCCCCGCTACCGGTGCTGCTGCGGCCACCCTCCCAGGCGGAGGAGCCGGGCGTCTCTGCAGCCGGCACTCTCAATGGCCCCAGGAAGGATGCCCCGCCATCCCTGCAGGTTCAGGGGTGTCTGCTCCCACTGTCTGGCCTCTCTCCACTTCTGGTGCCTGCTCCAATCTCCTAGCAGGGCTTGGGCTGAGCCACAGGGCCTTGACTGGCAGCGGGAGGCAGACAGAGTCCTGGGATGAAGGGGGCAGGTCCCCAGTAAAGCCCCACCTTCAGGCCAGGGAGGGCCTGCAGGCTGCGGGCTAGGCTGCCAGTCCCGTGGACCTGAGTGGGGACTCATGGTGCCTCTTCTGGGCTCCCTATGGCTGCCCAGGGACCAATTGGCAGGCACTTCCTCCCCTCTGAGGTCCAGGGCAGAGGACAATGGCCGGAGGAGAGGACAGCAGAGAGATGACAGTAGAACCAGATGCAAAGAGGAGTACCCTCTCGCTGAGAGCTACAGAGATGACCTGATGGTAGGGAGGAGCTACTTTCCCTGCTGAGAGCTTCAGAGACCAGTAGAGAGGAGCTACTGTCTCTGCTGAGAACTTCAGAGACCTGCAGAGACGAGCTACTCTCTGCTGAGAGTTTCAGAGACCTGCAGAGATGTCCAAATGACTTACCTGTGGACAGGAGCCACCCTCTCCAGGGCCTCCTCTCTGCTGAGAACTGAACCTTGGACGGATGACCTGCCTACAGAGATGAGCTACCCACTGCATGTCTCCTCCGAGTTGTTGTAACACTTAATAAAGCTTATCTTCATCCTGTTTACCCTTCATTTGTCTGTATACCTCATTCTTCCGGAACACAGGACAAGAACTCAGGCAAGGGTGCCATCAGCCACAGAGGTTTCTGGGAAGAAAATCAACACCCCAAAGATCCCAGTACACAGGTACATAGGTAACAAAAGTATTTGTTACTTTTCCCGGACAACCACACATGGATACGATATGGGACATTCTTTATTCCTTTGGCCCAGACAGCTTAGTTAAGCCTGGTATCAATGCACACATCTGGAGTTCATGTCTTCTTCATGGCAAATTTCCAGATCTCTTTGAGTGCTGGAGGGGCATGCTTCTTCAAGCCCACTCCATGGATGTGTTTGTGAATGTTGATGATGTATTCTTGTCACCACATCGTTGATGGGGGAACGGCCCTTTTTCTTCCAGCCACCCTTCTTTGTGGGAGTCATTCTGCTGGGCCCAAGTTGGAAAGGCCATAGTGCATTTCTTTTTATCATCAGATAGTATTCCTTTGTTTGGATATGCTACAATTTGTTTATCCTTTCATCTATTGAAGGATATCTTGGTTGCTTCCAGTTTTTGGCAGCTATAAGTTGCTATAAACATTTGTGTGCAGGTTTTTGTGTGGATATGTTTTCAAATCACTTGGGTAAATAACTAAGAGTGCAATTGGTGAATCATATGATAAGACTGTGTTTAACTTTGTAAAAAATACTGCCAAATGGTCTTCAAAGTGGCTATACTGTTTTGTATTTCCAGTAGTAATGAATGAAAGATCTGTTGCTCTGATCTTCTCTAGCAATTGGTATAGCCAGTTTTAATGAACTTTAGGGTAGGCACTAATCCAATGTGACTGGTGTTCTTATAAGAAAAGGAAGAGACATCAGAGATGAATGCACACTGAGAAAGGACCCTATGAGAATACAGCAAGAAGGCAGCCATGTACAAACCAAAGAGAGAGTCCTCAGGAGAAACCAAATCTGCCAACACCTCGATCTTGGACTTTCAGCCTCCAGAACTGTGTGAAAATAAATATCTATTATTTAAGCCACCAAGTTTGTGGTATTTTGTTATGCCAGCCTGAGCAAACTAATACGCAAGGTTTCAAAGTTTTTCTTCTATGTTTTCTTCAAGAAGCTTTATAGTTTTTGCATATAGATGTGGAATTTTAGCAGTACAAATTATTAAAGAGGCTGTCTTTTTCCATTGAAGTACTTTTGCAATTTTATTAAAGATCAGTTGACTATATTTGTATAGCATTATTATTCTTTTATTATTTAGATGAGTGCATGTGAATTAATATTTAAAACAGTATTACTTCCAAATAAGGCAACGATTCATTTAGCTTAATATTAACTACAAGGCTATAAAGTGATCTGTATGACTCATTAAATCATTTGATTTTTTTTCTAGATGAGGTCAGACAGATCTATTTCTTAGAAGAGAACATTTCAATTTGAGGAAAATGCCAATGATTTATTTTGGCATTTTGGGAGTCAGCCTCCAGGCCAAAATCTTATGTGTGATCATTCAGATCTAACCATGGGCAATGACAAAGGTTTTACCTGGCTTCCTCATTGGGGCAAGCTGCCCCTCTCACCCTAGGCTTTCTGCACAGCCAGTGCATTGCAGCCTCTGGAGAGAGTTGCAGTCAGAGACTCAGCTCCTGTTCAACTCCCCTCTCTCCTTTTAACACCCTTTCCCCTGCCTCCCGCTGACCATAACCTTACTATATCTGCATTCCTAGCCTAGGTGTCTCCATTCTAAGACATTACTTGGGGCAGCAGGGATACTCAACTGAAACTGATTAGGCACCTCTGTTGAGACCTACTTATGGGAAGGCCCTGAAGAAACTTTTCTCTATTCTGACTCAGTACTTTTGTACTCCTAGCCCTCCCTTCTCAGGATTTGTAAAATGGCAGGAGCCTTTTTTCCAGAACTTCCTGGGCAGTGAAAGGATCCTGCTCCCACTCCTCCCACCTGTGCCAATACATCTCTTCCTCTGTTGGTGCTGTTCCATGGGGGGAAAAATGGAAGACTGGGAAAGCCACTGTCTACTTTCTGCTTTTGATCTAGTCCTTACACTGTCAGAGTAAGGGATTAAAGGCTTCATTGTTACCTATTTGACCATCCTGACACCTACGGCTCTCTACAGCACTTATTACAGTTCTTTCCTGACACTTAAATAGAGTCCTCAGTTCCTCCCAGTAATCTTTTATATGTCTATCTATCTATCTGTACATCCACCTATCACTCTGTCTATCTACAAGATATTTTAATTAGTTTTATGGATTATGGCTAGAAGATGGGACCACAGTCTGAGAGCTTCCAGGAGCACTGAAATCTAGGACCTTCCACATCTGAAAATAAATGACCACTTTCAACTTTTAAAGTCCAAAATGTCATTATTGTGATAGTCATGAGAGCTGTACTTACTAAATTGGCTTAAGAAAAGATGATGGGCATCCACTAAATTTCATCTAGAATTATGGTGCATGTCACAATGTTTCTTAACTTCTCTAATGGTTAGGTTTTTATTTTCTTCACTTTTCAGGTGAGTAAATTTGTATCAGGATTACTAATTAAAATCAGATTCCTGGCTCTGGAGTAGGTAGCTAGTCAGACATGAGCAGGGCAGGAGAGGGCTCCTCACCCAGGAATGTTAGGTGACCATTAGGTGATGGTCAGGCAGTTGTTAAACTATGTCTCTGAAATGATCATTGGTCATAGCCAGTGCCATGGAAAGGCAGTCTCCCAATAGATGGAAAACACTTGGAGGTGGTGATCAGCGGCTTCCTGATAAGATCTCAGGAGTTGGGCAAGTGGGCTTAAGCATTCACACTAACAGGCAAAATAGTGGATGTATGACCTTCTCTGGGAGTGTTTGACCAGTAAAGGTGAATCACCCGTAGACAGCATGTGCACAACCTCAGTAAATGCACTACACATACAGTCATCCTCCCAAATGCTGACCAACACTGTGCGAGTGGCAGTTAAGCAACAACCTGCCCCAAGGGAAGGCTCAAGGGAGGAGAAACACAAACCCTGGAACCATGCCAATGTAAAACCCCAAGTCCAGGGCTGAACAGGGCACTTGGATCTCTCAAGTCACCTGCTTGGTCCTCTTCCAAGTCCACTTTGATTCCTTTCGCTCCTGCTCTAAAACTTTTAAAATAAACTCTCACGCCTGCTATAAAACTTGCCTCAGTTTCTCCCTCTACCTTATACCCTACTTCTGCCCCTCAGCCGAGTTCTTTCCTCTAAGATGGCAGGGATTGAGTTTGCCACAGACCTGTACTGATTCACTGCTGGTTACACTAGGGGCCACCAAGCCAACTGAAGTAAGGGTTTCCAGGGGAGTTATTATAGTTAAGTGCCTGGGCTCATTCTAGTCATCAAAGAAGTTTGGTAATCCTGGCCAGACTTGAAGGTGAAAAAAGGTTTACAGTAAGTATCCTGGTCTTCCTGCCTTCAATTTATTAAATTGTCATAAAATTTATTAAGTTTGCCAGCAAAACCTTTATTATACTAGCATTGTTTTGATTCTGCTTCACCCTTTATTCTTTATTCTTTGATTCTCCAGACTCCATTTGGTTTAAGGAAACATTCTCAAGGTTAAATTTTTATTTTCTTCACTTTTTGGGTGAGTAAATTTGTAAGAATTCTCAGGAAATTGGTGTCATCTAATTTTGGGAGATGTATTTTATTTGAGTGTGATGAAACTTACACTAGACATATTTAAAATAAAGACAGACACATATAATTACACTTGCATGTATTTTCAGATCTCTGAAGTTGTTGCATAGGGCAATCTCATGATAGCCATAAGAGCACTTCTTTATTTTGTTGTTTCTTATAGCTATGATTTATTGTATCTATTTGCAATCCCTAAAGAATTCTATAGAATTTTAAGTTAAATTTACATGGAGAATATTTTTTTTTCTAATGCTTCAGCAGATTCACACAACAGCTGCTGGATTCTCCTTCAAATAGTTCAGTAACATGAAGATCTGGAAGAGATTTGGGCTTACTCTATATAACAGGCCCAGAGTTTGTCACTTATAATTGAAGCATAAGCTTCCCCATATTACAGTACTCCTTCCATCTCCATCATTAAGTAAAATCTATAATACTTAAAAAGCTGTTATATATATTTATCCAGCTGACACCTGCACACATGAATACACTACTTTTTGAAATAGAAACACATATTTGCAAATTCATTATAGAAACAAGCATCTCACTCATATTAAATTTCACAACAGAAATCACTGTAGCATAAAGGGTAACAGACTCTGTGTTACCTATAATGAATGCATTTGAGTTTACAGAATGAGGCTCTAAATTATCATAACTTAGAATTTTAAATACTTGAATATAAAATAACTTTAGTTACTACTTTCCCAAGATGTTGATAAGGAGCACCCCTCTACACACACACACACACACACACACACACACACACACACACTTTTCAACTAAATGCTATTCTATAATAATAAAAGTATAAGTTTTGAAATGGGGCAATCTGACTCTTGCAACAGATAGATTGAATGTGGAATGTGACTGGTATGGATCTTTTTGGTCATAACTGAAGATTTTTTCAGTTGGTAAAGCAGTTTCATAAAATGTGTTAGCCCCTGCCTTTACAGAATTCACAAGCTAGCAAGGGAGATAGATATATATAAAATATTAGAAGGCAAAACAACAAGTAAATACTTGTTGGAGGTAAATGTACTATTTGAGGTAAGCACAGAAGGGGTGAGTCAGAGTGAGTTTGTCTGGAAAAGTCAGAACCACTCACAGAAGAGGAGATGAGTGTAGGGAAAGTAAATAAATAGAGAAAGAAAGGGACATTTTAGGAAGAAAGAATATTCTGTGTCATGTAATGAAAGTGTGAAAAACTAAGATCTATGTGACAAAGTAGATGTCACTTGGTATGACTGTAACATCGGATATATATATAAGAAAGAAGCCTCTCTTACCAAGGATAAATGAAGTTCCAGTGAAAATAAAGGTGATTGGAGTATCATGCCATCACCTAAGACTTAAAACAACTTTTAAGGACTTGAAGGATTTATATTTAAACTGAAATATCTAATTTAGTCGACAGTAAGTATTCACAGAGAAAAACATATGTACTCAAAGCATATGCAATACATTTGAAGAAGGAACTTCATTAAAGATCTGTATCTATGTGATTGGCAATCACCTTAGTTAATATATTTTCAGTATAAGCATGGTATCAGGAAATACATGACCAGGTACTGACCAGCCACCCAAGGACTTCTAGGTATGCACATTTGAGGGCCTTCCATCAAAATAATCAGAAAGTCTTAGCAGAACTGCATTTATTACTTACTTAACAGGTTAGTCACCATGGCAGACCTTCTAATCTGCCTCTTAGTTCATTAATTTTGAAAATGAAAGGGTAACTCAGGATCAAGTTTTTAATATGAAAGAGGGTCCAAAAGTAATAAATATGGTAAATTTTTCAAAGGAAAGAGAGAGAATGCAGAGTAGTGGAAAACTTTAAAAATAAATTACTAGAGATACCACTTCCAGTGTGGGCCCAAGGAATTTACTACTAGGCTGAGCACATATAATATATAATTTATATGTGTTAATGTAGTTGATAGGTATCATATGATACCTATAATCCTTGGACAATATATGGAAAACAACTACCTGAAAACAGTAGAGAGTGAACAGAAGTAGGTGGATTCCACAGGAGAAATGACATTTGGAAGAAGGGACTCTCCTCTCTACCTTTTTAAAAATGTTTTTTACTTAAGGGTAATCAGAAGTTGGCAACATACTGAGTGGCTAAAACATCAGAAAAAAAAACATTTTTCTGGCTTGAAGAAACAAAGAACAGAGTTCAGATATATGAGAGATAATGGAAAGTGAAGGAAAAATCCTGGAAATGTGTGAGTAAAGGAGGGGAACCCCAAATTCTACATACATAAATTTTGAAAAAAAATTATGGTCACCCTATCCATGCATACATAAAGAAAACTGTAAGCAGCATATGTTCAGTTTGAGACAAACCAAGTCAATTCCCTGCAAATAAAAACTCAACACCTTTTGGAGAAATTTAGAAGAACCCAGAGTTTCTAAATTACAGAATTCATGATGTCCAGAATGCAATCCAGAATTACCAAAGCAAAATAGGAAAATATGACCCATTTTCAAAAGAAAAGGCAGTAAAAAGGATTGAACCCCAAAGTGACCAAGATGTTGGAAATGGTAGATAGGATTTTAGAATGGATGCACAACTACACTGAATGAAACGAAGGGAAATCCACTCACTCACGATAAATAAAAAGATAGGAATTGTTAGAAGAGAGATAGAACCAAATGGAAATTCTAGAATTGAAAATATATTTGAAATTCAAATTTACTGGGCAAGTTTAGCAGCAGAAAGGAGATGGCAGAATAAAGGGTAAGTAACCCCTGAAGATAAATCAGTATAATTTATCTAATCAGAAGAAGGAAAAGGATAAAGATAGAAGAAAAAGAGGATTAGCATTTCAGGGACCTATGAAACAATAGCAAAAGGTCTTAGATATGTATATTGTTGTGTCTCAGAAGAAGAACGGAAAGAGAATCAGGGAAAAGAATATGTGGAAAATAATGGCTGTGACTGCTACTTCTGGCCAAGATGGAGTAACAGAGACCAGATTTACCTCTTATTTAAAGCAACCCCCGAAATTAGATAAAATATGCAAGGCAACACTTTTTAAGACACTGAAAATCAGGCAATGATAACAGAAAAGAAATGAGGTCAGTACTATGATTGCTCCAGCTTACTGACTTGAGAGCACTTCCAGGCTACAGTGAAGGAGAAGTGACCCATTTGGGCCCAGTGGTCTTCCTAAGTTGCAGGGGAGAGGAGGACAGGGGGAGTTGTTCAATAAGGAAAGAGTTTCAGTTTTGCAAGATGAAAAAATTCTGGAGATTGGTTACACAACAATGTGAATATACTTAACACTGAATTTTATACTTAAAAATGGTTAATATGGTAAATACTATGGTATGTGTATTTTACCATATTTTTTTAAGTGAAAACCCAGAAACAACCTAAATGTCTGAAAACAGGAACCTGATATTATAAAACACGGCATTGCCATGTGACAGAAAACTCTATGTCCTCTAAAGATAAGGCATAGTGGAATAATATTTCATGACTTCAAGAGTCCATGATTTAGTATTAAGAAAAAAGTAGGATTATAAAACAGCGTGTGAACTAGAATCCACTTTTTAAAAACATGTATATCTAAATAAGAAGTCTAGAATGTTCACAAGCATTATGACTAAGTGACACAATTACAGGTATTTTTGCATCATTTGATATTTTTGAAATTTTCTATAATACATTATTTTTGTGATCAAATTTTAAAGTTATTAAAAACAATTTTAGGCTGGGCACAGTGGCTCACACCTGTAACCCCAGCACTTTGGGAGGCTGAGACAGGTGGATCACTTGAGTCTAGGAGTTCAAGATTAACCTGGGCCACATGGCAAAGCCTTCTCTCTACAAAAAATACAAAAATCAGCCAAGCATGGTGTGCACACCTGTAGTCCCAGCTTCTTGGGAGGCTGAGGTGGGAGAATTGCTTGAGCCTGGGAGGCAGATGTTGCAGTGAGCCAAGATTACACCACTGCACTCCAGCCTTGGCAACAATATGAGACCCTGTCTCAGAAAACAAAACAATTTTAATACATGAAACTACATTGGCGATAAAATCATATAGAACTGTTAAGTACTATTAAATTCATTTTTTCCTTACCAAGGTGAAGAGAAAGACTGCCCATACCAAATGCTGGTAAGGATATGAAATTACTGGAACTCTTAAACACTTTTCTTGGGAATGTAAAATGGTACAATCTGTTTAGAAGCAGTTTGGTAATTTCTTAAACAGTTAAACATACTTCTACAATATGGCCCAGCCATTCCACTTGTAGGCATTTACCCAAGAAAAATAGAAAGAGTGTATACGAATGTTCATGGCAACTTTGTCTGTAGTGGTCTCAAAGTGGACACAATCTCAGTGTCCATCAGCAGGTGGATAAATATATTGTAGTACATCCATACAACAGAATACTACTCAGCAATGAAAAGGAACGAACTATTGATACACACAATAATGTATGACTCTTGAAATAATTGAGTCTCAGTGCAAGTAGCTAGACAAAAAGTATACATAATGTATGAGTTCATTTCTATAAAATTCTAGGAAATGCAAATGTATAGTGTCAGAAAGGAGATCAGTGGGAGCCTGTGAATCAGATGGAATGTGGGAGGAATTACTAAAAGGCAGAAGGAAACATTCTAGGGTAATAGATACGTTCATTGCTTTCATTGTGGTGATGATCTCCTGAGTGTATATGTATCAAAATGATCCAAATATACATTTTGAATATGTGATGCTTATTGTATGTCAAATCTACCTCTCAATAGGCTTTTTAAAAAATTAGCAAACTTCAAGTTGAAAAATTAAAAATAAAACTAAATTTTGGCTCATCCTAATGAAAGCACTGAATACCAAAAAATAAAGAGGAAATCTTGAAAGCATCCAGAGAAAAACAACACATTCAATAAAGGTGAACAGTATAGCAATACACCATAATTACAGTCCTGAAAGAACAGAAAAAAAAATCTAACAACCAATTCTCAACCAGCAAAGATGAAGAAGGCAAAATAAAGGCATTTTTAGAAAAAGAAAAAGAGAATTCTTTACCAGTAGACTATCTCCTTGAGAAATGCTAACGGAAATTCTTCACGTTTTAGGTAAATGATAACATATCACCCTGCTGATCTTCAGGAAGGAATTAACACTGGAAATAAAGACACACATTTCATAATGCCAAAAGAATCATCAGTTCATTTAGGAAGACAATATTCATAAATAGTTTTTTTTTGTCTCTGAATAGCTTCAAAATTCATGAAACAACATTCATTAATCAAAGGGAGAAATAAATGATTCTAAAATCATAGTTGACAATTTTTAACAACATTCTTTTAGCAATTGATAGAGCCAGATAAATAAAATTAATGAAGACGTAGATGGATTTGAACAAACTATCAACCACCTTGACCTAAATGATTTTATAGAACACTACACTGAATAACTGCAGAATATACATCTTTTCAAGTAAATACAGTGTGTTCACTGAGATAGATTATATGCTGGACCCTCCAACAAGTCTCAATAAATTTAAAAGTGTTGAAAGCATACAGAATATGTTTTCTGAGCATAATATAATTAAATTAGAAATCAATAACAATGTGGCATCTAGAAAAATCCCTAACATTATAGCAAATCCCTCAAATTTCTTTAGTAAATAAATCAGCAAAAAAATTAGAGAATATTTTGAGATTGAAAATACATAAAA
The DNA here is from genome assembly GCF_000001405.40 of Homo sapiens. Classification (NCBI taxonomy): domain Eukaryota; kingdom Metazoa; phylum Chordata; class Mammalia; order Primates; family Hominidae; genus Homo; species Homo sapiens. The sequence continues at coordinate 68,302,767 of NC_000008.11, forward strand.
CCATATAATTTTTGAAGGAAAACATAGGATAATGTTTGTGATTTGTGAGAAGGCAAAATTTGGGACCTGAAACATAAAGCAATAACCATAATAAAAAATGAATAAGTTACACTTCATCAAAATTAAAAACTGCTTAACAAAACACCACTAATGAATTGAACAGGCAAGCCACAGATTTTAAGACAATGTACATTGCAAAGCATGTATATAACAAAGGCCTGGTATGCAGCATATATAAAGAAATCCTACAACTCAATAATAAAAAAACAGCTCCATAAAAATGGTGAAAGGAATTGAATAGACATATCAACAAGTACATGAAACAAGTACATAAAAATATGTTTAACATCGTTAGTCATTAGAGAAATGCAAATTAGAACTACATAGAGCCACCACTACACACCCCTTACAATGACTAAAATTAGAAAAGCTAATTTTTGGTAAGGATGTGCAGCAACTGGAAATCTCATACATTACTGCTGGGAGTGTAAAATGGGACAATATTTTGGAAAAAAGAGGTAGCATTTTCTTCTAAAACTAAACATATATTAACCTATGATCCAGTAACATAATTTCTGGGTATTTACTCAAAGAAGGCATATATATGCATAAAAAGCCTGTACGACAATATTCAAATCTGTTTCATTTCTAATAGCCAAAAGTGGAAAACATCCCCCAGATACTTTGATGTGAGACAAGAATGAATAAACAAGCTTTGGCATTTTTATTCAATGAAATATGCAGCAATAAAAAGAACCAACTACTGACATGCAGCAATATGAATAAATCTCGAAAACATTATATTGAGCAAAGGAAGCTAGTCATAAAATTGTACATAATTTACTACAGTATTTTAGTTTTATGAAGTTCTAAAACAGACAAAGCCAATCAATGATGGAGAAAAATTTGAACAGTAGTTTTCTTGGGGTGTGGTCAGGATTGGTGATTGAGAAGGGACACAAAAGATTTTGCTAGGGTGATAGTAATGTTGTATAATGATGGGCTTTGAGTTATAAAAGTATATACATTTTTCAGAACTAAGTAAAATGTGTGTGTAAATTAATTGTGTATTAATTGTACATCAAAAGGAAAAAATTGAACATTGAACTCTAATTAATGGCAGAGCATGTGGAAAGATCTAGGAGAAGCATGCACTTGTTTGCAGTTTACTTTCAAAAGCATATAACAAGTAATATATTAATTCAGGAGTAAATACATGAAAAAGCAAGAATATAGGTGCTGAGTGTATATTAGCATTCATGCTAAAATTCTTTCATTTCAGCTATACATTTCAAAAGTTTGATTAAAAAAATTTGGAAAAAGTAAAATGCTACAACCAATAGCTTTACAGAGAAGAGAAAACATATCAAAAAGACAAGAGATAACCAGTGTTGGAGAGGATGTGGAGAAAAGGAAGCCCTTATACATTGGCGGTGGGAATGTAAATTAGCACAGCTATTATGGAAAGTAATATGGAGTTTCCTCAAAATATTAAAAATAGAACTGCCTATATTCCAGCCCAATTCCACTTCTGGATACATATCCAAAGAAAATGAAATGAATATGTCAAAGCAGTATCTGCACTCCTATGTTCATTGCAGCTTATTCACAATAGCCAAGATATGGAATCAACCTAAGTGTCCATCAACAGATGAATGGATAAATAAAATGTAGTATATATGTACAATGGAATACTATTCAGCCTTAAAAAAGAAAGAAATCTGGTCATTTGAGACAATATGGATAAATCTGGAGGAAATTATGTTACACGAAATAGGCCAGGCTTAGAAAGACAAACACCACATAGAAACAGAGGGTAGGCAGGGTTCAGGGGCTCATGCCTGTAATCCCAGCACTTTGGAAGGCTGAGGCAGGAGGATCGCTTGAGTTCAGGAGTTCAGGTGTCATGGAGCATGCCTGTGGTCTCAGCTACTTGGGAAGTTGAGGCAGGAAGCTTGCTTGAGCATGGGAGCTTGAGGTTGCAGCAAGCTGTGATCAGGGCACTATACTCCAGCCTGGGCAACAAAGTGAGACCCTGTCTCAAAAAGAAACAAGAAATAGAGAGTAGAATTATGGTTACCAGGAGCTGAAGGACGAAGGAGTTGAGGAGATGTTGGTCAACAGATCCAAAGTTTCAGTTAGCAGAAGTAAGTAGAAGAGAGCTATTCTACATCACAGTGAGTAAAATTAATAAGAATGTATTGTATACTTGAAAATTGCTAAGAGAGTAGATTTTAAATGTTCTTTCACTACAAAAAATGGTAAGTATGTGTGGTAATAGATATGTTAATTCACTTGACTAGTCATTCCACAGTGTATACATATATCAAAATATCATGCTATATATCATAAATATGTACAATTTTTATTTGTCAATTTACAAAAGAAAAGGCAAAATAAATAAGGAACCTTATGACAACAAAATGCTCTCAAATAGTAAATCCCATCTCCTAAATACACATAAAATCAACAGGAGGATGGGAAGTTTAGGTTGAGACAATCTGCCCAAAAGACAAAGAGATGGAAAAATAGAAGAGTGAAGATAAGAAAATATAGCATTAGGCAAAAGGATTCAACATCATCTAAGTAGTAATCTAGACGATGAGAATTGAAAAAATGTTTCTGAGGAAATTACCAAAGAAATAACAGAAGAAAATGTCCCACAACAGGTAGGAAAGAATGTACTTTCCTAGACTGAAAGGACTATGTGTCTATTATTAGAGTGGACAGCCAGACAGACATGAGCAGGGCAGGAGAAGCCCCCCACCCCACCAGGAATGTCAGATGACCATCAGGTGCTAGTCAGGTGGTTGTTAAACTGTTTCTCTAAAATAATAATTGGTTGCTGCTGGCACCGGGGAAAGGCAGTCTCCCAATAGATAGAAAACACCTGAAGGTGGTGGTCAGCAGTTTCCCAATAAGATCTCAGGAGTTAGTTCAGTGTGCTCAAGCATGCACATTAAGAGGCATAATGGTGGAGTTTAACTGGCATATAACCTTCCTCCAGGAACACTCAGCTGATAAGGGGGAAAACACTTCAAGTGAGCATACACACAACTTCCAGTAAACATACTACTCATGGGGCCCCTCCCAAGTGCTGGCATGTACATGCAAACAGCCCACCCCAAGGAAGAATCAGGAAAGAAGAAATGCAAAACCCTACAAGCATGCCAACATATAAAAAGCCCAAGTCAAGGACTAAATGGCACACTTGAACTCTGGAGTTGCCCAGTGGGCCCTCTTCCAAGTGTACTTTACTTCCTTTCTTTCCTGCTTTAAAACTTTTAAATAAACTTTCGCTCCTGCTGTAAAAATTGCCTTCATCTCTCACTCTGACTTATGCTCTGCGGATGAATTCTTTCTTCTGACTAGGGAAGAATTGAGTTGCTGCAGACTCATATGGATTCACCACTGCTAACATACTTTGGTGCTGTGACTTGGATAAAACTGTATGGGATGGGTTTTGTGAGAGCACCAGCTATACTGAGGGAAACTTTGGAGGGAACCAGCTACTAGATGATTCAATTAGTCTTTCATCCCTATATCCAGGTTGGACAATCGATTTGCCCATCAGGACCATTGCGGACCTCCACCAGTTTCCTCTGGCTTCATCTTGCCCAGGCATAGTTCACAATCTTTCATTTCCTAACACCTGTGCTCATGCTCCACCTCCCCAGCGTGGCAGGAGATACAGACCAGTGGTAGACTGGTGGTATTCCCTCAGTAGAGTGGAGAGTCCTTGGGAACCCACCGTGGGTGATGAGTGCTCCAGTCTTCACCTTCATTGCACCATGGTCCATGGCAGTCCTGATGTGCAAATTAGGTGTCCAACCTGGGTATAGGAAAAAAGACTAATCAAACCATCTGGTAGCTGGTTCCCTCCAAAGTTTCCCTTAGGATACCTGGTGCTCTCACAAACCCATCCCATGCAGTATCCCAGTCATGGTGAACCTGACCCAATTGTCCCATAGACAGTTCTTCTTGATAAACATAGGAATTGACACTTTTGGTCTTAAAACTTAAAACTTATATTTGTTTTATCTGAGTTCCTTCCTCAGGAAACAACTTTCAGGCCTCTCAAAAAAAAAATATCAAGGAACTAAAATTCACCAGATTACCACATCCAGACAATCAGATGCCAGGACCTATCATTCAACATTATTGCTTCCTTGCCCCTCCCTAGTTCCTGTTCTCTTACATTGTTACATTTCTTCCCTTCTATATAAACCCCTAGTTTTAGTGGGTCAGGGAGATGGATTTAGACTGAGCTCCCATCTCCTCAGCTGCAGCACCTGATTAAAGCCTTCTTCCTTGTCAATAGTTGTCATCTTAGGGCTTGGCTTTCTGTGTGGCAAGTAGCAGGACCTAGACCGAACCCCTGGTGTTTTGGTAACAACAGCACCAAAGTATGTAAGCAGGGATGAATCCATATTTGTCTGCAGTAACTTGATTTTTGCCTTTTCAGAGGAAAGAATTCATATGAGAACCATAAAGCAAAGTGAGAGACCAAGGCAAGTTTTAGAGCAGGAGTGAATATTTATTAAAAAGTTTTAGAGCAGGAATGAAAGAGAGTTAAGTATACTTGGAAGAGGACCATGGAGGTGACTTGAGAGATCCAAGTGTGCCATTTAGTCCTTGACGTGGGGTTTTATATGTTGGCATGCTTCCAGGGTTTTATGTCTCTTCTCTCTGATTCTTCCCTTGGGATGGGCTGTCTGCATGTGCAGTGGCCTGCCAGCACTTGGGAGGCACCACATATGCAGTGTGTTTACTGAAGTTGTGCGCATGCTCACTTGAGGTGTTTTTCCCTTACCAGTCAAGTGTTCCTAGAGGAAGGTCATATACCAGTTAAACTCTACTACTGTGCCTCTTAGTGCGCATGCTTGAGCCCAATCACCCAACTCCTAAGATCTTAATGGGAAGCTGCTGATCACCAGCTTCAGGTGTTTTTTGTCTATTGGGAGACAGCTCTTCCTGGTGCTGGCCGCTACCACTTATTATTTTAGAGTTTAATAACCACCTGACTATAACCTGATAGTCACCTGACATTCCTGGTGAGGTGGGGGGCCCTCTCCTGTCCTGCTCATGTCTGGCTAACTACCTACTCTAACACTATCACAGTGATTGAGGAAAGATATTACCCCTACCAAGACATTTCAGAACCCAGGGACAGAGACTTTATTTGGAAAGCTTCCAGAACATGGAGTAGGGGATGGAAAGATGAAGTAGGGCAGAGTGGGGAGGGTGGGTGAGGAGGGGGTGGAAGCAAGTTGTCAACAAAAAACTGGGGATTGGAATGGTGTTACAGCACTATTGTCAAAAGATGATGGAATTATGCCTTTCAAATTCTGAATTATTTCCAATTTAGCATTGTATTATCAAATAGTCAAGTGGTGGGATTATAATAATAAAACATTTAAAAAGATGCAAAAGTCTCAAAAAAATTGATCTTTCATGCACACTTTGTCAGTAATTTACTGTGATGCTCACCTGAAGTAAACTTGTAAACCAATAAAGAAAGAAATATGAACTGTTTTCTGGGAAACAGGAAATCTGACTTTAGAGTGGAGTGAAGTGAATTCCTGAGATGATGGTGAAAGGAAATCCTAGTATAATGAAGAGGAGCTGTCCCAGGAAGCAAATTTTCCCAATTAGAGCAAGGGTATCCAAGGACTCTAGAAGGATTGTTCTAAGAAACAAAACAATCACATTTGCTTGTTGTTTATGAACAGGTTGTGGGGAGTTTTATTTAGATGAATGGGTGGGAGTTTGGGCAAAAATCAGTGGAAGGTACATAAGAAAGGAATTAAACAAGCAATAGGACTTGATTAAAGTGAAGCAACAAAAGTGTTACACAAAAAAGGCTCCTTCATTAATGAGTGTGTGGTTCAGCTATGGATTATTATATGCAAATCATAATGTCAAATTGAATATTAATAAAAAAGATCAATAACTACAGTGGGTGACTATAGGAAAGGGTACATTATAGAACTCAATCCTCATCTTCCATAGTATGAAGTCAGTAGATACTACTATTGAAAAAACTAAGAAACAATATTCTATATTATCGTTGAGGAATTTGATAATAAATACCAGAAAAAAATGAGTTGAACATCATTTCCTCTGGAGATCACAGATCAGGGTGAAGAAGGAACTAGGGGATGGCTGCTTTCATCATGTCTTATAAAGCTGTTTAACTGTTTAATGAATAAGAAAATAAAATTTAAGTGTAGTTATATTAAAGAATACCATCAAGCATGTTCTCTATTGTTGAGAAAGAACATTCATTCTTCTAGCTCAAATTGAAACTGTCTCTGCAAAATTATGATGGAAAGAGACATCTGACTCCATCTTGCTTCTAGCCTTAGAGATTGGTTCTCTTTGTCCATTTCTGCATGTGGGCAAAGCTAACTTTGTGAGAAATTTAGTTTATAGTTTAAATGATAATAGCCCTTCCCGAAACTAAACTGTTCTTATAAAACAAATGAAAGACTACCAAGTTAGGAGGATAAGAGGGGCTTAAATTCTCAATAATTACCAGCCGTTATTCTGGAGGTCATAAGATTTGCACTTTCTCCAGTTAATCCTGCGGATAACATCACTGTTATAGAACCTAAGATTGGCCTTTTGAGATATCTTTTCAGAATTTTGCAATTCTGACAACTGGACGGCCCCACCTAGACCCACCAACCAGCCCTGTGGCCCCCACCCAAGAACTGACTCAGCACAAGAGGACAGCTTCCATTCCTTTGATTTTATCTCCAACCCAACCAATCAGCATGCACCCTATCCTAGCCCCCTGCCCACCAGACTATCTTTGAAAAACCCCTAACCTCCAAGCCTTTGGGGAAATCGATTTGAGTAATAACTCCATCTCCCGTGTGGCACAGCTGGCCTTGCATCAATGAAACTCTTTTTTTTACCGCAATGCCATAGTCTCAGTGAGCTGATTTTGTGTGTGCAGTGGGGAGGAAGAACCCATTGGGCAGTTACAAAATTCATGTCATAAAATATAATAATCTTGATTTTTTTCCAACGGAAAAGTTAAGCCTACTAGTCATAAACTTGTAAGCATAAAGTTAAGTGAAGCAATGTATATTTTATAATAATTTTTTTCATGTAAGAAAACTCAGTGATATTTTCTAGATCTCTTTCTCCTCAAGGAATTGACTTGAGAGTAGTGAAAATATGAAAAGTACACAAGTAAGTATAGAATAAATTTTTATGGAGTACTGAATTTATTTAGAAGAAATGAAATGTAAATGTGCTATATTGTGTTGTGTATAGATCAAACAAAATATATCAGGGACATTAGTTGTTACAGGATTGATTTCCATAAAACTCTAGTCTGAGCAGGTCACCTTAAGCTGAAAAACATCACTCTGTCCCGCTGCCTACAAAATAAAGCTTAAACTTCTTTCCTTGATGTATGATGCTATCTGTGCTCTACCCTGAACACATATTTCCTAAATAATTTATTGCCATTCTCCCTTGCTGTACCCTTCAATAGAATCAAAGTGAGATTGCAGCAGTTCCTCATAATCAAAACTTTGTTTCTCTCCTCCAGGACTTTTCTTTTTTCCTATTATAATTTAAAAAATTCTTTTATCATAAAACATAATGTATCTTAAAATTATTTTATATTTAAAGTATTAAGTAAAATCAAATTTAAATATATTTTGTCTGTATTTGAAATTAGTCTTAAAATTATTTTAAAAATTAAAAAGAATTAAAAATCAACTGTCCATTAACTTTACATCTCTTTTTAGCCATAATCTGATCTTTTATCTTTTAGAGATACCTTCTTGAAAGTGAAGCGGCGTCACTGTCTGGGGTAAATACCCAAGGTTCACTGTCTCACACCAGGGGAATCAAGGATATGGACACACAAGAAATGGTTTTAGGAGCAGAGGTTTAATAGGCAAAAGAAAGAGAATGGAGAATAGCTCTCTCTCCTGGGAAAGAGAGGGGCGCCCAAATGAGACTTCAGTCATGGCAGAGTGCACTGGGTTTTATAGACTGGCTTGAGGAGGTGGTGTCTGATTTACACAGGGCCCAGAGATTGGTTGGACCAGGTGTGACGTTTTCTTTCTTTCTTTCTTTCCCTTCCTCCCTCCCTCCCTTTCTTCCTTCCTTCCTTCCCTTCCTTTCCTTCCTTCCTTTCTTCCCTCCCTCCGTTTTCCTTCCTTCCATTCTTCCCTCCCTCCCTCCCTCTTTCCCTTCCTTCCTTCCTTCCTTCCTTTCTTTCTTCCTTCCTTCCCTTCTTCCTTCTCTCTCTCTCCCTCCCTTCTTCTTTCCTTCCTTCCTTATTTTCCTTCCTCCTTCCCTGTCTCCTTCCCTCCTTCCTTCCTTTCTTTCTTTCTGGATTGTGGGGCATTCTATTTCTTTTGTAATAGCTCATGAAGAAGCTGGCCACCCCACCCTAATCTTTTATTATGCAAATGTGTTTTCTACCGGGCTGGCGCCATGTTGTCTTCTCCTTATTGTACACATGGTTGGCAAGGAAAAGGGAAGGTGGAGCCCCCATGTTGAACATACCTGGCCCCCAGGTTAGCTTTTTCCCATTGGCACAGCTGCCAGCATTCACCTGTGCAAGCTTCCAGCTTGCTTATCTATGTCTGCAGCTTGATTTTACAGGCTGCTGTTTGTTAGAAAAGAAATTATTTTGGGGCTGCTTTTCATTAAAAGGAAAACCTTACCGAGGACTTCTTTACCCTCACTATCTGCCTAAATAATTTCTTTCTAACTCCTATATCAAATGGACTGAAAGATGTTTATTAGGTTTAGTTAGGTTTATTAGGTTTAGTTAGGAGGTTTATTAGGTTTAGTTAGGAGGTCTGAGGCCACCTTAGCAAAAGCAGTATCATTGGAGTTCTAGAAATTTATACAGGTAACAAGAGATAAATAAGAAATTAGAGTAAACACATGCAGATATTTCCAGGCTAGCAGTCAGCACGTTTCTGTAAAGGGCCAGATTTTAGGTAGGCTCCCTCCTTCCTTCCCTCTTTCCTTCCCTCTTTCCTTCCTTCCTTCCTTCCCCCCTCCTCTTCTTCCTTCTCTCTTTCCCTCCTTCCTTGTTTCCTTCCTTCCTTCTTTCCCTTCCCCCTTCCCTGTCTCCCTCCCTCCCTTCCTTCCTTCCCTTCTTCCTTCTCTTTTTCCCTCCTTCCTTCTTTCCCTTCCTCCTTCCCTGTCTCCCTCCCTCCCTCCTTCCTTGCTTTCTTTCTTTCTGGCTTTGTGGGGAATTCTACTTCTTTCATAATTAGTCAACTCTGCCAGCATACAGTGAAAACAGCCATGCACAATACATAAATAAATAGCACAGCACAGTTGTATACCAGTAAAACACAGATTTGGCTTAAAGGATACAGTCTGCTTACCTTTTTTCCTAATGTCACCACATAAGCCTCTTCCACAAGTTGCTTAATTGCAGCATAAGCATAAGAGGCACTATCTTCTCCCAGAAGAAAAGATTAGAAAAAAGGAGATCTGGAGCACAGGTGTCATTGGAAAACACACTTGAGCCCAAGAAATAAGCCAAGTGAGCACAAAGTAATACTATAATAATGTTAAAATCACAAAATTAAAAATCTAGTCAAATTCTCTAATTCTATAATTGCTAAAACCAAGGCGCAGAGACAAATGTGACAAAGACACACCTGGGACACAGTAGGTGCTCAACACATTTTTTGATGAATTATTAACTTGCTCAAGGCTGTGTCTGTAATAAGAAGCACACCTGAGAATATAATTCAGGTTTTGAGATTCACATGTAGAGTATTATTTTCACTCTGACAGGTCAACATCACAGGGAAAGTATTTCCCACATGTATGAGCTAGCATGATTATTAACAGCATAGGCTAAGTTATGCTGTGCTTAAAAAAACAGCCCCAAATAACCTTTTTCTTTTCTATGTAATCTGCATACCTATAGGGTGTGGGTGAGGACTCCCCTCATTTTAGTCTTTCAGGGATGCAGATGAAGGAGGTTCTATCTCCGCCTGTCCATCTACAATCACTACTGCAGATAAAGAGCACAATTCAAAGATCTTGCTCCCACAATTAAGTGTTCCACCCTGGAATCGACACATAACACATCCTCCCACAAACCACTGGCCAGAACTAGTCATATGCCCATACTTGATTTAAAAGGGCCAGGATCCCAGGCCAGGTGGCTCACGCCTGTAATCCCAGCTACTAGGGAGGCTGGGGCAGGAGAATTGCTTGAACTCCGGAGGTGAAGGCAGAGGTTGCTGTGAGCCAAGATGGCGCCACTGTACTCCAGCCTGGGCAACAGAGTGAGACTCCATCTAAATAAATGAATAAATGAATAAATAATAAAAGGGCCAGGACTCACAAGGTTCTTGTGTGCCTAGAATAATAGGGAAACCAAGTATTTCTGAATCCTGAATGCTGTGTGGTAGAAATGAAACTGACTTTGCAAAAGTTACAACAGCAAGAAAACTATGGCAGTGGAGGAGATCTGATCTAGCCAACCCCCATCTTGCCTTTAGCATTCAAGCCGCCCTTGAATATTCCTGGGCGTGGGTCAAGCTAACTGTGGGAGATGTTTAGTTTATAGCTTAAGTGATAATAGCCTTTCCCCAAAATTCAGCCACCTTGTAAAGCTAGTGAGAGACCACCGGGGCTAGGAGGATTAGAGGGGCCTGAATTCTGCTAAGGTGTAGACATAAATGATTGCCAGCCATTCATTATTCAGGAGGTCACAAGATATGCAACGTCCCCAATTACTCCTGCAGATAACATCACTATTGTAGAACTTAAAATTGGCTTTTTGAGATGTCTTTTCAGGTTTTTGCACCTTTAATGACTAGTGGCTCCACTGAGACCCACCAATCAGTCCTGTGGCCTCACCCAGCAACCCACTCAGTGCAAGAGAATAGCTTCTACTCCCTATGACTTCATCCCTGACCCGACCAATCAACACTCATACCCTAGCCTGCTGCTCACCAAACTATCTTTGAAAAACCCCTAACCTCCAAGCCTTCGAAGAGATTGATTTGAGTAATACACGTGGCATGGCCAGCCTCACGTCAATTAAACTCTACCTTTATTGCAACGCCATGATCTCTGTGAAATGATTTTGTTTGTGCAGTGAGCAAGAAGAACCTTTGGGGCAGTTACAGAAAAACTATAGAAAAAGAGGTTGATAGGTCCACCGTATAAATCAAAACAGGTTTCTGTTTTGCTTGGTAAGAGTTTTCTTTTTTCTCTTCATAAAGAAATAGAGTAACACTCCCCACCCCTCTGTAAAACTATAAGCGAGGTCCAAAAGTTTAGTCAAGGAAAATGACTAACAATGTTTGCAAGAAAACATATTTTTTTCAAGGCAGAGTCTCACTGTGTTCCCCAGGCTGGAGTGCAATGGCATGATCTCAGCTCACTGCAACTTTTTCCTATGGGGCTCAAAAGAGTCTCCTGCCTCAGCCTCCTGAGTAGCTGGGATTACAGGTGTGCACCACCACACCTGGCTTTTTGTTTTGTTTTGTTTTGTTTTGGATTTTTAGTAGAGAAGGGGTTTCGCCATGTTGGTTAGGCTGGTCTCAAACTCCTGACCTCAAGTGATCTGCCACCTGGTCCTCCCAAAGTGCTGGGATTAGTGTTCAGCCACCACACCCAGCCCAGTTTGCAAACCATTTTTGCAAACAAAATTTTCTAGTCAGTTTTCCAGGTATGGTGTGAAAAAAGAAAGAAAATGATATTTGTTAAACTTGCATATTATTAGAATAATACCCATCTCTCTGTGTATGAGAAAGTCCAAAACAGTCATGAGGTAATCACTTCATCCTCCACAGCCCCAGGAAGAGAAATGAGCTTGGCCTTCCTGGTTTGAGAATGGGTGCTGGCTGAGGAGGGAGCTAATTTCTTATCATGTTATATCTAAATTCATATTATTGTGAGGCATTATCAAGTTTGCTGTATGGGCTGTGTAGTGAACCTTAATAAGTTCATTTCAGTTTAAATAAAGTATGTTGTACACCTGTGAAGTACAAAATATTAAGGTGTGTATGGCCTGAAAGGGTGGAAAGAGGATAATGACAATACATGACACAATAGCAGAATAAACAGTCATATGGATTATTTTCCAATATTTCATTATTGTGATGGGTCAGATCCCTGAGGCATGGGTTTCTCACAGCCTGGACATCCTCAAATATGGAAATTGTCTACTGTAGACAAAAAGAAAGCTTTTTGCAGTATTTTGCCCCAATTGTCTCTTTGAACCTAGAGAAGCAGCGGGGCACATGTGGCGAGCGCAGAGTTGCTGTGACTGAAGCGCGGAGCTGGGAAGAGTAAGGGAGGGAAGAGGCTCCTTGGGCAGCATTCTGCCACTGGCAACTGGACACCACTCGGTTAGGAGGAAGAACAAGTCTGTATTTTCTCTTGTCCTTCTTCCTCATATTTATTCATTTCTCCCTCTTACATTCCTAATACTCTTGCTTCCAGGCTGTATAACAGCTTGGTTTGAGCAGGGAATTCTTCCCACAATGGAAAGAATCTTCTGCAACGGACATCAGCCATTTTGCTTGTATTCAAGGACACAGAGATGCTTTTAGGTAAAAGTGATTTATCATTAGAATCATTAAACGTGAAAAGTAGTTCTATGATGTTACCAACCTTAGATCGCTGATGCTGGGGATTGAAGGAAAAATCATTATTAAAATATTCACATAATATATAATACAGGCCATACAAAAATGTATGTCTAATATTCATTATTCGATTTTATTCATGCATCAATTGATTACATAGCATACGCTGTGTGTCAGATACAATTCTAGGCATTTTTATCACTAGTAACTCATTGAGTCTTTACATCAACCCTACCGAATAGGTACTGTTGTCATCATCCTCATCTTGCATATGAAGAAACTGAGGTCCAGAGAGATGAAGTATATTGCCCAAAGTCAAACAGAGTTGGGACTCAGATCCATACAACCTGGCTGCAGAGTCCTTACCATTAATTGTTATGCCATGCTGCTGTAATGGTGACTAACGAATATTTGGGAAAAGAGTTTCATAGCTCATCGTAGCTGCTAATTTGATTCCACTTACTTCATGGTATCCAACATTTGGGGAGTGTTTAAAGAGTGGTCAGCTGCTGAAAACACTGGTAGGGATTTAAGGGCCTGGCAGTACAGATAACTTGAAGACCCTCCAGCTACCAACACCAAGAATTGCTCAATAAATTATAACTAACATCCTTATAAATACAGGGCTGAGCTGCTAAGAAAAGCAGAAAAATTGCCTTCGGCCAGAAATGAAGAAGAAACTAAAAATCAGGACAGCAAACTGCAAAGCTGATGCTGTGTCTGCTCTGGGATATTTATTGCTCTAAGTAACATAGGTGCTGAAACAATACCAGTGTACAGATGGGGAGAATTGGGACTGAGGCTCGCATCTTCTAGAGTGTTCTTTCTTTGGTATGAGGATTTGAGCAACAGGAACCCTCAAAAGTTGTGGGAAGAATGATAAATTTATACAACTGCTTTGAAGAGCAATGTGACAATGCCTGATGAATTTGAACATGCCCATCCTTATGACCAAACAATTCCTTTGGCAGATTAATACCCCCGAGAAATTCTAGGCCGTGCAAAAATTCAGACATGAACAAGAATTTTATTGCAGCATTGTTTGCATTAGTAAAAACTTGGAACAGGAGAATGGATAAATGAGTTGTGCTCTAATCACACAATGGAATATGCAGAGCAGTGAAAATCAATGTACCATAGACATGTATCATCAGGGATAATTCTCAAAGCTTCACTTTCATGGAAAAAGCAAGGCAAGCTGCAGGATATTTGCAGAACTGAGCTGTAGAGGTAAAAAGCGTGTGATATCTTTCTTCACCCCTCATAAGGGTCCCAGTCAACACTGCTATAACAAAAGACAACTTAACAGGAGAAAAGCACATACAAAAATGACTTACTTAAAGTTTTATGTGACATGGAAGCCTTTGGAATGAAGATCCAAAGGTACAAGAAAAAATATCCATTTTTATGCTTAGGTTGAATGAAGAATGAATAGCTGTATAAAAACTTCATTGGAAAAAAGGGTGTGATCCAGCAGACTGAGATGAGAAAACCCAGTAAGGCATGTCCAGATTCTTCTTGGCCTCTCAGTGGCATTCCCTCCACCTGGGTATGAAGCAAGAACCCTCTACAGTAGGAGTCTTATGACCTATTATCAGACAAGGGTAGGTCAGAGAATTCCTTTATGGCCAGCTCCTAGACAGAAAGGTAGGAGGTGAGAAGGTTAGCCTTGTATTCCTTGTAGGTTATTCCTTGTATTCATGGCTGACTTGGGCAATAGGGGTTCTAGTTTCTATGACCTGCCTTGGGGAAGAGGAATTCTGGTTTCTGTGACTTGCTTCCAGGGAGACTCAAGGATGAGAGACAGGAGGGCAGGAGAAGGTCAGAGTGACCCTGGTCCTGAGACTGCTTCTGAGGCCCTTCAGATGTCCTTTAGATCAGTAGTCCCTCTCCTTTTTGGGACCAGGGACTGGTTTTGTTGAAGACAATTTTTCCATGGACTGGGGAGGGGGTGGTTTCAGGATAATTCAAGAGCATTACACTTACTGTGCACTTTATTTCTATGATTATTACATTATAATATATAATAAAATAAGTATACAACTCACCATAATGTAGAATCAGTGGGATCCCTGAGCTTGTTTTCCTGCAACTAGATGGTCCCATCTAGGGATGGTGGGAGACAGTGACAGATCATCAGGCATTAGATTCTCATAAGAACCTTGCACCCTAGACCCTTCCACATGTGCAGTTCATAACAGGGTTTATGCTCCTATGAGAATCTAATGCCACCACTGATCTGACAGGAGGCAGAGCTCAGGCGGTAATGCGAGTGACGGGAAGTGGCTATAAATACAGATGAAGCTTTGCTTGCTTACTGCCGCTCACCTCCTCCTGTGAGGCGCGATCACCAACAGGTCATGGACTGGTGCTGGTCTGTCGCCTGGGGGTTGGGGGCCCCTGCTTTAGTTGGAAGTGCTCAGCAGGCCAAAGTGCTATACTTTGGATTATCATTTTTTGAACCCCAACAAAGCCTAATGCTGAACTGTAGAGGATCAGAAAGAAATTTTAAAAAATGTAATCCTTAACCTCAAGAAAGGAAGAAAGGACAAAACAAAAAGGACTTTTAATTACTCCTCTCAAAAATGAAAGCAACACCAGTGTTGCAGATGTAATTGGCTTCCTTTTGGCCCAGCTCCCACTCTGCACACGGGCAGACCCTCAACACAGAGCCCACGCATAGCAAGAAAGACAGAAGGAGTTCTTACTGAATATTTCCCAAGTACAGGGGGGAAGTAAACTAAGGCAAAAATTACACAAAATTGTGTTTATATATCTTGTTTAGTTCACCGAAATTCAAATCAACTCAACATAGCTCTCTTTCTCTTCACAGTGCATTTTTGCTGCTTTCTGGCCTCACCCAGTGTCTCATTTTCTAAAGCCACACAGATGCACATAGCTCCAAACTAATGCATAGTTATTAAACTCCCCTTTGCTTTTAAACTTGCATTTTTGCTCCATTTTGTGGCTCACTAAATGAAAGCTCCTTTTTGAAATCTTTTTATAATTGTGTGTGTGTGTGTGTGTGTTTCATAACAACATATTTTTTTCACAGTTTAAAAAAAAAATCTAGGATCCAAGAGGACCTTAGAATCAACAAAAATTAACAATTACTGTTAATTCTTTTTTTTTTCCTTTTCTTTTTTTTTTTGAGACAGGGTCTCACTGTGTCACCCAAGCTGAAGTGCGGTGGCACAATCATGGCTCACTGGAGCCTCAACCTCCTGGGTTCATGTGATCCTTCCATATAAGCCTCCTGAGTAGCTGGGACTGCAGGTGTGTACCACTACAACTGGCTAAATTTTTCTTTTATGTGGAGACAAAATCTTGCTATGTTGCCCAGGCTGGTCTCAAACTCCTGGGATCAAGTGATTCTCCCACCTCGGCCTCCCAAACTGCTGGGATTATAGGTATGGGCCATCATGCCCATCCTTGTTAATTCTTAAAATAACATCTTTGTTGAGATATACTTCACATACCAGACAAGTCACCTATTTAAAGTGTACAATTGAATAGCTTTTAGTATATTCACAGAGTTGTGCAACCTTCAGCAAAATAAATTTTAGAACATTTTCATCACACCAAAAAGAAACTGTAAGCCCATTAGTGGTCATTTCCATTCCTCCCCCTGTTACTGTCCTGCCCTCACACCTGTCACCCTGCAACACTTTCCTGCCTTCCTACCAGCCCTAGGCAACCACTAATCTACTTTCTGTCTCTGCAGACTTGCCTACTGTGGTTATTTTATATCAATGGAATCATACAATACATGGTGTTTTTGTGACTGGTTTCTTTGACTTGGTATAATGTTTTCAAGGTTCATCCATGGTGTAGCATGTATTGGTACTACATTCATTTGAATCACAAAATAATATTTCATTATATGGACATACCACATTTTATATAGCCTTTTATCAAGTGATAGATATTTGGGTATTTGGATTGTTTTCACTTTTTGGCTGTTATGAATATTGCTGCTACCAACACTCATGGATAAGTTTTCATGTGGTCACGCATTTTCATTTTTCTTGGGTATAAACCTAGGGGTGGAATTGCTGGATCACTCAGTCAGTCGACATTTAACCTTTTGAGAAACTACCAGACTTTTTCAAAGCAGTTCCACCAGCAGTTTATGAGAGTTCCAGTTTTTGGACACTTTGCCAGTGCTGTCTTTTTTATTATGTAGCGCTGTCCTAGTGAGTGTGAAGTGGTATAACATTGTGGTTTTGATCTGCATTTCCCTAATGGATAATGGTGTTAGGCATGCATTTCTGTGTTTATTGGCCATGTGTATATCTTCTTTGGAGAAGTAACTATTCAGCCACGTTGACTTTTTTAATTGGGCCATTTGTCATTTTTATTATTGAGTGATAAGAATTATTTATATATTGGAGAAACAAGTTCCTTATCAGATACATGATTTGAAAATATTTTCTCCCATTTTTTGATTTTCTTTTCACTTTCTTGATGGTGTTCTTTGCATAAAAAGGTGTTTATTTTGATGATATCCAATTTATGTTTTTGTCATTTGTTCTTTTGGTATTATATCTAAGAAAACATTATTTAACCCAATGTCACCATGATGTATGCCTCTTTTTTCCTATAAAAGAGTTATAGCTTTAGCTCTTAGATTTAAGTCTTTGATCCATTTTGAGTTAATTTTTGTATCTAATGTGAGGTACAGGTTCAATTTCATTCTTTTACATGTAGATATCCAGTTGTCTGAGCACAATTTGATGAAAATATTATTCTTTCTCTATTGAATTGTCTTGATACTCATATCTAAAATCATTTGACCACACATGTGAGACTTTATTTCTAGACTCTCAATTCTATTCCATCGATATATATGTCTGTCTCTATGCCAGTACCACACTGCTTTAATTGCTGTAGAACTTGGTAGTAAGTTTTGAAATTGGAAGTGTGAGTCTTCCAATTTTGTTCAAGATTGTTTTGGTTATTCTGGGTCTTTGCATTTCCATATGATTTCAGGATTAGCTTGCCAATTTCTGCAAAAAAAAATCCAGTTGGAATTTTTAAGAGAATTGTATTAAATATGTAGATCAACTTGGGGAGCGTTGCCATCTTAACAATAGTAAGTCTTCCAATTCATGAACACATAATATCTTTCATTTTATCTTTTTCTTGAGACAGAGTCTTGCTCTGTCACCCAGGCTGGAGTGCAGTGGCACAATCTCGGCTCACTGCAGCCTCTGCCTCCCCGTTTAAGTGATTGCCTTGCCCCAGCCTCCCAATTAGCTGGGACTACAGGCATCTGCCACCACACAGGGCTACATTTTATCTTTCATTTAGATCTTCTTTCATTTATTTCACCAATGTTTTGTAGTTTTCGGAGAATAAGTTTTATACTACTTTTTTTTTTTTTTTTTTTTTGAGACAAGATGTTACTCTGTTGCCCAGGCTGGAGTGCGGTGACACAAACATGGCTCACTGCAGCCTTGACCTTGCAGGCTCAGACGATACTCCCACCTCAGCACTGTGCCCTGTCCCCTTCACCCTTCCTCATCTCCCACCACCCCACCCCTGCTCCCAGGTAGCTAGGACTCCAGGCATGCCCTACCACACCTGGCTAATTTTTTGTATTTTTTGTAGACACAAGGTTTTGCCATATTGTCTGGTCTGGTCTTGAACTCCTGATCTCAAGCAATCCTCCTGCCTTGGCCTCCCAAATTGCTGGGATTACAGTCATAAACCACCGCATCCGGTCCATGCTACTTTTGTTAAATATATTTCTAAGTTTTTCACTTGTTTTTGATGCTGTTG
Source organism: Homo sapiens (assembly GCF_000001405.40). Taxonomy (NCBI): domain Eukaryota; kingdom Metazoa; phylum Chordata; class Mammalia; order Primates; family Hominidae; genus Homo; species Homo sapiens. The sequence continues at coordinate 68,321,162 of NC_000008.11, forward strand.
TAAATAGAATCATTTTGTTAATTTCATGGGATATTTTTGTTCATTGAAGATGTATAGAGATATGGTTGCTTTTTGCATGTTATCTTGTAGCCTGCAACTTTTCTAAACTCCTTTATTGGTTCCAATAGTTTTTTTTTTTTTGATGGATTTTTTAGGATTATATATACACAAGATCATGTCATTTGCAAATAGAGATAGTTTAACTTCTTCCTTTGCAATCAGGATGATTTTTATTTCCTTTTCTTTCCTAATTGCCCTGGCTAGAACCTCTAATACAATGTTGAATAGAAGTGGTAAGATGTCATTTTAAGCCTGTGTTTCTCCCAGATTATTTTCTTGCTTATGATTTGCTGTAAGGTAGTAAAATAAAAGAGCTGTTTCTTCTTTTCTTAGGAGCAGTAAAAGAAGAATGAGTGTGGCAAACCACACACTGCTCTACAGCCGCTGTCTGAGAAAAGTTAAAAGGGAGAAAGAGTAAATGGTCACCATGAGCAACAGGAAAGCAAGGAAAGCAAACTGGGGCTCTGGCTCCTCTTTCAGAAACCAACAGGAGTGCAGAGACTGGTTGAGCCTGAAGTATGGTCTTGAGAATTAACAATATGAAAGTTTGTGTCAGTTCCTTTTTAAAGTGTAAAGCTGATTCTTTCTAGAATATGCACCAACTTATACAGGATTACCACACAACCAAGGGTGTTTAGATCACAGAAGTTTGGGCTGGAGAAAAAACATCATTAAAAACCCTCAAACTTTTGTTGGTTGTTTTTATGTAATCCACGGACATCAAAAATCAAATTCATCAATATTGGGTATTAAATGATCTTAATTATAAGAATATATTTCTTTAAACCAGGCTTAGGAAGTTTGTGATATGTTAATGTCTTTTTCTTGAGTTTGGAAATAAATATGTATCATCACTTTTAAATGTATTATCATGTCAACAATTACTTTCAAACTAGTTTTTTTTTCTGTTTTTCTTCTCCTTTTTTTGATATTGGCATTTGAAGGCCATCAGCTTATTAAATAATAACCTTTTATTCAACTGGTCATTTAAATCTCCAGTTTTTCTTGAGTGGCAGAATGGTGAAATGGAAGCTATTTTAGACTAGAGATAAGACAAATGAGAGAGTCAGACCAATGTTTTTGTGGCCAGACTTTGCTTCCCTTTAAATTGGGGGAAAGGAAGAGGAGGAAATATGAATAACTTCTGAAATATCTTCCAATGTAGTCAACAATGACATAGGTAATATTTACTGAGCATTTACTCCTCGGTAGGCATCGAGCTACGTGTTGACATATTCTCAAGCAAACCTCACAACAACTCCTTGGTATAGGCCTATTAGTATTGTTTAATTTTCTGTCAGAGAGAAATGAAGCTTAGAGAGGAACTTGCCAAAATTCAAAGCTGGTATGTACTAGAACCAGGATTCAAATCCATGGAAGTCTATTCTGTGTTCTTTTGTGTAATGTTTACTCATCAGTGGACCCTACTTTATATGGGTAGGCTCTAGTAGCCTAGCATCTGAACCTGGGATGATCGAGGCAGAGGAATATTGTCTCCTGGAGTGTGCCGGTCAGATAGACGAGATGTGACCCTGGACTGGTTATTTTTTACATCAAAGACGATGCTTCCTGAGCTGTTTGTTGTCTCTAAGAATTGACTAGGCCGAGCGTGGTGGCTCACGCCTGTAATCCCAGCACTTTGGGAGGCCGAGGCGGGCGGATCACGAGGTCAGGAGATTGAGACCATCCTGGCTAACCTGGTGAGACCCTGTCTCTACTGAAAATACAAAAAATTAGCCCAGCGTGGTGGCGGGCGCCTGTTGTCCCGGCTACTCGGGAGGTTGAGACAGGAGAATGGCGTGAACCTGGGAGGAAGAGGTTGCAGTAAGCCGAGATCGCGCCACTGCACTCCAGCCTGGGCGACAGAGCAAGACTCCGTCTCAAAAAAAAAAAAAAATTGACTAGCTCTGGAAGGGGCAGTCTCCATAGCCAGAAAGGTTTTAAGATGTTAAAACATTATATTCCAGAGTCTATAAGTTTTAAGTATTCTCCAATATCACTTCTTGTATTCTAAAAAAATTGTCAGTGAGAAATTAGTAACAAAAAATATATTACAATGTGCAAACACCTTTTCATGTTGTTGAAATGTATGAGATTGATCAGTTGCTTTACAAGTCCATTAAACAACATTATTAACTATGCTTCTAGATGCAAATAGCTTTGAATGTAAAAACATTACAACAATAATATAAAGAAATTGAAGTGTTACTGGATCCTGACAAAAAGTCTCTCCTTGACTATACTTTAGTCAGGCTCCTCTTAATACTCTTCTCAACTATATATCAACTTTTGGGCTGCTTTGTCCACCTTTGCATCGCCCAGTTTTAACAAAAATTCTGCTAAATTGGTTTAGCCACAATCCCCCGCTTATCCCTAATGTTTCCTCTTAATAATTTTTCATCCAATGACTTCTACTCTTTATTTTGGCTATGAAGTCTCACTTTTTCTTGTTGTGTTTTGAGTTGAGCCCAATCTCTGTCCCTTACTGCAAAACCCCATAGCAGTAGTCCCCATACTTATTGCAATAGTCCTGAATAAAATCTACTTTACATTTTAACAAGCGTCATGAATAATGTTTTAAACAGTATTCAAAACAGTAGCAATTGAAATTGGCCCTGTGTAATAAGATAACATATATTTTGGAATCAGACTGATTTGTATTTGAATTTTGGCTTTTCCATCAACTAGTTTGATATGTTATCGAATGCTATTGACCTCAGTTTTCTCATCTGTAAAATGCAGAATGAACTGTAGGCAGTCATGGGTCACACACTTGTCAGCAAGTAACTGACCCGTATTTCAATCTCAAGTTTCACACCAAAGCCATTTCAGCTGTCTTAGAGAAAATTACACTCCAAGCGAGATTAAAAATGTCAAAGGGCACCTAAATATCAGCACAAGTTCTGAACAAATGTAAAGAAAGATAATTTGTTGTGGGGAGCAGAGAGAACACACTTTAGAAAACTTTTCTCATATATTTCATTCCATGGGATGCCATTCTATTGCTGCCTAATTTTAATTTATCATTGGAGGGAGACTTTTGAAATTAAATATCAATGAAATGTATAAGATTTACCATATTACCTTGTCCTGTTTGAATCCTGAAATATCCTTACTGTCATTGTTTTATTAAAGACACATGTTTAATGTGATGTCATTTTATGAAAGCTAATGATTGAAAAGGAGAAAAAATGATTTTCTTTTGATAATACTTTTGGCAAATCACATCATATGAGTTAATATATGTTGAGAGTGGAAAATACCCATCCTAAGGTATATAAAATCTTGGGTTTGGTGACAATGATTTGATATAAAAATATGCCTAGGAATATGAAGGGTCAAGGGTAAGCTATTACAGACAAAAGAATGTTAGAATATGTTTTAGAAACTGAATGTCGCAGAAAACATTTTTCAACTTCAGTAGGAACCTTAGTTTGTCTTTAGACATCACAATTGTGCACAAATGTTTCAGGCTTAGGCTGCAAGGTAAGTGAAACTTCCTTTAAAAAAGACAGGAAGGAAGTAATAAAGGAAGAGAAGGAAAGAGAAAAGTGACAAATTGAAGAGGAGAGGCTCAGAGAAAGACATAAAGACAAATCAATGCTGTTATCTTACTGAAACATTTACTATATTTAAGTACTTCAAAAATACTTAGGTTTTTTTAAACAAAATTAATTATACTTCATTATGCATATATAAAAGGAACTTAAGTATAAATGACTGAGAACTTGACTATGCCTCTGAGTTACCTAATAAGTTACCAGCATTTTACTCATTCATTCTTTCTTTGTTTATTCTTCTATCTCTCCACTCATTCATCATTCATTCATTGAATATTTGGTTTCCTAATCCTCCCAGACAAAGCTAGTAAGTTTAGTTCCCGGTCTTTATGACCCCATCATAAATCTTTTGTGGCAGATATATGATAAGTAAGTGTATTTCCCTGACCTTTGTGGAAACTTAGCGTATCCTTAGACATCAGTAAATTATCTCTCTCCCAGGACTGAGACCATCTGAGGGTTGAGGGGTGGGTCTTATCCATAGGTAATGGGCTAACGACATCTGCTTTGGAAGAAGAGCTTTGCTGACTACTTTGAGTATTATAGTTTCCAGGGTGTTTTTGCAGAAAGCTAAGTCATCCTTCTATTTTATTTTATTTTTAAAATTTAAATTTCCTCTAGGTAATGGTGGTTCCACTAATTCTGCTAAAAGTACCTTTAACCCTTAGTGCAGAGGTTGTTGTAATGTGCTTCCTTATGAACAAGCATTAGCTGACATTTACAGATATCCGAGTTTGAGAAATAGGTCCCATGTTGCTTATTCCTTGATAGTGAGACTAGAGCAATAGTATATCCTGTCCTAGGCAGAGTGTCGGGCTCCCCAGGGTGCACACCGAGTAGAATTGTTTTGCCTTATGACATCGTCTTTTGTTTGCTTAGTTGCTCTTATTTCCTCCTCCTTTCCAATAAATTCAGTATCATGTTACAGTATCCTATAACAGTTTTCATGGCTCAAGGTTTTGTTTTTTCCTTCCAACAAAGACTCTTGAAAAATCAAGACAATACGCTCTCGGAAATTATAAGCAAAAAGCATATCAGGTTTAACAGACTATGGGCAATTAACATCAAGGGTATCTACATAGTCTGATATCTATAGATTTCCTTTAAATGATTCATAACAACAAAAATTAACATGTTATAAAATGCATTTACATAAAGTCTTTTAGATGGAGATTGCTTATATACAGTCCACATATTAAAAAATTAAAAAATAAATATTAAAACCTAATGAGTAAAGGCAGAAATTAAAGAGATAGAAATGTAATTTCAGAAGGCTGAATGGCAGGATTTCACAAGCTGGCACCATCATTTGAGTTGTCAATTTAGTAGATCCAGTAAGTTGATATTTTCCACACAGTTAGAACCAGGGCAAGGCTCAGAGCCTCATGCCTGTAATCCTAGCACTTTGGGAGGCCTAGGCAGGACAATCAGTTGAGGCCAGGGGTTCGAGACCAGCCTGGGCAATATGGTGAAATCCTGTATCTACAAAAAATACAAAAATTAGCTGGGTTTGGTGATATGCACCTATAGTCCCAGCTACTCAGGAGGCTGAGGTGGGAGGATTGCAAGAGCCTGGGATGTCGAGGCTGCAGTGAACTATAATCGTGCCACTGCACTCCAGCCTGGGGGACAGAGTGAGACCCTATCTCAAAAAAGAAAAAAAAAATCAGTTCCAACGTGGTTGATTAGCTATTATTCAAACTCACAAGAGACAACATATTCATTTAGTATGGAGCCAGAAAGTTACCCCGTTATCTGCTACCCATACTACTTCCCTTCCCATACCCACACACTGGGGAAGTCAAACTAGTCATCAAAACACAGCTTGGTCAGAACTAATCCAAAGCAAAGGGAATCAGACTGATTTGTACTTGAATTGGTACTCTTGCAACCTTGACAGTGGGGGTTTAATACATCACTGGGGTTCAAGATACTCTGCTACTTACTAGCTATGACCTTGGGCAAGTTACTTACCTGGTAAGTGTCTCAGTTTCCTCATCTAAAAAAATGGGAATAATAGTAGTACCTACTTCATGATGTTGTTTTGAGAATTAAATGAGTTGAGGGAGTGTATAAAGTGCTGTTATCAATACCTAGTACATAGTAAATGCTGTATGTGAGCTCATTTGCATTAGTTGTGGGAGGCATTTCGGGCAAAAATGAAGAAAACTCTCTATGTGCACCTCCCTTTTATGGCCAGATTATTCATATGTGCTGGGTTCCTTGGAAAGATATTTTTCCCTTTTTGTTACAAAGTGGCAAGGTGAAACCAAAACAGAAAGAGGATAAGTATGCTTCAGGGATAGAAGTCTAAATTCAAGAAATCCATATAGAACATCTCTGCTCTCTGACTTCAACATTTAATTAATTTCAATGGATTACATTGCTAATACTTCCTAATTGGGTCAACTGGACTTCACCACTGTTCCCTCATCTCTCCGAAACCTATTTGTGTAAGGAACTGTGCAAGGTGTCTTACAAATGGAGTTGGACAATGGCTTTAGTGAATTCTATAAATTGGATTCTGTACATCTGTAAATTATGCTGACAGGCACTTCTATAACACAATGAGGTCAAAACAGTCTCACCGAAAATGGTCTTTTCATGCTGTATCCAACCCAAAAACGGCGAAAGGATCCTAAAGGTACCATGGCATATGTGCAGAAAAAGTTGATAAATTCAATCCAAGACAATGGTTACCTTTCAGCCAATTTTAAAGGGACTACCTAATACAAATCTTAAAACTTATAGTAATAGTACCTTAATTAAAGATATTTTATGAAGAACCTACTATGCGAAAATATACTGTGTTACACACTGTAAAGTAAAAGAAAATTATTAAGATACAGTTCATGATTTTAGAGAGTTTGCAGTTTAAAAGAGAGACCAAAATATGCATGCAATTGACTAAAGGAAACAAAACAGAGTATAAATGCCATGAGTCAGAGGCAAAGTTTAGACTGAAAGAACATAGCTGGACTGAATTGATATTCTAAAATTCAATTCATTCATTTAATTGCTATTTCTGGAGTATCTACTATGTGCCAAGTCATGAGACATAGCTGTTCCCACAAAGGGGTGCTAATATCTATAAACTCAATTTTTGACTAGTTTCCAGGTTACAGGGTAGAGAGCAGAAATAGCTTCAGCTTTAGAGTTAGAAAAACCTGAACTAAAACCTTGCCCTACCAATGATACATTGGGTGACTTGGGTAAATAATTTGTCATCTCTTAGCTTCATGTCAGATATCAGAGTGTCATCTTTGATTTCCTCCTCTAACTTCATCCTTCATTTAGTTAATCAACATTAGTCCTTTACTATGTCTGGAATCCATCCCATCCCCGTTAACCCTATATCTTAAGTCCTAACAATAACCCCATGATTTGTTACAGATTCTGTAGCCTAACAAGTCACTTCTCATTATCCACAAGATGTAAGTCTATTGTTCTTAACAAGGCATTTAGGACTTTCAATGAGCTGAACTCTGCTTACATTTTTAACCTCACATGAAAATAATACTCCTCCACATATACTTTACATATCTTTAACTACCAGCCTGTTGGGTGTCTCTGTGCCTCTGTACATGCTATCTTTTTTAAAAAAGAAATAGAATCTTGCTTTGTTTAGGCTGGAGTGCAGTGGTGCAATTACTGCAACCTCAAACTCCTGGGCTCAACAGATCCTCCTACCTCAGCCTCATGAGTAGCTGAGACTACTATTTTATTGTTAATAGAGACAAAGTCTCGCTATCCTGCCCGGGCTGGTCTCAAATTACTGGGCTCAAGTGATCCTTCTGTCTTGGTCTACCAAAGTGCTGGGGTTACAGGTGTGAGCCACCAAGCCCAGCATCTGATGCCATTATTTATATATATGCCGATTGCCTCAACAAGACGAAGCAACTGAGGACAAAGACAAAGCCTTTCACCTTTGAATTCCCAGTCTTAACATAATGTCTGTCACTGAGAAGCTATGCAATAAATGTTTATTGTAGTAATGAAGCCATGTTTAGGGATAAATAGAAAGAACCAAGAAGTGCTTTATGAAGGAGGTGATATTTAATGTTGGCCTTGAAAAGCTTTGAAAATACTCCCTGAATTTTAAATGTGCAATTTTGGGATGCTCAGAGTTTTAACATACATAAATGGGTATGCATATCCTCATGTTGCTCTTCTTTCTTTGTCTCTTGCTCTCTTTCTTCCTTTCTTTCTTTTGACTGAGTCTTGTTGTATGGCCCAGCCTAGATGCAGTGGCACACTCATAGTTCACTGCAGCCTCAAACTGCAGCTCAAGGGTCCTGCTGTCTCAGTTTTCCCAGTAGCTGGAACTATAAGTGTGCACCACTATGCCCAGCTAATTAAAAAAAACAATTTGTTTTAGAAATGGGGTCTTTTTATGTTGCCCAGTCTTGAACTGCTGGCCTCAAGTGATCCTTCCACATAATTGGGATTACAGACGTGAGCCTTTGTACTTGGCTTCATTCTCTCTTTAAAACATACACATTTTGCCAGCTGAAGCTTTGTCTCTTCTATTCAAAGCCCTAAGTGCAATAGTCTGAGCATGGTGAAGACTTAATAAGTGTCTTTATTTCATTTAAAGAAGCATCCTCCTGATGCCTCTTAAAAGAGAAAGACTCTTGATTTCAGGAAGCGTACCATCTTGGTACCTTATGTGGTATCAAAAATAGTAGGCTTTTTAGCTGGGTCATAGATGGCCTTCCTTATGGCTCTACGCTATACCTTTTAGCAAATAGAAATGTTGGTATTCACTCTGTGTATTTAATTTCTCCTGGACACATTAAAAAATACATAAGTAAATATACCTTCGAACCAAAATGGAAAGCACGAGGCAACCCTGGACACCTCACTGCTATTTAACTTAACCCTCCCTAGGCAGATCATATGAGTCCGATTGTAAAAGTATTAATGTGGACATCTTTCCACTCTGGATCAAGTCCATTTCAGGTTATCAGGGATGGTTAAGCTCCTAGCTATTCTAGCAGATTTCTTATGTCTTAATGCATGAAATTAATAATAGTTCCTGGGATATTCCACACTTATCTATTACATGTTTCCACATATTTAAAATACAGAAGGAAAACATGAACACCAATAAAGAAACTATGAGTAACAGAAATCCAGAACACAGTGAAGAAAGAAAGAAAAAAATATATACTGCTGCAGTCAGCTTTTAGGAAAACTGTTTCCATCATTCTGAAAATTTATATTTATTAGAAATAAATCTAATTTTGGCAGCACATCATGGTTAGGAGCCAGGGAAATTGTCATTGGGACCTTAGTATTGTATTTCACAAGAAAGAGAGCTCTGTGAGGAAGCCTGGGCTATCTGCAAACCTTCGACTCGGAAATCCCTGCATAATAAGAAAGGTATTGGCTAAATTTGAGCAGCTCACGCAGTATCTAGAGGAAACATTATGAAGTGGGATAGTGTGGTGTCTGAGATGCAGTTATAGGTATACAGACATGACTCAAGGCGTGGATTAGGAAGGCCAACTTTGGAGGGGAGGGCTGGCTCGCTCATTTCTCTTCTCCCTGTCAAATGCTGAAAGGCTGGTTCCAGCCTTTGAGCTCCTGCACTTTGAGAGTTTTCAGCTGGGTTCTCAGGCTGCGTTCACCCGTCGACTTGCTCCAGGCCAAACCAGATTTTGAAAAGGAAGGCAACTTCTTTTTCGCGGCAAACCCTTAAACCCACGCACCTTCTCAAAACTCTGCCCTTCTCAACCCCTGCGCTAGAGTAGGCAGGGCAGAAGGTGCTGAGGAGAGGCTCAGAAGGGGCGGTGGGGACGATCCCCTTTCGAACTGCATTTGTAGCTGCCAAGGAGTAGCCAACAAGCACCAGATTTATGTGCACTTTGAAAGAAGCACCTTCACCATTGGCTTTTTAAGCGGCGCTGTCGCTAGGGAGCGGCTGGTAGGGCGAGCAGCCTCGGGGAGCAGCCCGGGCTGTTTGTTCCGTCACCGGGGAAAGGAGGTACACACAGTCGCGCGCGCACGGACACACACACACACGCACGCACGCACACACACCGGTGGCGAGTTCGAGCCCCGCGGCCCCTGTCCGCCCGCGTGCGCCCCTCGACACAGCTCGCCTCCCGCCCCCTGATTCCTGCTGCTGCCGCCCAGAGGAGAAAGGAACCTCTGCCTCGAATTTCCCCACTGCGCCGGGCGCTGCGGAGAGCGGCGAGGGTGGGCGCGAGGCGGAGAACGCGATGAATGAGTTCTCCCCTCGCCTCGGAGTTGTCTGAGTTGGCGGCGCTGCGCCCAGGCTTCCGGCTCTCAGCGCCCCACGCGCGCGTGGCTCCCCGGGCTGCCACCCACGCCCGCGGCCGGGGCCGAGCCAGCCACGCAGGGCAGCCGAGGCTCCGGAGCTCCTGTCCCGGCCCCAGTCCGGGTAAAAGGAGGGTTGTCCCCAGCGGAGGCGCACAGCCGCGCGTTCTCCCTGCACTCTCTTCGCGGTCCCATCTGTTCCCCATGGCGTCTCATCCGCAAACCCGGATCCAGGCTTACCTGGAGAAGAACAAGATCGGTCCCCTGTTTGAGGTAAGGCGCTGTGGAGGAGGGCAGTCCCGTTGTCTTTAGGGGAAGGGGTGCAGTAATGAAAACAGAACACTCCCAATCCCACCCCTCCCAGGGAAGGAGGGCTAGAGAACCAACGCGCGGGAGAGGGCGCCCTGGGATTCACTGGCATTCGCTCTGTCCCGGCCAGGTGTCCTGGAACGCGGCCGGGCGGGCACTTAGCCAGTTACCTGAACGCGGACAGGTGAGCTCGGGAGGGCCCAGCCTCAGCCTGGCAGGGGAAGTTTTGGCCCTCTGACTGTCCTGCACCTCTCAGCTACATGTTCAGGACCCGGGCAGGCTGAGGCAGGCGACGCATACGGATGCACACACTCAGACTGTGTTGCACACGCACACTTTCTTTTTTGAATTCACGCTATCTTGAGTGTTCGTGTTGGATTTTCTTTTTTCTTTTCTTTTCTTTCCTTCTTTTTTTTTTTTTTTTTTTTTTTTTTTTTAATGAGGGCGGTAATAGAACCCGAAAAGGTGGAGGAGGTGCTTAGCAGTTAATACAATTAACTGGAAGACAGCTGAACTGGTGAGGAGTAGGCTTCAGTCGGTGCGGGCGTGATGAATGAAATTGGCAAACTGAGAGACTGCCATTTGGTCACTGGACGAAAGGAGAGTCCTTTGCACTGCAGACCCCACATGTGTTAGCAGGAGAAAGGGACGGAGAAAGGTTCTGAAAAGCACACACGTATTTGTGGAAGAAGACTATAGCTCTGAGCTGGTTTTGTTTTTTTTTCTCTCTCTCGCCATTAAAGAATTTAAGACAAAAATACAGTAGAAGGAAGAGCGCGAGGACACGAGAAAATGAGAACAAGAGATTGAAGCCTGGCACCAGCAAAGCGTCCCGCGGGTTGCCAGGGTGCTGAGCAGGGGTGGGGCGTGCGGACCGTAGTCAGAAGTGGAGGCCCTTGCGGAGGGACTCCCTTGGTCCCATCCAGTTCAGGGGGCACTGACCGGCGGCGAGAGTTCGCGGGAGGGTCGAGGTGCTCCCGCCTTGCCCCCGCCTTGCCCCCGCCTTGCCCCCGCCCCCCACGTCTCCCAGAAGCAGTTGTAGCTGTTCTTAACAGCTTGGTTTGGGGTGAGGGCTTGGTATGGGGAGGAGGTTACGTGTCAGTGTCTGAGAGAGGCAGAATCGCGGCAAGTGGAAGGGGCTGCACTGGAGATCGCGGAAAACCTAGCAAAGACTGAAGAGAAGCAAGTGAGAACTGTGGAGAACAAAAAAATAATGCGAGTTAATGACCCTGCAAAAAAAGGGCGCGGAGGACAAAGGTGTGGTCCAATAGGTCTTTTGGGAGGACGGGTTTCACATAACAAGATTTGCAAGATCTCCTAAGTTTTTTTGCCCAACTTTAACGTTGATCTGTCTTAGACGATAAGACCATTGTTTCAATTGAAGCTCGCATTGTGGGGTGCAGAGTCCTACAATTGCTTTGATTCTTTTTTCTGCCAAAAATGTTAACAAAGGCAATCCATGCAAGAGCGAAATAAAATTGATGGAACTACCAGATTTCTTTTCTTTGCCTTTAGTTTAATGATTATTGATTATACATAATCCTATATAATTTTTTTAAAGGCAGAAGCCTAAAACCTTCTGCAACGCAGTGTATTAATTGCATCGAAAGAATCATAAAATACATACATTTAGAGTGTGTGTTTTCTCTCTACTCTCCTGGAGTATAAAGTACAATTAGCCTGGGAGAATAAATGAATTGTTTTTAATAAATACTGTTTTAATTTGTTATCTTAAAATCCCCAAGATTTTAATAATAATAAAATTAGGAATATATGTAAACTTTCTGCAGAATTAGAAAATAAACTCAAATGGATATTTATGAAGTGCCCCCTAACCCCCACCTTTTGATGCTCACCAGCAAGTTATGCGCTGAAGAATTTTAAGTGATAGCAACGTGTCTCATAAAAGCTTTAGGTCCCCTCACCAAAAAACAAGCACCACCATGCTTCGTATTTTATTGAATACATATGACATACACTGGCATTAGCTTAGATTGCAGTGATGAGTAGTGCATTTTTTAAGGTTTGATGTCCACTTTAAATAATTGAAGGGAGAAAAATGGATAATAAATTCTCTTTTAATAAAAGCTGGATGTAACACAGTTCCTTATGCAACAATTTTGATCATGATAGAGCTTGACTTTGAGAGTACAATTATACGTATTTCACAAAATTGGAAGATTTTACTAGCGTGTAGCCTACTTGTTTCATGTTAGAAAACCAGTGCCACCTGTGAAATGGACATTGTTGACCTAGAGACCGTCCATTCTCTTCTAGGACCTTACTCAATAGTTTTCACAGGAATTGATTTGGGTCAGAGGAGGTGCCCAGCAATCTGAACATATTTAGAAGCAGCACAAATGTTTGCTACAATTTTAATTTCTGGGCCACATTTTGAGAAACTGAGCTAAAATCTCCTTTTACCACTCACAAATTGAAATTGGCCGCTTCATGTCTTGTCATCTATGCTTTGTTGTGTTGAGTCAGTGTAGCTGACACAGGCTTCTTTCAGTTTGGAAAATATGCGGTATCTGATAATATGTCCCCCTTGTGGATAGTTTAAGTTAGGAATGTTTTAAGAAAACTTAATTGGTATGAGATACTTTAAAGATAATCTATGAATGTTTTTTAAAACAATAGCAAAAAGTAACCTATTCACTGATATTGAGAATACTTGATCCTCTTTTTTACCTGTAGGGCTTATTTACCTAGTTTGTTCACTTAGTTTATTTCTTACTTAGTTTATTGCTAATATTTTATGATTTGAGATGCTTATTAAAGTGTTACATGCAGTATGGTGTTTCAAAATTTATTTTAAATTGAAATTAATTTTGTTTCCAGCTGACTCAGGTGAATAAATTTGTACTACTTTTAAATTTCATTGAAGATGTTTTGGAGCATTACAAAACTATGCCTAAAAATCATTGCATTAGAATTCTGGACAATGATATTCTGATTAGATAATATGAAGGTGTAAGATGAAAAATACATTTCACAAACTTTCTAATTTTTGTAAGATGTAATGGTTTACATCTTACAAGATAAATATTTGTAATATATATAAATATTATATATAGTGGAATATATATATTCCATGTATGTTTGTGTACACACACATTTTATATAAAGAAATAGAAACTTTTGAGTTTCTCCCATTATTGATTGGAAGAGTGCTCAGGGCAGTTATATATCTTGGTTCAGGCCTGATCACACTCACAAGAGTGTGAAATCTTAAGTTACTAAGAAGCCAAATAGTGGGGATCTTCATAAAATCACCATGGAATTTTTAAATTTGTGTACTGAAGATGTGGCAAACAAAAGTCACTACATTTCTCTAAGTATGGTATGACCCACTCCAAATAGAATGGAATCACTATCACCTTCTCTGTTCCACTCAAAGTGCTTCTACTCACATGGTGTAAATTTGCATTAACTGATTTGGCATATATGTTATAAAATGGACTTATCAAACTTATGATCAAAGCCTGCATCACTTATATATTTTGCTGTTGCCCAGCTTGCTCTTCTCTGGTACCCCACGGCACTTCTTCCAGCCATGTATGCAACCCTGAACTCCAATTTGCTGCCAACCCTCAGCAAGCCCATTATTTCACTTTATTGACCTCCCTGATCATATCTAAAAAATGCTCCTTGCGTTTATCAGAGAGCTGTAGTGTCTGCGGAGATCTCCTTTCGTTGTTCCCCCTCTCATAAGGATCACAGCCGTGGGCTACCTGTTATTTAATACATGAAAAGAAATATTTTTGTCTAATTTAGGCAGGCTTATGATTGTTTAGGGCAGTTGTTTGGGGATAAGAAGGATACTAGTTACTCACTTATGGCCAGAGGTAAAATACCCCTCCAGAAAGATATTTTAATGTTTAAAAATAATTTGTCGTTAATAAAGGTAAAAGTGTCATTTTAATAAAAATGATTAGGAAAATGCTTTTATTAGAGAAGTAATAAAATATAAGCTTGGTAGTTATAATATGTTCAACTTAAATATTGTAAATATATTTTTTGGAGTAATGATTGTCAGGTGATCTTCCCCAGTGCTCAAAGTTATGAAGACTTTTCCTATATCAAAATTTGCATTAATCTTTATAATCTCAGAGCATTTAGAGGAGGCAGAAGACAAAGCAGTTCCATTTTATAAAATTTTGCCTAGAGTCCAAGTTAAGTGTTGTCATTGACTTACTTCAAAACAGTTTTTTAAAATGTTACTTTAATTAACATGTTTCTATTACCAGCCCATTTATTTTTCATTTCTGCCTTAATGTATTTTATTTTCATGCAGCTTTTAAATAGCTTAATAAAGTGACCCAAAATTCAATTCAATAAATCACTATATAACCTTAGAAATAGTAATATGTACATATACCAATATGGCATCAATAAATTTGAAAAAAGAAATAATATTTTGGGCAGGCATGGTGGTTCATGCCTGTAGTCCCAGCACATTGGGAGGCTGAGGCAGCTGGATCACTTGAGGTCAGGAGTTTGAGACCAAAGACCAGCCTGGCCAACACAGTGAAACCACATCTCTACTAAAAATTCAAAAATTAACCAGGCATGGTGATGCACACCTGTAATCCCAGCTCCTCGGGAGGCTGAGGCAGGAGAATTGCTTGAACCCAGGAAGTGGAGGTTGCAGTGAGCCAAGATTATGCCATTGCACTCCAGCCTGGGCAACAGAGGGAGACCCCATTACAAAAAAAAGAAAAAAAATAGTATTTTAATATTTGTGGGTCTCTCTTAAGAGAATGTGATCAATGGAAATATGAGACTACAAAAATAACATAGGCTTTCCTCCCTTTTTTTTTTCATAATTCAATTAAGAAGCCATGAACCATACAAAGAGAACAGCTAAGACTACAGCTAAGACCCATATGACAAGGAGAGCTAAGTTGGGAGTTCACCTGGAAAGTATCAGAGCACAATTAAAGAAAGGGGCTGAGTGGGCAGTGGCCTGGCAGGGTCAGAAGATTTGTTACGTACAAGGTGGGGGCAGGGTATTCAGAAAATAATTAAATATATTGAAAAAATATATATTCAAGTCAGCCTTCTTACTGATGGACATAGGAGTCACAGAGATAGTATAGGGAAAGCTAGAATGAACCTTGTTGTGTTGGATTGAAATTGGAGGTGTTGGTGTGATCTCATGACTTTCAATAATAGAAACAGGTATAGATGTAATAGAAACAAATATAGATTTGTATGTATTTACATATACTTAAGTGCATATACCTACATTTACTTCCCAACTCTGTCTACTGGAAGGGCCTGGGAATAACAACATCCTGGTAGCAATGAGCACACCTAGCATCCACATTTTGGTTTCTAAATACCATTCTCCATTAAGTAGAACCAGGTGTCCTTGAAGAAATGGTTGATTCCAGGTTTGGGGCTAAGCAAGGTTTGGAGTATCATATGTCAAAAAGTAAGGAAGAGCTCAAAGAATAGTAGGTATGTATCAAAGGACACAGAGGATGTGCCTACCCCTAAGACAACTTGAGGGTCAAAATAAAGAATGATAGTAACAGATTATTTTACTGAATAAAATAGGAATATTTTACTTCACTGGGATCTAATGGAATGTGGAATGTGCTTAATTCATGGGGAGAAGAGAAAACTTTACCTTATAGTAGAATGCCAACTAATAAAAGTAGAAGGATGATGGAATTAGAAAATTACTACTTGGCAACCATCTGAAAGATAATTCAGGCAAGAAACATTAATCAGTACTAAAATTAATGGGTAAAAGTTGGATAAACAATAAGATGTTACATAATCTCTAAGTATCTTCCTACAAAATACTTGTAAATTATAAAGGGAAAAAGTGACTTTACAGTAAAGAAACCTGGCAGACACTACTTCGTTCAAGTGATGGGATAAAGCAATATTGTATGCCCATGATAGGATGCATTTAAAACAACACAGCATTGTTTTGTGATTTTCCTGACAATCATGTATAACCTGAACTGAATAATGAGAAAATATCTTATAAAGCTAATAGAGAAAATCTACAAAGTAACTTTTCTAGAGTTTTCAAAAATGTTAAAGTCATGAGGGTCAAGAGAGGCCTCAGACTGAAGGGACATGGCAACTAAGTGCAAAATATGGTTCTAGATATAATACTTCTGTTATGAAAGAGATTATTGGGAAAGTTGACAAAATTTGAATGTGGTCTCTATGTGAATGGAATAAGGAATTGTTTGTATTGTTCCTATACTTTTTCTATAATTTAAAATTACCTTAAAAGAAAAATTACTAAAAATAATTTTAAAGAGCACCTAGGGAATCAGTATTTGCAAAATAGTTCACCTATTGGGTTTCTTTAAACAGTAAATTATGTGAATGTAGTTCAGAATTTCATCAATGTTTATACGAGGAAATGGCTTATACAATAAATAGCTACAAATCTGAGTAAAGACAATTTGCAATTCTGGTTAACTAAGCATATGCATTTTCCTCTTCTCCCTCTCAAAATCATTTTGAAATATCTGAAAAAAATATTTAAACAATAAATGCACAAGAGTGCTGGAACATAAGAAAGAGTGCTGAGGGAGACACTTTCTCCTTTGTGTACAGAATTTCTTTATTACAAATGGTGGCATCTTCTTTGCACCTATATATAGTCAGTGACACAGAGTCAATGATGTGTTTTCTTAGTTTTTCTGCTGCTATTACACAATGCCTTTATTTCTCACAGATCTGGAGGCTGGGAAGTCCAAGATCATGGTGCTGGCATTTGGTCTGGTGAGGGCCCTCTTACTTTGTCCTCATATGGCAGAAGGCAGAAGGCAAGCTAGCCCAACACTGTATGAAGCCTCTTTTAAAAGGTCTCTAATCCCATTAATGAGGGAGCAGCTTTCTTGGTCTAATCATCACTTAAAGACCTCACTTATAAACCCCTTCAGATTGGCAACATATGAATTCTGAAGGGGCCACATTCAAACCACAGCATATGTAGTGAAAACGTTGTTTGGAATTTCCTGGAAATTACCTTAAAATGCATTGTCTCAGTTGGAACAGGCTCCTCATATGCCCTTCCTACTGTCTAGAAGCCTGTTTGTAACTCCTCTTCTCCTTACTCCTTCTGCATCTTCAGGCAATGACTGATCTCCTTTTTGTCACTATGGATTAGGTTTCATTTTTTAGAGTTTCATGTATATGAAATCACACACTATGCAAATTTTTTGGTATATCCTCTTTAACATCTTTAAGTTAATAATTATTAACCTAATTATTTTAATATTCATCCATGTTGCAGCATGTTACCAATTTTTATTTCCTTTTATTGCTGAGTTGTATTCCGTATGGCTATGTGCTTTCATTTTTCTTATGTAAATACCTGGAGTGGATTGACTGAACCATATGGTAGGTATATGTTAAATTTTTAAATAAACTAGTTATTAAAGTGGATGTACAATTCTACATTTCTGTGAACAGTGTATAGGAGTTCCAGTTGTTCCATATCCTCACCTAATCTTGGTATTGTCAGTCTTTTTAGCCAGAAACCCATTAGCCATTCTAATAGGTTTGTAATGATATCTCATTGTTATATTAATTTATACTTCTCTGATCTCTAATGCAATGAATTTTCTTTTCTTGTGATTATTTGCCTTCCGTATATCTTTGGTGATGTGTCTGTCCAAATATGTTGCCCATTTTTATTTGGGTTGTTTTGGGGGTTTAAGAATTATATGTTCTAGATCCTTTTCATTTTCATATAAATTTTAGGATCATTTTGTTAATTTTCATATAAAAATACCTGCTGGAATTTTGATTCAGATTGTGTTGAATTTATAGGTGCTGTTAGGCAGAATTGACATCTTAACAACTTTTAGTCTACGTAGAAAATTAGAGGGTATCTACAAAAAAGAGACAATAAATAATAAGTAAGTTTATTAAGGTTTTAGATGCAAGGTATCTTTTACAATTACCTGTTTATGTAATAGGTAATCAATTACATATTTATGTTCAAGCAAACAACCATCAGAAGTTAAAATAGTAAAAGTACCATTTATAATGGTATTAAAATATGAAATACTTAGGAATTAAATTTTAAAAAGATATGTAAGACCCCTACACTAAAAAGTATAAAAACTCTTAAAAAAAAGTTAAAGAATATCTAAATAAATGAAGAGTTGTATTCTTATTTATGCATAGGAAAACTCAATACTATTAATATGTTGAATTATATATGCTACCTGACTTCAACAGTCATTAAATCAGTTATAAGTAAAAGAAAAGGCAGTGCAGTATTGGTGTAAATTGAAATGGATTATTACCTAAATGTAAAACCTTTTTTCTTCTCAAAGAGAGTGTAGGAGATAATTTTTGTGAGCTTGGGTTTGGAAAATATTTCTTAAATATGACAGAAATATATAAACTGTAAAAAAATCAATAAAATGGACTTATTTAAAATTAAACATTTGTTCTTCAAAAGGCAATTGTTAAGAAAATGAAAAGGCAAACCAAAGATAGACTATATATCTGAAAAAGGACTCCTGCCTATTATATATAAACAATACTTTTCTTAAAACACTATGATAAGAAGAGAAAAAACAATTCAATAAATAAACAACATAATTGAATAAAAACTTTTCATAAGAAGATGTATAGGTGGCAAAGTAAGGGAATGAATAGCTGCTCAATATCATTAGGGAAATATAGCTAAACCCACTACCCATTTATTAGAATGTCTGAAGTTAAAAAGACTGACTTTAATAAGCATTGGTGAAGATTTGAAGCAATTAGAACTTTTATATACTGACAGTGGGAATGCAAAATGGTCCAACCACTTTGGAAAAAAGTTTGGCAAGTGAGGTTTATTTCTAGTAGCCCCAAATTGAAAATAGGTGGATTGATACGTTATTGGATAAAAAATTTGCATACATACATATAATATAATACTATTCTTAAATAAAAACATGAATTAATGATGCACGCAGTAACACAAATGAATCCTGAATTATGCTGAGTGAACAAAGCCAGAGGAAAATGAGATGAAATAAGCAGAAATTTATTTTCTGAAAGATTAATAAAATTGACCAAGCTTTAGCAAGACTGACAAAGGAAAAAGAGAGAAATCTCAATTCAAAAACAGGAATGAAATGAGAGATCACTATGGACTGCAGACATCAAAAGAATAATAAGGAAATACTAGGGATGACTCTATGCACATAATTGACAACTTAATTGAAATAGACAAAGTCTTTGAAAATACAAATTGGACAATTCATGGAACATGAAGTATATAATTGAATTGAATTTACATTTTGAAAACTCCCCAAGAAAAGATCTTCCAGCCCAAACCAATTCAATGAAGATTATCATCAAATATTTTAAAAATAATCAATACTAATTCTATACACTGTCTTCCAGAAGAGGAGGAAATACTTCCCAGTTTATTTTATGAAGCTAGTTTTACCCTTTTGCCAAAACCAGACAAAAACTGTACAAAAAAGGAAAACTACAGATAAAATTCATTACATTATGAATATAGACACAAAAAACCTTAACAAAATTAACAAACAGAATTCAGAAATAAAAAAACAACAAACAAACTTATGCACTATGACCAAGTCAGGTTTCTTACAGAGGTGCAAGGATAATCCAATTAGAAAATCAATGTAATCAACTGTCTTTGTACCTTCCAGCTGCTATAATGAAAATACCATAAATTAGATGACTTATAAACCATAGAAATTTATTTCTCATAGTTCTGGAGGCTGGAAGTCCAAGATCAAGGTGCCTGGCAGATTTGGTGTCTGGTGAGGGCCCACTTTCTAATTTGTAGATGGTGGCTTCTCTGTGTGTCTTCACATGGAAAGGGCAAAGGAGCTCTCTTGGGACTCTTCTAAGGATGCCAATCCCGTTCATGAGGGTTGTCAAAGTACAGAAGTAGTTCAATGGAGGGAGGATAGCTTTTTCAATTATCAGTGCTCCTGGAGCATTTGGATATCCATTGGCAGAAAACCAAAGCTCGACCTCAGTCTTACACCTTGTACAAAAATTAACTTAAAGTATACCACAGATTTAATGATGTCACATATATGGGAAATCTAAAAAAACTGAACTCATAAAAGCAGAGAATATTAATGGAATACTGGGTACCAGATAATATAGTGTGGATGTCCCCTCCATATCTCATGTTGAGATGTAATCCCTAGTGTTGAAGGTGGGGCCTGGTGGGAAGTGTTTGGGTCCTGGTGGCAGATCCCTCATGGCTTGGTGCTGGCCTCACGATAGGAGTGAGTTCTCATGAGATCTGTTTAAGTGGTGTGGCACCTACTCCTGTGCCCCTCTGCCCATCCTGCTTTTGCCATGAAACATGCCTGCTCCCACGTCACCTTCTGTCATGAGTAAAACTCCCTGAGGCCGTCCCAGAAGCTGAGCCGATGCCAGTGCCATGCTTCTTGTATAGCCTGCAGAACTATAAGCCAATTAAATCTCTTTTCTTTATAAATTATCCAGTTTCAGGTATTTCTTTATAGCAATGCAAGAATGGCCTAACACATCAGGGGTTGAGGGTGGAGTGTGTGAGGAGAAAGATTGGAAGATGTTGGTCAAACAATATGAGGTTTCAGTTAGACAGAAGGAATAAACTCTGGGCTCTATTTTATAGCACAGTGGCTGTAGTTAACAATTATGTATTGTATACTTGAAAATTCCTAATGGAGTAGATTTTAGATTTTTACCACAAACAAAAATGATAAGTATGTGAGGTAACAGATATGTTAATCAGCATGATTTTGTCATTTCATAGTGTATAATATATCAAAATATCACATTGTACATCATAAACATAATATTTGTCAATAAAAGTTATAGATGTAAATTTTAAAAAACAAAACTTAAAAACAAGGAAATTCTAAGGAAAGTTCTTAGAGATCTAGAGTTACACTTAGACTTGACACCATAAGCACAGTCTATAGGAGGACATATTGATAAATTGGACCTCAGCAAAATTAAAAACTTTTGCTCTGTGAAAGACTGTATTAAAAAGATTAGAAGATAAGTTACCGGTTAGGAGAAAATATTTTCAAAGCACACATCTAACAAATGGATAAGATCTATTTATAGAATACAGAGCTCTCAAACTCAGCAGTGTAGTAGCCCCCTCTTATCTGTGGTTTCAGTTACTCATGGTCAACCATGGCCCAAAAATACAAAACAGAAAATTCCAGAAATAAACAATTCATAAGTTTTAAATTGCATATCATTCTGAGTAGCATTGTTAAGTCTAACCCTGTCCCACTCGATTTGGGTGAGGTGTGAATCATTCCTTTGTCCAGCGTCCCCACACTGTCTATTCCACCCACCCACCTGTCAGTCACTTAGTAGCAGTCTCAGTTATCAGATTGACTCTTGTGGTATCTCAGTGCTTGAGTTCAGGTACCCCTTATTTGACTTAATACTGGCCCCCAAATGCAAAAGTAGTGATTCTGGCAATTCAGATATGCCAAAGAGAAGCCTTAATGTGCTTAAGTGAAAAGGCGAAAGTGCTCTCCTTAATAGGGAAAGAAAAAAGTCATAGGCTGAGGTTGCTAAAATATACAGTAATAATGAAGCTTCATGAAATTGTGAAGAGGAAAAGAAGAAATTTGTGTATAAGTAGAGTTTGGTACTGTATATAGTTTCAGGCATCCATTTGGGGTCTTGGAATGAATACCTGCAAGATAAGGGGAGACTACTTGTATAAACAAAACAAAACAAATTAACCAACACTCCCTCTAATAATCTAAATGCAATTAGAAAATGGGTAAAAGACAAGAAGAGACATTTCACATAAGGGTCTATACTGATGGTAAATAAGCACATGAAAAGATGTTCAAAACCATTTGCTATTAGAGAAATACAAATTAAAACCACAATGAGAAATCACTACACACCTATCCGAATGGCTAAAATGAAACTGAGACCACCAAATGATGGTGAGGATGAAGAGAGACTGAATCACTCGTGCTTTGCAGGTGAGAATATAAAATGGTCCAATCACTCTGGAAAACACTTTGACAAATTATTCTATTTTATTTTTACATTTATTTATTTATTTATTTGACAGGGTCTCACTCTGTGTCCCAGGTTGGAGTGCAGTGGCATGATCTTGGTTCACTGCAGCTTCTACCTCCCTGGACTCAAGAGATCCTCCCAACTTAGCCTCCCAAGTAGCTGGGACTGCAGGCAGATGATGCTGTATGCCTAGCTAATTTTTTTTTTTTTTTTTTAAGACAGAGTCTCGCTCTGCCGCCCAGGCTGGAGTGCAGTGGCACAATCTCAGCTCACTGCAACCTCTGCCTCCTGGGTTCAAACGATCCTTCTGCCTCAGCCTCACGAGTAGCTGGCATTACAGGTATGCACCATCATGCCCAGCTAATTTTTGTATTTTTGGTAGAGACAGGGTTTCACCATGTTGGTTAGGCTAGTCTCGAACTCCTGACCTCATGATCCGCCTGCCTTGGCCTCCCAAAGTGCTGGGATTACAGGCGTGAGCCACCATGCCAGGCCAATTTTTGTATTTTTTGTAGAGATAGGGTTTCACCATGTTGCTCAGGCTGGTCTCGAACTCCTGGGCTTAAGCAATCTGCCTGTCTCGGCCTCCCAAAGTTCTGAGATTACAGGTGTGAGCCAATATTGTTTAAAGTAGATATGCAACTACCAAATATCAGTGTTCATACTCCTGAACATTTATCCCAGAGAAATGAAGATTTATGTTAACACAAAAACTGGTACATTATGTTTCTAGAAGTATTATTTACAGTAGTAAAAAAACTAGGAACAACCCAAATATGGCTGAATCATTAAACAAATGTGGGGCATCCATGACATGGAATACTATTCAGCAGTTAAAAAAAATAAGCTATTAATGCATGCAAAAATCTAGGTGAATTTCCAGAGAAATATGCTGAGTGAAAAAAGCCAAATGAAAAGTTTACGTATTATATGATTGTGTGATTACATTTATAAAATAGTGACAAAATTTTTATTTGTGATTTCTGGGTGTCAGGGATGGAGTAGGGAAATGAGGAAAGTGAATGAAACAATGTAACAACATCAGGGATTCTTATTGTGATCAAAATGTTCTATATCCTGATTTTGTCAATATAAATACCCCAGTTATGATATTCTTCTATAGTTTTGCAAAATATTACCAATGGAGGAACATGAATAAAATGTACATGGGATTTCTTTATATTATTTCTAACAGCTGAATATGAGTCTACAATTACTTCAAAATATAAAGTTTAATGAAAAATGTTCCCAGCCCAAAATATAGTTTTTTAACTTTCAAGAAAGTAGACAGGGTTGCATAATAGAAAGAATAGAGCAAATTAGAGAATTAGTTAATTGGAAGGTAAAGTAATTTGAATATACAGATAGATTGGATAAAGATAAAGAAGTGAAAAATCTAAGAGCAAAATATGTGTTAAGCAAACTTTTTGTAATTTTTATTGGGGGGGAGTAACATGGGTAGTGATCTGTGATATTGATAGAAAAATATTAACATACGTGTTGAAAATTTAAGAGTAATCTCTAGAATATAAGTGTGTTGCTTCCAAATAATTAGAAACATAATACCAAAAGTAAGTAATATTTAGTTAAATTAACAAGTCAAGAATAGCACATTAAAGACATCACATGAGAGAGCAAGAGAAATGGAAAACAAAAGGAGATACCAAAAGCAAGTCCAGACAGAGCAGGAATTTTAATAAATATAAATGTATTAAATTATTTTATCAAATCAAAGATTCCTAGATTGGCTTAAAAATCTTTGCGTAATCTGTATAAAAGACACACCAGGAACAAGATGATACAGAATGGTGAACACAAAGGAAAATGGAAAAATATTTACTAATAAAATAACAATGAGACAATTGATATTGCATTGCTAGTATCTGAAACAATAGAATTTAAAGTGAGGTACATTGTATTTGTTACAGAGATTTAAAAATATTTATTATATATAAGTACTCCATGATATACTTTAAAAACTTTTATGCCCATAAAGTAAAGCTTTGAAATATGTATAGAAAAGCCAAAAAGTGCAAGAATTCATAGTAGGCAGACTTAAAATATTTCCCTTAGGAGTACACATTAAATTGGTAAAATAAGGAGGAACTGAATAACCAATTTATAGGCCTGACAGTTAACTATATAAGCTTAAAAATACAAGGAAGAATCAATATTCATAGTAGGAAAATTTAAAATATTCCTTTCAGGAGTACACCTATCAAATTGGTAGAGCAAGTAATTAATACAGAAAGGAATTGAATAACCAATTTAGAAGCTTGATTATACATACATACATATATATACATATATACATACATGTGTGTATTTATACATATATACATATAAGTGGGTATATATATATTTTTTGTGTATTATATATATGTGTGTGGTGTATGTGTCAAGGTACAGAAACATTTTCATCAAGTAAATTTATACATTTAAAAAATACACAATAGCATTTAGAAAAAAATTTACCATGATTTAAGCCACAAAGAAAATACTAACAAATGTATTAACTTAGAAAACTGTACAGGCCACATTTTCTGACCACAATGCCCAGTTGTATTTAACAACCAAAGCACACCTTCCTGAATAACACATCTTGCTCCACCCTGTCCCCCACATCTATGTTAACATTGTCCTATGTTGGTAAAGAAATCAATTGTTTTGAAATTGTATTGAATGAAATAGAATATGTTATTTATTTCAATATGTATGTAGAACTGCCTCAATACCACTGATTGAATGTGTATTCTTTCTTAGTTGATTGGAAATATGATATATTTTACATACTAATTTCCCATATTAGAGACTTTCTGAGAATCCCAAATCTCTGCATTGAAATAAACATATTTTAATAATCTCCCTACCTTTTTTTTTTTTTTTTAGAAAGATCATATTGTTAGGATTTAGGTTCACAGCAAAATTAACAGGAAGCTACAGAAGTGTCTCATATGCCACCTGCCCCATGCAGGCACCAACCTCCCCCATCACAACATCCTCCACCAGAGTGTAACATTTATTACAATTGATGAACCTACATTGACACATCCTTATTACCCAAAGTCTGTAGTTTACAGTAGGGTTCACTCTTGGTGTACATTCCATGGGTTTGGACAAATATACAATGATGTATATTCACCATTATAGTGTCATACAGAGTATTTTCACTGTCCTAAAATCCTCTGTGTTTTTGCCTATCTGTCTCTCCCTCCCCCATAAATCCTGGCAACCTCTGATCTTTTTACTATCTCCATATTTTTGCCTTTTCTCAAATGTTACATAGTTGGAATCATACAATATGTAGCCTTTTCAGATTGGCTTCTTTCACTTAGTAACTTGCAGTTAAGGTTCCTCCATGTCTTTTCATGGCTTGATAGCTTATTTCTTTTTTAGTTTTGAATAATATTTCATTGTTTGGATATACCATAGTTTATCCATTTCCCTGCTGAATGAAGGAGATTTTAGTTCCTTCCAAGTTTTGGCAGTTATAAATAAAGCTGCTATAAACATCCATATGCAGGCTTCTACATGGACATAAGCTTTTTACATTTTATTTATTTTATTTTTAACTTTTATTTTAGGTTTGGGGGCACCTGTTAAGGATTATTATATAGGTAAACATCTTTCATGGGGGGCTGTTATAAATATTATTTCATCAGCCTATATTAAGCCTAGTACCCAACAGTTATCATTTCTGCTCCTCTTCCCCCTCCCACCCTCCACTCTCAAGTAGACCCCAGTGTTTGTTGTTTCTTTCTTTGTGTTCATAAGTTCTTATTATTTAGCTCCCACTTATAGATGAGAACATGTGGTATTTGGTTTTCTGTTCCTGTTTGAGTTTGCTAAGGATAATAGGCTCCAGCTCTGTTCATGTTACTGCAAAAGACATGATCTCATTCTTTTCTTACGGCTGCATAGCATTCCATGGTGTATACGTACTACATTTTTTTAATCCAGTCAGTCATTGACAGGTATTTAGGTTGATTCCATGTCTTTGCTATTATGAATAGTGCTGCAATGAACATTCTTGTGTATGTGTCTTTATGGTAGAATGATTTCTATTCCTCTGGCCATATTCCCACTCAAGGGATTGCTGGGTCAAATGGTAGTTCTCTTCTTAGGTCTTTGAAGAATCACCACACTGCTTTCCACAACGGTTGAACTAATTTACACTCCCAACAGTGTATAAGTGTTCCCTTTTCTCCACAACCTCACCAGCATCTGTTGTTTTTTGACATTTTAGTAATAGCCATTCTGACTGGTGTGAGATGGTATCTCACTGTGGTTTTGATTTGCATTTATCTAATGATCAGTGATGTTGAGCTTTTTTTTTCATACATGTGTTGGCCACATTTATGTCTTCTTTTGAGAAGTGTCTGTTCATGTCCTTTGCCCACTTTTTAATGGAGTTATTTTTCTCTTGTAAATTTGTTCAACTTCCTCATAGATGCTGGATATTAGGCCTTTGTCAGATGCATAATTTTGAAATATTTTCTCCCCGCTCTGTAGGTTGTCTGTTTACTCTGTGGATATTTTCTTTTGCTGTGCAGAAGCTCTTAAGTTTAATTAGATTTCATTTGTCAAGTTTTGCTTTTGTTCTGATTGCTTTTGGTGTCTTTGTTATGAAATCTTTGCCCATTCCTGTGTCCACGGTGGTATTACCTATGTTGTCTTCTAGGATTTTTATAATTTTGGGTTTTACATTTACATCTTTAATCCATCTTGAGTTGATTTTTGTGTATGATGTAAGGCAGGAGTCCATCTTCAATCATCTGTATAGGGCTAGCCAGTTATCCCAGTACCATTTGTTGAATAGGGAGTTTTTTTCCCCATTGCTTGCTTTTGTCAGCTTTGTCAAAGATAAAATGGTCATAGATATGTAGCTTTATTTCTGGGCTCTCTATTCTGTTCCACTGGTCTACGTGCCTGTTTTTATACCAGTATCATGCTGTTTTGGTTACTGTACCCTTGCAGTATAGTTTGAAGTTGGGTTATGTGATGTCTCCAGCTTTGTTCTTTTTGCTTAGCATTGCCTTGACTATTCAGGCTTGTTTATCGTTCCATATGAATTTTAAAATAGTTTTTTCTATTTCTATGAAGAACATTGTTGGCAGTTTGATAGGAATAGCATTGAATCTATAAATTGCCTTGGGCAGTCTAGTCATTTTAATTATATTGATTCTTCCTATCCATGAGCATGGGATGTTTTTTCATTTGTTTGTGTCTTCTCTGATTTCTTTGAGCAGTGTTTTGTAATGCTTGTTGCAGAGATCTTTCTCCTCCCTGGTTAGCTGTATTCCTAAGTATTTTATTGTTTTTTTTGTGGCAATTGTGAATGGGGTTGCCTTTCTGATTTGATTATCAGTTTGGCTGTTGTTGGTGTACAGGAATGCTAGTGACTTTAGTACATTGATTTTGTATCCTGCAACTTTGCTGGAGTTGTTTATCAGTTGAAGGAGCTTTGGGGCTGAGATTATGGCATTTTATAGATATAGAATCATGTCATCTGCAAAGAGACAGAGTGTGACTTCCTCTCTTCCTATTTGAATGCATTTTATTTCTTTCTCTTTCCTGATTGCCCTGGCCAGGGCTTCCAATACTATGTTGAATAGAAGTGGTGAGAGAGGATATCCTTGTCGTTTGACAGTTTTAAAGGTGGATGCTTCCAGATTTTGCCCAGTCAGTATAATGTTGGCTGTGCATTTTTCATAGATGGCTCTTAGGCTCTTATTATTTTGAGGTATGTTTCTTCAATACCTGATTTACTGGGAGTTTTTAACAGGAAGGAGTATTGAATTTTATCAAAAGCCTTTTCTGTGTCTATTGACATAATCATGTGGTTTTTGTCTTTAGTTCTGTTTATGTGATGAATCACATTTATTGATTTGCATATGTTGAACCAGCTTTGCATCCTAGGGATGAAGCCTACTTGATCATGGTGGATTAGACTTTGATGTGCTGCTGGATTCAATTTGCAGGTATTTTGTTGAGAATTTTTGCACTGATATTCATCAAGGATATTGGCTTGAACTTTTTCTTTTTTTATTGTGTCTTTGCCAGGTTTTAGTATCAAGATAATGCTAACCTCATATAATAGGTTGGGGAGGACTCTCTCCTCCTCAATTGTTGGGAAATATTCCAGTAGGAATGGCACCAGCTTTTCTTTGTATATCTGGTAGAATTTGGTTGTGTTTCTATCAGGGTCCAGGCTTTTTTTAGTTGGTAGGCTGTTTATTATGGATTCAATTTCGGAGCTTGTTATTGGTCTGTTCAGGGAATCGATTTCTCCCTTGCTCAGTCTTGTGAGGGTGTATGTGCCCAGAAATTTATCTATCTCTTTTAGGTTTTCGAGTTTGTGTGTAATAGTTTCTGATGGTTGTTTTTATTTCTGTGGGGTGAGTAGTAACATTCCCTTCATCATTTCTTATTATGTTTGTTTGGATCTTCTCTCTTTTCTTCTTCATTAGTCTAGCTAGTGGCCTATATATTTTATTAATTTTTTTCAAAAAAATCAACTCCTGGTTTGGTTGATCTTTTGAAAGGTTTTTTTCTGAGTCATTTTCCTTCAGTTCAGCTCTGAGTTTTGTTATTTCTCATCTTCTCCTAGCTTTGGGGTTGACTTGTTCTTGCTTCTCTAATTCTTTCAGTTATGAAGTTAGGTTGTTAATTTCAGATCTTTCCAATTTTTTGATGTGGATATTTAGAGCTATGAATTTCGCTCTTAATACTGCCTTAGCTGTGTCCCAGAGATTCTGGTATGTTGTATGTTTGTCCTCATTATTTTCAAAGAACTTCTAGATTACTGCCTTAATTTCATTACTTATCCATGTAACTGCATGATTTTGAGTGATTTTCATAGTCTTGCTTTTTTTTTTATTGTGCTGTGGTCATAGAGTGTGTTTGGTATGATTTTGGTTATTTTGCATTTTTTGAGGATTGTTTTATGTTCAATTATGTAGCTGATTTTAGAGTATGTGCCATGTGGTGACGAGAAAAATGTATATTCTGTTGTTTGGGTGTGAACACTTCTATAAATGTCTATCAGATCCATTTGGTCCAATATTGAATTTAGGTTCTGAATATCTTTGTTAATATTCTACCTTCATGATCTGTCTAATACTGTTAGTGGAGTGCTGAAGTCTCCCACTATTATTGTGTGGGAGCCTATGTCTCCTTGTAGGTCTCTAAGAACTTGCTTTATGAATCTAGGTACTCCTGTGTTGTGTGCATATATATTTAGGATAGTTAGGTTTTCTTGTTGAATTGAACCCTTTACAATTATGTAATGCCCTTCTTTGTCTTTTTTGATGTTTGTTGGTTTGAAATCTGTTTTGTCTGAAATTAGTTTTGTCTGAAATCTGTTTTGTCTGAAATTGTAACTTCTGCTTTTATTCTGTTTTCCATTTGCTTGGTAGATTTTCCTCCGTCCCTTTATTTTGAGCCTATGAATGTCATTACACTTGAGATGGGTCTCTTGAAGACAGTATACCGTTAGGTCTTGCTTTTTTATCCAGTTTGCCACTCTATGCCTTTTAAGTGGGACATATAGTCCGTTTACATTCAAGGTTAGCATTGATATGTGTGGATTTGATTCTGTCATTTTTCTGTTAGCTGGTTATTATGTTGGCTTGTTTGTGTGGTTGCTTTACAGTGACACTGGTCTGCGTGTTTAAATATGTTTTTATATTAGCTGGTAGCAGTCTTTTCTTTCTATATTAAGTGCTCCTTTCAAGGTCTCTTGTAAGGCAGGTCTGGTGGGAATGAATTACCACAACTTTTGCTTACCTGAAAAGAATCTTATTTTTCCTTCACTTAAAAACCTTAGTTTGGCTGGATATAGGATTCTTGGTTGAATAATTTTTTCTTTAAGAATGTTGAATATAGGCCTCCTATTTATTCTGGCTTGTAGGGTTTCAGCTGAGAGATCCAATTAGCTTGATAAGGTTCCCTTTGTATGTGAACTGCCTTTTCTCTCCAGCTGCCTTTAACATTATTTCTTTCATTTTGACCTTGGAAAATCTGATGATGATGCATCTTGGAGATGATCTTCTTGTGTAGAATCTTGCAAGAATTCTCTGTATTTCCTGAATTTGACTACTGACCTCTCTAGCAAAGTTGTGGAAGTTTTCATGAACAATATCCTGAAATATGTTTTCAAAATTGCTTGTTTTCTCTCCCTCCCTTTCAGGGATGCCAGTGACTCATAGATTTGGCCTCTTTAAATAATCCCATACTTCTCAAAGGTTTTGTTCACTCCTCTCATTCTTTTTTCTTTATTTTTGTGGACATAAGTTTTCAATTCCTTTGGGTAAATACCAGGTAGCATGACTGCTGGACTATATGGTAAGAATAGGTTTAATTTTGTAAGAAACTGCCAAATTGTCTTCCAAAGTAACTGTGCCATTTTGAATTTCCACCAGCAAAGAATGAGTCCTGTTGCTTCACATCCTTGCCAACATTTGGTGTTGTCAGTGTTCTGTATTTTGACCATTCTGATAGGTGTGTAGTGGAATCTCATTGTTTTAATTTATAATTCCCTAATGGCATATGATGTTGAACATCTTTTCATCTGCTTATTTGCCATCTGTATATCTTCTTTGGTGAGCTGTTTGTTAAGGTCTTTGGAACATTTTTGAATCAGACTTTTTTTTTACTGTCGAGTTTTAAGGGTTCTTTGTATGTTTTGAATAACATTCCTTTCTCAGATACATTTTTTTGCAAATATTTTCTCCTACTCTGTGGCTTGGCTATTCATTCTCTTGAATATTCTACCAAACATTTAAGAATAATTTTTGGTATTCAAAATATTAGGAAATCTGAATTAACAGAGCTTGAAGAGGAAGCATATATGTAACTCTTTATTCAATTCACTGAAAAAAGTTACATTATTATATTAAAATGTGGGCCTACTGAGAGTTCAGAGACGTGAAAACTATGTCTGATATGTCATTTTGAAAGCAAATCACGGAAACTGGAAACATGTGCTCTTGCTAAGGCAGAGATGTTGTTTTGGTCACTTTTTCTTTTTAGAAAATGTAGACATTTGCTAAACAATAATTTTTATAGACATTATGCAAAGTTATCCTCAAATTTCAGTCAGAAACTGCTCCATTTACTTGCTGTGTTAGGCAGCCTCCACTCCTGGCTGTCAAGTTGCTGGGGAAAAGTGATCCAGCTTTCATGAATGCACTCCTTTACGCACATGATTGTCTCAGGGACCCTTCCTACAATTTTTTATTCTGGACTTTCATTCAAATTTGGTAATATTGCAAATTGAAAGAGCCTTTTGGGTTCGAAATGTGTTAAAATATATCAAAGTGAAAAAGAACTCTTTAAACCAGCAATTTCATTGTAGGAATGTATTTTAGAGAAATATTTGCACACATGCAAAACATTTACAAGGACATTAATTGCAAATTATACAAGATGGTCAGAAGTTGTGAACAATAAGTATGTACAGATAGTAAAATAGCATCTTTTTGAACACAAATAGCTGTTAAAAAGAATCAGATAAATATCCATATACTCAATGCCTATATTGACATGGAATGGTGTCTATATTTTTAAGGGACTGAATCTTGGAATGCTTATATCTCTTGCAACATAATGAAGTAGATAACTGACAACAATTCCTTATTAAATCACTTAGAAATTACCTCCTTTTGAAAGTACAGAAGTTTAAAATAGAGTAGGGAAACCCATGGGCTAGACATAAGTAGGAAATGGGTCATGAGCCTGGGAGTTTGACACTGAATCCACACCTGCTGAGCATGTGTGCTTCATCTCTTGAATTTTGAGCATAGGGTCTTAATGGCTATGTAAGGGACAGAAAATGTGGCCTTGGACCTAAACAATGAAGTATTAGAACTGCACTCCCCCACAAGGGATGCCCACATATATAATAAAAGTCTAAATAAATGGATGAGCACTATAATACAGCTAAAGAAAGTGATAATGTTTTGGAGGGATGGGGGAAGTTTAACTATTTTGGTAATATTTTCCAGTAGTTTTATGAGTGATGCATAGATGATTGTTACATTATTATTTATATATTTTTATGTCTCAAATATAATAAAAAGTTATGGATGTGTGGATGTATGTATTGTGTGTATATATATGTGTATTGTATGCTTATGTGTATGTATATATACACATATGTGTGTGTGCATATATATATATACACAGTTGATGTATATATATACACACACATATATATATACAGTTGATTATATATATATTATATATATATATATATATAGTTGATCCATATTCTTGGGTTCTGCATCTGTGGATTCAACCAACTGTGGAATGAAAATATTGCAAAAAAAATTGCATCTGTAATGAACATGTACAGACTTTTTTCTTTGTCATTAGTCTCTAAAGAATATAGTATAATATCTATTTACAGAGCATTTACATTCTGTTTGATATAAGTAATCTAGAGGTGATTAAAAGCATACAGGAGGATGTGCATAGTTTATATGCAAATACTATGCCATTTTATATAAGGAACTTGAGATCTGTGGGTTTGATATTCAAGTGAGGTCCTGGAACCAATCCCCTTCTGCATCTGAGGGACAACTGTATATATCAAAACAAGATGTCTATATGTGCTTGTATTTGTGTATGTGCTTGTTGTTTGGGGAATTAACATCAAGTTGTTTATAGTGTTTACTCATACGTAAGGAGAGAGAGGAGTAGTCAGAGGGTGACTTTAATTTGTGCGCTAAATTATTTCAATGTTTTATAATATTTATATATTACATGTATATTTTTCAATAAAACAAAAGTATGAGATTAGTTAGAATTACAGATATTTTATCCATAATATAGTATAGTTCAATTCTGTAGAACTCACTGTTGTAGAAAACTTATACCCAATTTTATTTGAAAGATAACAGACCTAATAATCATAGTACTATTCTAGGCAATTTATTCTTACAGACTTTTTTTGTTTTTAGAGACAGGATCTTATTCTGTTGCCCAGACCGGGGTGCAGTGGTGTGATAATAGCTTACCACAGACTAGAATTCCTGTGCTCAAGCAATTCTCTTGCCTCAGCCTCTCAAAGCACTGGGATTGCAGGTGTGACCCACAGCACCCAGCTGAGAATATTTTTATTTTGAAATAAAATAATGCTAAAGGCACTTGGGCTTCAGAGTGATGGGGCTGCATCATCCTTCCCTGATTGACTGCCAGAGTTTAGTGGATGGATATGACTGATCTAAGTAGGGCTTCTCTTTCTATGCCATTTCTCTGTGTCTCCTAGAGGTCACAGTCTATTGAGATAGAGAGGGCTTACCTACCATCAAGGGTGTGTGATTACCAGGTATCTGCGGACAAAAGATATTTGGTCATACATTATATCATGCCCTGTATCTCAAAGTAGATCGTAAAGTCTTGAGGGTGGAAAACAGGTGTTTTGCTTCGTGCTTCATTGTGCATCTGTGCAATAGCCCTGTACAGATGCACAGTGTACAGATACTGTAGCGTCTAGGGGAGCATGGGCCATAAAGCAGGAGCTCAGCAAATATCTGTTGAAGTAAACCAAGCATTGACTTGTGTATGCTTTCATCTTATTTGGAAAAAAAAAACATTGAAAATAGAACCAGTTAGCAAATAGCATCTTAATATTTATTCTTTTAAGATCTAGAGAAAAATAACCCCCATCCCATTAAGTTACCTTTATGTACAGTGGATATGTTTTAATTATATACTTAAATACACAATTAGCTTTCAGCCGTCTTTTTCTCTTTTAATATTTGCTTTCAAGAGAGGGGCTGAGAAATAAATTCACACTGAACTGAAGCTCAAAGTGTAATGTATAACCCCCCTGCCCCACCACCAAACACACACACAACAAGTGCATTTGCCTTTAATAGGGAGGAAGTTGCATGACACAGCTATATCTGGGAGATAATCTTTGGGAATGACTCAGGTTTGGCAATCTGTCTGCTTGACCCTGAGCAAGTGATTTAATCTCTGTTAACATTGGAGTCTTCATCTGCAAAATAATACCTAATGGGGACACTGTGAGGAATTTATGAGGTGAAAACAGTTTGAAGAGCCTAATTCTGTGACTGGCATTTGGTGGACACCCAATACATTTTGGCCAGCAACACAGTAGATGCTGTTGCTTCTCTTCTATTAATATTAATGGCCCAGTGACAGAACAGGTGGAGAGATCTTTTGAAGGCTGCCTTCTGGTATCCTGAGATTAGAACTCAGAGTGTGCATCTGTTCTTTTAGGTTGTAGCTCTGGTATCTATAGAAAAGATCTTGGTGATGGTGTAAAAGAGAGCAGTACTGGGCAGGGCAAAGTGTACGTGTCTGTGTTCGTCAGTGGGAGCAGAGGAAGCCTAGCTTGCTCCTGCATCTCCACAGTGACAATATGCTTTGGCAAACTTTGGAAACATGTCATATAATTAGAAAACAATCCAGAATATGTCCTATCATCTCAGAGAGGCAACTTGGATCACCCTTAAATAGCACACACAACTCCAACTCCCCTGTTTCTCTGTAGTATAATTGTCTTTGTTTTTCTTCACATCATCATCTAAAATCATCTTGTTGGATGTATTCCTTTGATTACAGTTTATATTCTGTTTATTCCTGCTTGAATATAAACTCCTTCAAGGTGGATATTTTGCCAGTCTTTTAAATTGCTTGTATCTTCATGACCAGAAAATGTCTGCTACACAGTAGATGTTCTTCTAAAGAGTTGTCAAATGCGTTTATGAATGAAAAATATCAGGGCAAGCCTGTCAAATCTGAAATGTATGGTTTATGTGTGAATATCATTTGTCACTACAAGTCTGAGAATATTCTTAGCAGTTTATGGGAGACTTTATTTTCTGGAAAATTCATTCAGACTTGGATATCTTTTCAACAGCTATTAAGTTCTTTGGTGCATGGTATTGGAGACTTCATTTACACCAATTGGTACATATTTATTGGGTACTATATTATCTACCGAGAAAAATAAACACAAAAACTCATATGTATGTAGAAACTACTGGTATATTTGGGACATTCCCTACTATTATATCCTGACAATTTCACAAAAGCCTGCCTTGATTTTCTGTTTATATGCCTGCTCAATTTTCATACTCATCAATACATTTCATCATTGTAATATTAGAAGCAAGAAATTCATATTTAAATTATGATTTAGATTTGGAGATTAGTTTTCAGAGATTCAGAGATTAATTTTTGAGAAATTTGCCATGAAATTAAGTATGTGAATTGGATAAGGTAAAAGATTTATTAAATAAACCAGTTTCTGTTGTTTTGTTCCTGGAAGTTCTTAGCAACAATAAAAACATTTAAAGATAAATTACTAAAATTATGTAAATGATCTCATTGGTATATGTAGTATTCTACATGAAATATACTGATAATTTTAGATTGGAAGTTTTCCCTTTAATATAAAAAAGATTCCTTTTGAGGTATAGCCCAGCGAATATAGGAGCATATAACGCCTGCTGTTCCTTCACTGTTTGGAGATATTGATCTAATTCATAGTGACAAGCTAGATTGCAGTGAGAAGACATTTTATTTGTCTGTACATTGAAACAATATATCTATTCGTATGAAGTGAATTTCATAAGATTTATCATAATTGTATGTTTTTGAGATATTATCTTTAATTTTCTTTTATTTCTAAGAATTCTCTCTAGAAAAGTTGGAATTGTTTTGGTCATTTTATTTTTTTCCTGTTATATGTTTTGTATAAAAAATATAATCGTCTTAGTATTATATAAAATGGTAATTAAAATCAGCTACAGCCTATTAGGTATACAATATTCTATTCTGCTGAAAATATTTATTGAGACATTCTCTAGTATCTTTGCTCTTAGTTGTATAGTAATGATATAATATGCAATAATGTTAAGTAGGTGACAATGTTAAGCAGATGATAAATACTCTACTCTGAGGAAGCTCTCAGACTTTCCATAGCTTCACAAAAAGTTTCAGCTTTCGATTTTAATTATAACCTTTATGAAATGTTTGGCTAAGACATTGAAGTTTGTGTGCAACTGGCAACATTCCACTCCTATAATCTTCAGATTAGTAGGGAACACAGAGATCAACATTACTAGGTTCATCAGTGGTTCAGTTTTAAAAAATAATATTCAGGGAAGAATTTATGAGGTTCATTTACATCAACTTCTAAGTTATTAAAAAGTATATTTTTGGATAAATTTTGTGAAACAATGAGCTGGATATCTATTCTGCATAAGGCTGGCCTGTTGAGGAATTACTTTCACTGAGTTGTACAGTGGAGCGATTGAAGAAGCCTCTCGAATGATTCTTTATTACAAGAACCACACTGATTAAAATGGCAGTTTTGTCTAAGGAAGAATGTTGAGGGACATGTTTATTACATTTGGTAGCAAACACTTATGAGAACTACTGCATAATTTGATACTGTCAAAAATATTTACGTAGATATTTTGAATTGTGCAACTAATAGGCTCCTCCCCACTTTTTTTGCTTGGGCTTCTGGAAAACTCACGGCCCTGACATAGCCAGACTCTAGCCCATTATCATGGGCATTTATACCCCCATTCTTTTTCCCACATTGTCTTCACATTGTTTTACTTTATCTTTTTCACTCCTTTGTTTATTTATGCTATTTGAACGTAATTTATGCTTCCTTGGAAAATGCCTTAAATTCTTTCTGAAATAAGGACAAATATAAATATTTTAAATAAATCGTAAAGCAACACACTTTCGGCCCACATCATTTTGGTACATTATGAGCTATAATCTGTTTCCTGTTGATCCATGCTATAACTGGCTTTCTTACTAAAAAGATTTGTTTGGCTCATTCTGGATTGCTTAGTGAGAATTTATTTGTACATGATGTCTCCCTGGATTAGTCTTATGAACAGCAAAGATGAAGCACCAAAAAAGGCAAGATTTGAGCCTTAGAGACTTTGCACAGTCTGTTTTCTTCTCTTGAAAGTTTTCCCCATTGTGTTGCCGGCTCCAGCTTGCCATTTGGATCTCAGGTTAAATATATACTAGATAGACCCGCACAGATGACTCAATCCCAATAGCCTCCTTCATGCCACAATAGTTTATTTTCACCACATCTCTCATCAGTCACTGACATTTCCATGTTTATTTGTTCAGTGTCTGGCTCTGCCTCCTTAAAAAGAGCCTCCACTAAGAACAGGACTTTGCCAGCTTTGTTTCTGACACATCTTCATCATGGACCATAGGCCAATTTCTACAATTGGCAATTTATTCTTTTTTTTTTGGAGGGGGGGTGTTTATTAACAGATTGATTTATTCATATTTATTTATTTTTTTTTTGAGACAGAGTCTCGCTCTGTCACTTGGGCTGGAGTGCAGTGGCATGATCTTAGCTCACTGCAGCCTCTGCCTCTCGGGTTCAAGTGATTCTTGTGCCTCAGCCTCCTGAGTGTACAGGTGTGCGCCACCACATCTGGCTAATTTTTGTAGTTTTAGGAGAGGCACGGTTTCACTGTTGTTGGTCACTCTGGCATCAAACGCCTGGCCTCAAGTGATCCACCCACTTCGGCCTCCCAAAGTGCTGGGATTATAGGCGTGCACTCCCACAACTGGCCTATATATTTATTTTTTAAAAAAATTGACAAGTAAAAATTATATTGCTATTCATTCTTATTTCTCTTACCAAACATTAAAAAGGAGTAAACGTTTCCCCAGATGAGAGATAATGAAGTCATTAAAAATGTGGAAAGACAGAGTGCAAAATTATATGCACAATATTATTATTGCTGTGTAAAGTATGCAAAAAGAACAGAAAACAAGAATGATTTATAGCTTTTATGTGATATACTATGTTAGCAAGCTATTTTTTATGTAACGTACTGTATAATGAGCTATTTATGCTCCTGAGCAACCCATTCAATTTTCCAAGCTGCCTGTATTGCTGCACTGTTGCTTTTAGTATTGTTAAGTCATTGTTTTAGATGATTTAGTCTTCGAGAGGCCCCTACTGACTCCTACATGGGTACTGTATTTGCATACTAATACTGAATCTCTTGTCAATTAAAACCTTAATGGGGATTTCTGGCAGAGGGTGAGAGAAGAACCCTAATTGAAGAGACCAACCCAGAAG
Source organism: Homo sapiens (assembly GCF_000001405.40). Classification (NCBI taxonomy): domain Eukaryota; kingdom Metazoa; phylum Chordata; class Mammalia; order Primates; family Hominidae; genus Homo; species Homo sapiens. The sequence goes on from NC_000008.11 coordinate 68,359,514, forward strand.
TGCTGGTGATAAGAGGGCAGTAGTATGTAGAATAGAAATGAGCATCAGGTGAGTTGAGACAGTGCCAGGTGGGGAAGTGGAACGAGTGAGCCAACATTTTCAGATACATTTCTCCTGTCACTCTATACCCACCCCTCTCTCTTTTTAAGGCTCTCTTTTAAAGAGCTGAAAAAACATTGAGAATTGTGGATAGTGCGTGCTACCTGGGTTCACAAAGTTTTGCATTATTTCATCCTGCACCCTCGGTCTTTGTAGGAATGTAAAGGAATGAAATACCATAAGCACAAAGGGACATGAAAATTGAGGTGATCTCAAGAAGGTGACTGAAAGAATTATGAAGGAATTATGTTGAGCCTCATTCATACATGTCTAAAGCCAAGCTGGAATCTACTCTAATATCATTGTATCAGCAGCTGCCTTCACAGCATGCCTATTTCACAAATATTTTTGAGTGAATAGTATTTGAAGGACATTTCATGGAGGTGATCTTATAGGTACCCAAAACTCAAAATGACAAAAAGGAACCAAAATAACACAAGATGTTCCACTTCCCTTACCTCTTTGTTTCAGCTGTGGCTTAATTCTTCCCAGGGCCCAGTTACCATTCTTTCTTTTCTCTCCTTAAACAAAAATTCTGTCTGGTAAATTATCAGATCCTTCTAATGAGTTCTGTGAAATGTCTTTTGTGTCCTTCCCTTGCTTTTCTCGTCTTTGCCAAATTAGTCCTGACACTCAACCAACCCCATGAAATGGTCCCAACCCCATTCATTTTATGTGTGGTTGATACATTGACCATTCCAAACAGTGATATTTATCATGTCATGTCTCTACTAAAAAAATAATCATACACTGTTTGGCCACTTCCTGTGGCTATACTTTTTAAACAGGAGTCTGCATACATTATTTGACACATGCCAATACTTGTAGACAAAATGCAGAGTTCATGTAAATTTTAAAGATAATCAAACTTTCATGGTTGCATTTTATCACTTTTAGTCCTGCCTCCAGACATCTGGAATTCACAGCCTTGGGCCACTGAGAATGCACTGAATCATGGGATTAATTCCAAACTAGGGCAGCATTCTTGGACCTTCAAAATCTACTTAACTATACATTGTCCTCACACACTGCCTTTAGTGTCAGCCAGACCAGCTTGTCCAGTTCTTCCCAATATATATAATGTCATCTTTTTGCTTGGTAATGTCTCTACATGGAATATTTCCCTTTTCCTTTTCTTCCTTTCTTTTTTTTTTTTTTTTTCTTGAGCCTCGCTCTGTCACCCAGTCTGGAGTGCAGTGGTGTGATCCTGGCTCACTGCAACCTCCATCTCCCAGATTTGAGTGATTCTCATGCCTTAGCCTCCCGAGTAGCTGGCATTACAGACGTGCACCACCCCACCCCCTGCGAATTTTTGTATTTTTAATAGAGACGGGGTTTCACCATGTTGGCCAGGCTGGTCTCAAACTCCTGACCTCAGGTCATCCACCCACCTTGGCCTCTGAAAGTGCTGGGATTACAGGTGTGAGCCACCGCATCCGGCCTCCCCTTTTTTCTATAATGTCCTAGAAAAAGTTTCTTGGGATACAGACTTTGAGATGGAGATTTGCAGGCAGAGGGTTAATTGTGGAGTGCCCATGAGAATAGCACCTTGAAAGGAGTGAGGGAAGAAGGTTTCGGTAGAATATGTTGAACTATAAGGCAGTTGCAGTTGTGTCCACAGCCATTTACATAGAGAGGCTCACCTAGGGAGCACTGCAACTGGAAAGCACTGAAGGGTTGCTCCAACAGAAGATGGAGTAAGGCCTTTGTACGCTGCATGGACCAGTCTTTAGAGGCAGGCTTCCTCCAGAGAGAGACTGTAACCTCGGAGGAGGCAGCTTTTGTGGGAGGAGGATTCTAGAGGAGGCCTCTGAGAGTCTTCAACAGCCAATATTCCTGGCAGCTGGCACAATGAGCTCTGAAGGAAGGATCTGGACATGTGCCACTATATCTACCACATTACTCTATCCAACTATCGCTCATTAGGGGAAAATTCATGTTTTGCCTGTTGAATTAAATATGTTTTGACTGCTCTAGCTTCCTTACATTTTCCATTTCTGTTGTGCTTATGAGCTATTGCACCCATTTCTGTGGTTAACCACATTGTTACTTAACTACTTTCTGGGTTATGGATTGTCTTTCTAACTATATTGTTGGCTTTTTTCTACTACTTCTCCCAAATATTTAATTTATAGTAAATGTATGCATCATAAGAATTTAACTGAGTACTTGTTGGGTGAATAAAGGCATACAAAATAGCATGGTCTACAGAACTGTGAAATAATTTTTGTTTTGTACACAAAGCAGGCTGAACCTTTCCATGATTTCTAAGCTTTACAAAAGAAAAATAGGCAAAGAACTCAAAGAAGGTTAAAGATCTACTAACGTACATGGAACTACAATCTCTATAGTCAGTTATGTGAGTTGATGGATCTTCTTTTAGGTGTAAGCCAAACTGATTTGGATTTTTTATTTGTAACGTAAGAGTCCCAAGTTATCTGTGTAGTTGCAAATGTGATCTGTGTAAAATGAGCTCTTGAATTGTACAAATTTATGTGACTCCATTCAATTCAGGCAAGAATAAGAAAGATGTAGTTAAAATGAATGGCATTTCCTTGTTTAATTGATTGATTGCTTTCTTTCTTATAAAGATTATAAATTTGAGGTTCTTCAATGAAGGGATCTTTTTCATGTTGGCTACTATTGGCTAAGTAATGAAGATTATTTATTAAACTCATAGAGTTTATACACATTCTCAATTTGATGTTTTCATCATTAAAACCAAGATTATATTTGCTTAATATTTAGCAGAGTCCACTGTCAATGAAAAAAGTACATCGATTAATTCCAAAGGCCATGGAGGGAGGAGCCAAGATGGCCGAATAGGAACAGCTCCAGTCTACAGCTCCCAGCGTGAGCGACGCAGAAGACGGGTGATTTCTGCATTTCCATCTGAGCTTTGAAGAGAGCAGTGGTTCTCCCAGCACGCGGCTGGAGATCTGAGAACGGGCAGACTGCCTCTTCAAGTGGGTCCCTGACCCCCGAGCAGCCTAACTGGGAGGCACCCCCCAGCAGGGGCACACTGACACCTCACACGGCAGGATATTCCAACAGACCTGCAGCTGAGGGTCCTGTCTGTTAGAAGGAAAACTAACAAACAGAAAGGACAACCACACCAAAAACCCATCTGTACATCACCATCATCAAAGACCAAAAGTAGATAAAACCACAAAGATGGGGAAAAAACAGAACAGAAAAACTGGAAGCTCTAAAAATCAGAGCGCCTCTCCTCCTCCAAAGGAACGCAGCTCCTCACCAGCAACAGAACAAAGCTGGATGGAGAATGACTTTGACGAGCTGAGAGAAGAAGGCTTCAGACGATCAAATTACTCTGAGCTACGGGAGGACATTCAAACCAAAGGCAAAGAAGTTGAAAACTTTGAAAAAAATTTAGAAGAATGTATAACTAGAATAACCAATACAGAGAAGTGCTTAAAGGAGCTGATGGAGCTGAAAACCAAGGCTCGAGAACTACGTGAAGAATGCAGAAGCCTCAGGAGCCGATGCGATCAACTGGAAGAAAGGGTGTCAGCAATGGAAGATGAAATGAATGAAATGAAGCGAGAAGGGAAGTTTAGAGAAAAAAGAATAAAAAGAAATGAGCAAAACCTCCAAGAAATATGGGACTATGTGAAAAGACCAAATCTACGTCTGATTGGTGTACCTGAAAGTGATGGGGAGAATGGAACCAAGTTGGAAAACACTCTGCAGGATATTATCCAGGAGAACTTCCCCAATCTAGCAAGGCAGGCCAACGTTCAGATTCAGGAAATACAGAGAACGCCACAAAGATACTCCTCGAGAAGAGCAACTCCAAGACACATAATTGTCAGATTCACCAAAGTTGAAATGAAGGAAAAAATGTTAAGGGCAGCCAGAGAGAAAGGTCGGGTTACCCTCAAAGGGAAGCCCATCAGACTAACAGCGGATCTCTCGGCAGAAACCCTACAAGCCAGAAGAGAGTGGGGGCCAATATTCAACATTCTTAAAGAAAAGAATTTTCAACCCAGAATTTCATATCCAGCCAAGCTAAGCTTCATAAGTGAAGGAGAAATAAAATACTTTACAGACAAGCAAATGCTGAGAGATTTTGTCACCACCAGACCTGCCCTAAAAGAGCTCCTGAAGGAAGCGCTAAACATGGAAAGGAACAACCAGTACCAGCCGCTGCAAAATCATGCCAAAATGTAAAGACCATCGAGACTAGGAAGAAACTGCATCAACTAACGAGCAAAATCACCAGCTAACATCATAATGACAGGATCAAATTCACACATAACAATATTAACTTTAAATGTAAATGGACTAAATGCTCCAATTAAAAGACACAGACTGGCAAATTGGATAAAGAGTCAAGACCCATCAGTGTGCTGTATTCAGGAAACCCATCTCACGTGCGGAGACACACATAGGCTCAAAATAAAAGGATGGAGGAAGATCTACCAAGCAAATGGAAAACAAAAAAAGGCAGGGGTTGCAATCCTAGTCTCTGATAAAACAGACTTTAAACCAACAAAGATCAAAAGAGACAAAGAAGGCCATTACATAATGGTAAAGGGATCAATTCAACAAGAAGAGCTAACTATCCTAAATATATATGCACCCAATACAGGAGCACCCAGATTCATAAAGCAAGTCCTGAGTGACCTACAAAGAGACTTAGACTCCCACACAATAATAATGGGAGACTTTAACACCCCACTGTCAACATTAGACAGATCAACGAGACAGAAAGTCAACAAGGATACCCAGGAATTGAACTCAGCTCTGCACCAAGCGGACCTAATAGACATCTACAGAACTCTCCACCCCAAATCAACAGAATATACATTTTTTTCAGCACCACACCACACCTATTCCAAAATTGACCACATAGTTGGAAGTAAAGCTCTCCTCAGCAAATGTAAAAGAACAGAAATTATAACAAACTATCTCTCAGACCACAGTGCAATCAAACTAGAACTCAGGATTAAGAATCTCACTCAAAGCTGCTCAACTACATGGAAACTGAACAACCTGCTCCTGAATGACTACTGGGTACATAACGAAATGAAGGCAGAAATAAAGATGTTCTTTGAAACCAACGAGAACAAAGACACAACATACCAGAATCTCTGGGATGCATTCAAAGCAGTGTGTAGAGGGAAATTTATAGCACTAAATGCCCACAAGAGAAAGCAGGAAAGATCCAAAATTGACACCCTAACATCACAATTAAAAGAACTAGAAAAGCAAGAGCAAACACATTCAAAAGCAGGCAGAAGGCAAGAAATAACTAAAATCAGAGAAGAACTGAAGGAAATAGAGACACAAAAAACCCTTCAAAAAATCAATGAATCCAGGAGCTGGTTTTTTGAAAGGATCAACAAAATTGATAGACCGCTAGCAAGATTAATAAAGAAAAAAAGAGAGAAGAATCAAATAGACACAATAAAAAATGATAAAGGGAATATCACCACCGATCCCACAGAAATACAAACTACCATCAGAGAATACTACAAACACCTCTACGCAAATAAACTAGAAAATCTAGAAGAAATGGATAAATTCCTCGACACATACACTCTCCCAAGACTAAACCAGGAAGAAGTTGAATCTCTTAATAGACCAATAACAGGAGCTGAAATTGTGGCAATAATCAATAGCTTACCAACCAAAAAGAGTCCAGGACCAGATGGATTCACAGCCGAATTCTACCAGAGGTACAAGGAGGAACTGGTACCATTCCTTCTGAAACTATTCCAATCAATAGAAAAAGAGGGAATCCTCCCTAACTCATTTTATGAGGCCAGCATCATTCTGATACCAAAGCCGGGCAGAGACACAACCAAAAAAGAGAATTTTAGACCAATATCCTTGATGAACATTGATGCAAAAATCCTCAATAAAATACTGGCAAACCGAATCCAGCAGCACATCAAAAAGCTTATCCACCATGATCAAGTGGGCTTCATCCCTGGGATGCAAGGCTGGTTCAATATACGCAAATCAATAAATGTAATCCAGCATATAAACAGAACCAAAGTCAAAAACCACATGATTATCTCAATAGATGCAGAAAAAACCTTTGACAAAATTCAACAACCCTTCATGCTAAAAACTCTCAATAAATTAGGTATTGATGGGACGTATTTCAAAATAATAAGAGCTATCTATGACAAACCCACAGCCAATATCATACTGAATGTGCAAAAACTGGAAGCATTCCCTTTGAAAACTGGCACAAGACAGGGATGCCCTCTCTCACCACTCCTATTCAACATAGTGTTGGAAGTTCTGGCCAGGGCAATTAGGCAGGAGAAGGAAATAAAGGGTATTCAATTAGGAAAAGAGGAAGTCAAATTGTCCCTGTTTGCAGATGACATGATTGTATATCTAGAAAACCCCATTGTCTCAGCCCAAAATCTCCTTAAGCTGATAAGCAACTTCAGCAAAGTCTCAGGATACAAAATCAATGTACAAAAATCACAAGCATTCTTATACACCAACAACACACAAACAGAGAGCCAAATCATGAGTGAACTCCCATTCACAATTGCTTCAAAGAGAATAAAATACCTAGGAATCCAACTTACAAGGGATGTGAAGGACCTCTTCAAGGAGAACTACAAACCACTGCTCAAGGAAATAAAAGAGGATACAAACAAATGGAAGAACATTCCATGCTCATGGGTAGGAAGAATCAATATTGTGAAAATGGCCATACTGCCCAAGGTAATTTATAGATTCAATGTCATCCCCATCAAGCTACCAATGACTTTCTTCACAGAATTGAAAAAAACTACTTTAAAGTTCATATGGAACCAAAAAAGAGCCCGCATCGCCAAGTCAATCCTAAGCCAAAAGAACAAAGCTGGAGGCATCACACTACCTGACTTCAAACTTTACTACAAGGCTACAGTAACCAAAACAGCATGGTACTGGTACCAAAACAGAGATATAGATTAATGGAACAGAACAGAGCCCTCAGAAATAACACCGCATACCTACAACTGTCTGATCTTTGATAAACCTGAGAAAAACAAGAAATGGGGAAAGGATTCCCTATTTAATAAATGGTGCTGGGAAAACTGGCTAGCCATATGTAGAAAGCTGAAACTGGATCCCTTCCTTACACCTTATACAAAAATCAATTCAAGATGGATTAAAGATTTAAACGTTAGACCTAAAACCATAAAAACCCTAGAAGAAAACTTAGGCATTACCATTCAGGACATAGGCATGGGCAAGGACTTCATGTCTAAAACACCAAAAGCAATGGCAACAAAAGACAAAATTGACAAATGGGATCTAATTAAACTAAAGAGCTTCTGCACAGCAAAAGAAACTACCATCAGAGTGAACAGGCAACCTACAAAATGGGAGAAAATTTTCGCAACCTACTCATCTGACAAAGGGCTAATATCCAGAATCTACAATGAACTCAAACAAATTTACAAGAAAAAAACAAACAACCCCATCAAAAAGTGGGCGAAGGACATGAACAGACACTTCTCAAAAGAAGACATTTATGCAGCCAAAAAACACATGAAAAAATGCTCATCATCACTGGCCATCAGAGAAATGCAAATCAAAACCACAATGAGATACCATCTCACACCAGTTAGAATGGCAATCATTAAAAAGTCAGGAAACAACAGGTGCTGGAGAGGATGTGGAGAAATAGGAACACTTTTACATTGTTGGTGGGACTGTAAACTAGTTCAACCATTGTGGAAGTCAGTGTGGCGATTCCTCAGGGATCTAGAACTAGAAATACCATTTGACCCAGCCATCCCATTACTGGGTATATACCCAAAGGACTATAAATCATGCTGCTATAAAGACACATGCACATGTATGTTTATTGTGGCATTATTCACAATAGCAAAGACTTGGAACCAACCCAAATGTCCAACAATGATAGACTGGATTAAGAAAATGTGGCACATATACACCATGGAATACTATGCAGCCATAAAAAATGATGAGTTCATGTCCTTTGTAGGGACATGGATGAAATTGGAAATCATCATTCTCAGTAAACTATCACAAGAACAAAAAACCAAACACCACATATTCTCACTCATAGGTGGGAATTGAACAATGAGATCACATGGACACAAGAAAGGGAATACCACACTCTGGGGACTGTGGTGGGGTGGGGGGAGGGGGGATGGATAGCATTGGGAGATATACCTAATGCTAGATGACGAGTTAGTGGGTGCAGCGCACCAGCATGGCACATGTATACATATGTAACTAACCTGCACAATGTGCACATGTACCCTAAAACCTAAAGTATAATAAAAAAAGAAAAGAAAAAAAAAAAAAAAAAAAAAAAAAGAAAAAAGTACATCACTGAGCTGAAGAAAGATAAACTGGTAATTTCTACTCTGCTCTGCACTAGTGAAGGTGCTATAGAATCTATTAACTATGTCTATTAGTTTACTTTCTTCTGTATTTTAAAGTATTTAAAAGTGTGATGTTGGAGGATCTTTCAGCTCAGCAAAGTCATTATGCCAGCCTCCTAGGTGAACACAGTTTGTAGGGAAGTTTTACCACAGATTATCCTCTGAAATTGCACCGGAAAGTAGATTTAATTATGATGCAGGAAAGTTTTTCAATGATTTTAAATGTGCACCTAGAACCATGCTATATTCCCTTATTTATTCTTCCTTAGATAGACATTATTTTGAATTTTCAGTGTAAAGAGGCATATTGTTTGCAGAAATGGCAGTTTTGTTTCTTTCTGTCTAGTTGCTATAGCTTTTATTTCCTCTTTGGCTCTGTATTATGGCTCTGTATTATGGCTATTATTCATGAAAAATATGAAAAATGACAGTTTTTGTTTCTTTTCACTCTCTACAGATTTTATTTATTTATGTTCCAGTCTTACTTTGCTAGTTAAGACCTTTAATATTATGCTGAAGAGAGTGGTAAACTTCATATTTTTTGTGTGGGTCCTGATTTTAAGAAGAATGATCATTGCAATATTAGCTTTTTTGTGTTAGGTACCTTTATAAAGTTAGGAAAGTTTTCTTCTCTCAATAGTTGGCTAAAACTTTTAATTAAAAGTTGAGTCCAGTAATATTTAAAGGTTTTTCTCTATGTATTGAGATTACCATATGATTTTTTTCCCTTTATTCTGCTAATGGGAAAGATTATGTTACTGGAGTTATTAAATGTTAAACCAACTTTGCATTTCTGGAAGAAATTGATTCAGGTTAAGATGTATAATCTAGTTTTTGCATTGCTAGATTTGGATTGCTAACATTTGGTTTAAGATTTTTTTCCCTCTACTTTTGGAGGGTTCAAACTCAATTCTTTCTTTTGTTGTTATCCCAGAAATAGTAAGATGTATATGTAACTTAAAATCTGAAGTTGAGCATTATCTTCACCTTTCTCCTGGATAATGCAAGGATTTTAGAGCGCTTTGCCTCTAGCTGACACTTTTTCTAGTTTATATGCTGTTATTCATTATTTTCAATTCTATCTTCTTTTGGTTCAGATTCAAAAGCAGACAAGTAATAAATATTTTTATCCTTTATGCACATTTTAAACAGTGCTTCCACATCACTATTCCTAGACATCCTTGAAACCAATCTTCCAGTTCTGTTCTTTTCAAATCTCTGAACCATTCCATTATTCACTGCCCGTAAATCACTGTATTCCTGCGTTTGGCAACAGGCCACTCAAGTGGACAACCAAATATGCTTACAGGTTTGCTTCTTGGGAGCCTTTCTACATGCCATTTTAGCAGATGCCTGAGTGGAACTGTAATGCTGTAATAGTCCACCTCTATTTTATGACAGAATGCCATGCCGGACTAGGTCTAAACCAGTCCCACATTTTCTGTTTGCCTCTTCTTTCTTTTTAGTCACTGGTCGTAATCAATTTTCCATGAAGGACATAGGTGTGGATTGAAGGAAAGAATATAATGTATCAGAAGTTGGTACTGAAGGAGTTTGAGCTACCTGACATGTAACTTACCTGTGCATTCTGGATTGCCTCTCTGCATATCCAATCTTATGGTTTGGTGAGCCACTTCAGTCTCATGAGCAACTGATGTCCCATAGTAAGGCATTGTACCAGGGCCCAACAGCAAACCAGAAGCTGTGTCTCAGAAGAAAACTAGTCATCTGGAGAAGCAGACAGGACTTTACTAAAAGCCCCCAGGGGTCTGCACTGTAATTCTCTGCACACTTGCCAGCCACTCAATGTAGCATTCCCCTTGGCACAGGCACTTCGAGTATCATTGGATCTACTGGAGCATAAGGGTTGAGCACTAGAGCAGCATGTGCTGAGCTGTACTGCCTGCAGAGTCTTCTCTTGCTTTGGACCCCTCTCACGCAGGGAAGCTTTATGGGTTGTCCAGGACATTGTGATATAGAATGCCTCCAAAATCCAAAGAGGGCATGCTCCTTTGTGGTGTTAGGTGGCATAAATGCAGCAACTTTGGGAAAGATATCCTGATTAATGGGCCCTTGGAAACTTTACCAACTTGGCTGACCCCTAAATTTTCCCTGGGGCAGACTCTCCATTTGTGGTAATTCAATTCAGGTTTTAGCCTACCAGACCTAGCTTTTTTCCTGTGATATGGATTAAGTTATATTTCTGTAGGCTGCCCATCTATTCCCCTTCTACAGACACCCTGACTGATTATCAGGCAATATGAAATATTCCTGTTGGTCAAAACATTTTGCTTATTATTTTGTCTCTGTTGCCCATGATAGTAAATATGTCCATTTTGCCTATGGAAATTAAGCACTGCCACCTGGACTTTGCTTCTCTGGAATCCATCATCCCAGCTGAAAGAAGAGCCAATCCCAGTGGCAACATTTCTTACTGCCCTCCCTGGTCTTCAGAAGGCAGCTAGTATGGAGCCTATCAAGGAGACTGTCTTGCTCTCCTCACTAATGTATTTTTAAATTCTTTCATGAGGGAAATGTGCTCTGGGCCTTTCTAGAGTGCGGAGTGGGTGAATGTCCAGTGTGCACATGATAAATTCACTTCACTATGCTTATCTTTCCAAGTCTTTGGATTCTTTCCTTTGTATCATGATTTACTGTGGCATGTCAGCCTCATTGTTTGCAGGACTCTGCTGAGGCTAGGTTTCAGTCCTCCAACACAGCAAACTGTTAGTACCTGAGAGCTAACACTTTACATGAAGAATCTCTAACTTCTCCCATATTAATATCCAGCTCAATATAATGTTATATTCCATTCACTTTGGTCTAACATCCTTAGAATCCATTTCTGCACATATTTCCCAGATTTAAGTCAAAATAAAATTGGAGGAATTTTACGGAGTATAAGCTATCTCCTACAGGGTCACATTTTTTACATGTCTTCCAGGAGCAAGCTGGTATCTGACTCTTAAAAAAAGTGGTGGCTGGGGGTGGGTCTTAAGGGAAAGAGGTATCCCATTGCAAACAACGGCCCAGATGAGGTTAATCAGGGCCCTTGATCAAGGGAAGGTGATTCTCCTCCAACATAGGAGAGCAAGCTGCTTCTGCTGGCAAGAGAAGCCCAAAGAAGCTTGGGGTCCAAGATTTTCAGTTTCTTTTACTTCCATTTAGCTGTCCTCATTCAAATAACAGGTTCCCATTCTTTCTCACTCAATGCCATAACTTTTATATTTGGGAAGCCTGTGAATTCAAATTTCATTGTAATGGTACAATCTTGCAATGTAATTTGTGATTTCAAATTATGTTACAATTCTATAATTTGACAATTTTTAATAATTCCATAGTTTTGGCAAATTATAGAATTGCAGCATAATTTGAATTCACAAACTCACAAATTGAAAATTTAAGTTAGATATTTTATGACATTCTATATGACATCTTATAAGAAACAAAAGATTATTTTATTTATGACATCCTATATGACAACTATAAGAAACAAAAGATTATTTTATGACTAGTGTTGAAGCTTTGTAATTCTCTGACTATGACTTGGGCTGAGAGTTTAAGGATCTGAGCTTGCCACTTACTTCATTTCTTTCTTTTTTTTTTTTTTTTGATACGGAGTCTCGCTCTGTTGCCCTGGCTAGAGTGCAATGGCATGATCTCGGCTCACTGCAACCTCTGCCTCCTGCGTTCAAGCTATTCTCCTCCTTCAGCCTCCTGAGTAGCTGGGATTACAGGCATGCACCACCACACCCAGCTAATTTTTGTATTTTTAGTAGAGAGGTGATTTCACCATGTTGGTCAGGCTGGTCTCGAACTCCTGACCTCATGATCAGCCTGCCTCAGCCTCCCAAAGTGCTGGGATTACAGGCACCACTTATTTCTATAAGCTACCCTACCTCACAGTCTTTATGGTCACCAATGCTACAGTAATGGTCAAATGTAACAGCCACTTGGTTCTCCAAAATACTGGCTTCTGTAAGAACTTCATCACAATCAAACACAGGCTATAATATTTTTAATGAAGAAGCCTCTGCATGTCACATAATTGTTAGTATTATAATTTCCACTGGCAAAGAGTTTCACATTGTGATTCAAGGCCAAACATGGCCAAGCTAATCATGAAGTTCCATCTCTGAGGTTCTTGATCCTAAATACTTTATCAATCAGGAGTCAGTTAGAAAACGGAAACCACATTTGGTAGTTCAAAAGACATAATTCATTACAGAGAATTGATGGCATAGGAGTTGGAAGACTGAAAAAGCAAACAGGGAAAAACTGGGATAACATGAGGTTATTAATAACTTCAGGAAGCAGCTACCCCTAAAGCCCAGGGAAACACAGGAAAGAAACTGAGGTTGTCAGAACTTAAATCTCAGAGACCCAGTCCCTCCTGCTGAGAAGAAAGCTTAGCCTAGATGTTGCTGGTCCCTCTGAGGACTTGTAATGAGAATGGTTCTCCAATGCCAAAGAAGCTAGAGATGGTTCTCTGGTGGGCCAAGGGGTTATATTAATAGGAATAGCAAGCAATCAAGAGGGAGTAAGTCCCTCCTCTCCTCTTCCTGTTTTCCCATTTTTGCAACTCTCCCTAGGAGCATAACTTACTATTATTATACTTTAAGTTCTGGGATACATGTGCAGAATGTGCAGGTTTGTTACATAGGTATACACGTGCTGTGGTGGTTTGCTGCACCCATCAACCCGTCATCTACATTAAGTATTTCTCCTAATGCTGTCCCTCCCCTAGTCCTCCACCCTCCGACAGGCCCCAGTGTGTGATGTTCCCCTCCCTGTGTCCATGTGTTCTCATTGTTCAACTCCCACTGATGAGTGAGAACATGCGATGTTTGGTTTTCTGAATGTAACTTTAACAGGAAGTCAGCTGACAAAGGAAATGAACGTGCAGAGTACCAGCCCCTTCCTTGCAAAGCACAGCATAGAAGAATGGGTTTGTTAAGAAATGATCATTTCTTTTTACTTTTTTGTTTTTGTTTCTGTTTTGTTTTTGAGACAGAGTTTTGCTCTTGTTGCCCAGCCTGGAGTGCAATGGCGCAATCTCAGCTCACTGCAACCTCCACCTCCTGCATTCAATCAATTCTCCTGCATCAGCCTCCCAAGTAGCTGGGATTCAGGTGTGCGTCACCACGCCTGGCTAATTTTAGTATTTTTAATAGAGACAGGGTTTCGCTATGTTGGCCAGGCTGGTCTCGGACTCCTGACCTCAGGTGATCTGCCTGCCTCAGCCTCCCAAATTGCTGGAATTACAGGCATGAGCCATTGCTCCTGGCCAGAAATGGTAATTTCATAACTGTCAAAAAGACATTCATCTTGACTTGCAGATGACCACAGATGGGGGAAAAGGGAAGAGATGAAATAATCCAGCTCTCTCTACTCATAGGAATTCTCTCCAAAGCATTTTCCTCTCTTTCTCTTATATCGGCTACTGTGGAAATGATGATTGAACCGGTTTGTCCCCCTTAACCAACAAGCCCTGTGCAGATGTATGTAGAGCCTCATATTTAATGGGGTTTATTTCTCATCCTCTGTTCTCAGCTTTAATGCTGTAGCCAAGAGTTCTGAGACAGCCAGAACTGTCTCATTCTGTTTCCCATTACTATGGTTAACTTAATGGTAAAATTTATTTCTTTAAGTTACTATATATTTATTTATAGCAGCATATGGCCAAAAAAATAAAGTATGTTTTCTCTATGTTGATTTTGAAATAAGTGAATACTTTGGAGTTTATTATCAAATTAGACTCTTGGTACATCACATACTAAGACTTGATATATCATATACCAAGACTTGGTAACTACATATCACAAGTGGTTAAAATAAATATAACCACAAGGCATCCTGATTATTTTCAAAAACTAAAGGATATATTCTAGTTCTTTCCTTTCTTATGTTTTTTTGTTTGTTTATTTCTCAGATAGGGTCTTATCTGTTGCCCAGGCTAAAGCACAATGGCATGATTATAGCTCACTGTAACTTTGAACTCCTGGGCTCAAGCCATCCTCCTGCCTTAGCCTGTTGAATAGCTAGTACTACAGGCGTGCACCATCATGCCCACCTAATCTTTTAATTTTTGTAGAGATGCAGTCTCGCTATTTTTCCCAGGATGGTCTTGCGCTACTGGCCTCAAGTAATTCTTCCACCTCGACCTCCCAAAGTGCTAGGATTGCAGGCACGAGCCACCACACCTGGCCTATAATTCTTTCTTACTATGATTGTACTTTAGAATTTTTTTTAATGTGAAGCTTATATTAAAATATGTTTGTATCCCGTATGGTGTGTTTTGGATACATCTACAGCTAAGGTAAGATGGGAGCTTTTAACCCTTCATATTCAGCTTCTCCTCTCATTAAATCCAGTTTAAAGTTTTCCCCAATGCTGACTAGGGCACAGTAGGTGCAAATTAATTTTATTATTTGCATTTGACAGGATTCATTGTAGTTCAAACTTACCAGACACAGATATTGTTTGAGGTTTCAGCTGTTCACCAAACACAAATGAAAATATTTGAACTTCATTGTAATTATTCAACGCAAGCTTTGAAATTAGGAGAGTGAACCCTTGTGGATACCATATAGCTCCTAAAACATTAACGTATTTCTCCCAGTGCTACAGAGTCTCTAAGTAAAATATACTAACCAACCAGAAAGTAGTTATTATTATCATTTCCTTTCAAAAAATAAAAAAATGTAAACAGTTTAAATAATTGGCCCAAGGTTGCATCCAAGTACTAAAATTATTATTTTGTCTTAGGGGAAAATGCTTGGAATATGCAATTAAAAATTATTCAAATACCAGTTTCTCTTTTTATTAGAAGTGTAACATTAGGGAGTTCTATAACTCTCTGAACTTTGATTTACTCAATGATAAAGTAAGGTAAATATTCTCTACCTTAATGTGTTGTTGTGAAGATTAAATAGGGATTTATGTTTTGACATAGCAACTACTGCAAAATAAGATGGCAATAAATGGTAGTTTTTACTTCTTTCTTCATGTAGGAAAAGATGTGATAGAATCAACATTAATAATATTCTCTGAGATGTTTTCCTAATTCTTTAGCAGAGATGGATCTGTGATTACTTATCCACATCCTCTTATTGGACTAGCTCAATTTTATGCCCTATATAAGAGGCATCTAATTTATGTGCAATAAAGTGACATAGAAAGTTGACTTTTTGACATGGGCTTTGCTGTATTATGTTCTAGCTCAGTAGTTTCCAAATGTTTTGATTGTGCAGTCCTATTTATAAAACATTTTGTTATTCACAATATTTAGGTGCATGTATAAATTATATGCATGCATAAATCTATTAATAAATTTTACACATAATAAAACACATGTAAACAAGGGCATGTTCAAAAGCTGAAACAAAAATTAATCTAAGTAAAAGTTCTGATAATCCCTAACAAATAGTCATGTACACCCCATTGAGAAACCACAGCCACAACCATTAAATGGACATGCACAAGCATCGTTGCAATAGAAACTCATATAGAATGTTCAAGTATTTCTGCTTTTATTCATATACTGGCACCTTTCACAATTTTTTCAAACCTCAGAAAAAAGCAATGGCATGAGCCAAGACAAGACAATCTTTCAATCATGACAGACCAATTCATGAAGTATTTGTTAGAGAATGGGTCCTTGGGAATATTACCTTGTTTAGAAAAACAAAACACAAACTACTTAAAATATGTGTGTGTCTTACCTTGACCTACTGTACTCTAGCAATTAGTCAGCATTTATTTAGGGAGTACTTATATGCCTAGAACTGGGCTAGGTGTTTTGTGGTACCAAAAGTATGATTAGACTTGAAGACGTAGATGCATATTGCAGTGAAGCCAAAATCATTAAAATATAGGCTTTAGACTCAGGCATGTATATAGGTTTGAATCAAGTCAAGAAATGGAAGCAGTATCTCTACTTCCTTCCATCAACCCAACCGTTTGTCTATTCTTCAACTTTCATGGAGTGCCTACAATATACCATGACTGGGTTAGGTACTGAGATGCTAAGGACACATGATGCTGAGGGAGGTAAGGTCAATGTCCCTGTCCTTTTCCTGTTCTTTCATATTTGTATCTCCATGGCCTAGAACAATGCATGTATTTGTTGTATGAGTGAAGGAAGGAATAATCATATGGCCTGTCAGAAAAGGCAGACATAAAATAAAATAAAATAAAATAAAATAAAAGTTGATAAATAATGTTGATTGTATTGAGAAGAGAAAGAAAAAGTGCAGCTCTTCTGAAAGCTTATAAATGGGGGGTCTTATGAAACCCACATAGGCTAGGAAAGCAGTCCAACAGAGCATGGATACAAATAGGTTTAGAATGATGGAAGCTGAGCACAGGATTTGGGCAAAGGAATAACATAAGAAGAATTCCCTAATATGGGGAGATGTTTGGCCTAATTGAAATGGGAATAAGATTAGTGTTCCTTGAAAGTAGAGAATGAAGGGAGAAATGATATAGGATGTGGCTGGACTGTAGTCGGACCCAGATAATCCGAAACCTGTAGAGTCATTATACTCCTTCCTCTTGGGCCTGCCTGCCTCCCTTTTCTTTTATGTTCTGTGCATCTTTCTCCTTTTTTTTTTTTAAATCATTTTACTTCTCTCTCTCCAGGCCCATTTATTCAACTATATTTAAACTTAATAGATCAAAACAAAACAAAGTTTTGTTTTATGTCCAGTATGTTGTATGCCTTTTGAAGGAAACCCATACTGAGTTCTTCGTTACTTCTTGTATCCACTGACATTGAGTAGTCAGTGGATAACTACCCTTCATCTAGAATCTGATCAACCTGGCTCATGACATTTTATACAGAGTCCTCTGTTTCCAATTTCTAGTGAGAAAATATCAACAGAAGGGCCATTGCCTTAGGGACAGAGGCCTAGTGGAAAAGTTGTCTGTAATCTAGGGATTTGGATCTCAGAGTTCCAAATTTCCCAGTGGAGCAACGGATGCAGGAAATACACTGTTTAGTTTTGTTTTGTTTTTGTTTAAAATGTCGGCAGTAAGTGCTGAGAGGAGGAACCTTCATGGAGCCCTGAATGTGAGAAGAGCAGAAGTAAGAAGCAAGAAGGGGCTGGGCATGGTGGCCCACAGCTGTAATCCTAGCTCTTTGGAAGGCTGAGATAGGAGGATCACTTGAACTCAGGAGTTCAAGACTAGCCTGGGCAACATGGCAAAACCTGGTCTCTATAAAAAGAAATAAAAAAAATGAGCTGGATGTGGTGGCATGCACCTGTGGTGTCTCAGCTATTCAGGGGGCTGAGGAGAGAGGATCGCTTGAGCCCAGGACGTTGAGGCTGCAGTGAGCCATATTCATGCCACTGCACTCCAGCCTGGTGACAAAGGGAGACCCTGTCTCAAATTAAGGAGAAGGAGAAGGAGAAGGAAGAAAAAAGAAGGAAGAAGAGGAGGAGGGGGAGGAGGAAGAAAAGGGAATTGTGGTAAGCCTACTGTTAGGAGTTAAGGTAGAGGTGGAGGTTTCAGTTATAATCTTAGTAAGAATTTTGCAGGATTCTGCTACTCTCAGTAATATCAAATGTTTTGAGCATCATTGGACAATATCCTATATTAAATGTGAATCATTAGGAAACAATTCACATGACCACTTTTTTGGGTAAAGCAATTTAACAAAAGTTTTTTTTCAAGGTTTGGCAATCTCATTTTTTTTCTAGGTCATATGTGTGAGTATGCTAAAGCAGTTTATTAGTTTGTTCTCACGCTGCTATGAAAACATATCCAAGACTGAGTAATTAATAAAGGAAAAAGGTTTAATTGACTCAGTTCAGCATGGCTGGGGAGGCCTCAGGAAACTTACAATCACGGTGGAAGGCAAAGGATAAGCAGGCACCTTCTTCACAGGGTGGCAGGACAGAATAAGTGCAAGCAGGGGAAATGCCAGATGCTTATGAAACCATCAGAAACCATCAGATCTCATGAGACTTACTCACTATGACAAGAGAAGTGTGGGGAAACTGCCCCATGATCCAAATACCTCTACCTGGTCCCACCCTCGACATGGGGGGATTATGGAGATAATTCAAGATGAAAGTTTGGGTGGGGACACAGCCAAACCGTATCAGGCAGAGACCTGACAAAACTCACTTGGAATCATATTAATTTATTTCTTGATTAATTTGTTCAAGAAATGTATATTGAAAACCCCATTTTCCATGTTCTGTGCCTGAATGATGAACTTCAGAAAAAATTCCTTGCCCATGCCTTGATTTGTTGGCAGGGTTAAATTTAAGTTTCTCCTACAAGAATGTAAGGAGCTTATTTTATTTTATTTCTTTCTTATTTTTGAGACAGAGTCTCACTCCAGATTGGAGTGGAGTGGTACAATCTAGGCTCATTGCAGCCTTGGCCTCCTGGACTCAACCTTCCAAGTAGCTGGAACTATAGGCACATGCTACCACGTCCAGCTAATTTTTGTAGATATGGGGTGTCGACATGTTGCCCAGGCTTGTCTCGAACTCCTGGGCTCAACTGATTCTCCTGCCTCAGCCTCCCAAAGTGCTGGGATTACGTGCGTGAGCCACTGTGTGTGGCCCAGAGCTTATTTTAGGATGAGATCCAAAGCATGAATAACAGAGCAGAAATAACCAAGTCCTTGGTGATGTTCCTGAGCAATTTAACCAATCAACTTGAAGTCTGTCCAAGCTGAGAAATTTCTAGCTAAATAAGCCATTAATTCTTTTTTATTTAAGCTAGTTAGAATTGAGTTTCCTGTTACTTGTAAGCCTGAGCATCTTGAAACAATACATATATGAGATACATAAATTTAAGGATAAATGATAGAAGGGTTGAATGCCTCTATTGTAACTTTATTTTTAAAGTATGAAATTTGAATCAATATATAAAGTCTGACATTAAAAACATCCGGTTAAGAAGAAAGGCCTAATATTATAACTTCCAAAAAGTGAAGGAATATCTTTGAAATGAAAAGGGAAAATGAAACATCAAACATTTATATGAATTATTTGTATATTATTAAATGCTTTTCAAACTCATTCTTTAGGATCTCGAAGAGAGAAGACTTACTATGTGAACAAAATGAACATTTACATGCACATTACTTATATTAATAAACTACATATATAAATCAATTAATTACAATTGGACATGGCATTTATTTGTAAACAACCTATAACAGATCATTGTTTGAAGAGAGAAAAGATGATGGAATGCTTTAGCAACTGGTAGATATTTGAGAGTCGAAGATTTTTGCACCTTTAAGAAATTCCAGTGTTACTTCGGTTGTTAATTTCAGGTCCACTTCCTTCCTGGTGGCAAGAATCAGGCCGTCTTCTGAACAAATTCCATGAAGGATCT
Organism: Homo sapiens; assembly: GCF_000001405.40. Lineage (NCBI taxonomy): Eukaryota > Metazoa > Chordata > Mammalia > Primates > Hominidae > Homo > Homo sapiens. Next base: position 68,379,370 of record NC_000008.11, read on the forward strand.
GTTTCCTTTCCCACAAAGAAAGAATGTCTAATGTAGTTTCACATTCCTACAGGTACATTAACCAAGCATGAAGTTTATCTATCTTCATGCCCCGCTCCACAGCAGCGCTGACTGAGATGACATTTAGATGATCTGAAATACCATTTTATTTATTGTTGCTACTCTTGTTTTTCTTTCTGACTTGGTTCCTCTCTTGCTGTTGTTACAACTTCATCTCTCATTCCTTTCATTGCTTCCATGGCTTTAACTTTCCTTTTGTTTCTCTTTGCAATATTATCTCATTCCTACAACAAGTCACTGATTCCTATTCAAACAAGCAAACGTGTACAAAAAGCTCAAATAAAATAAACCTTGTCCAGTGTAGGCCACTTTGTAGAAAAGAAAAAAGTCAGGATCATGTCATTGTCTCGGATAAAGATGTGCCAGGACACCCTCTGGTCACATGTGTATACATCGTCACGCTTCTTGTTGCATGGTTTTTGTTTATTTGTTTGTTTTTCGAGACAGAGTCTCACTCTGTTACCCAAGCTGGAGTGCAGTGGCACAATTATGGCTCACTGTAGGGTCAACCTCCCAGGCTCAAGTGATTCTCCCAACTGGAACCTCCCAAGTAGCTGGGACTACAGGAGTGCATCACTACACCCCCCTTCTAATTTTATTTTTTAATTTTTTTGTAGAGATAGGATCTCCCCGTGTTGCCCAGGTGGATCTCAAACTCTTGGACTCAAGTAATTTTCCTGCCTTCACCTCCCAAAGTGCTGGAATTATAGGCGTGAGCCACCACACCCAGCCTTCTTGTTGCATGTTAATCCCAGGCTCTGCTTATGGTTAGAGAAAATGTCTTTGAAGCCATTAAGACTCTAAATATGGCTGAATATGCCTTTAAATTAAATTCAGTTGATAAGTTAAAAAGAAATGGTAGCTCCATTTTGCCATGACAGGAACAAGATGTACTTGAAAGAGAAACTGAGTTCAGCCAGAAAAATTAATTGGAGGGAATAAAAGAGGCTTGAAGAGAAACCTAGCATTTAATTATGCTTAATTGTCACTGTGGAAATTACTGTTTACAGTATTGTCATTTTTAAAAAAGATATTTTTAGAGGTGACATTTTGATTAGGATAATTTCCTGCTTCCAATGTAATACACTTTTATCAGTATTTGGCTCCATGGCTGTCAAGCCAGCAAAACTGTTGACAGGTTTTTTTAGATTGGATGAATGCAGGCCCAAGATGTCTTGGTTCTTAGCTGGAATTTATTGAATGCATCAATATTGCATTGACATTAAAAAACTCTTTATGCTACACTACCTGAATTCAATTGTACAACTTGGTAGACATACATAAGACAATGATGAGCTCAGCAAATATTTTATGTGTGCAGACAATTTGGAAAGAACTTCAGGATTGAAACTCAGGCTTAGAAGAGCTAATATATATATTACATTCAACTCAAGGCAATCAAATTTACCACACATTCATGTATCTCAGAAGATTGTTTTGGGAAAACATTAACTCCTTTCTATGTGTTCCATTATGCCCTGAGGCTTTATTCTAATTGAGAGTCCATATTAATAAGTTAGATGATAAAATATAAGCAAAAAAATGACAGTGAGATAAGTTGTCCTAGAGAAAAGAAGCTTTGAGGTGACAGAATTTACAATTAAGAATACTAGAGGAAATCATCAGAAAGCACAGCTTGAATTATTTTGTACAAAATAAGGTTAATGAAGGAATACTTCAGTGTTCAGTATTTTTTCATGAATATTTTAAGAAGTACAAGAAGCTTGACTATTGTATTATCTGAAGCAGGAAGACTAGACTATTTTTCTTTAAAAAGGGAAACCAGTAAACTTCATTGATCTGCATTCAAGTGCTCTACTCTAAGTTTATTCCAAAGAACCTATAGAGGTTAACTCAAGCATGTTCTAGTTAATCCACTAGATGCTTACATCTCATATATGGCTAGTATTGTATTTTCGGGTTTGCAAATGTTGCTTTTGGAGTACTCTGTTATCATTACAAGATTCCCACCACTTGTATCTAATGTTTACAACACACATCATTTAAAATAGGTATATTAAGGCCGGGCGCGGTGGCTCACGCCTGTAATCCCAGCACTTTGGGAGGCCGAGGCGGGTGGATCATGAGGTCAGGAGATCGAGACCATCCTGGCTAACAAGGTGAAACCCCGTCTCTACTAAAAATACAAAAAATTAGCCGGGCGCGGTGGCGGGCGCCTGTAGTCCCAGCTACTCGGGAGGCTGAGGCAGGAGAATGGCGTGAACCCGGGAAGCGGAGCTTGCAGTGAGCCGAGATTGCGCCACTGCAGTCCGCAGTCCGGCCTGGGCGACAGAGCGAGACTCCGTCTCAAAAAAAAAAAAAAAAAAAAAAAATAGGTATATTAAATGGCTTACAAATTGAGGATGATGTGTGTGCATTCCATTTATTTTTTCTTTTAAAATGACTTAAATACCTATAGATTAAAAACAGAAAGTAAAAATAATCAAGAAAAATGTAAAAGTTCTCCAGTGCTCCTTCATAGACATAACTTTTGTTAACATTTTGATACATATTTTCCAGTCTTTTAATGCACATATATATTTGGTACTTAACAAAATTCAATCATATACAAATAGTATTGCAACCTGAAATTTTCAATTAGAAACATAGCGGACATAAGAAATTTCATTGATAAGTTTAGTGGTTTTCCATTCATGATGTATTCCATAAGTACATGATAACATATTTTATCTATTTCCTATTGTATTGAATATTTATATTTTGCATCTTTGCAGTTATAACCATTGTAGTGGTGGATAAATACGTAGATCTGATTACTTCCTAGTAATTCTTGTTGATTAAATTGCATATAAAATGATGTGCACAATTTAAGACATTTCACATATATTGCCAAAATGCTTTCCAGAGAGATTTTTACAGTTTACAATCTTGACAGTGTTATAGGTTGCTTTTTTCTCTGTATTTTTGCCTCTGTTTCCTCATCTGTGATACAGAAATAATTATACAATGAACTAAAGTAAATTAAATTAGAAATTCAGTCTTCATTCTCACTAGCCAGATTTCAAGAGTTCAAAAGTAACGTGTACCTACTGTGTTGAACACAGCAGACCTAGAGTACTGCTCTCATTGCAGAATACTTTTGCTGGACCAATGGGCCTTAGGTTCAGAAGCATTTCTATTTCCCATCATTCCTGGCCTCCCATCTATTCCACACAGTAAGATGCTGCCATCCCTTGGCCCCTGTGACACCATGCTCCCTTAGTTTTCTTCCAGCCTCTTCAGGCCATTTCTTCTCAGTCTCCCTTAGGAACTCCTCCACCTCCACCTGCTCTTTAAAAGTTGAACATTCTCAGGACTCAGTCCTAGATCTCCTCTTTTTTTATTTTATACTTTCCTTTAGAAAGATTCTATGGATTCCAACACTTTCTATTTGGTTGGAATAGAATTCTATTTGGCAATTCTGAAATTTATATTTATATTTATATCATATCTTCTGATAGGTCTACTTTGCATCCGTGCACTGGCATCCATGCCAGTTTCATCCTCCTGGGAGAAAGGGGGTTCCTCAGACAGGAGCTAGAAAATGAAAGCTCCACTCTCATGATCAGAAGAGTGCTGTCTTTCTTTTGGCCTAGACATTGAGTCTGCATATCTAGGAGGTTATATATTGTAGCATAGGTTAAAGATAATGTCAGACCAAGAATTAGGAAATCTGAAAGTCAGGAAGATGTGACCGTCATCCTAGGTCCAGCACACACTTGAGAGTGAAATTATCTGGGGTCATTATCATGGCCATGTTTATATTCTTTATTTACATCCTAGTTTCTAGTAAAATTTTATTGAAAATTCTGAATTTACTTCAACTGTACGATGTAGAGCACATTAAGAGGGGAAACATTTGCCTAAATTTGGGCCATGATGTTAACCATAAAACTGTGTCCTCTAGCCCCATTTCCCCATTTCCTACTTCAGATCCCTGTGATGGTGACTGGTAATGTATGAGCTGTTCCATAGGTCTGTCTTGCTTGTTCAGACAATTTCCCCATCATGAAATTTTTCTTCCAGCATTAATATTTAAAGTTCATAGTTTTCATGTGATTGAAATACATATTCCCTTCAAGGTCCCTGCTGGGAGAAAGTATACTCGGGTCTAGAATGTTTCTCTAAGGTTTCAGGTCCAGTATATACATCTGCATCTACAGTGTAAGAATGATGAATAAGCTTCTAAGTTATCACATCCTAATTTGTGCTTCGAGCTGTACAGTGTGCAATAGTGCACCCTTCTGGAAAAATATTAGAAAAAAACTACATCCTCGACTGCAGCCCATCCTGATTATTTATTTTGACTTGTGCTGAGAATTGCTCATTTCCTCTCTGCAGTCACTGGCATCTCCATGACTGTCTTGTGCCAATGTGTCCAGGAGAATAGCCTGGCACTGGCCAGGTGCTGAAAAAATACTCCTTGAGCTAAAGAACCCATGTTTGTATCATTAAGCAGTCTAAATGAGACAATGTAATCTCCCTAATAGGGTGGGAGGAAGAGGATTTCTGTTCTGCCAAAAGAAACATACAGGATTTTGGTATAGATGCTGGTGAATTTCAAACTGTCTGCCATTCAGATGTGTGTCCTATTTAGGAGATACTTAACCACACTACCCTTTCTCAGAAGACATGATAGGAAGGAAAGTTTTACCCTTTTAACAAAATGAACTAAAATGAAATGCTTTAGAGGTGAAAATTTGGCTCTTTCCAATTCTATTTTCTAAGACTATTATTTTTAAATTTTGTTTACATCTAAAGTCAATGTCAATATAGAGTTCTCAACCCTCTCCTTTGAAGTTTCAATAGGTTCCTTCGAGAGTAAAATGACAGCAACAGCAAAAACAGTAGGTCAAAAGAACATGTATCAATGGCTTTTGCCAGTTTAGTGTTGAAAGTACTAATATCTTGCTGTTTGCATCACTTCTTGATTTGCTGTCTGGCCCAACAATATGTTTGGAATGCAGGGCAGTCTGTTTGATATATATGGCGCTGGCCTCTGCTTCTGGGTCTGCGCTTTTGTTGCCAAGATATTGCTTTACTTGTTAAATAAAAGAAGACAAGATTAATTGGTTAATAGTAAAACTCTAGGCTGTATGATTAAATATTGTACAACAACAAACATTGTGTTTTTAAGAAGTGAGGAGATGCATAGTAAAAGCCAGGGTGAGTTTATTCCATAAGGGCATGGTTTGCCCTCTGCTGTTGCTGATTGCTCTCAGATTAATCAGGCTAAAACTGGTTGTTTAAATACATAAAATGCTTTGACAAGAAAAGTGATCCAGTTGGTACGTGCAGGCTTAACTGTTATCTCCACTCAGCCAAAGGTTTTGTTCTCTCTTGCACTCTGCATATATTTTGAAAGATTGGAAATGTAGGTTCTAATAATAACATGATGGAACCAAGCTCATGGTGGGAGCAGATGGTGAAATTTTAACAGATGACATGAGAGTGTAGAGTGATTCAACCTTTATTTTGCTGATAGATTTTCTATCAAAGAGGATTAACTTTACACACCAGAAAATAGGGTGTTCTTGATTAAGAAGAAGCTGAAAACGAAGGAACGAAAAAAATATGCAATATGCTTTTAATGAGTTTAAAGTCTCTTGGCTCAGTGTGGTTATATCCTTGTGAATGTAAACAACTTGAATTGAGGTCACAGAACCATGGAGTGTCCTCTTTAATTAATAAGCCAATACCTCACCACAATTACTATGTGACAGTCACGGTCTAAGCACTGGGTATTATTTGATCCTTACCTCAACCTTATGTGGTAATTTTGTCAGCCTCATTTTAGTGATAAGGACATGGAGGCACAGAGAGGTTAAGAAACTTGTCCAAGGTCACACACCAAACAAATGGAGGAACAAAGTAGCAAACCCACATACTTTGATACCAGTATTCATGCTCTCAATCCCCACACTATACTTGCCAAGCTGACAGATGTGCCTAAACACTGGAAACAGGAATAGCATTTTTAGTTTTCAACATAGAAAACTAGGTATATTCTGGAATCAACAGAAGATAAGATTAATTGACCTATAATAAAATTATACAATTTGTGATTAAATGTTGAATAATAAAAAACAGTGAGTGAGATATATGCTCCATTGAATCCAGTGTGAGTTTAATGAGAACAAATCATTCTACACCAGCTTAATCTTTGCTTCTGATAAGATAACCAGGCTCACAGATAAGATCCATGTAGGAAACATAGCTTATCTGAGATTTTTTTTCCAGACAATTGGAAAAGCCTTTCATATACACAACACAGATTTGTATAAGATGGAGAAATGTGGAATTAGTGATAGTGCAGCCATTTGGATCTTATTGAATCCCCCTGCCCATGAGGATGGATTGATGATTGGTATGAGCCTGGAGGACTGTCCCTAGTTGTTTGCTAGTGCCAGAACATGGCCTGTTCAGTATTTTTACCAAAAACCTAGATGATGAAAAATCAGCTTTATTTTACTTATTTACTTATTTTTGAGACAGGATTTCTCACTGTTGCCCAGACTGGAGTGTAGTGGCGTGGTAATAGCTCTTTGTGGTCTCAACCTCCTGGGCTCAAGTGACCCTCCTACTTTACCTCCAGAGTAGCTGGGACCACAGGCATGGCCCACTAGTCCACCACACTTGGTTAAGGTTTTGACTTTCTATAGAGATGAGGTCTTGTTGTGTTGCCCAGGCTGATCTTGAATGCCTGGGCTTAAGCATTCCTCACACCTCGGCCTCCTAAAATTCTGGGATTACAGGTGTGAGCCACCCATACCCGGCCTATTTATTTTGAAATACATTAAAACAAAACAAAACAGAGCCTGAACTTGGCATGAATAATATGAAGCTTTATAGGGATAAATCTGAAGTTCAGCATTTAATTTAGAATATTCCAAATGCAATGGTCATTTCTACAATGACTAGCATAATAAAAAAGCTTTGAAGTATTTAGCAATATTAACCTTAAGAAGGAAGACTTAAGGGGAATAGCACATATATTTCAAATATATGAAAGGCTGTTGTATAAAACATATATTTATTCTGTATCTGTTCAGGAGACAAAGCTAGAATCTATAGGTGGAAACAACGTAATACCATCCTAATGATATTAACTGTTTAAACATTGCATGGGTTGTCTTTTCTTCTATAACCTCCTAAGTGTCTATGACATAAGAAGCTGTCCTTGGGTAACTGCTAGTTCTGCTTAGATCTGTGTTATGATTTGAGAAATATTAAGGGATTTTCTTCTTCTTTCAAAATACCTTTTACCACTAGGACTTCTGCAGACCTTTAGACGCCCACGCTGTGTACAGCATTAGAGCAGGGTTGCTCAACCTCAGCTCTGCTGACATTTTGGACCAGATCATTCTTTGCTGTGGGAGCTGTCCTGGGCACTGTAGGATGTTTGGCAGCATTGCTGGCTTTTACCAACTAGATGCCAGAAATAGCCCTCCCCCAGCCGTGACAATGAAAGAAGTCTCCAGACATTGCCAAAAGTGCCCTGAAGGACAAAATCACCACAAATTAATAACTACTGCTTTAGGGAAAGGCATTAAGTTTCTTGCTAAAATGCAAATGTATTTTAACTGAGGTATTCCAAGCTGAAGGATGGCATGATACAAAGATGGGCATGATGGAGACCCACATGCAGTGTTTTCTTGGAGAAGTAGTTTGGTGTATCTGGCTCATGGTGCATGTGTGGGAGGAAGGTGAAAGGTGGTGATGGGCAGTAGCCTTATTCTGCACATGGACCGACTTCAGTGTCAGGCAGGAAGTGGGTACTAACTTTGTTAGGCAAGTGAGTATCACTAATGACATTTGGGTAGGAGAGTGCATGTCAAATTGCCACTTTGGGAAGATACATCTTATGGTGGTGTGTGGGGTGACTGGGATGTGTAAGGTATTAGTTAGCATTTATTACTAGCAGAGAAATGATGATGACCTAACCTAGGGTGATGGTTAAGTGGACCTGGGAAAGGAGGCAGCAGGTGAGGACTATTAAATAGGAAGTATAATTGAATAGTTATAGAGTGTGAGGTATGGGCAAGGATGATCCTGAAGTTTCAAATATGGATTAAAAAGATAAAGTTAATTTCCTTACAAATAGAGGAAGAAGGAGCAGCCATGCTGGTGGAGAGGATGATAGAGTCATGAATAGACACCAAGTTCCTAAGGAAGAAGATACAGAAATGGATGGAGATTTACCATAGGCAAAAGAGTTTCCTTCATAGCACTGTGTGTCTGAAAAAAAGAAAAAAACCTCGTAGAAAACCATTCTTAATGTTTGTGCAGAGCCAAAAGTAGTCAAAATAGCTCATTCTTTGATCTACCTATCTCATCATTTATTGAAATCTAAAACAAATACAAAATAGGTAATAGAGCATGAATGTGACAACTCTACAGTGTTTTTTTCTTTATTTAGCATATATGTAAATTTTGATAAATAATGTTATTTCCCTTCATCCACCTGAGTTAGTAAAAGGTATTTACTTGCTTTCAAACTTGAGCTGTCTTCTCTTGTTGCAGGACTTCACTGCTGCTTAGGGAGCTACTTACTGATTAGCACTGAGTGTGCATTTCATGGTAGTTGTGTTACAGTGGTTCTTGATTGCCTTCTGTTGTTGGTGGTAATTTTCCACTGATCTTTTCCAATTATGAATTCCATGAAGATTGCTTCTGGTTTTTGTTCCCAAGACCAATTTTGGTCTTATTCCAGATAAAACAGACATTCAATTTACCGTTTACCCACTCTTTACTCACTGTTTTCCATGGAAATATTCTTCACAAAGCCTGTATGAAGAGTTTTAGGATAAAGTGCAATTACTAATATTTTGTATTTGGCAAACTCAGTCCTTAAGCTGTTTAGTCTCTGTGTATTTCTGCAGAGCCCCAGTGGAGTCTGACATAGCTTTCCTTCTCTAGAGTTCATGAAAATTCTTGCCTGATCACCTCAGCTAGCTGAGAATCACCCCTTTTCTGACATGTAAAGTACATGTAACCACTTTCTATGTCATTATGGTATGCATTTTGATACAAAAATTTCTCTTCTATTAAAAAATCTCCTATTAGTCTTAAGCTCCTTAGGAATATGGACTTTTATCTCCCCTTCTCCTCCACTTTTCCCCCACCCCTTCAACTCACACACATAGTTTAGCCAGCCTGAGGCAATATGGCATCATGATACTCATCTGATGAGAAATGAACAAGTGGATATTCATCAAAAGAAATGAACAAGTGGATATTCATCAAGTTACTTTTGTAAGTTGATCTTTCTTGATACAGATCAGTTGCCCAGTGCCAAAACACAAAGTAGTCAAAGCCATGTTATAGAGGGGTAAAATAACAAGACCGTGTTTAAGACTATTTAGAGTAGTAAAAATAATTTGGTAGATGTAAAGTGGTACCCCAAAATTTGCATTTCTGTTTCCCAACATGCTGATGCTGCTGGTCCAGGGATCACATTTTGAGAACAACTGCCCTAAGCTGAGTTTTACATGAGTGATATAAGTTTCTCGTTAGCCTTTTCTGTCACATAACTGTACTGCAACTCTTTTGTATTGTCAGTTGATGAAGAATGTGTGCAAAAATATGGATTACAAGGTATGCTACCCAGGAAGTATTCAGTGAATTGAAGCTTTATTATTGCTAGTAGGGTCTGGCATTCGTATTTTTGTATGCATTCATTTTGCAGAGATTCATTAAATCTCCTGTCTCTGCTAGAAAATGTAGATAGAATAGTGAGCAAAATATTGTCCTCATGGAGCCTGTTATATATTGAATAAAAAGCACAGTAAGTGGGCAATTATAAAGTTCAAAGACCTGGTTTCCATGTCAGTTTTGCTTCATGATCTATGTTCTTGGACAGGCTCTTACTTTCCACATCTGTGATGTGGTGATGAGAATAATACTTGCATAGTTGCCAAGAGTTAAATGGGGCATCATATATATAAGTGCTATGTATGCTATTAAGTGCTACTCAAATGTGAGGTACAAAAAAATAAGAATCATCCCAGTGCATGTAGGAGAGATCATGGTAGATGGAATGAAATAGATGATTGGAAGGCATTGCGATGATTACTTATGGGCACATTTTAAGCACCTACAACACCTAAGTATACTTGTTATCCACATGGTACATTAGCCTCCCTTGTTAAGAGGCAGGGATTTAATTTGTAATTATCATATTGTAAAGGGCATGGGTGACTATCTTTTCAAATTGTTGCTTAGGAACTCAGAATTTATTAGACACTTGGACACTTCTTCAGCCAAGAGGTTACAAATTAAAAACCTGAAGGTGCGAGCAAATAAAAGAAGGTGATTTTTTGATATATATGAGATGATTTGACGATTTCTTTTCTATTTACTTTTGAAAGCCTTAGTGAACTTATCTGGGGAGAAATATATTTGCTTTTCACAGAAAGCAAAATCTAGTTCAAGGACGGTTTCTTTAGATGAAAATTATGTTTAGGCTTACATAATCCTAACGATGACCACTTTTCTTTTGACCTCTTTTCTAAGGTGTTATGTATTAAGCATGTGAGTAAGCATTTTGGTGAGCTGCAGTTACTCTTGAAGGGGTCACCACCACCATCACTATTGGAAGAAAGGTGACTCTTCCATTACCCTGGATTTGTGAATCGTATTTCAAATTTGAATGTGTTTTGCTTTTCCCCTCACTGTTGTATCTTTTGGTGTGGGATGTTTTGCCATGGAAAGAAGGAGAAAGAAGCAGGATGCAGTGGGCATACACTTAATTGGGGCTGAAGGACGTGAGGGCCCCTGTCCAGCCCACCATTCTGTGCCCTGGACAGCCCCTTAATGTGTTAGTGCCTTGGGTTGCATGTCTGAGTTGAATTCCATGAACTGAGTTTCGTTTCCTGAGAAAAGAAAAGTTTGAGAGAGAATCAAATTAACTGTTTAAATTCACGAAATCTTTTGAACAAAAGGGTAGTGGCCACTTGCTTTCTAAATATATCATAAAGGGGTCAAGAGGAAGTAGCTAGCAATAAGATAATGTATGTAATGACAAATGCCTTGGAAGTGGAAGTTAGTACATATCAGGACAGACTATGTATGGTTTATGTATCACATACAATTCATTAAAACTAGAACAGACTCTTTCTTTCCATCTCTGTTACTTCTATCCTTTTTTCTTTGGCTATGGGAATTTTATCAAGTTTGGATGGTGCAGGCTGTGTACATTCCCCAGGCATGGGTTTTGGAACACAGGGGATCTGACTGTGGAATCAAGTTCCATCTCTTAGAAGCTCAGATTTTTATCTATAAAATGGAGATGAAGGTTACCTTTGAGGGTAGTCACAGTCTGTATCAGTCAGGGTTCTCCAGAGAAACAGAGCCAATAGAGAGTTATTTTAAGGAATTGGCTCATGTGATTTTGGAGGCTGGCAAGTCTGAAATCTGCAGGGCAGGTCGGCAACTGCTCAGGCAGGAGTTGGTGTTGCTGCCTGGAGACAGACTTTCTTCTTCTTCAGGAAAGCTCAGTTTTTGCTTTTAAGGCCTTCAACTAGTAGGATGATGCCCACCTGCAGTATTAAGGGAAATATACTTTTCTTAAAGTCAACTGATTGTAGTTGTTAACCATAGCTACAAAATGTCTTTAGCAACACATAGATTAGTGTTTGATTAAATAACTGGGTACTATGGTTTAGCCAAATTGACACATAAAACTAACCATCAGATAGTCATCATATTAATCATAGCTGGTATTTACTTACTCCATGAGTAGTAAGTAGATGCTCACATGGATTCTTTCATTTAACATTAATAAAACCATAGGAGGTGATATTATAATCCTAAAAAGGATGATACTTGCCAATGTCCCACAGTAACTTACACAAGCCCAAGAGCCAAGCCATGTGTAGGACAACCAGAGTTCTGTCACAAAAGTTTACAAATTCAAATTGGAAGGAGATTGTCCTTTTTTTACTAGCTCAGATCCCAAGGCTATACTGACATGCTGGTGGCCATGTCTCCCACCCCATGAAGGAGGCTGGTTTAAGAGCATGAAGCCAACATGCTCAGAGAAGCTGTAATGAAAGTTGGATAGATGTAACCATGAATGGTCCAAGATATCTTTCCTCTTCTGCGATTTGTTCTTGTTAACTAATTATTTATCTTCTTTCCTTAAGCAATTTTGTGTTGAGGTTCTGTCACTGCTATCAGAGTCCAGCAAGATACTGTCACATTGCTGTCAAGTGACAGACAGCAAACAACCCATAAAATCTCAGTAGCTTAAACCACAAGGTTTATTTCTCACTCACACTCCATGTCCATCTGAGTCAGTGGTAAGTTCTGGTCTTATCAGAACATATCTAAAATGTGGCCAGCCACCACAGCAGAGGGACCGGAATATGACAGATCGTGCTCTGGCTCTTAAAGACTCCTGCCGAGAGTGACATAAATCACTTTTGCACACATTTCATCAGCCAAAGAAATCACATGGTCACTCAGACATTTAAGGAACTGGGAAAATGCAATTCCACCACATGCCCAGAAAGAGGACCATTAGGAAAACCAATGAACATCGCTAATGAATGCTGAATTGTTCATACAACTTTTCACTCCTGGGAAATACTTTTGATGCCTTTGTTGGTAAAGGGTAGCTGACTTTATGAGAATATAAATTCTGATTTTGAAATTACTTTTCATTTTTTGCCATGAATTTTATTCTTATCTACAAAATATTTTGTTTCCCTGAGGTCAAAAATGTTTTCTCTTATATATTCTTTTTATAATTTTTTTTCATTTAGGCCTTTAATAAATCTGGAGTTTACTTTCCAATGGGTTTGAATTAAGAACCTAATTTTATTTTATTTCTGTCTATAGAGAAAATCATCCAAATGCCCTTAATAAAATAGTCTACTCTTCTCCTTTGATATATAAAGCTGTTGCTAATATATATCAAGTTCCTGTATTTACTGGGAGCATAGAGGATTTCTATTTTCTTAGCAATGTCCTATTTATTTTATAATTTAAAAACTCTGGAAGCAAAATAATATGTTACCCTTGAGTTGCACATACAAGAATGTTTACTGGATTATTCTTAGTAACTTTTTTATATTTTCTCAGAATATAAAAAAAATGTTCTGCCTAGACTATTATTTTTTTCTTAAAGTTTTTGTAGATACTACAGATAAAATTCTATTATAAAATAATTTTGCTTTCCAAATAATTTTTATACCCACATATGCTTTAACAAATATTAATAAAAGAATATTCAGATTAAATATATAAAAAATGGATAGCCTCCAAGAATCCACTTGAAACGAGAGTGACCCCAGTTCATTCTCAATCTATTCTTGGTTTGAAGAATATGCTTATGGTAGGGACTAGAGTCCTATTTTCTTCTTTCATAGGTTATTATGATTTTGAAAAGTGATAATATCATGTTCTTGGCTTCAGGTAATAAAGGCTATGTTTTGGAAAAAGCCTAAGGATTGAATGTTGACCTTGGAAATGTTTCCTAATGGAATGTATTAGAAAAACACATTCTCTTTTGAATTTTGTTTAATCCATTAGCCAACATTTTATTTCATTTGTAAAACAGTGCTGTACTTCTCACTCATACTTTAAATGAGTTATTTGGGGCTGATGAAGGAAGGAAATGCTGAAGACTGAAATGGATGTATAGCTTGTATTTGGTGAATTTCATAAAACTGAATAGGCTTTTTGTGAATAACGTGAATTCAGGTGTAAGCAGGATTGGTCAAGTCTAGATGGTCTGAAACCAGGGGAGAGTTTTAATCTGTGAGACTATCTTAAAGTCTTAATCTTTTTCTAATATTTTCCACACATTACAAAAAATGTTGGCTATGTTCATATGATTTGATTAAATATAAAAATGTAGAGAATCGACACACTCTTCTTGGCAGAGTTGTTCACTGCTGCAGGAAATGGATGGAGGACATTGTGAAGCAAAAAAAATAGAGGACATTCCATAATTTTGGTAGAACAAAGCACAGGAATGTGAACAGATCAGTGAATAATGAGGAATTTGACAGTCAACCTTCCTAGCAGTGTAGTGCAACAGCACTAGGCTGCAGTGACAGATGGGGAAACTCTGTCACCAGGTCAGGCTTTAGCATTGCTTTTTCTGCACTGGGCTTCCTAAGAATGGCATGGGGAAAGAAAATGACACCATGGCAAAAAAATAGAGAAAGAGGAGGCTTTAGAAGAAGATTTACTAAAGGAAACATAGAACTTGAGAAAAGAGAACTGACAAGCGATGAAATTAGAGAATTCAGCAAGCATCAGTTCATGCAGGTCCATATAATCATCTTTAGGAGTTTGGACTTGATTCTGAAGGTGATAGCGAATCATTGAAGGGCTTTGAACAGGGGAGTGAAATAAGTTGTGAGAGCTTCACAAATACACTCTTGCTTCAGTTTGAAAAATGGATTGGAGAGAAACAAGGTTGACGATAGTTAACACCTGTTAGCAGGGCCTTACAGTAATCTAGGGGAGAGATGATGGTGGCTGAGACCAGGGAGTGAAAACTGAAGAGAGGACTGGCTACATTCAAAACTAAATAATGAAATGTTACCAGTAAGACTTAGCAATCAAATACCTTTGGGGGCTTCGAGTGGAGGAGAATTCAAGAATAATGCCACAGGCAGCAAAATTGAGTGGGTAGGCATGCCATTTTTTTTTTATTATTATACTTTAAGTTTTAGGGTACATGTGCACAATGTGCAGGTTAGTTACATATGTATACATGTGCCATGCTGGTGCGCTGCACCCACTAACTCGTCATCTAACATTAGGTATATCTCCCAATGCTATCCCTCCCCCCTCCCCCCACCCCACAACAGTCCCCAGAGTGTGATGTTCCCCTTCCTGTGTCCATATGTTCTCATTGTTCAATTCCCACCTGTGAGTGAGAATATGCGGTGTTTGTTTTTTTGTTCTTGCGATAGTTTACTGAGAATGATGATTTCCAATTTCATCCATGTCCCTACAAAGGACATGAACTCATCATTTTTTATGGCTGCACAGTATTCCATGGTGTATATGTGCCACATTTTCTTAATCCAGTCTATCATTGTTGGACATTTGGGTTGGTTCCAAGTCTTTGCTATTGTGAATAGTGCTGCAATAAAAAGGGAGGAAACATACATCCTTTGGCAATTGTTGACTTGTTTTTGAGTGCCAAATATTTTACAAAGTAATTTGTTTCTAAACTTATACTATTTTCTATGATTTTAATGATGAATTTCATCTTGATTTGGAGTCATATGGTTTATAATAAGCACATAATTTCTTAAGTGAAGGAAGCTAGTTCCGTAATTTAGTACTAAAAATAGTGACATTTCTGCTGTTGCCATCTAGTGGCCACCATTAGTGATGGTGCGTTTCATTTAATTTTGTGCTCAAGATTTCACTCCAAAAGACTATACTGTAGAAAATACTAAGGAATAAAACCACTTCCTTTAAAAATGTGGTAATTCTAGAGATAGTTCTAACTTAATGAATCATACCTTGTAGAGTGCTAGTGATGAGAGGATACTGTTCAATGTTTGCAGTTTAAATTCTACAGTTTTCCTAGAGTATGACTTTAAGCAGTTTATTTTGGCAGCTTTGGAAGGAATTTAGCAAGAAATTTATCAGTAATATGAATGTCTCCATACCAAGTCAAGTAACAGAACATTCCTAAATGTCAAATATGTGGAAAAAGTACAAAAAGTATTTTTTTTAAACAACTATCAGTATGGAAATCCCTAGTGAGCAACTTTGACATGCCTAGGGATTAATATTGTCACATTCTGGGAGACATAAATGAAGAATAGAACAAGGGTTTTTTTTTTCCTGGACATATAACTATTGGGGAAAGGTCACAAAATATATTATGTTTGTTTCCACCCCTCTCTGAATGCAAGCTACACACATGCACTCTCTCTTTCTCTCTGTGTGTCTCTCACACACACACACACACACACACACACACACACACAAACACACACACATTCTGGCTGTCATTAGTCCAAGATTCCAAACATCTGGAATGGGGCCCCCTGTTTCTATTGAGAATCACTGGTCAGTACTAATTGTGAAATCCTTGATGTCAAAGGACATGTTCTGTTTTATACTTCTTATTTCTGCCTCACCATGTCAAATAACAATGAAAAATAAAATTGAAAATATACTGACTTCATCAATAGATATCATTAATATGGGCAATAGAAAGTTTAGAATGTATGAAAGCTAAGATCCTTGTGGTTTAGGAGTTCATAGTCTATGAAGAAAGTGGCACGTAGACAACTGTTACATTAGAACTATATTATAAGAACAACTAGAAGGCAGTCAAGGTTGATGGGAGATGGGTACTGGGGAGGGCCAAGTAGGAAACGAAATCAACTTCAAGTGTCTATGCTGGAGTTGTGACGTTGTGGGGTAGAAGACTAACATCTATATTCTATCTGAAGTGTTCAATGGTAAGAAAACCTATAGAACCTGAAGGCAGGGAGAGGAAGTAAGTGTACATAGTGATGGCACTTTACATGTGATAAAATCAAATACTTTTTTTCTAAACTTATTCCTAAGGAGGCAGTAGATATAGAAGTTTAGCAACTCTTACACCAAATGGCATATTATTATACCCCATACTTTGGAATATTTTACAGTTATTAAAGAAAATAAAGTCATTTATTTATAGCACTTCAAGCATATTTTGGCATATTTTTTTCTCAACCCCTGCACACTGTGACCCCACCTCCAAACAATAGAAGACATATTTTATTCATCCTAGTATCTCCTAGACTCTAGCATTGAGTTTGACATACGATTTTAAAAAATGGCTAAATGCTTGTTTATTGAACTTACCAGCATGTTTTAAAATTTATAATATTTCCTGAAATTTTAATGAGGAATTAATTATTAATGATCATTATAATTAATTATAAAGCCCATCTTGTACCATATGTAGCACAACTCTTAAGGCTTTGTAAACTTGGGCAAGTCAGTTTATTCCTATGGTCTTCAGCCCCCTCACCTGTAAAGCAAGAAAGCTCTACCACATCATTTTGAAGGCCCTTCCAGTTCTAGCAGTCTTAGACTGTCACTCTTGTTCCCCACACCTGTACCCCTGGTTATAGTTTCAATATCTGTCCCCTTCCAACCTCCTGTTACGATTTGACCCCCAATATTGGAGGTGGAGCTTAGTGGGAGGTGTTTGGGCAATAGAAGTGGATCCCTCATGAAGGGCTTCATGCTGTCCTTCCAGTAATGAGTGAATTCTCATTCTATTAGTTCCTGCAAAAGCTGCTTGTCAAAAAAAAAAAAAAAAAAAAAAAAAAAAAGCCTGGTGCCTCCTCTCTCTCTCTCGCTTCCTCTCCTGCCATGTGATCTCTGCACAGCCAGCTCCCCTTCACCTTCTGCCATGAGGGGAAGCAGCTTGAGGCCTTCATGAGAAGCAGATGCTAACACCATGTATCTTATACAGCCTGCAGAACTGTGAGCCAACTGAACTCTTATAAATACCCAGCTTCATGTATTCCTTTATAGCAACACAAATGGACTAAGACACCCCTTCATTGTTTTTGTTTTTAAAAAATTTTTATTTTATTTATTTTCTTTTTTTTTGAGGTAGAGTCTCACTCTGTTGCTCAGGCTGGAGTGCAGTGGCACGATCTTGGCTCACCGCATCCTCCATCTCCCAAGTTCAAGCAATTGTCTGCCTCAGCCTCTTGAGTAGCTGGGATTATAGGAGCCTGCCACCACACCTGACTAACTTTTGTATTTTTATTAGAGACAAGGTTTCCATGTTGGCCAGGCTGGTCTCAAACTCCTGACCTCAGGTGATCCACCCCTCTCAGCTTCCCAAAGTGCTGGGATTACAGGCATTCATTGTTTTTACATTGAAGCAATCTTTCTTCTCCTAGTCTCCAAAATATTTCTCCATTCTTGTTTCAATTCCCATGTTTTCCTAAACGCTATCCTAACTAGGCTCCCAACTTCCACTTTAGTGAACAATTACCTTAAAAATCATAAACTAATAAATTAACTATTTAAGTATATTTTTACATTTAGCAATTTAATGTGGAGAGAAATCTATATGAGTATATATAAATTTCTTTATTTTGTTTAATAATTGTAAAATATTCCAAAGTATATGGTATAATAATTTATTCAGCCAAAATATTATCATTGAACTTTTAGGTGGTTACCAATCTTGGTTATTATAAATAGCACTTGACTATATCCTTGTGCATTTATCATTTTAGAGTGGCTAGATTGGGATGCACATTTTTACGTTTGAAACAATCTGTTGAATTGTGCTGCACTGCATGAAAGCCATTCCTTTTGTCCTGTGAACTGACCCTATTTTTTTAATTTTTATTTTTTGAGACAAAGTCTCACTCTGTTGCCCAGTCTTAAGTGCAATGGCATTATGTCAGCTCACTGCAACCTCCACCTCCTGGGATCAAATGATTCTCCTGCCTCAGCCTCCTAAGTAGCTGGGATTACAGGTGTGCACCAACACACCCAGCCAATTTTTTTCTTTTCAGTAGAGACGGGGTTTTACCATGTTGGCCAGGCTGGTCTCGAACTCCTGGCCTTAAGAGATCCACCTGCCTTGGGCTCCCAAAGTGCTGAGATTACAAGCGTGAGCCACTGCACCTGGCCTGTCTCTATTTTATTTTCTATTGATTTGTTTTAGTCTATTTTTTCCTTTCATTCATGACATATCTTCTCAGGATGGGCAAAATATACATAACACAAGTAAAGCAATGTAACAACCTGAGGCATAGATTATAGAAACACAAAGATACTAAAATATATCCTATGGTTTTTATTTAGTCTTTTAGCCAACAGAAGTCTTCAGGGCCTCTTAATTTAAAAGCCTACTAAGTATGCTAAAATAAAGCTAATTAAATTTCTCTTACACTTGAACCTGTGATTAATATCTGTGAAGGCTATCCCACTTTTATTAAATATATGCTCATAGGTTGATTTACATAAGCCTGAAAGGAATTTGTAATGAAACAGTTATCAGGGACAAAATACAGTTTACTAACATAATATTTTGAAAACTCAGTAGTGTTATAAAATAAAGTATTTTTTTTGGTGTGGTAAAAAAACACACACAAAAGGTAGCTATTTGAAATGATAGATATGTTAATTTGAGTGACAATAGTAACCATTTCACTATGTATTAATATAAGTATATCAAAGTATTATGTGGTACATATTATGTTGTACACTTTAACTTATACACTAAAAAACTAATTATTTGGACAGAGAAGAATTCACATATATAACTCAGCCTCCTTATCAAAGACATGATTTTATAGCAGTTTGAAAAAGTTTCAAGTACTCTTGAGATATTCATGCTATATTTGGATTGTTTTGCTAAATATGCAATTTTAACATTGGAGAAATTTACTGAAAAAGCAGG
Source organism: Homo sapiens (assembly GCF_000001405.40). Classification (NCBI taxonomy): domain Eukaryota; kingdom Metazoa; phylum Chordata; class Mammalia; order Primates; family Hominidae; genus Homo; species Homo sapiens. The sequence goes on from NC_000008.11 coordinate 68,398,841, forward strand.
TGACAGCGCAGCAGTGTCTTACTCAGCAACTCTTCACATTCCTTTTGTCAGGGCTGTCTCATGGGTGTGTGACCTGTGCTGTCCCTCGGGCCACTATTCTCAGAGGGTCTCCTTCTTGATTTAATACTCTGCTGTTATTGTCTTGAAATTCCTAATCATTTTCGAACAAGGGACCTCCCATCTTCATTTTGTACTGAACCCAGGAAATTATGTCACCCATCCTATCTTTAATATTTTTCAGGATGAAACTGTATTTATTAGAATGCCTTAAGTCAGTGCCAGTTAGTCCTAATAATAGTGAAAATTTATTTATTTATATGAGTTTATTTCATTTCTATAAGTTTATGGGGGTACAATTGTAATTTTGTTACATGGATAGTTTGTGCTGTGTTGAAGTCAGGGCTTTTATATATCTGTCACCAGAACAGCATACATTGCATCCATTAATTTCTCATCATCAACCCCCCGTTCTACCCTCCCACCTTTCCATGCCTCCGTTGTCTATCATTCCACACTTTATGTCCATGTGTACAGATTATTTAACTCCCACTTAAAAGTAAGAACATACAGTATTTCTCTTTCTGTTTCTGAGTTGTTTCACTGAAGATAATGGCCCCCAGTTCCATCTATGTCACTGCAAAAGACATGGTTTCATTCTTTTATGGCCAAATAGTATTCCACTGTGTATACATATCATGTTTTCTTTATTCAGTCATCTGTTGATGGACATTGAGGTTGATTTTATATTTTTGCTATTGTGAATTGTGCTACAATAAACATATGAGAGCAGGTACCTTCTTGATATAATAATTTCTTTTCCTTTGGGTAGATTCCCAGTAGTGGGATTGCTGGATCAAATGGTAATTCTATTTTCAGTTCTTTCAGAAATCTGCATACTCTTTTCCATAGAAGTTGTAGTAATTACATCACCACCAACAGTGTGTAAGCGTTCCCTTTTCTCTGCATCCTCACCAACATCTGTTATTTATTTTTTTACTTCATTTAATAACCATTCTGAGTGGTGTAAGATGATATCTTATTGTAGTTTTAATTTGCATTTCCCTGATGATTGATGATGAGCATTTTTTCATATGCTTATTGGCCACTTGTATGTCTTCTTTTGAAAAATGTATATTCATGTCCTTTGCCACTTTTTACTGGAATTATTTGGGGTTTTTGTTGTTGCGGTTGAGTTGCTTGAGTTCCATGTAAACTCTAGGTATTAGTTTACTGTTGGATGCATGGTTTGCAAATATTTTCTCCCATTTGGCAAGCTGTCTATTCACTCTGTTGATTCTTTCCTTTGCTATGCAGAAGCTTTTTAGTTTAATGAAGTCCCATTTGTCTATTTTTGTTTTTGTTGCCTGTGCTTTTGAGGTCTTAGTCATAAATTCTTTGCCAAGACCAATGTGCAAAAGAGTTTTCCCTAGGCTTTCTTTTAATATTTTTATAGTTTCAGGTCTCAAATTTAAGTTCTAGTCCATCTAGAGTTGATTTTTGTATCTGGTAGGAGATAAGAATCTAGTTTCATTCTTCTGCATGTGGCTATCCAATTTCCCCAGCACTATTTATTGCAAAGTTCCCCAGCACTATTTACTGAAAAGGATATCCTTTCCCTAGTGTATGTTCTTCTCAGCTTTGTCAAAAATTAGTTGGTTGTATGTGGCTTCATTTCTGGAATCCTCTTTTCAGTTCTGTTGATCTATGTGTCTGTTTGTCTGTTTATTTTTATTTTTTAGAGGCAGAATCTTGCTCTGTCATCTAGGCTAGGGTGCAATGGTGCGATCTTAGCTCACAGCAGCCTCCAACTCCTGGGCTTAGGTGATCCTCCTGCCTCAGCCTTCTGAGTAGCTAGGACTACAAGTGTGCACCACCATGCCCAGCTTATGTGTCTATTTTTGTGTCAGTACCATGCTGTTTTGGTTACTATACCCTTGCAACATAATTTGAAGTGAAGCAATGTGATGCCTTCAGCTTTGTTCTTTTTGCTTAGGATTGCTTTGGCTATTTGGCCTCCTTTTTGATTCTATGTGAATTTTAGGATAGTTTTGTCTAATTCTATTAAAAAATGAAAATGATGTTGGTGTTTTCATAGAGTTTGCATTGACTCTGTAGATTGCTTGGGCAGTGTGGTCATTTCAATGATATTGATTCTTTTGGTCCATGAGCATAGGTTGTTTTTCCATTTCTTCATGTTATCTTCGGTTTCTTTCATCAGTGTTTTGCAGTTTTCCTTATAGAGATCTTTCACCTCCTTGGTTAAACATATTCCTAGTTTTTTTTTTTTTTTGTAGCTATTGTAAATGTGAATGCCTTCTTGATTTGGTTCTCAGCTGAATTATTACTGATGTATAGGAACACCACTAATTTGTGTATGTTGATTTTATATCATGAAACTGTACTGAATGTATTCATCAAAACTAAGAGTTTTTTGGTGGAGTCTTTAGGATCTTCTAAAAATAAGAGTATATCATCAGCCAACAGGAATAATTTGACTTCCTCATTTCCAATTTGGATGCCTTTTATTCCTGTCTCTTGCCTAATTGTTTTGGCTAGGACTTCCAGTACAATGTTGAATAGGAGTGGTCAGAATGGACATCCTCGTCTTATTCTAATTCATAGAGAGAATACTTTCACCTTTTCCCTATTCACTATAATGTTGGCTTTGGGTTTCTCATATATGGCCTTGATTATTTGGATGTGTGTTCCTTCTATGCCCATTCGTTGAGAGTTTTTGTCATAAGGGGATGCTGAATTTTTATCTTTTCTTCATCTCTTGAAATGAAGCCTTTTCTTCATCTCTTGAAATGGCCATTTGTTTTTCTTCTTAATTCTGTTTTATGTGATGTTTAACATGTATTGATTCATGTATGTGGAACCATCTTGGCACCCCTAATATAAAACCCACTTGATCATGGTGTGTTATCTTTTTAACATTCTGTTGTGATTCAGTTTGCTAATGTTTTATTGAGGACTTTTTGCGTCTATGTTCATCAGGGATATTGGTCTACAGTTCTCTTTTGTGTGTGTGTGTGTGTGTGTGTGTGTTCGTATCTGGTTTTGGTGCCAGGGTGATACTGGCATCATAGAATGAGTTAGAGAGAATTCCCTCCTCCTTGATTTTTGGAACAGTTTCAGGATGACTTGTATTAGCTATTTGTAGGTTTGGTAAAATTTGGCTACAAATTCACCTGGTTTTGGGCTTTTATGTTGTTGTGGGAGATTTTTATTACTCCAATTTCGTTACTTGTTATTGGACTATTCAGGATTTCTGTTTCTTGTTGCTTCAATCCTGGGATGTACGTTTCCAGGAATTTATTTCTTTCCTGTGGGTTCTCTAATTTGTGAGCATATAGTTGTTTCATATCAATCTCTGATGATCTTTTGTATTTGCAGGGTATCAGTTGTAATGTCTCATTTTTCATTTCTGATTTTGTATATTTGAATCATCGCTCTTCTTTTCTTGGTTAGTCTGGCTAGCAGTTTGTCAATTTTGTTTATCTTTTCGAGGAACTAATTTTTTCTTTCATTGATCCTTTGTATTGTTTTTTCATCTCAATTTCATTTAGTTCTGCTCTGATCATTGTTATTTGTTTTCTTCTGCTAACTCTGGGTTTGATCTGTTGTTTTTCTAGTTCCTTGAAGTGCAACATTAGGTTGTTAATTTGTGATCTTCCTACTTTTTTGATGTAGGCATTTAATGTGATAAACTTCCCTCTTAGCACTGATTTGACTGTATTGCACGGCTTTTGTTATATTGCATTTCTATTTTCATTTGTTTCAAAATTTTAAACATTTGTATCTTTGTTTACCCGAAGATTATTCAGGAGCATGTTGTTTAATTTCCATTTATTAATTTCCAATATTTGTATAGTTTCCAAAGTTCCTCTTGATATTGAGTTACAGTTTTATTCTGTTGTGGTCTGGGAAGATATTTGATATGATTTTGATTTTTAAAAATGTGACTTATTTTGAGGTCTATCTTGGAGAATGTTTCATGTGCTGGTGAGAACTCCATATGAATAAGTCTTTTCCATTTGATAACAATGGCCAATGAATATGATTGCAAATAAAATCTTCATTACCACAGGTGCTGTGAGAGGAAGCCCCATGCATCCCAGTGACTGTACCCCTCCCCAGTCACTGGGAAGCAGCAGGCAGGGAAACTCCTTGTTGATGTTTCCTGCTGTTACTGGAGTTTCAAATTCATGCAGTGCTGTGCTTCCAAATATCAAATTACTTCTTGAGGATTCCAACTTGACCTAGAACAGACATCAGCAGGAGCTTTATGATGTTAAGTTGATAGTAGTGGATATGACAACTCTTCCATAATGTACACTTATGCCCATAGGGGAGGCCAGTGGAAGGCAGGGGTGCCTGAGGACTGGCAGTGATTCCTGTGTCATGCTCCATCCCTTACTGTCTTGCTCATTCTTGCCATTTGTGGCTCTTCCTCTTGACCTTCTGTGCTTTCTTCTCCCATCTCTTGGAAACCTTGAGTTACTACACATGAGTGATTCAGTTTACCTTTTGTCTCTGTACATTCTTTTTATTATTATTATAGTTTAAGTTCTGGGGTACACGTGCAAAACGTGCAGGTTTGTTACATAGGTATACACGTGCCATGGTGGTTTGCTGCACCCATCAACCCATCACCTACATTAGGTATTTCTCCTAATGCTATCCCTCCCCTAGCCCCCCACCCCCTGACAGGCCTTGGTGTGTGATGTTCCCTTCCCTGTGTCCATGTGTTCTCATTGTTCAACTCCCACTTATGAGTGAGAACATGTGGTGTTTGGTTTTCTGTTCCTGTGTTAGTTTGCTGAGAATGATGGTTTCCAGCTTCATCCATATCCCTGCAAAGGACATGAACTCATCTTTTTTATGGCTGCATAGTATTCCATGGTGTATATGTGCCACATTTTCTTTATCCCATCTATCATTAATGGGCATTTGGGTTGGTTCTAAGTCTTTACTATTGTGAACAGTGCCACAATAAACATACATGTGCATGTGTCTTTATGGCAGAATGATTTATAACCCTTTGGGTATATACCCAGTAATGGGATTACTGGGTCAAATGGTATTTCTGGTTCTAGATCCTTGAGGAATGGCTACACTGTCTTCCACAATGGTTTAACACTCCCACCAACAGTGTAAAAGCGTTCCTATTTCTCCACATCCTCTCCAACATCTGTTGTTTCCTGACTTTTTAATGATTGCCATTCTTACTGGCGTGAGATGGTATCTCATTGTGGTTTTGATTTGCATTTCTCTAATGACCAGTGATGATGAGCTTTTTTTCATATGTTTGTTGGCCGTATAAATGTCTTCTTTTGAGAAGAGTCTGTTCATATCCTTTGCCCACTTTTTGATAGGGTCGTTTGTTTTTTCTTGGAATTTGTTTACTTTCCTCATAGATTCTGGATATTAGCCCTTTGTCAGATGGATAGATTGCAAAAAGTTTCTCCCGTTCTGTAAGTTGCCTGTTCACTCTGATGATAGTTTCTTTTGCTGTGCAGAAGCTCTTTAGTTTAATTAGATCTCCTTTGTCAATCTTGGCTTTTGTTGCCATTGCTTTTGGTATTTTAGTCATGAAGTCCTTGCCCATGCCTATGTCCTGAATGGTATTGCCTCGGTTTTCTTCTAGGGTTTTTATGGTTTTAGGTCTTATGTTTAAGTCTTTAATCCATCTTGAGTTAATTTTTGTATACGGTGTAAGGAAGGGGCTCAGTTTCAGTTTTCTGCATATGACTAGCCAGTTTTCCCAACACCATTTATTAAATAGGGAATCCTTTCCCCATTGCTTGTTTTTGTCAGGTTTGTCAAAGATCAGATTGTTGTAGATGTGTGGCATTATTTCTAAGGCCTCTGTTCTTTTCCATTGGTCTAGAAATCTGTTTTGGTACCAGGATCTGCTGTTTTGGTTACTGTAGGCTTGTAGTATAGTTTGAAGTCAGGTAGTGTGATGCCTCCAGCTTTGTTCTTTTTGCTTAGGATTGTCTTGGCTATGTGGGCTCTTTTTTTGAAATTTAAAGTAGTTTTTTTTCTAATTCTGTGAAGAAAGTCAATGGTAACTTGATGGGGATAGCATTGAATCTATAAATTACTTTGGGCAGTATGGCCATTTTCACAATATAGATTCTTCCTATCCATGAGCGTGTAATGTTTTTCCATTTGTTTGTGTCCTCTCTTATTTCCTTGAGCAGTTGTTTGTAGCTCTCCTTGAAGAGGTCCTTCACATCCCTTGTATGTTGTATTCCTAGGTATTTTATTCTTTTTGTAGCAAATGTGAATGGGAGTACATTCTTAAGATGGTTTGATGATCATTTGTTGATTGGAGCCTGATATCAATGTTAGCTTAGATTTAGCATTTTTGGCATAGGGCTCTTACGTTGGATCTTTACAGACAGTAAAGGAATTCTGGGCCTTTTAGGGTACTTGAATCCTTAGATATTAGAAGCCACCTCAAATGCTAAGAGTTTGGTTTATTCTCAGATCACTGGACTCATCTAAGTCCTAAAATAAAATATTGTTATATCTGTTACCCAGCCAGATCTCCCTAGGATATTGTAATTTTATAGGTGTGGACCAGGCTGACCATTGCATATTAAGACAGTTCTCATGGACTCCCCACCAGAAATGGTGGATTCAGCTGGACTGGCAGACAGCTCATAGCTGTGGGATAGGTTACAGTTACTGTGTCACTTAAGATTTTGTCCAGGGAGTATCCACTTATGTCTTATATCGGACAGCATCCATTTTATCACCATTTCACATGGTTGTGAATTATTTTCCTCTTCCTGGTAAACAATGCCTGTGTCAGACATACAGAAGAACAGGTAAAACACACAAGATAAAATCTATTTACCACTATTAAAAAACTAACTAAGAAGAAAATACACACTTAATTTTTGTTTCTAATCTACCTCCCTCCCGTAATTCTGTGAGAAACTAAAGATGAATAAACTACTTAAAAGGCTCTGTACTATTTTCCTTTATAATGAAACTTAGCGCTTTTATTATTGAATCTCAACTTTTAGATTTCCTGAATTTTTCTGGTGTTTTAGGCCATGAAAAAGTATCACAAAGCATACAAAAAGAGTTTGCTATTAGAGGAAGAAAACAAAGGTATGGGAACATTCAAAAACCATGTCGCCAAATAAAAGGCACAGATTAAGATTTTCACAAGGAATTTTCATTTATAGGGTGGAGAGTTGAGTGTCAGGAGGTGGGTTGTGTGGTCCTGAAATGTGAAGCAGGATTTGGCCTGGGGACCCAACATGGGGCTAAAAGCCTGCAGGGGAAACAGAGAGGAAACAAATGGAAGGGCTTACGGTAGACAGACAGTTGATCTGCTGGTCCTCTGGGGGCTTTGGTTTCAGTAAACATACACGTAGTTTTGGTCTTTCTTATATGAAGGAAGGGTTTGGAATTATCAAGAGTTGAAGATAGATTGGATTTGTGAACTGTGGGCTTTAGGGTCTGAGTGATGTACTAGAAGGCTTTTGTTTCTGTTGATGACCCAGTTGGGAGAGATAAGAGGCATTCTGGGAGCCTCCTAAGAGTGTGTTGGGTGAAGGGAGCTGATCAGCTCACCCTGGACCGGTAGTTTCTTCTCTTTTTTAAATTTTTATTGATTTTAATTAATTAATTATTATTATTATTGAGAGAGAGAGAGAGTCTTGCTCTGTCACCCAGGCTAGAGTGCAGTGGCGTGATCTCAGCACACTGCAATCTCTGCCTCCAGGTTCTAGTGATTCTCGGGCCCCAGCCTTTCAAGTAGCTGGGACTATAGGCACCGGCCACCACACCCAGGTAATTTTTATATTTTTAGTAGAGACAGGGTTTCGCCATGTTGCCAGGCTGGTCTCAAGCTCCTGACCTCAAGTGACCCACTCACCTCGGCCTCCCAAATTGCTGGGATTACAGGCATGAGCCACCACGTCCGACCTAGACCAGTAGCTTCTAAGGCAGCATTATTCCCCCAACAGATCCTAAATGGATTACAAAGGACTGCTATCTTGAGTAAACTGAAGCACAGGTGATGCTGTGAGAGCCTCTTATTACTGGTGGGGTTGTGCTCTGCATGGCTCACAGAGAGGAGAGTAAACCAGGAGCATGAAGCCAGGAGCTGTCTCAGAAGCAGGATGCTGAGGTGGCTGGAGCATGAGCTACACGCATACGATCTGCCTCAGCTTTGCAACTATGGATCTACATAGAGGAATCATACCCATAGAACTGGAAAAGTAATAACATTTTATTAAAGTATTATCACTTGAAGGACTTACAAAATGTCAGGTTCTATATTACAATTTTTTTTCTAGCATTTCACCACATTTTCATATACCTGGCTACTTTTTCTAAGGTTCCTTTTTTTTTTATCGTTATAAAATATCTCTTCTAAATATTTTTTTCAAGTAGAATGTAAGGGAGATAAAGTCTTCGAAGTTCATGTCTGAAAATATCCTAATTCCCTGGCCCCCCATTTGATTTACAATGGGGCATATTCGTAAAACTGTAAGATAATTTTGCCTGCTCCCTACAGGCTAAGATCTACAGTAAAGGTCCTGCTGTTTGTTTTTTTAACATCCAGTTTTACTGATGAGAAATTTGATATATCAGATTCTTTTTACTCTGTAGGTAGCATTTTTCCCCTCTGAAATATTTTATTATATTATTTTGTCTTTGAACTCACAACATTTCTTCAGGATGTTTACTCATGGGTCTGTTCGTGAATTCTGAGCCCTTTCAGTCTGTTGCTGTGGGTCTATCTCTTCAGCTTAGGGAATTATTATTACTTTTTATTTTCTCATCTGCGTTGGCAACTGAATTTATCTCACATCCTTCTTAAAAATGTTAGGCCTTTTGTATCTCACTAACATTTCTCTTAATTTATACTTTCCCATTTTTTTTGTTATTTTCATTTGTCAACAGATTTATTCAGCTTAAATTTTTAAGATCCTTTGAATTTATTACTCAGTCCTTCCACTTATATCTTGATTTTGGCAATATATTTTAAACCTCATGGATTACTTATTTTCCTAAGATTTCTTATTTTTCATGACAACAAGTTCCTGTTTTATAAAAGGAACATTCATTCCCATCCCACTGAGCTGGTGTCCCCATCCCCGGGCCATGGACTGTTACAGGTCCATGACCTGTTAGGAACCGGGCTGCACAGCAGGAGGTGAGTGGTGGGCAAACGAGCAAAGCTTCATCTGTATTTACAGTTGGTCCCCATTGCTCTCATTACCTCCTGAGCTCTGCCTCCTGTCAGGTCAGCAGCAGCATTAGATTCTCCCAGGAGCAGGAACCCTATTGTGAACTGTGCATGTGAGGGATCTAGGTTACATGCTCCTTATGAGAATCTAATGCCTGATGATCTGTCACTGTCTCCCATCACCCCCAGATGGGACCATCTAGTTGCAGGAAAACAAGTTCAGCTATATTATGATGGGTTGTATAATTATTGTATTATATATTATAATGTAATAATAATATAAATAAAGTACACAATAAATGTAATGCTCTTGAATCATCCTGAAACCATCCCCGCCACACACCCCCAGTCCTTGGAAAAATTGTCTTCTGCAAAACTGCTCCCTGGTGCCAAAAAGGTTGGGGACTGCTGCCACTGAGGATCCCAATTTTCATAGTTTTCATTACTTTCCTGAAATAGCTCTATGTTTTTCTTGGCTCAGGTGTTCTTTTTGTTTATACACTCATACAACTTTTCCTCAGATTTCTGGTTGTCCATTCATAAATTGTCATGCACCACATAGTGACGTTTCAGTCATGATGAACTGCACATATGACAGTGGTCCCGTAGAGCTCAGAAATTCCTGTTTCCTAGTGACATAGCCCTCATAACATCCATTATGCATGTGTTTGTGGTGATGCTGGTGTGAACAAACCTACTGAGCTGCCAGTCTTTTGTTTGTTTTTTGTTTTGTTTTGTTTTTTGAGACGGAGTCTTGCTCTGTCACCCAGGCTAGAGTGCAGTGGTGCAATCTCGGTTCACTGCAACTTCTGCCTCCTGCGTTCAAGCGATTCTCCTGCCTCAGTCTCCCCAGTAGCTAGGATTACAGGCACACGCCACCATACCTGGCTAATTTTTGTATTTTTAGTAGAGACGCGGTTTCACCATGTTGGCCAGCCTGATCTTGAACTCCTGACCTCATGATACACCCGCCTTGGCCTCCCAAAGTGCTGGGATTACAGGCGTGAGCCACTGTGCCCGGCCTGAGCTGCCAGTCTTATAAAAGTATAGCACATACCATTCTGTACGGTGCATAATACTTGATAATGATCATAAATGGCTATGTTACTAGTTTATGTATTTTCTATATTTGAATAATTATTTTAGAGTGTACTTTTACTTATTTTTAAAAAGTTAACTGGAAAACACTCTTAGGCAGGTCCTTCAGGAGGTATTCCAGAAGAAAGCATTGTTGTCAAAGGAGATGACAGCCCCATGTATGTTATTGCCCCTGAAGACCTTCCAGTGGGACAAGATGTGGAGTTGGAAGACAGTGATATTGATGATCCTGACCCTGTGTAGGCCTAGGCTAATGTGTGTGTTTGTGCCTTAGTTTTTTAACAAAATTTTAAAACATGAGAAATTAAAAAGTTTAAAAATAGAAGCTTATAGAATAAGGGTATAAAGAAAATATTTTTGTACAGCTCTACAATCTGTTTCTAAGCTAAGTGTTATGAGAGAAGAGTCAAAAAGTTAAAAAATCCTTAAAGGTTTATAAAGTAAAAATGTTACAGTAAGCTAAGGTTCCTTAATTCTTGAAGAAAGGAATGCCTTTTTGTCAATTTAGCATAGCCTAAATGTACAGTGTTGATGAAGTCTACAGCAGTGCACAGTCATGTCCTAGGCCTTCACATTCACTCGCCACTCACTCACTGACTCACCCAGAGCAACTTCCAGTCCTGCAGCCTCCATTCATAGTATGTGCCCTATATAAGAGAACATTTGAAAAATCTTTTATATCATATTTTTACTGTACCTTTTTAATGTTTAGATAGATTTAGATACACAAATACTTACCACTGTGTAATAATTGCCTGAAGTATTCAGTACAGTAACATGCTGTGCAGGTTAGTAGCCTAGCAGCAGTAGGCCATGCCATACAGCCTAGGTGTGTAGTAGGCTAGACCACGTAGGTTTGTGTAAGTGCACACTGTGATGTTCCCACAATGACAAAATTGCCCAACAACACATTTCTCAGAATGTATCCCTATTACTAAGTGAGACGTGACTGCATAGAAATATAATATAAGGTTGCATATATTTATAGGTAGCTTGTTTAGGTTTCTCTCTACTTGAATAGATACCCTCATTTGAAGTCTTCCTTGACTGGGAAAGCTGGGTGAGTTGGGTAGAGAGGTTAGCAATCAGGCTTCCTTGTACAATACAGTTGGCCCTCTGTACCTGTGGGCTCTGCATCAGCAGACCAAAAGTATTTAGAAGAAAACCCAAAACAATAAAAAATAACAGTACAACAATAAAAATAATACAAATGAAAACAGTATTATATCTATTTACAGAGAATTTACATTGTATTAGCCATTACAAGTAATCTAGAGATCATTTAAAGTATATGGGAGGATGTGCATAAGTTATATAAAAATACTACAATGTTTTATATCAAGGACTTGAGCATCCTCAAACTGTGGTATTTGGGAAGGGGCAGGAGTGCTGGAACCAATGCTGTGTGGATACTGGGGGATAGCTGTACACAGGTAGAAAGTCTAAGTGCCAAAGTAAGGAAGGCCTTCCTCTGGAGGTAGAGCGCTTTACTATAGTTCAGTCATAGGCACCTGTCCTCATCTTTCAGGAGATGTGGTGTCCAGCATTACAATTTCTGCTTTACTGCTTCTTGGAGTTCAATACCATTCCAGAAGAATTCTCAGGCAGATGGCATTGGAGAAAGGTTCTTTGACTTTCTCCTGTGGGTAAAAGCCGCAACTGCCAACAGCACCCCTTCCTAGAGGGAGATAGGATCCCAACTAGTCCAGCTTCTCAGAATGCAGTTCTTCAATGAATAACACTGATGGCTTCCCCTTGGTTCTGCTCCTTAGCCTGAATGTTCTCTCTGACCCTTGTAGTAAGAATAGAACTAATTTTGGTGTCTTAGGCTGTATCAGCTCTTCTGCTCTGATGTAACTGTCAGTCTTACCTCACCTGCTTCATTCTTCATACTTCCAGAATTTGTCAGAATTTCTTGTTTTCCCATGCTATTGTGTTTTCATTCTTTAAGTAATACATTTTCTGTTATTTTAGTAGAAGTTTGGAGCATGAAGGAAGGGCTATTCAATGTATATATGTGTAAGATCATTCCACTATATTACATAAGAAGCCAATATCTATTCAGCTTGTTGCACAAATGTTAAAGAATCATGAACTGCATGGTTTCTAAGTAGTATTTCTGGTCTTTATTTAGTGTTGAAGAAAAATATTTTTGGTCAAATAACAAATATAAGCATATATAATATATTTCATATGTAAAACTAGTCATGAAAACAAGCAGATAGGATTGTCCATTGCCTCAGCAGAAATTAGATTTTATTGAATGATTGTGAATCTTTCTAAATCATCTTGTGGTTTACTAGCTGCAGTGAACTCAATTTGGACTCAGCAAGGGTTTGTAGAAAGTGATTCCTATTTATTGTCCATCAAAGAATTAAAGTGATTGCTGTGTATTGTCCATTGAATAATTTTGGTACTAAGCAGATACTGTGTTTTTATCAAACATATATAAATCTTCAAAACCTTATGTAAAGTGTATACAAACAGAGTTCAGCATATAGCTTCTGCAAATAGGAGGTATTCATTGTCTGTGAATTAGAACTGTATTACCAGCAATTACATCAACATGTTCTTTTACTTTCAATAAACCACTAGGACTATGTGAGGTCAGCATGCTGCTAAATTATACAGATTTTTTTCTATGCCTAATGCTATGGCTTTTATTTTCATGTGTGTTTAGGGCTTGCTGTTGACTGAATGTTTGTATCCCTCCAAAATTCATATGTTGAAAGCTAGTCACCAAGGTGATGGTATTAGAATGTGAAGCCTTTGGGAGGTGATTAAGTCATGAGGACAGTGCCCAAATGAATGGGATTAGTGAGTCCCCTTAAAAAGGACCTGAAGTAGCTTTAACCCCTTTGTCCTGCCATGTGAGGACACATAGAAGGTGCCATCTATGAGGCATAGGTCCTTACCAGACACTGAACTTGCTGGCGCCTTGATCTTGGACTTCTCAGCCTCCAGAACTGTGAACAATAAATTCTGTGTTTATAAATTAGGTAGTCTGTTATTTTTTATAGTAGCCGGAACAGACTAAGACAGGACTAGCTACCTCATCAGTTAACCATTTACGCACACTGACTTGGTGCTCTGCATATTTGGGATAATTTCTCTTTGAAAAGGAATATGCAAATTTAAATATTAATGTAATGTTTTATAATTTTTTATTTTAGTAATAGTAGTATAGTTTTCCTAGCTGAGAAATAGTTCTAATATAGAGGAAAGGTTACTTCTTAAACATTTTAGACTTGCTAGATGTAAGAGATATTTTAAAAATAGACCTGTCTTTGAACTCCATGCCATCAGATTACATTTCCCACCACTCCTCATTTTTACTTTTCTCTACAGGCTCCTGGGTCATTCTCCAAAATTCCTCAGTAGTTTTAACTCTGAATTATTGCCCTCTTCACCCGCTAATACTACACCTATATTCATTCTTGGCAGTTTTTGCATACAGGTAGATGACCTTTCCAACATCCTGTCCTCTTTATTGAACTCCTCTTATACAGCGATTTTTACCTTATTTCCTGTCTCAGCCACTCCTGTTACTGTTACCAATAACTCTCTCCATTTTCTCACCCTCTGTAGTCTCGCTTTCAGCCATCCTTCTCTCTGACTATCTTGGCCTATCTCTAGCTCTCTGCCTTGAATATCCCAACCCCAACGACTTTTCGACCCTACCTGGACATCCCACCCATTGATCCCACCACTTCTTCGTTGTCCCTTATCACCTTAGTGTCCTCACTCTGTGTCCTATCAAGCTTAAACTCTGTGGTCAGTGACCAGTCATTATAATAGCTTCCTTGCCCCTCTCTCAGTTCATCCTACTCAATTAGCTAATCCATAGCCCTACCTAAATACACATTTCTGCCTTTTTCATTCCTACACCTGTGCAGCTGAACACGGTTGGGAGGAAAATACACTACCTACTATAACAACTTGTCTTGCTTTAAAATTGTGACCACAAATCTCAAGTGGCCAGACAATCATCAGATTCTTAGTTCAATTGCTCTTGCAGACCCCTGGATCACTATTTCACGTTTCCCTTTTCTCAAAACCCCCAGTCCTCATCTCTCATCTACTATTTCTGCTGTTGCCATTGTTTCCTACTTTACTGAGATAATCAAAGCAATCTGAAGAGGAAATCTGCAGACAAACACTGCCAACTGCAGAGCAGAAGTATCTTTCTATTTTGTTCACTGACTATCTGCAGCACAGAGTGCTTGAGTTATATAATGTGAGTGTTCAGTACATATCTACTGAACAAATAAAAGCACCAGTTATTCTAAAGGAAGCATTAAAACACATTAATTTAATAATTACTGTAGGCACTTTATCTCTCATCTATCTGGCTACTTTACAGCTCTTCTTATCATGCCCAAATTGGAGCTCTTGGTACCCATCCCTAAACAATCCCTTGCTCATTGTCCCATGCTATGGTGAATGGCATCAACATCAGCCCAGTCATTCAAGCCTGACACCTAGGTGGTGTCATTCTTTAGCTTGCTTTTATTGACTCTTTCCCCAGTCAAGTTTACTTCTGTAATTTTTGTAAAGTCAGGCCACTGCTTTCCACCCTCACTTACACCACCACTATAGTTCACTAGTTTCTGAAGAGTTCTTCCTTCTTCCTCTCTTGACCTTTATATAGTAGCCTGGACACATCTTTAAAAGGGCAAATGTATGTCACTAGCTCTTCCTTCACACCATTCATTGGCTTTGCACTCCATTTAAAGCAACAATTGGACTCTACACCTTTGCTCTGCAAGGTTAGACATCCTCCTACCTCTTTAGCTCACATGCTATTTCATCCCTGTGAGCACTTTAACAATTCTTTTTAATGTATCAACCTCTCCAATACCCTGGAGCCTTTGCATGGACTATTCTCTCTGTCTGGAATGCCAAATTTTTGAATGTCTGATTCTAGTTTTTACCTTGAGGCCTCAGATTAAATATCACCCCCTCAGAGATGCTATCTTGATCACCCTATGTAATATATTCCATCCACATTTTTCTCTAATGTATTACTCTGCCTTCTTTCCCATAGTGCTTTCCAGAATATGTATTTATTTTACTGATTGATTTGATTATATATTTATTGTCTGCTTCCTCCCAAGAATGTGAGCTCCTTAAACTCTAGACCATGCCAGCCTTGTTTATTATGAGATGAGAGACTACTATAAATATGTTGTATGAAAGTGAAAGATGTATCAAGGGAACCTTTGCTATCTGTAGAGTGTACAGCATATTATCATACGAAATGAAACTGCAGGTTGAGAACAATTTTTAGTTAGTTTCAAATGCCATGATAGGAGGAAATTTTTTCAGGTAATATACATCTATAAAAAGCTTTTAGTAACACTATTGACATAATTTATTCATTCTTTCGTTTATCAAATGTGCCAGGAATTGTTTTTTGATCTTGGGAAACAGAGATGTCTAAGACATGCTTCCTGACCTCAAGAACTCCTCAGAGAACTGCACGGGTAAAATAAAATGATTTCCTACAGTAGGATGAGGGTTGTCTAGAATTATTCATGATGTTATTCAAACACTTATTATGCCTAACTAACTCTGCTTGAGAATATTGAAGATGATCAGAGTTATGTTTTATTAGGTGTGGTTCCTATGGTGATGATCTCTTTTGTGAAGCTCTGTATAGTTGGCACCTGTGATATCAACTTGTCCACCATTCCCTCTTCTTCTAATAAACTGCCAATTCCAACATTCATGTGGCTCTTGAGAAGCTGTGATGTTCCTCATGGCATCACTGCCTGAGTTACAGCCAATGGCTCCAGCTGGGCACCTGATCAGTATGTTCACTATGTCTTCTCCCTGGGAAACTTAAAATTTGAGACCCACAGTGTCAAAGTTCATTTCTGCCTGTTGACCTGAGGTGTGGAAGCTAAGTAGGTCAGCCATGTGTGGTCAGACAGCAATGTGGCCCTGGAGACTGGTTTGTTCAGAAGCCACAGGAATCATGTTTTCCATCGTATGGAGAAAACTGGATATAAAGAAAGATAAAAGTGTATGGAGAGGCTGGGCACGGTGGGTCACGCCTATAATCCCAGCACTTTGGGAGGCCAGGCGGGTGGATCACCTGAGGTCAGGAGTTTGAGACAAGCCTGGCCAACATGTCAAAACCCTGTCTCTACTAAAAGGACAAAAATTAGCTGGGTGTGGCGGTACATGCCTGTAATCCCAGCTACTCAGCAGGCTGAGGCAGGAGAATCATTTGAACCCAGGAGGCAGAAGTTGCAGTGAGCTGAGATTGTGCCATTGCACTCCAGCCTGGGCAACGAGAGTGAAATTCCATCTCAGGAAAAAAAAGAAAAAAAAAGTGTATGGAGAGATAAAAGACAGACATGGGGTTCAGGAGATTGCATGCAGTAGTTTCTGAAATCCAGCCTCATTGCTCCACTGTGTGTAGATTAGTTATTTAACCCACTCTGGAATCCAGAAGCCAATAGTGCCATTTTTGCCTAAGCTGAAGATTACTTAGCCATTCATATTAAAATATTAGCTACTGAAAATTCTCCACCTCTCTAGTTTGTACTTCACACAGAGTGATGCTCAAATCCGAGACTTGATCTGTCTTCCTTTCAGGGATAGTAAGAAGACTTGTTCAGCAAATGCTGTCTACAGCCACCAAGTCTGCCCCAAATGGCTTCTCTATTTGTGCTGTTATATACGTAGGGAGTCCTGGATTATGTTTAAGAAGACTTGCTTTTTTAAAATTTAAAATCTTATGGAAGGAACTTGGCAATTTTGTGGATCTTGGGAAAGTTACTTAAGATTTATTTACCCCAATTTCCTTATTCTAAAATGAGAAAAGAATACCTGCTTCACAGATTGTTGTTGTGAGCATGAAAAAAATGTATTGAAAGCACCTAGGACTATGCGTCATAGATTAATTATTTTACTTTCTTCTCTTAACCAAACTATGTGAGCAGAAGGTGGTGTTTTATAGACTTTGGGTTCTACTAGGAAGAAGAACAATGTTAGGTTTACAAGTAATCTTTAAACAACTCCCAGCTGGTTAAAAATTAATTAATTTCCAGTGTTTTCAATGTTTAACAATCCTCACTCGTGGCAGCATCTGATCCCCTTCCCTGATTTATTTCTCTCCATAGGACTCATCATTTATCAATATGTTCTATAATTTGCATATTATTTTATGTATTCTCACTACCACTAGAATACAACCTTTCTAGAACAGAGATTTTTAAAAATTCTATTTTGTTCTCATTCATATTCCAAGATCCTGGAACAGAAACTGGCATATAGTAGATGCTCAGCAAACATTTATTGAATAAACATATGAATTAGTATTTTATTTTATTAAACATACATTTATTTATTTATTTATTTATTTATTTATTTATTTAGAGACGAAGTCTCTCTCTTTTGCCCAGGCTGGAGTGCAGTGGCACGATCTCAGCTCACTGCAACCTCCTCCTACCAGGTTTGAGTGATTCTTCTGCTTCAGCCTCTGATTAGCTGGGATTACAGGTAGATGTCACCATGCCTGCCTAATTTTTCTATTTTCAGTAGAGGTGGGGTTTCACCATGTTGGCCAGGCTTGTCTCAAACTCCTGACTTCACGTGACCCGCCCATCTCAGCCTCCCAAAATGCTGGGATTACAGGCATGATGCATCATGCCTGACCTGAATTAGTATCTTTAAATATTATGTCTATTATCTGTAAATATTTATTCACATAAACTTCTAAAACAATTATTTATAAATGTTCCTCCTTTGTATTTAAGTATTACACCATTACTTTCCTCTGAGTAAACATTCTAGCACCTCTTAAAACCCAGGAAGAGAAAAGGATGGAGTGAAGATTTAGGTATTATATGGGTTGAGCTTCTCTCTTGATAAAAATGACCCATGATTCTCAGCAACTGCTATTAAAACTATTGTGTAGAGTTTCAATATACCTTGCAATTCATAACATCATTTTAAAGATACCAAAATACTTTAATTGAAATATTTCTAAATAAAGTTATTTTTAAGAAGTTAATGGGCTTTATTTCTTAGAGCATTTTTAGGTTTCTAAAAAGATTAAAAATTACAGAAATTCTCATATACTCTTTTTAAATTAAATTTTAAGTTTACTTTTAAGTCTCCAGGGAACTCATTCTACAAATATATTGGCACATATGCAAAATGGACCATATATTGCCGTTTGTAATAGCAAATTAGTGCCTACTGATAGACACTAATTTTAGTGTCTATCAGTCAGACTGATTAAATAAACTTGTACAGCACCCAGGAGAATATTGAATATTATACTGCTGGTTTTCACTGTATGTCCTGATATAAAAATATCTAAAGGATATGTTATTAAATGAACAAGTAAAGTATATAAAATTATTACTTTTATGAAAACGAGAGGAGAAAATAAGAACCTATATTATTCTTGAACACATTTTTATAAATAATACTGGAAGAGTTTAGTATTGGTGGACTGGAAACTTTGGACCAAGAATGAAACTAAGAAAAACTAGAATACCTGGTCAAAATAAAGAAAATATCTGTTCAGTTTGAAGTCAGGTAGTGTGATGCCTCCAGCTTTGTTCTTTTGGCTTAGGATTGACTTGGCGATGCGGGCTCTTTTTTGGTTCCATATGAACATTAAAGTAGTTTTTTCCAATTCTGTGAAGAAAGTCATTGGTAGCTTGATGGGGATGGCATTGAATCTGTAAATTACCTTGGGCAGTATGGCCATTTTCAAGATATTGATTCTTCCTACCCATGAGCATGGAATGGTCTTCCATTTGTTTGTATCCTCTTTTATTTCCTTGAGCAGTGGTTTGTAGTTCTCCTTGAAGAGGTCCTTCACATCCCTTGTAAGTTGGATTCCTAGGTATTTTATTCTCTTTGAAGCAATTGTGAATGGGAGTTCACTCATGATTTGGCTCTTGGTTTGTCTGTTATTGGTGTATAAGAATGCTTGTGATTTTTGTACATTGATTTTGTATCCTGAGACTTTGCTGAAGTTGCTTATCAGCTTAAGGAGATTTTGGGCTGAGACAATGGGGTTTTCTAGATATACAATCATGTCATCTGCAAACAGGGACAATTTGACTTCCTCTTTTCCTAATTGAATACCCTTTATTTCCTTCTCCTGCCTAATTGCCCTGGCCAGAACTTCCAACACTATGTTGAATAGGAGTGGTGAGAGAGGGCATCCCTGTCTTGTGCCAGTTTTCAAAGGGAATGCTTCTAGATTTTGCCCATTCAGTATGATATTGGCTGTGGGTTTGTCATAGTTAGCTCTTATTATTTTGAAATACGTCCCATCAATACCTAATTTATTGAGAGTTTTTAGCATGAAGGGTTGTTGAATTTTGTCAAAGGCCTTTTCTGCATCTGTTGAGATAATCATGTGGTTTTTGTCTTTGGTTCTGTTTATATGCTGGATTACAGTAACCAAAACAGCATGGTACTGGTACCAAAACAGAGATATAGATCAACGGAACAGAACAGAGCCCTCAGGAATAACACCGCATATCTACAACTATCTGATCTTTGACAAACCTGAGAAAAACAAGCAATGGGGAAAGGATTCCCTATTTAATAAATGGTGCTGGGAAAACTGGCTAGCCATATGTAGAAAGTTGAAACTGGATCCCTTCCTTACACCTTATACAAAAATCAGTTCAAGATGGATTAAAGACTTAAACGTTAGACCTAAAACCATAAAAACCCTAGAAGAAAACCTAGGCATTACCATTCAGGACATAGGCATGGGCAAGGACTTCATGTCTAAAACACCAAAAGCAATGGCAACAAAAGCCAAAATTGACAAATGGGATCTAATTAAACTAAAGAGCTTCTGCACAGCAAAAGAAACTACCATCAGAGTGAACAGGCAACCTACAAAATGGGAGAAAATTTTCGCAACCTGCTCATCTGACAAAGGGCTAATATCCAGAATCTACAATGAACTCAAACAAATTTACAAGAAAAAAACAACCCCATCAAGAAGTGGGCGAAGGACATGAACAGACACTTCTCAAAAGAAGACATTTATGCAGCCAAAAAACACATGAAAAAATGCTCACCATCACTGGCCATCAGAGAAATGCAAATCAAAACCACAATGAGATACCATCTCACACCAGTTAGAATGGCAATCATTAAAAAGTCAGGAAACAACAGGTGCTGGAGAGGATGTGGAGAAATAGGAACACTTTTACACTGTTGGTGGGACTCTAAACTAGTTCAACCATTGTGGAAGTCAGTGTGGTGATTCCTCAGGGATCTAGAACTAGAAATACCATTTGACCCAGCCATCCCATTACTGGGTATATACCCAAAGGACTATAAATCATGCTGCTATAAAGACACTTGCACACATATGTTTATTGCAGCATTATTCACAATAGCAAAGACTTGGAACCAACCCAAATGTCCAACAATGATAGACTGGATTAAGAAAATGTGGCACATATACACCATGGAATACTATGCAGCCATGAAAAATGATGAGTTCATGTCCTTTGTAGGGACATGGATGAAATTGGAAATCATCATTCTCAGTAAACTATCGCAAGAACAAAAAACCAAACACCGCATATTCTCGCTCACAAGTGGGAATTGAACAGTGAGAACACATGGACACAGGAAGGGGAACATCACACTCTGGGGACTGTTGTGGGGTGGGGGAAGGGGGGAGGGATGGCATTGGGAGATATACCTAATGCGAGATGACGAGTTAGTGGGTGCAGCACACCAGCATGGCACATGTATACATATGTAACTAACCTGCACATTGTGCACATGTACCCTAAAACTTAAAGTATAATAATAAAAAAAAAAAAGAAAAAAGACAAAAAAAAAAGAAAAGAAATTATCTGAGAGCTTCAAAGAGCTAACAGGTTAGTGAAGGATGACTGGCCTGAGATCCAGGAGAAGATAGAAATTCAGGAAAGCGAGCATTGCATTTGGGGCTACTTTTTCCTTGAGAGAATTAACCCTTTTTAAAGAGACCACCGAGAGGCAAAGTGATGCTTTTTATAGCTTCCCAGGGAGAAGGGCAACAGTTGGAGACTAGGGACTGTCAGGAGTAAGGATACCAGCAACTGCCCTGCTCTTTGGACTGGGACCCAGAAGAACATCAGACTAATAATAAAGATACAGTACATTAATTCTCACAAAAGCTACATTCTATATTTGGGTCATCTGGAATTCCAGAAAAAAAAATGTAAATTTTTTGAAATTGATTCAAAATGATTGTAGATTTTGTGGATTGTTAGCATCCACAGGTACCAGGCGCTACTTTCTACTTTCTGGAGGAAGGTAGCATCCTCCTAGGCCACAAATCATTCCCCAAAACTAATTATGAAATGCAACATGTGGCACACACACACACACACATACACAAAACCAGGTACAACATCAAGAGAAGCCAGTAGAAATAATAAACAATAGAATTAAACAAGGACAGTCTAGGGATATAAGAATTATCAGACACAGACATTAAAATAAGTCAGCTTACTATGTTCAGGGGATAGAGGCAATATTAAAACTTCAACAGATAATTTCTGTATAAAATCTAAAATAAAAAATACATTAACAGAAATCAAGAACTCAAAATACGGGCTTAATAGCAGGATTAAACATAGCTGAAGACAAAACATGGAAACTGTATCATAGACCAGAAGAAAATATTCAGAATGAAGCAGATAGAAACAAAATCATGGAAAAAAAAAAAAGAATAGAAATAGAAGCAGAGTTGATGCAGTGAGAAAGTCTAATGCAGTAAGAAAATTTAACTGAGGTCCCAGAAGTAGAAAGCAAAGAGAAAGGAGCAGAATAATGATTTGAAGAGATACTAGCTGAGGATATCCCCAAATTGTGAAAGGTGTTAACCCATAGATTTAAAAGCCTAATAAGCCATAAGTAAGGAACTTAAAAAAACCACATGTAAACATATGGTAAAATTGCAAATTACAAAAACAAGACAAAACTGTGTTTCAAGTTCTGAACAAGATGGCATAGACTCACTTTCCCTGTTCCTCTATTCTAAATAAAACGAAAGACCTTGGGCATTATTCAACAGGAAATGACAAAGAGCTCTGAAATCTAGAAAGAAGAAGGTAGACTGACTAGAAAGAATAACTATGTGATGAATTTCCTGAATTTTCTTTTTATATCTCTTATACCTCAGATTGGGAGCCAAAGAGGCTTACAACCTGGAACTACCAACAGGTATAGATAAACAAAACAAAACAAAATGAAACAAGAGCAAAAGCTTGCTTTCTCTTGCCAAAGGACCAGGAAACCCTAGAAAAAACCTAGTGGCAAGCCCCAACTCCTACTGTACATCCAGAGAACATGTAAGCCATTTGATATGTCAGTAGTATCATCATCATGAGCCATTTGATATGTCAGTAGTATTATCATAAAAACCCTAGGCTACTCAGCCCCTTCTACACAATTGGGGAACTGGTGGGTGGTCTGATGTTTCCACAGTGGCAACAGCAAGGCCTGAGGCTGAACAAACCCTGGCTCTACAAATAGGGCACCAGCAGGAAGTCATCTGTCTGCAGTGGCAACAGAAGCAAAGACCTGTTGTATTGGTCTGTTCTCATACTGCTATGAAGAAATACATGAGACTGGGTAATTTATAAAGAAAAGAGCCTTAATTGACTTACAGCCTGCATGGATGGGGAGTCCTCAAGTAACTTACATTCATGGCAGAAGGCACCTCTTCACAAGGTAGGAGGAGAGAGAATAAATGCAAACAGGGGAAATGGCAGATGCTTATAAAACCATCAGATCTTTTGAGACTCATTCACTATCATGAAAACAGAATGCAGGAAACCACCCCCATGACCTGATTACCTCCACCTGGTTCCACCCTTGACACATGGGGATTATGGGGATTACAATTCAAGGTGAGATTTGGGTGGGGACACAGAGCCAAACCATGTCATTCTGCTGCTGGCCCCTCCCAAATCTCATGTCCTCACATTTCAAAACACAATCATGTGTGTCCAACAGTTCTGTAATGTTTTAACTTATTCCAGCATTAACCCAAAAGTCCAAGTCCAAAGTCTCATGTGAGACAAGGCAAGTCCCTTCCATCTATCAGCCTGGAAAATCAAAAGCAAGTTAGTTACTTCCTTGATGCAATGGAGATACGGTATTGGGTAAATACACCCATTCCAAATGGGAGAAATTGGCCAAAACAGAGGGGCTACAGGCCCCATGCAAGTCCGAAATCCAATAGGGAAGTCATTAAAACTTAAAGTTCCAAAATAATCTCCTTTGACTCCATGTCTCACATCAAGGTCATGCTGATCCAAGAGGTAGACTCCCATGACCTTGGGCAGCTCTACTCCTGTGGTTTTGCAGGGTACAGCCCACCTCCCAGCTGCTTTCACAGGCTGGTGTTGAGTTCCTCCAGCTTTGCCAGGAACACAGTGCCAACTGTTGGTGGATCTACCATTCTGGGGTCTGGTGGATGGTAGCCCTCTTCTCACAGCTCCACTAGGCAGTGCCCCAATGGGGACTTTGCATGGAGGCTCCGACCCCACATTTCCCTTCCACACTGCCCTAGCAGAGGTTCTCCATGAGGCCTCTGCTACTGCAGCAAACTTCTGCCTGGACATCCAGGCCCTTCCATACCTCCTCTGAAATCTGGGCAGAGGTTCCCAAACCTCAGTTCTTGTCTTCTGTGCACCTACAGGCTCAACACTACATGGAAACTGCCAAGGCTTGGGGCTTACACCCTCTGAAACAAAGCCCCGAGCTATACCTTGGCCCCTTTTAGCCGTGGCTGGAGCCAAAGCAGCTGGGATTCAGGGCACCATGTCCTGAGGCAGCACAGAGCAG
Organism: Homo sapiens; assembly: GCF_000001405.40. Lineage (NCBI taxonomy): Eukaryota > Metazoa > Chordata > Mammalia > Primates > Hominidae > Homo > Homo sapiens. The sequence continues at coordinate 68,423,013 of NC_000008.11, forward strand.
GGAGACCCTGAGCCTGGCCAAGGAAAACATTTTTCTCTCCCATAGGAGTGGCTGCCATGAAAGTCTCTGACATGCGCAGAGATATTTTTTCCCATTGTCTTGGAGATTAACATTCAGCTTCTCACTACTTATGCAAATTTCTGCAGCGGGCTTGAATTTTTCCCCAGAAAATGAGTTTTTCCCTTCTATCACATTGTCAGTCTGCAAATTTTCTAAGCTTTTTATGTTCTGTTTCCTCTTGAATGCTTTGCTGCTTAAAAATTTCTTCTGCCAGATACCCTAAATCATCTCTCTCAAGTTCAGAGTTCCACAGACCTCTAATTCAGGGACAAAATGCTGCCAGCCTCTTTGCCAAAGCATAGCAAGATGGGAACTTTACTCCAGTTTCCAACAAGTTCCTCACCTCCACCTGAGACCATCTCAGCCTGGACTTCAGTGTCCATATCACTATCAGCATTTTGGTCAAAGCCATTCAACAAGAGAATCTAGGAAGTTCCAAATTTTCCCACATCTTCCTATCTTCTGAGCCACCAAGTCTCTAGGAAGCTCCAAACATTCCCACATTTTCCTGTCTTCTTATGAGTCCTCCAAACTGTTCCAACCTCTGCCTGTTACCCAATTCCAAAGTTGCTTCCACATTTTCGGGTATCTTTACAGCAGCACCCCACTATCTCGGTATGAATTTACTGTATTAGGCTGCTCTAACACTGCTATGAAGAAATACCCAAGACTGGGTAATTTATAAAGAAAGGAGGTTTAATTGGCTCACAGTTCAACATGACTGGGGAGGCCTCAGGAAACTTACAATCATGGCAGAAGGAATCTCTTCACAGGGCAGCAGGAAACAGAATGAGTGGAAACAGGGGCAATGCCAGATGCTTTTAAAACCATCAGATCATGTGAAACTCATTCAGTATCACAAGAATAGCAGGGAGGAAACTGCCCCCATGATCTGATTACCTCCACCTAGTCCTGCCCTTGACACATGGGGTTTATAATTCAAGGTGAGATTTGGGTGGGGACACAGAGCCACACCATATCACCTGTGCCCCTGCCTTCCATGAAATGACATAAGAAGACCAAGGGCCAGAGGCTTCTTCCCTCCCCCCTGCCCATGTTCACCCACTGATACCAGTTGCCCAGGAATGGACTTTAAGTCCCAGTGATTCCAACAGCAGATATTGAGTGGGAGTTCCAACAGTACTAGAAAAGTGAAGCAGACCAGAATAGCATTGCAAGGGCTTTAAAAACCAAGCTGTCATTGAAACTAAAGCCCACAAAAGTAGGCCAGAACCTACATGCTCAACCTAAACGGGGCAACTGACTACTAAAATAAATGATAGGATATAACTAAATAGGATTTTGAGTCTACTAACATATTAACCAGAATGCCCAGGATATTTAAAAATATCACTTATCATACCAAGAAATAGGAAAACCACAATTTGGATGAGAAAAGGACAATCAACAAAAACCAGTATCAAGAAGAATTGGATGTTGAAATTATCAGGCAAGGATTTTAAAGCAGCTGTCATAAAAGTGGTTAAACAATCAATTACAAATATTCTTGAGATAAATACAAAATAGAAAATCTTAGCTAAGAAATAGAGATTGTAAAAAAGAGCCACCTGTAATCCCAGCACTCTGGGAGGCTGAGGCGGGCAGATCACGAGGTCAGGAGATCTGGAACATCCTGGCTAACACGGTGTAACCCTGTCTCTACTAAAAATACAAAAAATTAGCTGGGCGTGGTGGTGGGCGCCTGTAGTCCCAGCTACTTGGGAGGCTGAGGCAGTAGAATGGTGTGAACCTGGGAGGCGGAGCTTGCAGTGAGCTGAGATTGCGCCACTGCACTCCAGCCTGGGTGACAGAGTGAGACTCCATCCCAAAAATAATAATAATAATAATTATAATCATACACCATGATTGAGTGAAATTTATTTCAGACATGTAAGGCTGGTTCAATATTTGAAAATCATTTAATATAATTCAACATATCAATAGGCTAAGGCAGAAAAGTCACATCATATTAATTGATGCAAAAATAAAATCATTGGACAGTACCCAATAGCCATTAATGAGGAAAACTATCAGTACATTCAAAATAGAGGGGAACTTCCTTAACCTCATAAATGCATCTACAGAAATCCTACAGCTAACATTATACTTAATTGTGAAAAACTGAATGCTTTTCCTCTAAGTTTGAGTTCTAGACAAGGATGTTCACTCTAACCATTGCTATTCAACATATTTCTGGGAGTTCTTGCCATTATAGTAAGGCAATAAAAAGTAATAGAAGGCATACAGATTTGAATGGGATAAATAAAACTATTTCTATTTGCAAATGACATGATTGTCTACAGAGATGATCCCAACAAACTCCTACAACTAAGTGAGTTCAATATAGATACATGATCGATACATAAAATCAATTGAATTTCTGTATACTGACAAAAGTGAAAGCCAGACTAGAAATATAATATAACTTACAATTGTTTCAAACAAAATAAAATCATTATAAAACTAAAGAAAAATCATGTACCAGATCTTTACGATGAAAAGTACAAAATGCTGGTTAAAACATTTAGCATCTCCATAAATTGATGTGTATAAAGCATTCTTATCATAATTTCATCAAGGCTTTTTGTAGACATAGTCAAACTTACTCTATACTTTATATGAAAAGAGCCTAGAATAGCCAAAACAGTTTTGGAAGGAAAAAAAAAAAAAGGAAGTAGGAGAAACCACTCTTCCTGATTTCAAAGGATAAGATATGACTACAGAAATCAAGACATAGTGGTGCTGGCAGATGGATAAATACATAGGTCAATGGAACAAAACATAATAGATATACATACCCGATATGTGAATTAATTTTTGACAAAGACACAAAAGTAATTCAATGGAGAAAGGATACTCTTCTGCATAAATGATACTGGATAAAGAGCATTTGTAGGGAAAAATTGACTCTTGACCTTAAACATTGCGTCTTATGCAAAAATTAACTCAAAATGGGTCATTGACTTTAAAGTATAAAATTATAAAACTTTAAAAGATAACTAGGAAGAAAATTTTCAGGACCTAGGACTTGCTGAAGATGACATATCTTCATATCTCTTGTATATGCTACCAAAGTATGACTAATAAATAAAATTGATAAATAAGACCACATCAAAATTTAAAACTTCAGCTTTATGAAAAATCCTGTTAAGGGGGCAAAAAATGGCCGGGTGCGTGGCTCACACCTGTAATCCCAGCACTTTGGGAGCCTGATGCTGGTGGATCACTTGAGGTCAGGAGTTGAAGACCAGCCTGGCCAACATGGTGAAAGCCCATCTCTACCAAAAAATGCAAAAATTGCCTGGGCATGATGGTGCACTCCTGTAGTCCCAAATGCTCGGGGGCCCAAGGTGGGAAAATCGCTTCAACCTAGGAGGCGGAGGTTGTAGTGAGCGGAGATCTTGCTGCTGCACTCCAGTCTGAGTGACAGAATAAGACCTTGTCTCAAAAAAAAAAAAAAAAAAAAAAAGAAAACAGAAAAAAAGCAAAAAAGAAAACTACAAAATGAATAAAAATATTTCCAAATTACATATCCAACAAAGCAGTAGTATAATGCAAATGAACTCTCAAAACATATTAAAAAAAAGAAAAGCAATTCCAGCCTGACCAAAATGGTGAAACCCTATCTCTACTAAAAACACAAAAAATTAGCTGGGTGTGGTGGTGGGCACCTGCAATCCCAGCTTCTCGGGAGGTTGAGGCAGGAGAATCCCTTGAACCCAGGAGGTAGACGTTGCAGTGAGCTGAGGTCGCGCCATTGCACTCCAGCCTAGGCAACAAGAGTGAAACTCCGTCTAAAAAAAAACCAAACCAAACCAAACCAAACCAAACAAAATCCTATTAGAAAATAGACAAAGTAAGTATAGACATTTTACTGAAGAAGATTTATAGATGGCAGATAAGCACATCAGGGGGCATTCAATATCATTATCCATTAGAGAAATGGAATTAAAATTACAATGAGATATCACTGTAAAGATGTAAGAATGGGCAAAATTACGTATATATTGCAGATGTGAATGTAAAATTGCATAGTGACTCTGAAAATAATTTGGTGGTTTCTTTTAAAACTAAAAATGGCCCTAACATGTAATGCAGTAATTGTACTCTTAGGTACTTATCCTAAAGAAATGAAACCTCATGTGTACAAAAAAACCTATACAGAAATGTTTATAGCAACATTATTCATAATA